>NC_000005.10:139453659-140078659 GCF_000001405.40 Homo sapiens | reverse complement strand
CATCTTTGACTCTACCTAAACAGGGTGTAAACTCCTTCAGGACAAGAACCATGGCTTATACTTATTTTTATTCTTATTCAGCACTTAAGAAGGTTCTGGGCATATAATTGCTATTTATTTAATAATTATTTATTATTTAATTGGTTTATAGTATTTTGTTATATGGGAAGGATATTCTATGATATTTAACCAATCATATTCTATGATATTTAACCAATTATTCTGGTCTTCTGTTAGTGCAAACAGGCTGCAATAAGTATGCTTTTACATAGATAGATAGATAAATAGATATAGGTAGATAGATATTTGTATGCATGTGTGAGTATATTCTAGGAGAGATTCCCAGAACTATAATTGCTGGGTTGAGGTTATGTATATGCTGGGTTTGGTGGTATGCACCTGTAGTCTCAGCTACTCGGGACAATGACTTGAGCCCTGGGCAACATGGGAGACCCCTTCTCAAAAACAAACAAATTAAAAACCCCAAAGCAAAACAAATCAAGATTATGTGTATTCTTACTTTGACAAAAGAGTTTCAGATTTAAATTAAAGTTCCACTTATTTCACATAACATATTATAATACTTCAGGACAAAAGAAAATAATTAACCAGGTGCCTTGAATTTTGTTTATAGACTTAACACTTGCTGTATGATCTTCATAGGACCCTGTATGCTCTTTCTACAAAAAGTAGTACAATTGAGTGTTGATGACCAATATATCTATTGTCAGAGTGGGGTCTGGAAGTCATAAAGCAGGCAGAAATGAAATATGTTTTCCATTACTATATGCTTTTGGAAACTTCTTGAGATGCTTCATAGAACTTTTAGAGTCTGCATAACACAATGTAGAAACCACGACTAGCACTTTCCTTGCCATATCAAAAATTCCTACCCCAAAAGTTTTTAAAAACACAAATATATTCAAGGGACAGTATATCTCCTTATCTCACTATCACATCAGTGTATCCCATGGGAAGTGCCAAGGGATTGGCTTTGTGTCAGTACACCAAGAAGGGATGACTTTTTTTTTTTTTTGAGATGGAGTCTCGTTCTATCGCCCAGGGTGAAGTGCAGTGGCACAATCTTGGCTCACTGAAACCTCCACTGCCTGGGTTCATGTAATTCTCGGGCCTCAGCCTCCTGAGTAGCTGGGACTACAGGTGTGTGCCACCATGCTCGGCTAATTTTTGTATTTTTAGTAGAGTTGGAGTTTTGCCATGTTGGCCAGGCTGGTCTTGAACTCCTGGCCTCCCAAAGTGCTGGGATTACAGGCATGAGCCACCACGCCCAGCCAGGGATGACATTTTAAAGAGCCATTCTCAACTAAAGGAATTATTGTGGGAGAGTAGAGGAAGAGACTAAACCGTACTAAGTATGTACTAAGTGTCAGATTCCTTACTCATGGTTCCTGTTAAAATAGACATTATCATCTATCTCTCTTTCACAGATGAGGAGACATGCTCGAAGAATGTATTGCCTTTCTGGTCATGTGGCTATTAAGTGGTAGTCAGGATTGATTTGAACTCGGGTCTTTTTAACTCCAAAGCTCTTTCTCCTATATTCTGCTCCCTCTCAATGTGCTCAGAATGCACTGATATCCCCACAATGGAGACATGGAGGATTCCAGAGCACAGATTTTCCTAGCCTGACTTTGTGACACTAATGAATCAGGAAATCTCAGCCATTGCTCTCTTTTGCTCTGCCCAAGAAGAAGAAAGCAGGAGCTGTCCATCTGAAAACAGACTTTTCAGCAGATAAATGGAAGCCAGCAGAAGAACCAGCTGGAATAACGAGAAGTAATTACTTTGACCTAGAATAGGGAGAAGCTCAATAACTTAATTTAGTCATATTTCTGGTCATTTTACTAATTAGAGGAAATAAAAAGGGGAAAAAGAAAGAGAAGGTGAATGAGAAGGAAAGGATGGTAGATGGGGGAGTACCTGAGAAGGATGAAACCACTGCTAATTATGGTTCCAATGAGGCAAAATCAAAACTGAAATGTCTTTTTTATAATTTTACTTTAGGTAGGGGAAAAATCTATTTTACTATATTTCAGTTTCTCTACCTAATAAATATTAGAAAAAACCCTTTGTGATCCTAATAACTATACTCCCTCTCCTAGGAAATTGTTCCTGGATTGTATTTCTTCCTAATATATAATACATATTTTATAATTAATGAAAAAAATGAGTAAATTTTGTTCATTTGGACTCCAGTAATTTAGAGTTTATAATAAAAATCAGTTATGTGTTCTGCTGAAATTTCTCTCATTGGGAATTCAGGTTTTAAAAAAAACAATGATGTCATTTAAAAAATAAATGATGATATTCAACTCATTTAAGGGAACTAATTTCCTGTAAGTAATTTAACACCTATTTCATATTTGCTACTTCAGTCTGACTTCAGAACAACACAAAACCTTAAATTTATTCACCAAAAAAACCCTTAAGCCTGACTTGGTGGTGCACACCTGTAGACTCAGTTACCGGGGAGGTTGAGGTAGGAGGATCATGAGCTAGCTCAGGAGTTCAAGACCAGCCTGGACAACACAATGAGACCCTGATCTGTAAAATAAACCAAAGACCAAAACCCCTTATTTACATGATATTAAATAATATTTGAATTAATTCCCAAGGGAATATCATAGGGGTTAGATCAGCTTTTGAGGAATGTCAAAAATGAGAGGTTAAAAAATAATTTTTAGGGCTGGGTGTGGTGGCTCACGCCTATAATCCCAGTACTTTGGGAGGCCAAAGCGGGCAGATATCTTGAGGCCAGGAGTTCGAGACCAGCTTGGCCAACATGGCAAAACCCCATCTGTAGTAAAAATACAAAAATTAGCCAGGTGTGGTGGTATGTACCTGTAGTCCCAGTTACTCGGGAGGCTGAGGCACAAGAATCACTTGAACCTGAGTGGTGGAGGTTGCAGTGAGCTGAGATGGCGCCACGGCACTCCAACCTGGGTATGACTCTGTCTAAACAAACAAAAAAAAAAAATAGAAGAAAGGATTCATCAGCTATTTCAATGCCAAAAGGAAATAGGGGATAATTAGGGTTAGAAAATATTATTAGAGTGGACATGTAAGAGGCTTTTTGGTGACATCAAGAGGTTAGTTTTGGTAGTGTGGTATAAATGAAAGCAAAAATTTTAGGACTTTAAGGAATGTCTAAATAGTAAAGAATTGGAGGCTTTTGTAGACATTCATTTCAAATATTTGGCAGGGAAATAAAGGGGAAAAAGAACAGTGATAATGAGGAAAGGTGAAGATTTTTGCAAAAAGTGGGAGAATTATACATGACTGAAGACAGAGAAAGAAGACTGATAGAATAGGATGGGAAGAAATGGGATTAAAAGGCTGGGTAGAAAAGGAAAAATTAATAAACTGGATTTTACGAAACAAAAAAGTTCTGCTCTTTGAAAGATAGAGAAAATGAGAAGACAAGCCACATACTGGGAAGAAACATTTGCAAAACATATGTCTAATAAAATATTTGTAACCTGAATATATAAAAGACTCTCTAACCTCAATAATAAGAAAGCTAACAACCCAGTAAAGAAAAGGGCAAAAGATTTGAACAGATACTTTATAAAAAAGATATACAGATGGCAAATTAGTACACGAAAAGATTCTCAACTTCATTAGTCATTTACAAATTAAAACGACAATGAGACACCACCTCATGCCTGCTCAAATAGTTTAAATTAAATAAAAAGACAATGTCAGGTGCTAGTGAGGTTGCAGAATAACTGGAACTTTCATACATTGCTGGTGGGAATGCAAAATCGTACAACCATTTCAGGGAACAGTTTGGTAATTTCCTATAAAGTTAAACATAAGTATTTAAGTTTATGAGAGGAGATTGGCGAAGCAGGCATGGGCCAAGTCATTCTAAGTGTTGTGGTAAAATGTTTGGATATTATTCTTTCTCATACGAAGCCACTGAAGGATTTTTGTTTCCTTTTTTTTTTTTTTTTTTCTGAGACGGAGTCTCGCTCTGTCGCCCAGGCTGGAGTGCAGTGGCGCGATCTCAGCTCACTGCAAGCTCCGTCTCCCGGGTTCACGCCATCCTCCTGCCTCAGCCTCCCGAGTAGCTGGGATTACAGTCATGCGCCACCACGCCTGTCTAATTTTGTATTTTTAATAAAGATGGGGTTTCTCCGTGTTGATCAGGCTGGTCTCGAACTCCTGATTTCTGGTGATCCACCCGCCTCGGCCTCCCAAAATACTGGAATTACAGGCGTGAGCCACCGCGCCCGGCCGGCCTAAGATTTTTTTAAGTAAACGATAAAGGAATTTTTTTTTTTTTGAGACGGAGCTTTGCTCTTTTTGCCCAGGCTGGAGTGCAGTGGTGCATTCTCGGCTCACCGCAACCTCCACCTCCCAGGTTCAAGCGATTCTCCTGCTTCAGCCTTCCGCATAGCTGGGATTACAGGCATGCGCCACTACGCCTGGCTAACTTTGTATTTTTAGTAGAGACGGGGTTTCTCCATGTTGGTACCAAAAAGATGTAGCAATTCTGACTCTATATGTAATTTACAATACCTCTTCAGTACATGTAAAGCAAAAATGTCATTGACAGAATTGCAAGAAATTAACAAATCCACAATTACAGTGGCAAATTTTTCTTTACCATATTTCCTACAGAAACAGAAGAAGCTGACATAATATTAATAAGGATACAGAAGATCTGAAAAACATGGTTCACAAGCTTGATTTAATGGATACAGCCAGAATCCTTCACGTAGTGGAGAGTACATGTTTTCTAAGTACATGTTCTCTAAGTAAATGTGAAAAACTTGAAAATTTGACTACGAAGCCAGTCTCAAGTAATACTGAGAAAGTTGATATTATACAGACCACATTTTTTTTTTACCATAATATAATACAACTATGAATCAACAATAAAAAGCCCTGTACCCCACAATAGAGTGACTTTTAGTTTCTGGCTTAAGCAATTAGGTAGATGGTACGTATGTCATTTATTGAGATGGAAAAGACGGAAGAAAAACCATTTTAAGGGAGAGTGGAAATGGGGTCACAGAAAAGATAAATCAGTTTAGAGATGTCTGGCCAACCAACACCTAGCAAGGTATTGGGATAGATTTACCTCAAATAATTCATCAGCCAATAGATTTAATGTGTCTGCTATAACCACACTTCTTTTCTAGGAACCCTTTTTCTATTTTGAGATTTTTGTAAATTTGAGTTTGAAAATTACGAGTTATATTGCCATATTAATTGGTTATGCTGCCACTCAGTGGTAGATTTTAGAATAGCAGATATATCTTTTTTAGGTGAATTCCTATTTTTTTAATTAAAGAAAGCAAAGATTATAAAATAATCTATTTCATTGTTCGAAATATTGCCATTCCTATCTCTACATTATACATTATTTTATGTATCCCAAAATATCAGTAGTATTGCCTTTATATTCAACTATTAATATTGCAAAAGTTTAGATCCCCCCAATGGAAAAAGCTTAACGTACAAAAGTTATTCAAATAGCTAATATTTGTTGTATGCTTAGTATGTTCCAGGCAGTACTGTAAGTTCTTCTTGTTCTTTTTTTTTTCTTTAAGACAGTGTCTCCTTCTGTCGTCCAGGCTGAAGTGCAGCGGCGCGATCTTGGCTCACTGCAACCTCCACTTCCCCAGCTCGAGTGATTCTCCTGCCTCAGCCGCTGGAGTAGCTGGGACTACTAGGCGCGGGCAACCACACTCAGAGAATTTTTGTATGTTTTGTAGAGATGAAATTTCGTCATGTTGTCCAAGCTAGTGGGAGCTAAAATGGTACAATCTTTCACTTCAGGAAGCTAACTTGGTAATATGTATCAAAAGCCTTATTTAATGCACATATCCTTTGGTATAGCAATTTTATTTCTGCAGGTTGATTTTTAAAAATTAATTCAAGATACATATCTATTAGAATGGCCAAAGTCCAGAACATGACAACACCAAATGCTGGTGAGGATGTGGAGCAACAGGAACTCTGGTTCATTGCTGGTGGGAATGCAAAAGGGCACAGCCACTTTGGAAGATAGTTTGACAGCTTCTTACAAAACTAAACATACATCTTACTATATAATCCAACATTTGAACTCTCTGGTGTTTACCAAAAGGAGTTGAAAACTTATGTCCATACAAAGACGTGCACATGGATGTTTATAGCATCTTTTATAATTACCAAAACTTGAAAGCAACTGAGTTGGCCTTCATTAGAGGAATGAATAAACTGTGGTATACCCAGTAAATGAAATATTCATTGCTAAAAAGAAAAAAGCTATCAAGCCATGAAAAGACGTGCAGGAACCTTAAATCCATATTGCTAAGTGAAAGAAGCCAATTGAAAAAGTTACGTATTATATGATTCCAAACTGTATCACATTCTGGAAAAGGCAAAACTATGGAGAGAGTAAAAGGATCAGTAGTTGCCAGAGTATGGGGCGAGGGAAGGATGAATAGATGGAGCACAGAGGATTTTCAGGGCAGTGAAAATACTATATGATACTATAATGAATGTATGTCCAAACCCATAGAATGTACACCACCAAGAGTGAACCCTAATGTAAGGTATAGACTTTGGATGATAGTGGTGTATCAATGTAGGTTTATCTGTTGTAATGTATGTACCGCTCTGGTGGGGGATATTGTAATTGGGAGCCTGAACATGTATGACGGCAGAGGCCATAAGGGAAATCTCTGTACCTTCCTTTCAATTTGGCTGTGTGCCTAACACTGCTCTAAAAAAAAAATACAATCTTAAATATAATAAAATTGGATCACATCACACACCATAAAAAAGAAAGACATTAATTGAATTTGTATGAAGATTAAGGTACAAGGATGTTCATTTTAGACCTTTATTGGAGCAAAAAATATTGTAAACAACTTAGATATACCATAAGAGCAGAGTTTAATTATGGAATATTTGTACAATAGAATATTCCTTGCCTCCCACATCTAAGTCATCAGAGCAAGTTCTCCATTACCTCCAGAATAGATTCTGATTCTGTTCAATACTCTCCATCTCAATGGCCACCATTCGAGAACAATGCCTCACCCTCCTTCATCTGGATACTAAACATCTTCCTAACTGGTCATCCTGCTCCAGCTTCTACTCCTTTGATCCATTCTTCACATAGCAGTCAGAGCTGTCTACTTTGCTGCCTGGCTAGCTAGCTAACCATTTGTTTAAAGTATTAAAAGCACCCATAAACCTACCACATTAGGCCCCTACCCGTACCATGCCCTAACTCCTCCCATGCCAGGCAGCCATCAACCTGAATCCCCACTCCCTTGCTTTCCTTTTTATATAGTGTTATTGTATTTATAAGCATTCCTAAATATGCATATTTAAATGTTTTTAATTTAATAAAAAATATCATGTGGCACACAATAATTTTTGCACTTAGTGGTATTTGTTAAGATTCATGCATGTTGTTGCATGTCACCACAGTTCGTTCATTTAAACAGCTGTGTAATATTCCACTGTGGTTATGGATTTAGTTTATTCAGTCTCTTGTTGATGGGCATTTTGAAGATTTTTTCCTAGGTTTTTATTATTGTGAATGATCCTGTCATGAGCATCATGGTCCATGTCTCTTATTGTATATGTGCAAGAATTTCTTTTGGATATATATCTAGGAGTGGAATTTTTGCATTTTAGGGTACATAAATGTTAAACTTTAATTGTTTGCCAAACTGTTCATCAATTTACTTTCCAACTAGCAATTTTTTTATTTCATTTTATTTTGTTTTGAGACAGGGTCTCACTCTGATACCCAGGCTGGAGTGCAGTGGCATCATTTTGGCTCACTACAACAACCTCTGCCTCCTGGGCTCAGGTGATTCTCCCATCTCAACCTCCCAAGTAGCTGGGAATACAGGTGCGCACCACTACACCAAGCTAATTTTTCTATTTTTAGTAGAGACGGTTTTGCCATGTTGCCCAGGCTGGTCTTGAACTGCTGGGCTCAAGCAATCCTACTGCCTTGGCCTCCCAAAGTGCTATGATTATAGGTGTGAGCCACTGCTCCCGGCCAGTTCTTTACATGAATATCTCATTTAATACTCACAACAACCCTATAAGTACTATTTATGCCTAACTTGAAAGTGAGGCATAGAAGGATAAATAATTTACTCAAAGCCATACAACTAATAAATAACAGAGCTGGGATTTTGAATATAGGTAATACGGTTCTAGAGTGCTGAAGCTTAACAACTGTGAACACTGTTTGAAACAGAAAAAAAATTGAAGGTAATTTAAAATTTTAACAGTAAAGCAATAGCTCAGCAAACTCTAGCATATCAGTTTGATAGAATGCTATGTAGACATTTAAAATAATAGACTCAAAGATTATATGATAAGATGAGAAACTGTTTATAACATGAAAACTCCAGCCAATGTCATCATACAGTGTATGTGACACTCTAATATATTTATTATTTCTTAAGTTTTCAAAAACTTATTTAAAAATAATATCAAACTTATAAGGAGTTGCAAAAGTAAAAATCATACAAGGAACATTTGAATATCCTTTACAAAGATTCAGCCATTGCTAACATTCTCTTTCTGTTTACACAGACACACACACACACACACACACACACATATTTTTTCCTTAAACCATTTGATGTAGGTTACATATATCTTTTTTTTTTTAAGGCAAGGTCTCACTTTGTCACCTAGGCTGGAGTTCAGTGGCATGATCTTGGCTCAACCTCCTGGGTTCAAGTGATCCTCATGCCTCAGTGCCCCCAAGTAGCTGGGACCACAGGTGTATGCCACCATGCCAGGCTGTATATATCATGGCTCATGGCTTTTTATCCTCAAATCATCCGGCATTGATTGATTGATTAATTGAGATATAGGGTCTCAATATATTACCCAGGCTAGCCTTGAACTCCTGGCCTGAAGTGATCCTCCTACCTCAACCTTCAGTAGCTGGGACCACAGGAGTTTGTCATAGGGCTCAGCTCAGCATGTATTTCTGAAGGAAAGGGGTTTGCTCTAGTTACTGACTTCATAAGTTTACCTTGATAGAATGCTATCATCTAATTTACTGTTCACATTCCAAAAGTTTTAGCTGATCTAATCATGTCCTTCACAGGTTTTTTCCCCTTCCAGTACAGCTTCAATTTTAGGGTCAAATATTGCATTTAATTGCCATGTCTTTTTAGCCACCTTAAATCTGGAACATTTCCACAGTCTTTGTCTTTTTTGACATTGACATTTTTGAAGAATACAACTCTCCCACCTTTCTTTTTTTTAATAGAACACTTCGTTTTGTTTGTCTGATGTTTCCTCATGATTAGATTGCATTTATACACTCTCAGCACGAATATTGCATAGGTGATGTTGTGACCTTCTCAGGATCTGGAGGCACACGATGTCCATCTATCTCTCAAAGATAATATTAATTTTGATCATCCAATCAAAGTGATGCCTTAGTTTTCCACTGTATAATCATCTTTTGTTCTTTCTTTCCTGCGACTAATAAGTCTGTGGGTGACACATTTTAAGATGGTGCCAATATCTTATTCCTTACCAAAAATTTCCTTTAGATTTAACTTCTATTGATGATTCTTGCTTGAATTAATCTGTACTATGAAAGTTGCAAAATGATAATTTTCCAGTTTAGCACATGGTCCCCATTGGCCAGTTGTCCCTAGAAGGGCAGCCTTATGACTTTCTTGGGCCCTCGGCACTTTTGTCTTTATTGTTCCTCCATATGATTTTAAAAAATTATATTTGATGACTTTGTTGCTATGAAGATAAATATAATCCAGGATGTTATTGCCAGTGCATTTATTTTTCTTCTGATTTCTTTTAAAAGAAGTTAAAACATTTTCATGCGCCTTTGAAAGTATCATGGGTCTCAGACACTGTGCCTAATGGATCAGTTGGCTCTGGGCCCTCACTGTTTTACCAATGGTTTATAATTCATTATTATATGTACTAGTTTGGTGCTTAATTGTCTCCGATTTGGCCAGTGGGGCCCCTTCAAGCTAGTCCTCATGTCCTTGCAATATGCTGTCACTTTTTTTTTCTTTTAGCACTTCCTTAACAGGATGGCATAACAGGGTGTCCTAGGCTCCAATGTATCTATGCTGCCCCAGCCCTGGAATCAGCCATTTCTTGAAGGAGGACAGATTCCTTTTAGAGGGGAATGGTACTAGAAACCAAGATCTAGGCACGAGGCATACTCATTGCTACCAGGTTTTATTTGCTTCTTGGACTTTTGAACAAACAGAGATGGGAAGTAAAGCCATGTATACACAAATGTGCATACACATACACATACACATATACATGTGCACATACATAAACATGTATATACATATTCACATTTTAGAAATCATGACTTCATACCAGTTTCTCCAATTCCAGTGCATCTCCACAAGATTCTTTTTTTGCCTTTCCCCATTTCATACTTACATATTCCTTTTTCCACGGTGAGAACCCTGACTCCCAATAACACCAACACATTTACCCATTTGCTCAATCCTAATTACATCTAAAATAATTTTGAAATTGCTTTGCCCATACTGCTACCATTAACAACCCTACTAAAAAGAGTTCATGACTCGTTTGCACTTTTCTTTCCTCATCCCCTCCAAAACTGAGGCCACACTGTTTTCATACATTTCTTGGATTAGTTTTTTCTTTTAAACTTTTTTCCATTCATTGTGGTCATGTTATTCATTTGATATACATTACACTTATTTATTCAATTGGCATTTGCTTATGGGTTCCCCCTCCTCATTCTTAATTGATTTATCTTTTGAATATGTAAGATATTAACATGCTTTCAAAAGTCAAAACTATACGAAGAGTTATACTCAGAGAACAGCCATTCTCTCCTGTGTCCCTTCCACTCATCCCCTCACCCTTACTCCTTGCAGAAAACAAATTTCATGGTTTTCTGGTTTATCCTGCCTGTGTCTCTTTTTGTAATGATAATGTATATTTTCTTATTTCTCCTCTTTCTTCCACAAAATATAACATATTATATGGTCTTTTGCGCTTTGCTTTTTAAAATTTAATATCTCCTGGAAATCATTCTGTATCGTTCCTAGAGATCTTTCTAGTTCTTCTTTATTGCTGCATAATACTCCATTGTACAGATGTATTATAGTTTATTCAATCAACCTGCCCACTTAGATATTAGGTAGTTTCTAATATTTTGATATTACAACTAATGCAATATATTATTGCATTATTAAAGTAATAAAGTGCTGTGATTACAGGCGTGAGCCACCACACTTGGCCAAATTTACTTCTTAAAAAACTATTTATAATATAACAAAAATGACCAAAAATTCTAGAGAAAAATAGGCAAAATACATAAACAGACAATCCACTAAGAGCTATACAAAGATAGTCTTGGCTGGGCACGGTGGCTCACGCCTGTAATCCCAGCATTTTGAGAGGCCGAGGCAGGTGGATCACAAGGTCAGGAGATCGAGACCATCCTGGCTAACACGGTGAAACCCTGTCTCTACTAAAAATACAAAAAAACTTAGCTGGGCATGGTGGCGGGCACCTGTAGTCCCAGCTACTCGGGAGGCTGAGGCAGGAGAATGGCGTGAACCCGGGAGGCGGAGGTTGCAGTGAGCCGAGATTGCGCCACTGCACTCCAACATGGGCGACAGAGGAAGACTCTGTCAAAAAAAAAAAAAAAAAAAGAGTCTTAAACATATATAAAAAGACATTCAACTTTATTCATAGTAAGAGAAATGCAAATTAATAAAATGATGTTAAGATATCATTTCTCATCAGATTGGCAAAAAAAAGTCAAAAGCTTGGTACAGTGGATATATTACTTTGTACATATGTGTTTTTGAATCATTGGGGGTATAACTTAAGGATACATTTCTACAAGTGGGATTGCTGTGTTGAAGAGTAAATTTGTATGTAGTTTTGTTATATACTGCCATATTCCCATCAGCAACGTATGAGAATACCTCTCAATGTACTCTCATACATTGCATCTTATATTGAGGATGAGATGTTTTCTTGCATCCTCACCAACAGAGTGTATTGTCAGGTGTCCTGAGTCCTTTTGGACTGCTATAACAAAATACAGTCATGTGCTGCATAGTGACACTTCAGTCAACAATGGACCACATATATGATGGCGGTCCCATGATATTCTGATAGAACTGAAAAATTGCTATGGCTTAAGTGAGATTGTAGCCATCATAACATAGTAGTGCAACACATTACCTTTTCCATGTTTACATATGTTTACCATTGTGTTACAATTGCCTACAGTATTCGGTATAGCAATGGGTCCTAAAGGTTTGTAGCCTAGGAGAAATAGGCTATACCATATGGTCTAGCTGTGTAGTAGGATGTACCATTTAGGTTTGTGTAAGTACATTCTATGATGTTCACACAACAAGGAAATTGCCTAATGACCCATTTCTCATAACATTGTTGTAAAATGATGCATGACTGGCTTATAAACAACAGAAATGTATTTCTAACAGTTCTGGAGGCCTGGAAGTTCAAGATCAAGGCACTGGCAGATTTGGTGTCTAATGAGGGCCCACTTCTCCTTAGAGGGTCTTTTCAGTGTGTCCTCACATGGCAGAAGGAGAGAATGATCTTTCTAATCCCATTAAGGGTTCTGTCCTCATAACCTAGTCACCTCCCAAAGGCCCCACCTCCTAATACCATCACCTTTGGGGTTAGGATATTAATTTGGGGGGGATATAAACATTTGGTCCACTGTATCAAGCTTTTGACCTTTTTTTTTTTTTTTTTTTTTTTGAGGCTGGAGTGCAGTGGCACGATCTCGGCTCATTGCAACCTCCGCCTCCTGGGTTCAAATGATTCTCCTGCCTCAGCCTCCTGAGTAGCTGGTACTACAGGCACGTGCCACCATGCCCTGCTAATTTTTTTTATTTTTGGTAGAGATGGGGTTTCATTGTGTTAGCCAGGATGGTTGCTTTTGACTTTTTTTTGCCAATCTGATGAGTGAGAAATGATATCTTAACATCATTTTAATAATTTGCATTTATCTTACTATGAATAAAGTTGAACATCTTTTTATATATGTTTAAGACTGTGTTTATATAGCTCTTAGTGGATTGTCTGTTTATGTATTTTTGCCTATTTTTCTCTAGAATTTGTGGTCATTTTTGTTATATTTTAAATAGTTTTTAAGAAGTAAATTTGGCTGGGTGTGGTGGCTCATGTCTGTAATCCCAGCACTTTGGGAGGCCAAGGCAGGAGGATGACTGGAGGCAAGGAGTTCAAGACCAGCCCTGGCAACATAGTGAGACCCTGTCTCTACAAAAAAATTAAAAAATAAAAAATTAACCAGGCATAGTGGTGCACACTTGTAGTCCCAGCTACTCAGGAGGCTGAGGCAGGAGGATCATTTTATTCCAGGAGCTCAAAGTTACAGTGAGCTATGATTGTGCCACTGCACTCCAGCCTAGGGTGACAGAGTGAGACCCTGTCTCAGACAAAAAAAGAAGAAGAAGGAAGAAAGAAAGAAAGAAAGAAAGAAAAAATAAATTTAAGACGTCAGCTCTTTATCTGTGATACATATTGTGAATATTGTATCCCAGTTTGTCATTTCCTTTTCTTATGTTTTGTCATGTAAAACATTTTTATTTTTATATCGTTACATTTATCAATATTTTATTTGTTTTGCCTCTGTATTTCAAATTATAGTTACAAAGCCTTTCCCTACACAGAGGTTAAAAAGGAATTCACCCAAGTTTTCTTCTAGAACTTGTATAGTTTTTTTTTTTTTTCCAATAAAGCTCTTGATCCATTTTGAGTTTATTCTTGTGTGTGGTATGAAGGGTGAATCTAACTTCCCCCCCACCCAATAGCTCTAATATGTTTTCTAAAGCCTAGAAGGTAATTCTCTGAATTGCTAGTAATAATTGGCTTTGGATTCTTGAACTATAGTTGACTTAGTTTTTGCTCTTTTTCACTCTTGCCTAGGCTGGAGTATGGTGGTGCAATCTGGGCTCACTGCAGCCTCAACCTCCCAGGCTGAAGGATCCTCCTGCCTTAGCCCCCTGAGTAGCTGGTACTCTAGGCATACGCCAACATACCTGGCTAATTTTTTTGTAGAGACAGGTTTCACCATATTGCCCAGGCTGGTCTCAAACTCCTGGGCTCAAGCGATCCTCCCACGTCTGCCTCCCAAAGTGCAGGGATTACAGACGTGAGCCACCATGCCTGGCCCCAATCTTTCTTTAGTGAACTTTTTTTTTCCCCCCGTGGGAGAAAAGATTTTCGAAAAGAGATAGAGAACTATGACAAGGACATTCGCATTCTAGAGGTCATGAGTGTCATTAATATTGCTTCCATCCTCAGAACTGATAGCATCTACAGTCTTTACTGTGTAGCTTAGGACTTCATTTACACTTGCCCGTATTATTTCTAACTGTTTCATAAATGTATTTTCTTCTCAATTAGATTGTGAATGTATATCCCATAAGTGCACATAGACATGATAGGCAACTTTTTTTCTGATTTTTACTTGAGTACATATTGTAACTACTTTTACATACCCTTGAATAGTTCATTGTGTATCTAACAGTAACAGAAAAATACTGATATTAGTTAATTTAAGTATTCCGGGTTGGGTCAGAGAAAGTGGTAGTAGATTTAATTCTATTTCTTTATCTCCTTTGTCTAGGCTCCAAACACTTTTAGTACACATATATATATATCCCAGTCTTAAGGGAGATTATACATTAATTAACATATCTTTACAGATGAGAACATAGAGACTTAGAAAGTGAAGGAAACAGTTTTAACGGTTTTTAAAATTTTTGAGCCCTATTTCATTGTAAAAGAAATTAAAAATTTTATTTATTACACTTTGCTTTATGTGAGAGTGAATCCTAGAAAAGTTTCTGTAGGTAATTTTTAGTTAATTTTATCATGATTTCAATGCTGGCTGAATGATGATAAATAAAAATCGCATACATGTATTCATATATAAAACCTCAAACACATACACACAATCTATCACCAAGATTAGGTGGACTGTCTCTTGTTCTTCTGCAGACTAACCTAAAGTTTAGGTTTTGTTTATACTTTTTCTCCAAGGCTTTTGTTGCTATTTCTACAAAGTTGATATTACCCATAAAATATTTTGGGGAGACGGACACACTGTGATTTATCCAGGGATCTGTACCCCTTTAGGAATGTCACTTTATGGTTTATGTCTTTGTCTTATATACCTTTCTTCTCCTTTTCCTCCTGGTGAATTCCAACTTAAATTTTAGAAACCTAACTTCATCATCACCTCCTTTGTGATATGTTTCTTGACAGAATTAAGCAGTCCTTGTTAGTGCATCTGTGCCTTGTACATACTTCTTTTGCTGTATTTATCATACTGCAGGGCATTTCTATGTTTACAGGTGTTTCCCCTACCAGTATGTTAACTTCTTGAGGGTAGAGCCATGTGCTCAGTATTTGATTACTTAACTGACTGGGTAGTGATAGAGGAGTAACATGAATGGCTGTCCAGGGGCATCAGCCTGGTGGAAAATGTTGAGAGTTGGTGGTGCACAACATTATTGTGGCTCTCTGGGAAAAGGAATTTCTTAAATCTTCTTTCTACTCTGTGAAGGTTCTAATGGGAGAAAGCACTGATATTTGTAGGACCTAGAATTCTTCTTACAAGTTTTATTTTTATTTATTTATTTTTTTGAGATGGAATCTTGCTCTGTCGCCCAGGCTGGAGTGCAGTGGCACGATTTTGGCTCACTGCAACCTCCGCCTCCTGGGTTCAAGCAATTCTCTGCCTCAGCCTCCCGAATAGCTGGGATTACAGGTGTGCGCCACCATGCCCAGATAATTTTTTGAATTTTTAGTAGAGATGGGGTTTCACCATCTTGGCTAGTCTGGTCTCGAACTCCTGACCTCAGGATCCACCTACCTCAGCCTCCCAAAGTGTTGGGATTACAGGCATGAGCCACCGCGCCTGGTCACGAGTTGTATTTTTTACATAAACAACAATTAAGAGAATTTAAATGAGAAAACATACCCACAGTGTCACTATCAAATCATCAGCTATTTTCATTTTTCCCTGTTTCTGGAGGTATTTATTCTTAAAATGTTGGATTGCTTCTATAAAGTGTTTTATTGTTTCCTGTATTTTAATTTTACGCAATAACCCCTCCTGATTTTAGGTTTTAAATGCCTTGTAGAGAGGGATCACTGTCATAATGCATTTTTATATCAACTTTACCACTTAAGCTCAAAGCAAGTATTCAGATTCTTGACTGATATTATTCAAGCCAACAAAGTATTTTTAGAGCCTATAATAGTTCAGATACTATATAGGCTGTCAGTATACAAAATTGAGTAAGGTGTAATCCCTGCCTTTACAAAAGTTGTAATCGAGGAGTCATAACTAAAGTACCAAGTATACATACTATACAGAAATCATTCATAGAGACGAATGTGAGTTGCATAGGAAATATTTATATTACTACCCATATAAAGTTCTTGAACTGAACCAAGGTTAAAGAATGACATAATAATAATAATAATTATTATTATTAATTATTATTATTATCATTTGAGATGGAGTCTCACTCTGTCACCCAGGCTGGAGTGCAGTGGTGCCATCTGGGCTCACTGCAACCTCCGCCTCCTTGGTTCAAGCTATTCTCCTGCCTCAGCCTCCCAAGTAACTGGGATTACAGGCGTGTGCCACCACACCTGGCTAATTTTTTTGTATTTTTAGTAGAGATGGAGTTTCACCATGTTTGCCAGGCTGGAGGAATGACATAATTATAATTATTATCCTGGCATTTGTTCATTTAACATACACTTTTGAGTGCCTACTGGGTGCTAAGGAGTAGCCCCCAATTAGTCTCTAGAACATGTCATTTTCATTATAGCAATTCTAACTCGCTGATAATAGTTTGCTTATTTATTTGTGTTTTGTATGTTTGTTTGTTGTCTATTTTTCCCCCCTAGAATGTAAGCTCCATGTGAAAAGCACCTAGCAGGCACTTTTTTTTTTTTTTTTTTGAGACGGAGTCTCGCTCTGTCACCCAGGCTGGAGTGCAGTGGCATGATCTCGGCTCACTGCAACCTCCACCTCCTGGGTTCACGCCATTCTCCTGCCTCAGCCTCCTGAGTAGCTGGGACTACCGGCACCTGCCACCACGCCCAGCTAATTTCTTTTTGTATTTTTAGTAGAGACAGGGTTTCACCATGTTGGCCCGGATGGTCTCGATCTCCTGATCTCGTGATCCACCCGCCTCGGCCTCCCAAAGTGCTGGGATTACAGGAGTGAGCCACCGTGCCCGGCCAGTAGGCACTTTTGAGTGCCAGGCACTCTTCTGGGAATACAGTATTGAACAAAACAACATGGGCTCTTTTCACATGGAGCTTATATTCTAGTGGGGAAAAACAGACAGCAAACAAACACACAAAAACCAAATAAGCAAACTATTATCAGCAAGTAAGAATTGCTATAATGAAAATGACATGTTCTAGAGACTGACTGGGGGCTACTCCTTAGGTGGCAATCATTTAAGATCCCTCTGAGGAAGCGACATCCAAACTGATACCTGAATGACAAGAGGGAGCCAGCCTTGCAAAGATCTGAAAAGATTTTTAGGCATAGAAAATAGCAAATGCAAAGGCCCTGGGGCTGGTACACAGTTGGTGTGTTTAAGGAACAGCAGGTTGGTGTGTGTGGCTGGAACTGCACTAAACTAACAAGAAAGTGACAGGACATAGGGTTGGAAAAGTAGGCAGAGGCCAGGTAATGTAAGACCTTCTAGGTTAGGGTAAAGAATTTTAATTTTATTCTAAATACAGTGGCAAATTTTGGAGAATTTTGAGCAGAGGAATGATATCCAATTTACATTTTAAAAAGCTCTTTGTAGGAAATTCATAGTTAGGAGGTGATTATGGTAGTCCAGGGTGGAAATGATGGTGACTTGTCTAAGTGATGGTAGTAGCTGGTAGCAGTGGAGATAGGAATAAATGAAAGGATTTGTGATATATTTTGGAGGTAGAGTTGACAAGACTGGGATTAAATGTGGTTGGTTAAGGAAAGAGAGGTTTCAATGTCTTGTAGGATTTTTGACTTAAACATCTATGTAGAGGGTCATGCAATTTACCAAAATAGGGAGGAATAAGTTTGAAGATGGGATTGGAAATTCATGTTCTTTTTTGAGAATGTTAAATTTGAGTTGCCTGTTAGACTTCTAAGTAGAGATGGCAAGAGGATATGTAGTTCTGGACTTCATGAAAGAAGTACTTGTATAGAAATACAAATGTGGTAGCTGAGAGCAGTGGCTCACGCCTGTAATCCCAGCACTTTGGGAGGCCGAGGCAGGCGGATCACCTGAGGTCGGGAGTTTGAGACCAGCCTGACGAAAATGGAGAAACTCTGTCTCTACTAAAAATACAAAATTAGCTCGGTGTGGTGGCACATGCCTGTAATCCCAGCTACTTGGGAGGCTGAGGCAGAACCTGGGAGGCGGAGGTTGTGGTGAGCAGAGATCATGCCATTACACTCCAGTCTGGGCAACAAGAGTGAAACTCCGTCTCAAAAAAAAAAAAAAAAAAAAAAAAAAAAAAAGAAAGAAAAGAAAAGAAAAGAAAAGAAAAAGAAAAGAAAAACACAAATTTGGGGGGAGTCATCAGCTCTTAGATGTATTTAAAGCCATGAAAGTGGATGAAATTATACCTATGGAATGAGGGTAGATGGAGAAAAGAAGGAGGTCCCTGTACTGATGCTGGGGGATTACTAACAATTTGAGGCTGATCGGAGGAGGAATATCCAGAAACAACTTTAAGAGAGTAGCCAGTGAGATAGAGTAAAAACCAGAAGTGTGAGATGTAACAGAAACCAAAAGAAGAAAGTGTTTGAAGAAAGGAGTGATGAATTGTGTCAAACATTGCTGAGAGATGGAGGAAGATGAGGAAAGGAGATGACTGTTGAATTTGGTGACAAGTTGGGATGTGTTGAGGAATCAGTAGGTGGGAAAGTGGAGACAGAGAACATGGACACCTAATTCAGGATTTTTTGCTATGAATGGAAGAAGAAAAATGGGACAATGGGTGGAGGTGATATGAATTCAATGTTTTATTTTAATGAATGATGTTAAGGCAGGTTTATTTGCTGATGGGAATGAGTCAACAGACAGACAAAAACTTATGATGTAGCAGAAGGAAGAGAGAATTGAGTGGAGTCCTTGAAAAGGCAAGAAAAGATAGGATCTGGAAAACAACTGCAAGTGCTGGTTTTTGACAGGAACAGGGACAGTTCTTTCAATGTAACAAAAGAAAGGTAGATAGTGTGAGTACAGGCATGGAAAGGTTAGCATATTTGGTAGTAGGAAGAAGGGAGAAAGCCTGTCTGATTTTTTCTTTCTTCCATGACATAGTTTAATTTATCAAAACAAAATAATATGCCTACCATTATGTACAAAGGAAGTATGCTAGATAGTCTCTAGATAGTCTTACCTAAGATATTGTTTCAGTATCCATTTCTCTCTAACAAACCACAGTTGATCCTTAAGCAACATGGGGTTAGGGACACGGACATCCTCTCTGCATGTGCAGTTGAAAATCCACGTATAATTTTTGACTCCCCCAAAACTTAACAAGTTAGTAGCCTACTGTTGACTGGGAAGACTCGTCGATAACATAAACAGTCAATTAACAGATATGTATGTTATATGTGTTATACACTGTATTCTTAAAATAAAGTAAGCTAGAGAAAAGAAATGTTATTAAGAAAAGTAAAAGGAAGAAAAAATATATTTACTATTCACCGAGTGGAAGTGGGTCATCAGAAAGGTCTTCATTCGCATGGTCTTCATTTTGGGTAGGCTGAGGAGGAGGAGGAAAAGGAGGAAGAGGAAGGGTGGGTCTTGCTATCTCAGGGGTGGCAGAGGTGGAAGAGGTGGAGGAGGTGGAAAGGCAGGCAGGAGAGGCAAGCACATTCTGTGAAACTTTTATTGGAAAAAAATCTGTGTATATGTGGCCCCGTGCAATTCAACACTGTGTTGTTCAAGGGTCAACCATACTTCCAAACTTAGTGGCTTAAAACAACAATTTATTACTTCTCACTTTTTGGTAGATTGACTAAGTGGTCCTTCTGCTTCACAAGAGTTGGCCGGGGTCTTGAGAATGGTGAAGTGTCCAGAATGGCCTCACTCTCATGGCTGGCAGTTTGTGTTGGCAGCCAGCTGGAAGCTCAGCCGGGGCTGCCAGCCAGAGTCCTTGGTTTTCCTCTATGTGAGCCTTTTCACACAGGTGGTTGGGTTTCCTCACCCCATGGCAGTCTCAGGGGAGGACTTCCTACATGTTGGTCAGCTGGATTGTTTGGGAGGGATTCAGTATTAGGTTAGTTTCAGCTTTGGGGACCACATTTTATAATTTATCTACTCATACAATCCATAACTGAGAAACAATATCCATATTTTGACTTACTAATTAAGACTGTCTGATAAGAATTCTTAACAACAACAGCTGTGATTTTTCTCAGACCTAGAAAATAAGTAAAGCTTCTTTTCCCCTTTGGTGACTTGAATTTCTTTTCCCAGGTAGAAAACTGCCACCTGTCACCAGGACTCCTCTTATTTTTCTGTGCACATGGCAGATTTATCCTGGGTGCAAAATTTAAAAGTCCCGTTTCCCCCGCCACACACACACTAGTTACAGCATTTTCCTGAGGCACTGTCAAGTACCAATGAAAAGGGAGCATTGGCTCCGTGATCACACACAGGAAAACGAAGAACCCTTGCTTCTGACCCCCTGGATGTAAACACAGTCAATGTGAAACTATACTTAAAGCTTTGTGTCCCCGAGATAATGAGAAAAGGAAATCTGAAAAAGTGGCATGTTCATGAGTAAGAAATGGTGGCGTCCAGAATATGGAAGAGAGCTAACTGACAAATCCCGAAATCATGTCGCTTCTGGGAAAAGCCACTTGGCCCATACAGATATCCCCTATAGCTTTTCATTGCAAAAAAGTTGGAACGTAAACATGATAATTCATTATAAAGTGAATTTTGTTTTCCCTTGAAGTTACATCACAAAAAATGCAAACAAAAAATACCTGAAATTGAATATAAAATTCCATTAGAAAAATGTATTTTTGGTGAGGAAGTGGTAGGGAAGGGAACTAGTCCGTGCAATATTTTAGCCTTGTATCACCCTTGGACCCTCATGTCTATTAGAAATTGAAATTATGGTTAAGCTGAAAAACCTTATCTTTGCCATGTTTTCTGTATCTTACAGCATTTTCCCTACTTTTGTCACCACCTCCCCTTTCCAAACCATGGAAATTTCTTTTATATATGAGGTTCTTTCACAACTGAAGGGTTCTTTCATATCTGAGGGCTGTGCAATAAACTTTCTACAATGATAGAAATCTTCTGTATTTTCACTGTTCAATACAGTACCCATTAGTTACATATGATGACTGAATGCTTGAAAAGTGGCTAGTGCAAATGAGAAACATAATTTAAAACTTTATAGTTAATTTTAGTTACTTACAACTAAAATATAAATAGCCACATGTGGTTGGTGACTACCACATTGGACAGCAAAGCCTGGTGTCTCACTTGTAGCTCATGGAATTCTGCTCCTCTTTTTCTCTAGATGATGAAAAACCTGAGCTGATGGACAATGCCCGTAAGTGTATTGTGATATTGCAGCTCAGGTTTTTCATTAATGTAATTACTACAAATAAATACTATATGATAGTACTTAGTAGTGTACTATAAGATAGTAAATATCATATAATATTTATTTGTAGTAATTTGATTAATGTTGTATCCCTCACTGGATCGCAGGCTTCTTAGGAGTAAGGACTTTGTCTGCTTTTTCCTCACTTTTATATTATGCCCGGCACCTAGTACAGTATCTGGAACATAGTAGGTGCTCAATAAAGATATGAGTAAATGAATGAATTAAAGAGTATCCAAACATCTTTGATATAAATGAGAAATGAGGACTCCACTATCTGCTGTGTGTGTGTGTGTGTGTGTGAGAGAGAGAGAGAGAGAGAGAGACAGAATGAGAGAGAGATTGATTCTGGAGAAGAATCTAAACATATGGAGAGGAGACAAAGACCAGGTTATTAAAGAGAAATATAATTGATTGCATAATACTTCAGAATCAGAAAATTGGCTTTATTAATAGTAAGACTCTTATTAAGCATTTACTATATGGCAGACTGTACCCTAAGTACTTTACATGAAGTATCTCATGTAATCCTCATAAGCTAACACTGTAGAATACGTACTATTATTATCCCCATTTTACAGATGATATGGAGGATGACAGGAGTAATTTGCTGGAGGTCACACAGCTAGTAAGTAGTAGAACATGCATTTAAACCCAGGCAGTCTGGGTTCAGAGCCTACCTTCTTAACCACAATGCTGTATTGCCTTCTGTTTGATTATGTCCATATGGTGACAGAAGCTTAGTGACCTCAAATGTCTGCATCAGTTCTTTTGTCTAAATTTAAGCTTCGGTAAGCCAGTATCTCCTGGAGGTTTAGCCTCTTTCCAGTGGTGCACGTGGAGGGGAGGTGGGAATAGTAGTATAAGGATAATAGGATATGAAAATCTGTACTGGATTCTTTTTTCTCAAAGAGTCAAACAAATATTTTTATATCTAGGATTTTTTGCCTTCTAATAATAAGGGGAAAATAAAGGCTTCTCTTGAATAAAACAAAATGCAAAATAATATCTCCCCCTTTTCCAAATCTCTGGTCTAGTAAGAGAGATGAATGAAAGCTAAGAGTTACTGTTATCTTCGTATGAATGAGAGTTTTACTTCGCTTTCCCTCTCCCCTTCCCTCCTCTCTATCATAAATTTAGTGCTCCATAAATAGTCCAAGGTTGGCATTCCTATTTAGGTGCTTCTTTGTTTCATGTAAGAATAGCTTATCTTCCTGCGCTAGTTATACTGTTTGCCCCCAGACTCCCACCCATCAGATTCACTCTTTGCCCTTCCCTGTCCTGCCTGGAACCCTGTACATTGACCTCTGTGGGTTCCCTCATCCTCTGGCTTCTGACTGTGGTTCATTCAGCAGAAGCTTGGCATGGGGGTAGGAGGAAGAGCAGAAAGGAGAGACTAGATTGTTTCTTCCCCCTTCTTTCTCCCTACTTTAGTGCCACATTCTTGCAGGAGCTGCCTGACGGCCCCTTCGATGTGGCTCCAGTACTTACTGGGATCTGGTGACACTTCTTCTTCACCTCACCCCTGTATGTCGAGGGAAGGGAATGTTTTACCACTCTTGCAGGCCCCTGGGTGTCTCTACTGAGTCTTGTTTCCCTTAACTTGGCCCACATCTTTGTAGATAGTCCCTTTAATAAGTTATTTTCAGTAAACTGTTTTGAATAGAATAGTATTTCCTGCTTGGGACTCTGCCTGATACATTTTGCCTCTAGTGGTTTTCAATTTTCTTAATGGCTGGAAGATGTACTTCCAAATAGATATAAGATTAAATAGGTCTCAGGTAGATTGTTCCACAAACTGGATTTTGAGATTGTGTCGCTTCGTTTCCAACATTGTTCAGGGGAGAGATAAGCTGAATGTAGCAAGCATGTGTACCCTGTTACATGTATCAGAGATAGCTCATCAGGCTTTTTTTTTTTTTAACACCTTGAATGAAATGAACTCAAGATTATTCATTCCCTTTGCCCAGAAACTCTGATCATCGAGCAATCTTGTGATTACTAAATTGGTTTCCTAGGTATTGTGATCCAGAGAAAGGGGTATCTTGTAGGGTGGACACCAACAGTTCAGATCGTGGAAAAGTTTAATCCTCTCTTATATTAGTCAAATGGATTTCTTTAAAGAAAAAAAGGAAGAATACAGTGTCCCTTCTTCCCCTTCCACATGCATACCACCTTTTTCCTTTCCAGCTTGCATTCCTCTTTTCTCTCTCTTTTTGGTTTTTGTTTTCGCTTATGGCTTCAGCCCTGTGTTAAAATGAAGATTCCATTACTCAGCTCTATAAACTAATCTGTATCCATTCTTCTATACTGTGCCCATGGTCTGTCTTCCTTCCTGTTTTGATAAAAGAATAATTTTTCTTGTCAAAGACCAGCTCCTCTCTTTGTGCTCTTACGCTCATCTCTCTTGTTTTCTCAAGGATTTCCATTCCTCACTTACTATCCACTTTCTCCCACAACAGTTTCTTTCTTCTTCTTAGAACATTCCCATTGCCATTTGAGCATGCTCTGACATCTCCTATTTTAGTAAAAACCCTTCCTTGACTCCATATCCCCCTCCAACTAGTGCTCATTTCTCTGTTCCTCTGCACAGCCAAAGTTTTTGAAACAGTTGTTTATACTGGCTGGCACCACTTCCTTACCTTTCATTGACTCCATTCTGGCTTCCTTCCAGGAAGCCATCACTCCACTGAAGCAGCTTTAGTCAAGGTCATTAGTGACCTCCATGTTGCTGAATTCTATTGCCACTTCTCATCTTACTCAGCCTCTTATAAACACTGGACACAGCTGACCAATCCCTTTTTAAGATACTTTCTTCACTTGGCTTCCATGGCACCATTCTTACAGTTTTCTTTTCCTGATTCCTCCTCCTCTATTCAACCTCTAAACTTTCGTTGCTGAGCACTTGAAATGTGGCTAGTGAGAAATGAGATATGCCATAAAGCATAACATTGACTCTGGGTTTCAAAGACTCAGTATTTAAAAAATGTCTCATGAATAATTTTTTATATGGGTACATGTTGAAATACTAATATTTTAGATATATTAAGTTATTAAAATTAATCTGTTTCTTTTTACTTTTTAATATGGCTACTAGAAAATGTAAAATTACACACGTAGCTCATATGTGTGGCTCACACATTTCTACTGGACAGTGCTGTTCTAGAAACTCTTCCCTATCACCCTTTTTATTTCATCATCTTATGTAGTTCTACAGCTTTAAATACCAACTATATGTTGACTCCCAAATGTAGACCTTTAACTCTAACCTCTTATTTTAAGCCGAGACTTACCTACCCACTTGTACTTGAATTTCCATTTGCATGTCTAACAGGCATCTTGGTATTAATATGACAAAAATGGAATTTTCTATTTCTTTCAACTACTGAATTTCTCATCTCAACCAATGGTACCATCCTCTGTCCAAGCCAAAACTTGAGTCATCTGTGATTACTCTATTTTCCTTGCCCACTTCATCCAATCTAGCAAGTCTTGTTGGTTCCATCTTCAAATTATATCTTAAATTCTGTCAATTTTTCTTTATCTCCATGGCTACTACACAAGTTGAAACCACTGTCATCTCTCCTAGTCTACTGCAAAAAAAAAAAAAAAATGACCAGGACAGGACACTGCCAGCTTCCTAACTGATCTCGCTGGTTCCACTCTTGTACCATGACAGTCTCTGCCCCATACCTCAGAGTGATCTCTTTTAATTATAAATCACATGGTGTCTACTTCAACCCTCCAGTGACTTCCCATTGTGCTTAGAAAATAACCCAAACTTACTTTAGTTTGCAAGGCCCAGCATGAGTCTGATCACTACTTATCTCCCTGACCTCATCCCATACCACTCTTCTTCCTTGTTATAACAATCTCTAACCCCACTGGCCTTCCTTCCCTACTTTGATCGTGTCCAGCTTATTATTTCCTCAGGCCTTTTGTGTGGGATTCTTCCCTTTGCTTCAAATGCTCTTCTCCCAGTGTATTGTGTGGCTGACTCCTCTTCATTCTTCATGTCTCAGATCACATTCTGTCTTCTTAGAGAAACCATGCCTGTAAGCACTGTCCTGTCCTGGTCATTTTTTTTTTTCATGGAGTCTCTCTCTGTCACCCAGGCTGGAGTGCAGAGGCGTCATCTCAGCTCACTGCAACCTCTGCCTCCTGGGTTCAAGCAATTCTCCTGCCTCAGCCTTCCAAGTAGCTGGGACTACAGGTGCCAGCCACCACGCCCAGCTTTTTTCTTTTTTTGTATTTTTGGTAGAGACGGGGTTTTACCATGTTGGCCAGGCTGTTCTCAAACTCTTGACCTTAGGTGATCTGCCCACATTGGCCTCCCAGAGTGCTGGGATTACAGGTGTGAGCCACTGCACCTGTCCTGTCCTGGTCATTTTCAATCCAATCATACTCATACACCTCGCTCTTTATTTCTCCATCTTTTCTTTCTCTCACTGAAATTTTTTTTTGTTTCTTTCTTTCCTTTTGGTGTCTGTCTCCCTTTACAAGTGTAAACTGTTCAAGGGCAGGGGCCTTATATGTCTTATTTGCCTCTACGTTCTTAGCATCTGATAGAAAGTTTGGAACAGAGTAGGCGCTAAAGACACTTTTGAATGATAAGTTCTAAAATAAGTATTAATCAAATGGATGTTTTAAAAGAAAGAATGAAATAAAAATATTATTGGGATGAATAAGTTCATTTTGAAATGAATAATATGGGATGTCTTAGAAATGAAGGCATAAGGAGTTTTGCATTATGCTTTAACAGATGTTAATCCTTTAGTGTGACTGAGTTTGTCATATCAGCAAATATTGAGGGCCTAGCATTTGCAAAACACACTGTCTCTGCCCTTAGAATTGAGAAAGCCAAGAGAGCAGTGGGGCACTGAGCCTCTGAGATACAAAGGGGAAGGATGACATTAAAGGAGAAGGTGTGTGTGTGTGTGTTTGTGTGTGTGTGTGTGTGTGTGTGTGTGTAAGAATCAAGAACGGGTGCCCACTCAACAGATAACAGCCCACCTGACTCCAATTTTGCCTAGATTTTGCTCTAGCAGGAACCATGGCTATTATTTCTTTAGCATCTGGGGCAGTGCTATGCCTAGCAGATTTTTCAATAAATGTTTCTGGTAGAATGAATAAATACATTTAGGAATTATAACAAAAACTCAGGGAAAGTAAAGTCTTAAAATTACTGACCTCGGATGATATTGAAGTGTCTAGAAACCACATGAAAAAGAATGCACATGAACTAAAAACTGTAAAGTAGAAACAGATGAATTGAACACTCGAAGGTACACTAGCATGAGGATTTGGGACTAAGAAAATAATTCCTTTTTCTTGTCCTGCTTCACGCCCCCAGAGTTGAATCAACCTCGGAGTTCCTGTTGACCTCAGGAGAGGATTCCAAAAACACAAATCAGGAAAACAGAGTGGGGGAAATCTTTGAAAGTTAAACAGCAAAAACATCCATCTTGAGGACATCTCATTTTTTCCCAATCCAAGTTAGATCTGCTATGACACGTAAAAGAAAATGAATGATGGTGTTGATCATGAATGTATTATCTGGTTGTGACAATACTGGACAGATATATCTGTGTCCAGACTATACTTCTGCTATGGTCTATTTTAGGGAGCTTCTGGATTTTAATCTAAAAGTGATATCTGGAAAAGAGATAATAATTTGTGTTCACATAGCACTCTTCATCCAAAGGTCTCAAAGCACTTTACAAAGAAATAATTATTATTATCCCAGATGGAACAACTCAGACAGAGGGGCTGCTGCCCTTTTCAGCAAATTGGGGAGTGGAAGCCCCTCGACTCCAAACACAGCCATAGGCTATAAACTATTGAATCCTGGCCTCTCTTGATTGGGAACTGGAACTATCAATTAGAAGCCTTTTTTTTTTAAATAAAGCAGAACATCAGGCTCCAATCTTAAGAATTTCAGCATGTGTTCAAAACATATGAAAGTGAATGCTTTTAAAACGGATGAATTTTGGGCAAAGTATGGCTGCTTAAAATAAGAAAAGTGGTTATTACAGTCAAACTAATAATGGCTAACGTGCTGAACATTATTCTAAGTGGGTTATATATATTATTTTATTTAAGACTCATAACAATTTTAATGATGTAGGAAGATATATCATTTTACTCATTTTACAGTTGAGGAAACTGAGACAGAGAACTTAAGTAGCTAGGCCAAAATGTCAGTCAAGCAAACTGGCAGAGCTGGAATTCAGACGTAGGTAGTTTGACTCCAGAGCCTTCACTCTTAGCAAGTTACTCTGTGTCCAGGTACTGTGTGAAACATTTCACATGAATTATCTCACTTAATCCTTACACAACTTCTAAGAAGTAGATATTTTATTGGGGGCCCCTCCCAATAAAGGAAATCAGAGAAATTAGAGACCTCTTAGATGATAATGAAAGTGACACTAAGAGACTGCCTCTTACCCAGAGAGCTGTGACGGTGCTGTGCATGAGGACGTGCTTTGGCAATGGACAAGCTTGGATTAGAGTCCCAGCTGTGTCTGTCATTTGGACAAGTTATTAAACCTCTATACATTTTCCATTTGTAAAATACAAAGTAGTTAAGGCTCAGAAATGAAAAGACTTAAAAAGGTGAAGTGGCCAGACATGGTGGCTCACGCCTGTAATCCCAGCACTTTGGGAGGCTGAGGTGGGGGGATCATGAGGTCAGGAGTTCAAGACCAGCCCGAACAAAATGGTGAAACCCTGTCTCTACTAAAAACACAAAAATTAGCCGGGCGTGGTGGCACGTGCCTGTAATTCCAGCTACTCAGGAGGCTGAGGCAGGAGAATCGGTTGTACCTGGGAGGCAGAGGTTGCACTGAGCTGAGATCGCGCCACTGCACTCCAGCCTGGGTGACTGAGCGAGACTCTGTCTCAAAAAACAAACAAACAAACAAACAAAAAAGTGAAGTAACTTATCCAAGCTCACGTTCCAGTAGAGGTGGAGTCAGGCTTTTGAAAAGTAGACAAAAGAGAACTGGGCCAGGGGTCAGGAAATGAGGGCTGTTCCTGCCGCCAACTAGGCTGTGTGACCTTGAGCAAATCAAATAATCTCCATGGTCTCTGTGCCTTCCTCTGTAAAAGAAGGACATCAGGCTACATTGATACTAAAACCTTTCCCAGTGCTAACATTCTGACTCTCAATATCTGTTTTCTGTTTAGTCCCTTGTTTGAAAATCCTTGGAGGAAAAGAAATTAACCACAGAACCTGAAAGTGACTCTGGAAGCCAAATTTAGAAAACAGATCTCAAAAGGAGAAAAAATAAGTTTTCAAAATTTCTTTATTTAGGAAGCGAGACTGCCCTGCAAAGTGTTTGGCTTGATTTGTGAGACTCAGTGACCAGATAAAGGCCATACAGATCTCCTTGACTAGCCAGTTCTCCTAGCTGCAGTAAGCCATGTAACCTGGTTCAGTGGCTCTTTCTGGCCTGCTATCCTGGCTAAAGCTGGAAGAAGCCCATCCTGTGTGGGAGGGATCTGAGAAAAGAAGCCAAGCTTTTCATGTGGGTGTTCTATCTTGAATTCAGAATGTCTATACCATTCTGTCTACTTCTGTTTTTGTTCTTAGTGATTATTATATAGTGACACAGCCCACTGCTACCATGAACCAGTTTTTTTCACAACCTTGTGGTAAGCCACGGTATAGTGAACAGGTCTGGCTTCCATTTCTCTATGTGGTTCTATTCAAAAGTGTGAGCTTGAGTTTGTGATAAATCTTGGCAAAAAGATATCCATAGCTTTGTGATCTTGGGAAAGTCACTTAAATTCTCCGTCTGTCGATTTTCCTCATGTTTTTGTAAAATAATGCTTATCCCACGTGCTCTTCGGTGTTATGAATTTCAAATAGTGTATATGTGGAAGTAGTCTGAGGAAATTAGAGACCTCTTAGATGACAATGAAAGTGATGCTGGCTGGGCGCGGTGGCCCACGCCTGTAATTCCAGCACTTTGGGAGGACGAGGCGGGTGGATCACTTGAGGTCGGGAGTTCGAAACCAGCCTGGCCAACATGATGGAACCCCGTTTCTACAAAAAATACAAAAATTAGCTAGGAGTGGTGGTGGGCCCCTGTAGTCCCAGCTACTTGGGAGGCTGAGGCAGAATTGCTTGAACCTGGGAAGCAGAGGTTGCAGTGAGCCGAGACTGAAGAAGTGAGACTCTGTTAAAAAAAAAAAAAGGAAGAAAGAAAGTGATGCTAAGAGAAGACTGTCTCTTACAGAGAGCTGTGACGGTGCTGTGCGTGAGGAAGTGCTTTGG
Source organism: Homo sapiens (assembly GCF_000001405.40). NCBI lineage: Eukaryota > Metazoa > Chordata > Mammalia > Primates > Hominidae > Homo > Homo sapiens. Next base: position 140,048,664 of record NC_000005.10, on the reverse strand, counting down.
CAATGAGCAAGCTTGGATTACAGTCTCAACTGTGTCTGTCATTTGGGCAAGTTATTAAACCACTATGAATTTTCAATTTGAAAAATTCAAAGTAGATAAGACACAGAAATAATAAACACAAAGCTTCCAACAACAAGCCATTAATAGATGATGCCTATTATTATTTTTATTGTCAGTTATTGAATTACAGTGCAGAGTTAGCAGGTTTGGAATACTAGGTCTTATTTTCTAAGTCATACATACTAATTCACTGTGAACTTCAGGAAAAAGCCAGTATAAAATTGGGCTGTCCTTCTAGGAAACCAAATACCCTAAATGGCTGAGGCCAATTTCGGAAGCTTATCCTCACATACATCACACCTTGAGGAAATCTGGACAGGCACCTTCCTCCCCTTTATCTTTTTTTTTTTTTCCTTTTTGTGGAGAATGGGGTCTCGCTATATTGTCCAGGCAGGTCTTGAACTCCTGGGGTCAAGCTACCCTCCCACCTCTGTCTCCCTAAGAGTTGGGATTACAGGCATGAGCCACTGCACCTGGCCCTTTCTTCCCTTTAGAAAACTCTGCCTAACTCTCCACTTTCTATGGCTGCAGGAATTCTGGTAATCTGCTGGAGTCTCAAAATTTACCTCGGCATTCTAAGTTTATCTGAACAGGATATAATTATAGCAAAATAATTCCCTATGCTTTTTAGCATAAGAATCCCATTTTAAGGTAAAAAGAGTTTTACCCCATATAATAGTAGTTCCCATTATATAGAATATTCTTTCTGTTTATAGAATCCTATATAATAGTAGTTCTACTTTAAGTAGACTTTGAGAAAAACACATGATAAAAATTCAGCAACATTAACAAATTAGAGGATCCCCTCTTAAAATTTTTTTGAATAGCTAGTACATGAACTTGATATAAAATTCACGAGGTACAAAAGGAAATACCATGAAAATATCCTTCTTTCACCCCATCCCTCATTCACACACTGCCCTTCTCCAGAGCCTCCTATTGTTTCAACTTCTGCTGTATCTTTTCAAAGGTAAATTTGCACTACAAACATTTACATATTTCATCTTAAAAAAAGACAAAATGGTAGCATCTTACCACTCTTCTTCATCTTGCTTTTTTTCACTTAGCAATATCTTGTTATATTTTGTTGTACTTTAACATGGATATGTTGAAAAAAAAAGGTGGGGAGCAGGTGTGGTGGTTCACACCTGTAATCCCAGCACTTTGGGAGGCCAAGGCAGGAGGATTGCTTGAGCCCAGGAGTTGGAGACCAGTCTGGGCAAGGCCCTATCTCTACCAAAAAAAAAAAAAGTAATAATAAAGAAAAGAAAAGAAAAGAAAAGAAAACTAGCTGGGTGTGGTGGCATGTGCCCGTAGTCCCAGCTACTTAGGAGGATCACTTGAACCCAGGAGGTCGAGGCTGCAGTGAGCCATGATGGCCCCACTGCACTCCAGCCTGGGCAACAGAGCCAGATCGTGTCTCAAAAGAAAAAGAGAGTCCGGGCGTCGTGGCTCACGCCTGTAATCCCGGCACTTTGGGAGGCTGAGGCAGGCAGATCACCTGAAGTCAGGAGTTCGAGGCTGCTCTGGCCAACGTGGCGAAACCCAGTCTCTACTAAAAATACAAAAATTAGCCAGGCGTGGTAGTGCGTGCCTGTAGTCCCAGCTACTCGGGAGGCTGAGGCAGGAGAATTGCTTAAACCTGGGAGGCAGAAGTTGCAGTGAGCTGAGATCACACCACCGCACTCCAGCCTAGGGGACGGAGACTCTGTCTCAAAGAAAAAAAAAAAAAAAAAAAAGAGGCCGGGCTCAATGGCTCACACCTATAATCCCAGCACTTTGGGAGGCCAAGGCAGGCAGATCACCTGAGGTCGGGAGTTCAAGACCAGCCTGACCAACATGGAGAAACCCCGTCTCTACTAAAAATACAAAAAATTAGCCAGGCGTGGTGGCAGGCACCTGTAATCCCAGCTACTTGGGAGGCTGAGGCAGGATAATCACTTGAACCCGGGAGGTGGAGGTTGCAGTGAGCCAAGATCACACCATTGCACTCCAGCATGGGCAACAAGACCAAAACTCTGTCTCAAAAAAAAAAAAATAAGAGAGAGAGGGGAAAATAATATTTTTATTCTTCATGACATGTGCTGTTGAAAAATTGTATCGCCTTTTTTTTTTTTTTTTTTTTGAGACAGTGCTCTGTTGCCCAGGCTGGAGTGTAGTGTCATGAGGCTCACTGCAACCTCTGCCTCCTGGGTTCTAGCATTTCTCCTGTGTCAGCCTCCCAAGTAGCTGGGATTATAGGGGAGCGCCACCACGCCTGGCTAATTTTTTTTTTGGTAGTAGTAAAGATGGGGTTTCACCATGTTGGCCAGGTTAGTCTTGAACTCCTGACCTCAAGTGATCCACCCCACTCAGCCTACCAAAGTGCTAAGATTACAGGCATGAGCCACTGCACCCAGCCGCATTTTTTAATATACAGAAAATCCTAGTGAATATTTTTAATATACAGAAAATAAATACCACTTAGAGATTCTCAGCTCTTAGATTGGGAACCACCAGTATAAGTAAAATATTAGTAATCTTCAACTTTAATTTTGGCCCTTACTGTGCACCAGACATTGTTCTAAGCACTTTACATATTATCTCACATAATCCACATCCTCATCATCCTTCTAGTCTCAGCTTAAATGTTATCTCCTCAGAGAAGCCTTCCCTTATCCAAGTAGACCTATCCTCTCCCCTTTCCATTATTCTCTAGCATTTCATCCTGTTTATTTCCTTCAGGACACTCAGCAATACAAGTAATTAGTTACCCATTTGTGTACTTATTTACTGTTGTCTTCCCAGTCAGAGTATGAGCTTTGAGAGCACAGACATGTACTATTGAACAGTTTGGTTCACCACAGTACATCCAGTAACATACAGTGCCTCAGTGCTTGGCACAGAGGAGCCATTCAATTGAATATTTATTGAAAGTACATACTGAGCAAAAAACAGCTTTACGAAGTAGACCCTATTATTTTCTCCTTCATACTGATAAGGAAACTAAGGCCTAGAGAGTGAAATAGACTCATCCCAAAGTTGGTAAGTCACAGAGTTGCTTTAAAACCCAGCTCTGCTGGGCTCCAGAGCACAAGCTCTTCACTATGACCCTGGTCTCAGGAACAGAAGACTGAGTTCAGTCCTGGCTGTGTGAAATGTTGAGTAAGTCCCCTATCCCCTCTGGGACTTTTTCTTTCATTGTAAAATGAAAGAGTGGATGTCGCTATCTTCCTTATGGTGATGTTTTGTGATTTATGAGGTCTGTGATCTATGAAAATGAAATGGGGGACACTGAAGGAGCCAAGAAGATTGGCTTGATGCCTTTAAGCGTGCCGATTTTCAGTTATTTTCTTCCTTCTCTCCTTCTTTCACTGGAGATTTGCTAATCCTTATTTTATGCCAGGCATTGTGTTGGAGGTAATAGGAATCCAAAGATGAATAGGATATATATAGTCCCTGACATTAACGTGCCTGGCCTGATGGGAGATGCAGACCCATTAAATGGCTGCTTGAAATACGGTATGGGCCAGTATCCCAACAGTAATACTATGTGTGAAGCTCATGGCAATACAGAGGAGGAAGGGATTAATTCCATCATGTATGTGTTGGTGGGAGTAGAGGTGGATATGTAGGAAGGGGGATGCGGTATAATGCTGAGCTGGGCCTTGGGAAAATAAGTTTTCCATGTGGTCAAGGTGGAGGTGAGGCTTTCTGGACACAAGAGACATCATGTGCAGAAGCACACCAAGAAAGAGCATGAAGTGCTGAGGATTGCTAGAGTGGGGGGTTGGCTCTCAGGATATGAAGCTGGCTAGGCAAAGGGAGCCCATGAAGAGCCTTGCTGAGGAGTTTGAACTTAACTTCTGAGAGCAGTAGCATGGCCAAATTGTACTTACATTTTATTTTTAGAAGGATCACTCTGGCATTGGTAGGACTGGAGATAGGTGATGAGGTGAAAGGAGTGGAGACCAGTTAGAAGGCTTAGAAGTTGTCCAGGTGAGAGATGATGAGGGCTTGGACTTAAGGTATTTGCAGCAGAGTTGGAGTGGAAGTAGATAAATTGGAGATTATTTTAAAAGAGAGACCCAAAGGCCTTGGTGATTAATTGGATGAGGAAGAATAAAAGATGAGATGAAGGGACTTATTGTAATGGATTGATGTAGTCTAAAAGAATAAAACAGTGGCATTAATAATTATAGGGGATTTGGAGTGAAGTGGAAGAAATAATGATGTTGGCTTTGGATGTATTGAGTTTAAGATGTCTCTTAGCTAGGAGGAAAGGTGTAGCTCTCTCTACTTCCTTTCCAGAATAGCAGTCCTAGCCTAAGTCACTCATCCTTGGACCAGTTTCCTGTGGAGCCCAGTGCGGTATAAAATTCCCCAAGAGCTCACTGGCATTCCTGAGCTCCACATCCTTCAAGGTTAAAAGCTGGGTGTTGAAAACTCCCTGGACCCTCATTGATAGGCTAATGGATTATGGACCTGTGTGTGTGTGTGTGTGTGTGTGTGTGTGTTTTAAATCAGATGCTGGCTCCAGTGCAGCAAACTCTTCTGCCTCTTGCAAGCATCAGCCTTGGAAACAAAACAAAACAAAACAAAAAAAACCTTTTTTATGGAGCAGCCTCTGGCCCTGACAGGCTCTGGCTCTCTGTTGGCTCCCAAGAAGCCCCCCACCTTTCTTAGAGATCAGATTTTTAAAAGATGAGGTTGTACAGTGCTCAGCCAGATCCCCACGTGGCCGCTGAAGAAAGCCCAGAGTGTTGGGGACTGGGCCCTTTCTCAGCTACCACCTCTGCTTGGGTGTCCTCAATGCTAAGACAAGACACCTTGTGGCCCAACTCTTTCCAAAATGACGGGGCTGGGATTCTCCCCCACCTCAAGTCGAATATCCAGCGTTCACCAGGCGGTGGCAGGACCGAGCACGTGGTATCATTTAGGGGCTGGGCTCCAGGGTCCTCCTAGGAAAGAGGACAGCCCAAGAGGCGAGAGGCTGGCCGGCCACCCTGGCCATGGCAACCTCTCTGGCTCCTACAGCTGCTGGCCAAAGGCAGGGGGCACGCCCTGCGTCCCATTACCACGTTCATAGGATGGTGCCAGGAGCCCGTTATCTCTTCTTCGCCTTCTCCTCACGCACCACCCCCACTGTCATGCCGATAAATCCCGGGAGCAAAGGGTGGCACGATTCCTCCCGCGCCCCTGCGGGCTGAAGGCGGGCACTAAAGCAGTGCAGTCCCAAGCTTCCCCTGCAGAAGCCGCGCTCCCTACTCGGTCCGGGGGCAGAGGGGGCGCGAGAGAGCAAGTGGGCGGGCGTCCCATCCTCCGCATCCTCCTCCAGGTCCTGGCGCACAGGGTGGGAGCGCTGCGCTGCGCCGCGCTGCGCATCGCGGCCCGCTTGCCGCCTGCCCCCTGCCCTAGCTGGGCCACCTCCCCGGGCTGCCGGTGGAGGGCTAAGAGGCGCTAACGTTACGCTGTTTCCGGTTTTCCAGCGGGCTCTGTTTCCCCTCCCAAGGCGGCGGCGGCTGAGCGGCGGAGCCCCCCAAATGGCCTGGCCAGATGCGGCAGGTTTGCTGCTCAGCGCTGCCGCCGCCGCCACTGGAGAAGGGTCGGTGCAGCAGCTACAGCGACAGCAGCAGCAGCAGCAGCGAGAGGAGCAGCAGCAGCAGCAGCAGCAGCAGCGAGAGCGGCAGCAGCAGCAGGAGCAGCAGCAACAACAGCAGCATCTCTCGTCCCGCTGCGCCCCCAGAGCCGCGGCCGCAGCAACAGCCGCAGCCCCGCAGCCCCGCAGCCCGGAGAGCCGCCGCCCGTTCGCGAGCCGCAGCCGCCGGCGGCATGAGGCGCGACCCGGCCCCCGGCTTCTCCATGCTGCTCTTCGGTGTGTCGCTCGCCTGCTACTCGCCCAGCCTCAAGTCAGTGCAGGACCAGGCGTACAAGGCACCCGTGGTGGTGGAGGGCAAGGTACAGGGGCTGGTCCCAGCCGGCGGCTCCAGCTCCAACAGCACCCGAGAGCCGCCCGCCTCGGGTCGGGTGGCGTTGGTAAAGGTGCTGGACAAGTGGCCGCTCCGGAGCGGGGGGCTGCAGCGCGAGCAGGTGATCAGCGTGGGCTCCTGTGTGCCGCTCGAAAGGAACCAGCGCTACATCTTTTTCCTGGAGCCCACGGAACAGCCCTTAGTCTTTAAGACGGCCTTTGCCCCCCTCGATACCAACGGCAAAAATCTCAAGAAAGAGGTGGGCAAGATCCTGTGCACTGACTGCGGTGAGTCGCCCCCTCCCTTTGCTGGAGAAAGGGGGGAGGGGCGAGGTGGTGGAGAATGGGGGTGGGGCGGGGAGGTGCTGCAGGTGCCCGGGCCTGGCAGCGTCCGGGCGCTGGGGGGGTGGGGCCGCCCCTGGGCAGGGCGCCTGGCACGGGTGGGTGAGGGGGTTGGGGTTGGAGAGAAGAAGGATCAGGCTCAAAGTGTGCCAGGGGTGGGGGGCGGAGGGAGGCGCTGGCCTGTGCCAGCGGGGATCTGCGGCTGATGTATGGCATGTGGGGCTGGAAAGCTGCCATCATAGCCCAGTAGCGGAAGGAAAAACGGAGAGGTCCTGGCGGTGCTGGCCTGAGGCTCAGTGAGTCAGGAGTGACCCTCGGAGGCCTTGCCTGCCCTGCTGCCGCGGGCCTGCCGTGCCCAGGCTGGCAGGGTCTGCGGGAGCAGCTGGGCAGACTCCCAGGCTGTGAAGGCCTCCGCTTACAAGTTCTCCTAGGGAATGGTCGCCCCCGCCCCCTCCTTCCTCTCCTGGGCTCGTTGCTCTGCTCATCCACACCGCTGGCGCAGGCAGAGTTGGACTTTTTCTGCTACTGTTTTCCGTCCTCCATGTGGCTCCAGTTTTTTTCTTCATCGTGATTGCCTGTCTTTGCTAAGCAGGTAGCACATCCTTCTCTTAAGACTAGCAAGCAGACACCTTTTTTTTTTTTTTTTTTTAGCTGTTTCTGGGGGAATTACAAGGTCTGTTGATTGTGATGATGATGAAAGAGAGTAACTTCTGCTGAATGCTTTAAGTTCAGCTCTAACGTCTTACTCGCCGGATGTATTTGACTGCATCTCTCATCTTCATGATGTTGGATGCTGCACAGGAATGCAGGTGATTAGAAACAAAACACTGAAATCTGTAGATCTCTGCAGCTGGGAATGGAAGTCTCCCATGTCAAAAGTCAAAGAAATGTCAGTCTAAGAGCTTTTTCTTCTTGTCCCTGAATCCAGTACTTACTTCTTAGTAAGATATTTCAAATCAAATTGTCCCACACTGGAGTATTTGGTGTAAGCCTGTCTCGTGCTTATTCAAATTGAGGTTTCGTTTTGTCCCAACTAAAGCTGAATTTGTTGGCATGCGGTATGACTTGCTGGACTGTGTAATCGCTGAATTATGATAGATGTCCTGTACTCTCATAGAAGTTGGTATGTTTACCAGTTTTACCAACTGATTCTGGGTAGTGTAGACAGGCTTTGTTTGAGTAGCAAAATATGTGTAACAGCTTATAGTAAGTTTTGCTGCCTTCATCTTTCTAGATCGATACCTATGATTTTTGGAAGCTTTCCTCCCCCACCCCCTTCAGGAGGCAAATTTTAGGAGTTTAGTGATGGGAGTATATCTAGACACTAACTATGTTAAACTGTGATCACTTTAATGAGAAGAATCTTGGCAATGTCTTAATAAGGAGGGGAAAACTTTGGGGGATAACAGCAGTTTATCGCTCTGACATTATCCTTAGGAATATTGTTGACTGCTTTTTATTATTGGTTTTATGTTCTGAAATGTTTTATAAAGACAAGTAGAGACCAGCTAAGAATTTCTAATTTTTTATTCTATTAAGTATTTTGATACTTGGGGAGTATTAAAATACTCTGAGATGCCTTGGGGAGCTGTGAAACAGTATTGTACAGTGGAAAATAGATAGTAAAAATATTTATTGAATCTTGTCCAAGGACAGCTTCTGTTTGGTTGTTGGTGAGTTGCTCCTGCATTTGCACAGTGTACATCTCCACATAATCCCTAGTCTGGGCCGCTGAGGACTTGATGGTCTTTGTCAGATAACCCCATAGAGTAACTGGCTTCTCTGCTCCCTTGTCTCCCTCCTCCTACTTTCTCCTTCCCCCAACACAATACACCTTATCAATTACACATTGTTTGTTCTAGTGGGTATTCAGTAGCTTAACAGTTGAATGCAGAAATCATGAAAGATTTGAGGGGCAGAAATATGGTCTGTTTCTAGGTTATGATCATCTCATATTATCAAAATAGCATGTGTAGTATAGTTCTTAAAAAGATACATTTAGAACTGCAATCACTGGTAAAGGAAGGGCCCTCACATATCACAAATTATCAAGGATCAGGAATGTGTATGGCAGTAAACATTTTAGAATGCAAAAAAAAATTGCTTTGAATTGATATTCAAAGGGAAGTATATAAATAGGTACCATTTTGGGGAGCCTTATATAAGGGGATTAGAAATTAAAGGACATATTTGTGAGACTTGTGGAATTGGTGATAATATAACAGAAGAGCATAAACTGCATTTTCTTGTTTTCTACTATGTGGTTAAAGAAAACATGTACTGGTAATGCTATATTAAATAAGGAAACAAAATCATCCTAACTAACCACAACACTGTCCTTGTGCTTAGCAGGAAATAACTAACAAATTCATTTTCTGTTTTCTATTCTAAAGAAAGCCCTCTGGGCCACAGGGTCATTGGGAACATTTTCTCCTTGGAGCAGATTTGCCCATTGCAAAATAGGGAAACTGGCACTTGGAAACTGTCGTCATGGCCGTTACATTGAGCAACTGAGGTTGCATTGTTGCTTTGTTTAGCTAGTTTCAGGTCTGAGTGTGTGTAGGTTCTGAGAGGTGTGGTTCTCTGGGAAGTCACCTAGAAAGCCCGTGGGTTTTTTTTTGGAGGGGGGCAAAATATGGAGGGATAATATTGTGTTTAAAAATTGGCCTCAGGAGCATCAATGCAGGAGGTCACACTGGACCTCTTCTTATCAGTCCTCATAAATGGCTCGTTTCCACCATGAAATGTTGACTTGAAGTCTGTGATCTAAGGTGGGGAAAGGTAGACAGGGGTCTTTCTGGAAGAGCAAGACCTGCCAGAGTGATATTTTTACATATCTAATGTGTATCATTTATCCAGAAAGAGTACATCTGGTGATAGAGTTGAGTAAAATCTTTGCATTTCTTAGAAGATTGCATTGTATGGAGGGAGGTGTTTTCTGTGCCTTCTGTGGAAAGGCGAGGAAAAAGAGTTAGAAAGGCCTTGCAGGGATTAGCAATTCTGTACAATGTTATAAAAACATCATGTTCTGCAAATAGTCCTGCATTTTAAAAGATGGTTGCATATATTTTGGTATAATTACACCCTATCTTGTTGTTTTCTTATATTCATGTTTTTAAGCAGTTTCCTTATTGAATAGATGCAGTAAATAGCATAAAAAATGAAGATCATTTCTTTCTTTGGGATTTCCTGATTAGCAGTTTTCCAGTGTATAGTGTACTTTGTTGCTACAAGGAAAGGTGTATTCCTAAGGATTTTTACATTCTTTAGGATAGTTTTAAATTAATGTGGCACCCAGATTCACATATTAGAGAAAGGTGGTTCACAAAATTCAGTATAGCAAAAGCGACTACATATTTTTTAAATGCTGTTTATTTAAAGAATCTTTTCTTCCCCAGCCAGCTGGAAACCCAGCTGTGCTGCAGCTTGAAGATGGGAAAGTGAAACTAGATTAGAAACTGACCAGTCCTAGTGATGAGGACAAGGCATGGTTGTAGATTTAACGATTGAATTACCACCCTAATGTCATTATTTCTTGTAGTGGCTGCTTTCCTCGGCAGACTGCATTCTTGGGGTAGGAACAATAGCTTATCTTTGAGGTCTTCTTTCTCCTAGTTCTCCTGCCCTGCCGCGTTTCGTACTTTGCCTGGTTTATAGAAGGACTCTCCATCAGTGTCATTTGAATGGATAAAGTCAAGTGAAGTTAAAGAAAGCCTCCAGATTAAAACTAAAACAATCTTAACTCTCTGACCTGTGACATCAAGTCCTGTGCTGAAAAGCTGAGTTTGATGATAGCCTTTACCTGTCGCTATGGGAACCTTTCTTCCGAAAGAATCATTATCAACTAGAGTACTTAACCACAATGTGCTTAATCATTGTGCTGATTAGTGTTAATGGGATTTGAGCACTGGAGAATAAAGATCTTGCTGGAAAAGACCCTCTTATTTTTTTTTCTTTTGGAAGGTAGATTACTACTTGCCCACCCCCAAATTTAAACAAAAATAAAACAACCGTCGGTTTGAATTAACAAACAGTTTGAGAGCTAGGGATGGTGGTATATTAACAATCTAGGTGACTAACTTCCTCTCGGCCCCTAATCAAAGCAAGTGTGCTTCCCCTTTACTATCCTGTTTTATCTAGGGCATTTTAATTTTATTTCCTAATATCAATTAGTTTTTTCTTTATAAAATTATATTTATATTTTTGGAGCTGTAGCACATTTATATGGCTCAAAATTCAGAAAATACATAAAAATATATGATGAAAAGTTTCCTTCTTAATCCCTGTTCTCAGCTACCCCGCTTTAAGGCTCTGTGGTAAAATATTCAGGAATAATTTATTCTTGAAGTGTGTGTTTCTCTAAAAACACAATGTTTTTCAAAGCAGTCTTTTTTTTTTTTTTTTTTTTGAGATGGAGTCTTGCTCTGTCGCCCAGGCTAGAGTGCAGTGGCACATTCTCAGCTCACTGCAACCTCCGTCTCCCTGGTTCAAGCAATTCTCCTGCCTCAGCCTCCTGAGTAGCTGGGATTACAGGCACCCGCCACCGCGCCCGATTAATTTTTGTATTTTTAGTAGAGACGGGTTTTCACCATCTTGGCCTGGCTGGCCTCGAACTCCTGACCTCGTGATCCACCCGCCTTGGCCCCCCAAAGTGCTTGGATTACAGGCGTGAGCCACCGCGCCCGGCCCAAAGTAGTCTTAAATTTTCTTTCAACAGAGGGAGAATGTTAATTTTGCCATTAAGCCAATTTTGTGGTAAATTCTTCCCAGGTAATACATATTTTCTTAACCTGGCCCAAGATCTTATCTACCTAGTTCCAGTGATCTCTGAGTCCTCTATCTCAAGTATCTATTAAAGGATCCTCTTTTCTCCTCAATACCTTACCTCACAAATATAATTCTGGACTCAGGAATGAAAATACCAACTTATTTTTCAGATACTTTGCCGTTAAGTTTTCCCTGACAATACATTGTATAAGTCTTAACTGGGATGCTCAAAGGAGAGATCCAAAGGTTTATCACTGAGATTTAGGGCTGCATCTCAACCCATACAGCAATTCTTATTGTTTCACACGCTTGGTGATCTCACAGTAGAGTCCATGTGGGAGATCACATGATTTCACAGACAAAAAGAGAAAACTCCACAGTGCATGATTGCTTTGATTTTCATTCAGAAGACAGAGACCGCAGTTGTCAATGAAGAGTTTGATTTTGACCATATTCATGCACAGCTGGTACAATCCCAGGGAATTTAGCTACCTGAATACTGTTCTGAAGTACGTTTAAAGTAACTGATTGGAACATAGTGTTAAAATTTCAGAGGATCAGGGAATTGCCATTTGGATACATAGGAAAAAAGTAAATATGCAAATATCAAAGCAGCAGAAGTCTTAACCCTCTAAGCGCTGTTTGCTTAGTGGCATTTGGCAATTTTGAAAATTTGTGAAAGGAATGGTGATATCAGTATCATTGAAGTTTCCCCAGTGCAGTTTTCAACAACTTGTTCTTAGATCTTTCTTTGCAAGATCTGAAGTGCTGTTAGTATAATTTGCACTAAAAGTAAAAGAAATTTCCCCCAAATTTTGTGTTTGGATGGATGGGTGTATATGGTGTGGGGATTTCTGTCTTACTTGTTGCTAGCAAATTAACCCTCTCCTCCCACTTACTTTTTCGAATTTGTACATAGAAATAAGTCCAGTTTATGAATTTCAAGAGATGATACAGGCAACTCTTTAGGAAACTAGGGAAAGTAGATGAATTAATCGGTAGAAGTGCTAAATTATGACAAGTTTGAACAATGACTTTTATATTTAATTAAAGTAGACTTCTTTAAAAACAGTAATACACGCAGATGAATCTTGCTGAACTAGAGCTCCATGTCAGGTTGTAAGAACTGAAGCACACATAGAGGACGATTAAAAGGTATTAGGATGACATGAAAGGACATTCTGTACCCAGGCAAAGAGCTAGGAAGCTTTTGCCAGTCTGGGGTCAAAAGACAAATTTGCACTTATGGAGTGTGATTAATTGCTGCTAATCAGCTATAATGTTTTTGATAATTATGAAATGAAGTTAAATTAAGGAGCCTTCCTTCTCTGGCTAGTTGGGAGAGTGTGGCATATGAGCTCCATTCTACAGTAACATTCCCTTCCCACTTTGTATATGCAGGAAGATCCAAATGGCCTCTCCAGGGACCTTCTCTGGGACAGAGGCCTGACACTTCCGGAGCCTGTCAGCTCTGCTCTATGCCTCTGTTCAGGACCTGATTGTGCTGCTAGCCTCCTGAGTGTGGGGCAGGACTGGTGGTTAACATTTCATTTACCCTTGCAGATGTTTCTAGAGCAGCAGAGGCACAGGTACTGTAGAAAGTTTCTGTATTCTGCAAGCAACGCAGACCTCCAAGATGTGATGATCAGATTACTTTTTTTTTTCTCTCCCCAGAAACAGAATCCACAGTGGTTCTGTTTATCATTCACAGTTTCCTGCCCTGTGCTGAGGACACTGGCTCCCTTACACCTTCTTTCCCTGATCTGTTATATAAAGACTGAGGATCTGTCTTTGTCCTTTATGCTGGGATGTTTTACTTGGTCTTGATCTTGATATTGATCCAACTAACAGAAGCCAAGCTGAATTGACATTCCTCAGAATTGAATGAGAGGAAGGTCACAAAATGGCTAAACATCTGGTCCAGCCCATGCAAAAGTCAGGACATCATGAATTCTATTGTGACAGTGATGCAATTTGGTATCCCAAAAGTTTTATTACAAAAATAACTTTCTTTTAATTCAATCTTTTCAATGTTTGCTTCAACAAATATTTAAATATATATTCTGTGTAAAGAACAAGTTACTTTAGAGGAGCTGCATCAGATACAGTCACCATCATTGATGAGCTTACAATCATATAACAGTAATTTAACTTAGAATATGATAAACACTGTAAAATATGCCAACATAGTGCTTTTGGGAGGAGGAGAAGAGTCAAAAAGGAAAGAAAGATAATATCTGGTTAGAAGATTAAAGAAAGTTTCTTGGAGAAGTAGTTTGAGAAGGGTTTCCAATAATCAGAGATAGTTGAGGTGAGAGTAGTTTGGGGATAGAGATGAATCAATTGATTATTTCATGCAGCAAGAGCAGCATTCTCAGTAGCAGAGGGGGGATGTTTATGGAATAATAAAAAACAAAAAACAAAATGAAAGGGGAATGAAAATGAGGAGCCTGGAGAGGTAGATTAGGGTGATATTGTCTTCCTTTCTTTGCAGAGATAGGGTTTCGTCATGTTGCTCAGGCTGGTCTTGAACTCCTGAGCTCAAGTGATCTTCCCACTTTGACCTCCCAAAGTCCTGGGATTACAGGTGTGAGCCACTGCGTCCAGCCTAGGGTGATATTTTAATCAGTCTTGAATGCTAGACTGATTAATTATTCTTAATTATGTAAGTAGTATTTGAAGGCTTAGGTTAAAAGTAACTCAGTAACATTTTGTAGTTCAGTGAATGGGTCTTGCACATATTTCGTTAAATTTAGCTGGAAGTTTCGTGGTTTTTTTTGCTATGGTATTCTATTCATGTTATTATAAATGGTATTATTCATTTAATTTCATTTTTCAGTTACTCATTGTAGTGTGTAGAAATATCATTGTTTTGTTTTGTTTCATATATTGACTTTGTATGTTGTGACCTGAATACATTCACTTATTTGTTCTATTAACTTTCTTTTTGTATATTAATCGGGATTTTCTATGTACATAATTGTGTGGTCAATGAAAAAAAGACATTTATATTTTCCTTTCTAATCTGTTTCTCATTTGTTTCTTTTTCTTGCCTTATTACACTGGCTAGGACTGCCAAAGTGCAATGTTGAATAGAAGTGGTAAGAGCAGACATTCTTTTTCTATTCATGCAGAAAAACATTCAGACTTTCATGATTAAGTATGATTTTAGCTAAAAGTTTTTCATAGCTGCCCTTCCTTCAGAAAAAAAAAAAAAGTCGACCCAAAACTGTGTAATGACTAAGAGCTTGAGCTCTGGATGGACCCGGGTTTAGAAACCATCTTTTGTGGCCGGGCATGGTGGCTCACGCCTGTAATCCCAGCACTTGGGCAGGCCAAGGCAGGTGGATCATGAGGTCAGGAGATCGAGACCATCCTGGCTAACATGGTTAAATCCTATCTGTATTAAAAATACAAAAAATTAGCTGGGTGTGGTGTGCCACAGGCCTGTAGTCCCAGCTACTGGGGAGGCTGAGGCAGGAGAATCACTTGAACTTGGGAGGCAGAGGTTGCAGTGAGCCAAGATCGCGCCACTGCACTGCAGCCTGGGTGATAGAGCGAGACTCCATGTCAAAAAAAAAAAAAAGGAAACCGTCTTTTGCATTTTCCAGCTGGGTGATATTGGGCAAGTTACTTTCTGCATCTTAGTTTCCTGTAAAATGAAGATAGTGATGGCACTTTATAGAATTGCTATGAGTATTAAATGTAATAATGCATGTAAAATAATTAACATATCACTTGATTGAAAAATGTTAATTATTAACCAATGTGAGCAGGAAGACTAGGTAAATGAAAATATTAAGTTCCAGAAGCAGACCAGGGGGAGGCAAGAGGAAACAGTTTTATGAACAACTATGTTTTTCACCCAGATATTCCCATTTGTTTCAACTTGAGAGTTATTGGGCTGGATCTGGTGGAGGTGGTGGTGAGAAGAGAATGGGTTATGTGTGTGGTCACATTGTGGAGACACCCTTGTGAGTCCCAGGATATGAATGCTCATTCTGTGGAGATCCCAAGTAGCCCACAGATCTTGATGTGCTCATGGGTACGTGCTGGTCAATTTTTCGAGAAGACTGAAGATAGATACTGTTTTTCTCTGTTTCACAAATGGGAGGACTAAGACCCATACTCACAGTGTCTCTTTCAAACTCCCATCATACTGGTGGGGTGAACCAAGTTCTGGAGTCCTGCCAGGATTGCTCTTTGACTTCGGTAGGTCTTATCTTACATTTTTACTGTTGTCAGGAGAAGTTGCTGAAAGTCCCTGGAAAATGGCTGAAAGCTTCCTTATTTTCAGATAGGGTCCTTGACTCATCCTGCTTTGATTTGGGGGTTTCCAGGGTTGGGAGTGGGTTCACACTGAATCATTCATCCTTTTCTTGTTTCTGTAGTGAGTTGTAATATATCTGGTGGCTTCCCAAGGTCAGAGGAATAGAGATGTGATCATGTAACAGGTGACATTTTTTGAGTTTGTGTGATTTTATTTTTATTTTAAATAATTAATTGATATGTGAAACCTGATGAAAGTATGAAACTTACTCTTTAAGTGTTTGTAGGACAAAGACTGCTAATTATTTTACATGCATGATCTCATTTAATACCCATACAATTATATTAAGTGCTATCACTATCTTCGTTTTACAGAAAATGAAAACACAGAAAGTAATATATTTGGGGGTTCTTCCTTTAAATATTTGTTGTTTATTATTACCCCTCAGGTCCTTGGCTGGCCATCAATCCCCTGACCTCAAGAAGTAGTGTTTATTTTTTCTTATTCTTAAAGTCCTAGTATTTGTGGCCTATATTATGTATATAACACTTATCATTTAATGCCACACATTGCTAATTATCTTTTGATGGGCCAGTATCTTATCTCGTTTACCTGGTGGTAAGATCTTTAGGGGCAGTAATTTAAAATATGGTGAAGTTAATATTTGATTGCTGGTATTGCCAAGTAAAAAGGGAGCAGTGGGAGCATTTGCTTTCTCTACTGCCCACTTTTTTCCTAGACACATTTCAAGATTCATCAAATGACAGCCCAGGCTAAGGGACAACCATGGAAAGTACCTTTGGACATTTTGATGAGGGCGGAATTTTGCTTCTTGGTCATGTTTCAGTTCTATTTTTTTTTTCTCTCAATAGTCCATAGTTTCTTTATTTTCTTGCAAGTAATTGTCCTCTTTTATTGAGTTTTAGAATGATTTCTAGGTACTTTTCCTCATGTATGTCAATATTTTGGCTTGTGTTCTTTTTCTGTGTTTTGGTTAGTTGGCATTCTGCAAAATTTACCAGTTTCACTTGCCACCTGAGCTTTTTGGATATTCCTTATTCTGGTCTCTCACTGGAATGCCTAGCTACACTCTTAATCTGGCCTGTTCATGCTTCAGGCTGAATACCTTCAGAGGTAAGAGGTATGACCAGGTTCCTTTTCTGTAGTAAGCTGAGATCACGAATTAGGAGTAGCACCTTTTTGCCTAGTAGACAATTTGGGGGCTTCTGGAGGCCAGTGCTGGTCCTTTGATCACTGGTTTTTGTTTTGAAAGGGGGTGGTGGGAGCTCAATCCTTTCTCCTAATGTTTCTCCTTTGGCATGTTCATTCTTACACCATTCCCTTGAAATGAGGCATTTTCTGCCATGTCTGCTTGGCTGAAGTATTGGGTAGGGTGTGGGCTTCTCCTCCAGCTCCAAGTTCCCAAGGACTGTTAGACACCACCTTTCAGAAGGCTCTGGCACTCAGCATCCTTAAGTCTGAGTCCCTTCCACTGGTGCCTTTGGCCATAGGTATGATCTTAATACAGCACCTTGCCGCACTTGCTTAGACCAGCAATAGATTTCTTAAGCACTGCCCCACTGATGCCTCTTTTCTGGAGTTACTTTGTATGGCTTTAGAGAGGAGGGTTTATTTACCAGTCAGGATCGAACAGGTAGTGATTAAGCAGATGATCTGTCATGTCTGAATCCCTGTCTCTGGATGAGAGAAAACAGCAAGGCTGCATCCAGGGCAACTTTTCTAGCATTGTTATTGGTTGATTTGATTTTAGGGGAAAAATAGTGAAAATAAAAATTTTTTTAAAAGAAAGAAAGGAGTCTCAGACCATTACAGGATCCGGTTGTTACAGGCTGAATCCAAGGCCCATAAGTGAAGAGTTTCTTTTAAAGGACTCTGGGACTTCCAAAGACAGCCTGTCAGACTGCTTACTGTTGGTTGGTTTCTTTTTCACAGTCTGTTTGTATGGGTTTTACTTCTGACCCTCTCTTACCTGAGGCTTCACCTCTCCCACTTCATCCCACCTGGCTTCCTTCCTTTCTGCTTAGGCCTGCTGATAGAATTGCTCTTCTCTGAATGTAACATCCGTTCTTCAGCCCCCATTGTCAAGAATCAGGAAAATTTCCAGAAATTTTTGGTATAAAATTCCCAACTCTTCCTTAGACCTCAGGTCTGACAGGCCTAATGGGGAGGTAGGCATAATCCTGGGATAGGATGAGGGTGGGACCAAATCCAGTAAATCTGGCTGAGTTTCCCTTAGGTTGGATTCTTTTGGACATAACATGGAGTTTTTTTTTCCAGAAGTCATCTTCCATAATTCTAGGTCTCATTTTCAAAAGGAATCCTTTCTCCAAAAAGGCTAGTAACATTCACTGGTCTCTTAGTAACATATACATTAAGTTGTCTTGGCCAAGTACTGACAGAGATTCCTTTCAGATGGCACCTCCAGAGCTCAGCCCAGGTGATTCAGGCCAATGCTAAGAAAATCCCACCATGTAGAGCCAAGTAGTATTACCATCTGGGCAGAGCCAGACACCACCACCTCTGAGAGAAAGGAGAAAGGTCTTTCTGCTGGAAAGAATCTAATTTGTAAGTTGAAGGGAGGCACATGGGTGGCTCCCAGATTGGAAGTGAGCTTTCCGTATTTGTTTCTTACTGTGTAAATTATCTGAGTAGGTTTCCACTGTGTATGGTTTACACTCAGTCAACTGAAAGGGCAAGCGGGAGCTGGAGCTGAGACTGGTTCCCTTGGAAGTGCTGTTTTCACCTCTGCCAGGCTTGCCCCTGCTTCACCTATGCCCACAGACAATGTGGGCTTTGCGCTTCTCCTGTGTGGTGTTACAGCCTCAGGGCCTCTGGTGAATGGTCTGCCTTACATCCAGAGCTTGTCGTACAGAGGTAAAAAAGTTAAAGGCATTGGTTTTGATTAGTTCTGTAAAGGGATCACCTAAAACTAGTGCATCCTAGGGAGCTCTGTCTAAAAGAAAACATTGAGTTGGTAAAGAGTCCCAGTGGGTTTGATGGGCTTCCTTGGGTCAAGGTCATGAACCATATATATTTTTATAAGTATAAGAGTTTACTTTTCTCATGTCTGAAGTTAAATAACAGCCTAATCCTTCCAGAGTAGGAGTGAGTGTTGTCATTGTAAGAGGGAGAAAAGGGCGATCAATAGTGCTGCTCTGTCCACATGACTCAGGGAGTAATCCAATGACATAACTCTCCATTCTAGGGTTCAAAGATTACTTTCTGTGGAGGAGTTTGCTACTAGCAATGTGGCTTTGGGAGGGGAGCCTTATGGTTGGCTTGCAGTTGACCCAGTCAGCCTTAAAATTTGAAGCTGGTTTGTGGATCCTGCCATGGGTTCCTCCAGGAATGCTGTCATAGTGTTTGGTTTTCTGACACACCTCTTTCCCCTCTCCCTTCTTTCTCAGGTCATTCAATCACCATGTCTTCTTTTGACCACTTTGTAGAGGGTACAGTCCCTTAGGGGTTGTCCTTGGTTCTCCTCTCAATTTATGAAATCTGATTTGAAGATTTCATCTGTTCATAGCAGAATGGTTACAGCTGCACGCTGGAGCTTTTTTTTTTTTTTTTGAGACAGAGTCTTGCTCTGTCACCCAGGCTGGAGTGCAGTGGTACGATCTCAGCTCACTGCAACCTCCGCCTTCCAGATTCAAGCAATTCTCCTGCCTCAGCCTGGAGCTGACTTTTAAAGGCGAGTCCTTACTCTGTGACTTACTAGCTGGATAACCTGGGGAAAATTAATGAACCTCTTTGTGCCTCAGGTTTCCCAACTATATTATGGGGCTCACAGTAATACCTACCTTATAGCATTGTGATGAACATTTGGTGAGTTACTCCACATGAAGTGCTTAGAGAACAGTGCCTTCTTATAGAAAACATTCAATGCAGGCTAGCTGCAATTACTGTCATGTCTGTCATTAGTGGAAAGAGAATGGCTTTTGATTCGGATGGGTATGTGACTCTGTTCCTGACTGTGTTTCTTACTCGCTGTGTGAACTTGGGAAAAGTCCCTTAATTTTTTTGAGTCCCAGTTTCTACCTGCCTATGGCAGTTATCGATTGTGGTATGGCAAAACACCCCAAAATGGAATAGCTTAACACAGCAACAGTTATTTGTTATAATCTCTCACAGTCCTGGGAATTGAGGGGCTCAGCTAGGAGGTTTAGTATCTTTCATGTATTTTAGTCAGATGGTGGCTGAACAGTCAGACACTAGTTGCGACAAGGTCATTTCAAAGTTTCTTCTCTGACATGTCAAGCATATAATTCTGGCTGGAATTTCATCTGGGAGTGTAGCCGGGTCTGAGGACCAAGGACCTTGCCTGGGTTTCCTCACAGTACCATGGCTAGGCCCAGGAATAAGCATCCCAAGAGAGGGCCAGATAAAAGCTCTATTGTCTCTTAGGGTCTAGCTTCAGAAGTCACATAGCATCACATCCACCACACTCTGCTTGTTAGAAGAGAGTTACTAAGACCTGACCAGATTCAAGGGGAGGAGAATTACACACCACCTTTTGGTGGAAGGACGGTCAAAGAATTTGTGGACATTACAGTTTGACCTCTGGCACAAATTATTTATATTCCTCACACATGAAAAATATACTCATCTCCACCCAAAACCTCCCCCTGGCCCCCTGGCCAATGTGTCATCTATTATGGCATCAGGCTCAGGTTCAGGAGCCAGGGTCTCATCGTCTCAATCAGGTCTATGTGTAGTTGAGACTCCTCAATGCAGTTCCGTGGGTATAGCAACTCGAGTACTGCTCCTCTTGATCTGAAGACTGTGAACTCAAGAGACAAGTTATCTGTCCTCCACACCAAATACAACACTGGGATAGATTTGGGATAACTACTACAGATGCCTGTTTTAAAAAATTGGTAACACTTACATTTTAAAATGACTATTTTTATTTTTTTCTTCAGATTTTGAAATAATTTCAGACTTATTATAATACAAGAAAGTTGCAAAAATAGTACAGAGTTCCTAAATACTCTTTGCCTAGCTTCCTCAAATGACACAACACGTAAAATGATTAAAACCAGGACATTAATAGTACGGATGCAATACTATTAGCTAATCTATAGACCTTATTGAAATTTTGCCAGTTGTCTTACTAATGGCCTTTTCCTGGTCCAGGACCCAATCTAGAATCCTACATCACATTTAGTTGTCATGTCTCTTTAATTTTCTATCTACAGTAGATGATTCCATTTAGAAAGGAGGGCAACATTAGTCGCTAGTCCCTAGCAGTTTTGAAATCCAGCCTGGCATGTGAGTAGGGCTCAGTCCTATTGCCTGGGAATGATTCTTCACTGTTTGTTGTTCTACCCTGTGGCTCCTGGTTCTGTCCTCTGAATTACTCTTTTTTTCCCATAACATGTAGCCTGTGTTTGCAGCTAAGCAGTTTTCTCAGCCTGCTTCCTACTTGTAGATGTCCCTTTTCATCCAAGCTGGTGATGTTCCTGCTAGTATAGTAGTCCCCCCAATCCATGCGGGATATGTTCCACCCCCAGTGGATGTGCGAAACCACAGATAGTACTAGGCCTTATATGTACTATGTTTTTCCTACACATACATACATATGATAAAGTTTAATTTATAAATTAGGCACAGTAAGAGATTAACAACACATAATAATAACAGAACAATTATAACAATATATACTGTAATAAAAGTTATGTGAATGTGGTCTCTCTCTCAAAATATCCTATTGTATTAAACCGTGGAAAGTGAAACCATAGATAAGGGGGGACTACTATATACTTCTTTTAAAAAGTGTATGGTTTTTCCGGTGAATCCTATTGGGGTTTACTGCCTTAGACAAAAGCCACGCCCACGAATCTTCTTAACATAAGCTCTTCTCTACTTTGAGTTCCCTCTGAAGCTGCAGTGGGATAATGCTCTTTAAGATTTGTAGAATTCCTATTATTTAATAGAAAGGATCTGTGGGGCACATTCTTAAGATCTATGGAGAGGCCTGGTGCAGTGGCTCATGCCTGTAGTCCCAGTACTTTGGGAGGCCAGGGCAGGTGGATTGCTTGAACCCAGGAGTTTGAGACCAGCTTGGGCAACATATGGAGACCTCATCTCTACAATTTTTTTTTTTGAAATTAGCCAGGCATAGTGGAGCATGCCTGTGGTCTCAGCTACTCTAGAGGCTGAGGCAGGAGGCTCACTTGAGTCTGGGAGGTTGAGGCTGCAGTGAGCTGTGATTGCACCACTGCACTCTAGCCTGGGGGACAGAGTGAAACCCTGTCTCAAAAACAAAAACAAAAAAGACCCACGGAAGGACTTTTGTTTGTCTCAAACATTCTTCGAGGCATTGCCTTTGATCTTTCCGGGGTCTTAACAAAAGATATAATTCAAAAATTCTCAAACTGAGCTCAATATCTTCTTGCCATACCCTGTTATGTTTAGGACACTCCTATCCTAAATAACAGCATTTATCTAGTCTTCCAAGCTGTTAGAAATGTCAAAATCATCTTTGACTCTTTTTTCACTCTTATCCTCTGTATAGAGGACATTGACGAGTCATGACAGTTTTTACTACTGCAAAGTCTCCCCAATCCAATTCTTTTCATTCATGATGCTCTAGTTGGAACTTTTATTTTCTTTCTTTCTTTTCTTTTCTTTTCTTTTTTTTCTGGAGAAGAGATCTTACTGTGTTGCCTAGGCTGGAGTACGGTGGCTGTTCACAGGTGTGATAATAGCATACTACAGCTTGGACCTCGTGGGCTTGAGCAATCCTCCCACCTCAGCCTCCCAAGTAGCTGGGCCTGCAGTCATGTGCCACTGTGCCTGGCTTCTAGTTGGATACTTACATCTCACCTAGCCTGCCTTAGCGGCTGTAAATGGAATTCCCTAGTTTCAGACTCTCTGTTCTCTTCTATTATCTATTGCTAGAATTCACTTTCTAAAACAGAGTAATTATCTCTTCCCAACCCCAAAATCTTCAATAGCTTCCTATTTCCTGTGGCATAAAGAGCAACTTCTTCACAGGGCATGCAAGACCTTCCACAATTTGGCCCCTACCTATCTGTGATCCTTCAGTCCACTCTTTCACACTTACTCTTTGCCATAGCTAAAATGATCTACTTGACAATTTCAAACAAATTTTACATTTGTATCCTTTAGTGCTTTTGCTCATTCTGTTTCCTTGGCTTAGTATGCCTTTCCATTTCCTCTTCTCAGTCAGTTTCTTGCCTCCTCTTCCTTCTGGGCTTAGCTGAGATTCCACTTCTCCTCAAAGCTTTTTCTGATCCCCTCAGTCGGAATGAATCATGGCCTCCTGTGTTTCTGTAGCAGTTCATTGCTCTTCTGTAAACATAAAGGCCTAGTCTATCACTTGGCATAGTCGGATGGGGGAGGAGGGCAAGTGTGTGTGCGGTCCTCCAGACTGTGAGCTTCCTGAGTGCAAGATGGAGCTGCAGCAAAAGATGTATCTTCTTTATCTTTTTGTGCCTTATGTAAGTTAACCAGCAACTGCTGGGTGACTTGAAGAGAATGACCTTAGGATTTTATCTTGGAATTAAAACTGGCCATTGGGAATAAGCATCTGGCTCATGGAAGGAAACTGACCTTAGGTATGTATATATTGGTAGAAATATGAAGGCAGTAAATTGAGACAGTTACTTTAGAAAAAAAGCCAAATCTCTGATATGTGGATTTGAGTCTGTGCTTTATTAGCTTCTATGGGAAGCACCTTGAAAAGATTATTCAAGATTGGAGAATATGGCTGTTTTTTATACTACTGTATCTCGATCAACTTCATGGTACTTGGTGCGTAATAGGCGCTCAATAAACATTAACTGAGGGAAAAATGAGTGAAGAAACAGTTTCTTCTGTGTGACTCTGCAGTGTACCTACATGTGCCATGCCCAAGGAACATAGCCTGGAAAGCTGGTTCAGAATCGAGGCTTATTTATCATAAGTGATTTATCCAGGGCCCTCTTGATACTTAGAGCCTTCTGCTGTGTTACAGAGATGGCAGGTATGTGCACAGCATGACTGTTGAAAAGGAATGGCAGAATTGCAGTCTGAATCCAGCAAGCAGAAGTGACAGCAGCTGCTTTTAGGTGGCCCAGAGGAGTGTTGGGCTATGTGTGTTTAGTTGAGGAAGAGGGTACTAATCAGGCCTTGTCAGGGGTTTTTTTCGTTTTGAAATAATGAAAGTCCTTCCTGGAAATCAGCCTCCCTGGGTTCAGCCTCAGTCCACTGCTTTCTGTATGGCCTTGAGCAGGTTGTACTTACATTCTGGGCTTTTGTTTTCAGCAAATTGTAGTCTCTTCTTCAGCTGTGAGAGCTTGTGAAGAGAGTGTTTGAGCCTGTTAGGTAAGTGGCATAAAAATAGCCTCAAAATATAGAGACTGCATGGGTT
The DNA here is from genome assembly GCF_000001405.40 of Homo sapiens. NCBI lineage: Eukaryota > Metazoa > Chordata > Mammalia > Primates > Hominidae > Homo > Homo sapiens. The sequence continues at coordinate 140,024,880 of NC_000005.10, read as the reverse complement.
TAGAGTTTTTCTTAGAAAAGTTTAGCAAAATCCTGGGTTGAGAGACAATCTAGATGTCTCAAATGTTGAATTCCTTTCTTGAAGCTGGACTTCCCCTGTATTTCCTTCTGAGTCTCAAACCCGAGCCGCTTCCATAAGTCTGTGATTGTGATAATTGGATGGGAGGGGTTAGGGCAATTTAGGAAGATAATGGGGGACTGACCTCCTCCTGCCTTTGAAATCCACAAAGGAGGGAGCGTGGGGAAATGATGAAGAGTTGATCAAAAAATGAGGATCGTCCCTCCCAAATTAGGACAACTGGCTTGGTGATAAAATCACTTTACTCTGGCCGGGGGCGGTGGCTCACGCCTGTAATCCCAGCACTCTGGGAGGCCGAGGCGGGCGGATCACGAGGTCAGGAGATCGAGACCATCCTGGCTAACACAGTGAAACCCCGTCTCTACTAAAAATTACAAAAACTTAGCCGGGTCTAGTGGCGGGCGCCTGTAGTCCCAGCTACTCTGGAGGCTGAGGCAGGAGAATGACGTGAACCCGGGAGGCGGAGCTTGTAGTGAGCTGAGATCGCGCCACTGCACTCCAGCCTGGGCGACAAAGCGAGACTCCGTCTCAAAAAAAAAAAAAAAATTGTTTTACTCTGTTAGTAACCCTCAGGACCAGATACTATGAAAACAAAAATAAAACTATGACTTTGGGCATCTCTCTCCATACAGTGAGGATAGGGTAACCTCGTCCCTCTGCCCTGCCCAGCTGGGTTCCTCTAGGGTAGTCTCAGGAGTCTTGGGGGAGGGAGCCTGTTTCTGGATTCCAGAGAAGGGGTACATTCAGTTGACAGGTCTCTCAGGGGATGTCAGTTTTACGTCTGTTTGACCTTTGGCTTGTCCTTGGAGGTCCTGCGCCTTCCTGTTTTTGGTAGGGTCAGCTCAAGGTGACCTCTCTGCACTCCATAGATAGAAGACTTGGCCTGCTTGGTCTCTTTGATATTCCCGAGAAACCAATTTTGCTACAGGGCTGGGCGAACCATATGGCAACCTAGATTACAGAGATTGTTGGCGTTTGTCAACAGAAAGAACAGGCTTTTTGGCTATAGCAAATCCCCCAGGTAGGGTTTCCACACCATCTGTGATCACAGCATATAGGATCAGCTAGATGGGTGTGCAGTCCCATTCTTTCCACTTCCTGACTCCAAAAGGAAGTAAGAGGCAAGTTCAAAATCAAATATTGGTTAAGAGATTCTTTTAAGCTCCTTGATTGGTTATTTTCTTTGAAGGATGCTAAGGAGGTCTAGTAATCATATATCTTGATCTTGAGAGGTTTACAGTCCATTTGGGGATATTAAACTCACATGAATCAGTAGCAAGTGACATAAAGCAAAATATAATAATTGCAAAAAGGTAAAATAGACTATAGGATTCAGAGAACGAGAAGATTAATTAGGGCTGGACATTTTCTAGTACAGAGTTAGGACTGGAGGTTAGCCTTGAATGAATAGATTTGGAGGATTTAGGCAGATAGGGGATAGGGTGCTAGGCCAAAAGGACAATGTCAGCAGAGGTAGAAACAAGCAGATGTCTTTACAGGACCACAAGGAGATTAGCATGGTTGGGGTAGAGATATAGGGGAGATAAGATTAGGAAAGGAGGGCAGGACCAGATTAAAGAGGATCTGTAGAGACAGACAAAGGAATTTGGACTTGGTTCTGGAGGTGATAGGTTGCCATTGTAGGTATTGGAGCAGGGATATGATAGAAAGAGAGGAATGTTTGCAAATACTTTGTATACACAATTCATACTGGACTGGAGTTGGGTAGAGGTGCATGTTCTGGAGATCAATGAGGGGGTTATAAAGTCCTAGAAGCCAGGGAAACTGGGGGAAGAGGCAGGTAAACTAGGCAGTGTCTTTCATGAATCTGTGAGACTTGGTGATGAGCTGAGTAGCAGGCATGAAGGAGAAAAAAGGGTCAAGGTTTTGATCTTGGAAAGCTGGGAAGAATAGTAGCACCATTAACAAAAATGGAGAAATTATGAGGAAAAGCAATTTTAAGAAGGAAAATGATGCATTTGTCAATTATTTTATTTACTTAACAAATACTTATGTGACACTTAATACGTACTTGGCACTGTTCTAAACACTTTATAAATGTTGACTCATTTTAGTTCCCATAATAATCATATAAAAATAAATACTGTTAGTATCATCTTTATTACAAAGGGGAAAACTCAAGTATAAAGAGGTTAATAATTTTCCCAAGATCACAAAGCTGTAATAGGAGAGCCAGGATTCTGAACCCAGGCCATCTATGCTAGACTTCCTCTTGTTGATAGAAGACTGAGCAGAAATATGGTAGATAGTAGATCAAATGTTTATTGGATGCTTTCTTTGTGCAGAGCCCTTTGCATGAAAGGTAAAGATGAGTACAACATGGACATAGCATTAAAAAGCTTGTAAAGGGCTAATGAGGAAATGGCAAATGGTGAAATCATAAGGGTACTAAATCATGTACTATAAGAAACAGTAGCACATAAGGAAGGAGAGAGGGAGGACAAATATGTATTTAGGGATATCAGAAAAGACTTCCAGGAGGAGATGGAATTATTGCTAGACCCTGAAAGATGGGTCAAGTTGGATTTTGGTAGTGGGTAGTAGGGGCAGGTCATTCTTGGTAGACATAAAAGCTTGAATAAAATCACGAAGAAAGAAAGCTCAAACATGTTTTGGGACCAGCACACTGTACAATGCCTAGTTCAGTACCTAGTTCTGCAAACCTGAACTAGGATGACAGGTGGTTCTAGTTAGGCTGCAGCATAAAGTATGAGTTGGAGAAGCAGTAAGAGAGAAGGCTGGGACTGCCTTGAGAGAAAGCAGGAGCCTAAGTGAGAGGATTGGACTGGAGATGTAGAATTAGAAGTCCAGGCAAACAAATAAGGAAGGGATTGTTGATTCTGTAAGGGCAGAGGACTCCTGGAGGTCTGACTGTAGGAAGGAAAGAACCGAGGGCTGGGGATGGAGCCTTCTTTTGTGCATGCAGATATCTAAGCTATTCTTCAGGATGAACTTAATATTCCCTACAGAAAGGCTTATTAGCTTGTTTCATGCGTTGTGTTCCTCGCTGAGGCTGGGAGACCATTTCTGACTCTCTACCTTTGCTCTTCAGAGGTCTCCCTGCCACCAGAGGTGAATCAAGTTCTCATTGTCCTTGTTGCCTGTGTATTCAGGAATCCCATGGCCCTTCTGTCTGAACTCAAGAAGGCATTAATAAAATAGTAGGGCATGCTCATGTTGTTGTTGCAGAGGTGATATTTTATTGAATCCTGAGTGCTTTGTGTAGTATGACATGAACGTGCTGAGATTGCTCTCTCTTAGGTCATGGACAGTGACTTCCAGGGCATAGGAAAAGTATGGTCCATTCCAGTGTTCCATACCCACCTTAGGCCTTAAAGGACCATTCCTAGCAAAACAGTGGGGAGTAGAAGCAGAACTTCAAAATTCAGAGGTCAGGCATTACTTATGGAATTTTTCATTGGACCTGCTGAAATAGTCCTAACCTCAGACTTTGTCTCATAAAACAGAAAGCACAGACCTAGCAGAGAGAGACAGAGATGTCAGTTTAAACTCCATTTGTCACTTACTGGCTCTGTGACCTTGGGACAACTGACCTTTTTGAGCCTGTTTTGTTAACAATAAAATAGAGCTAATGATATTTGCTTTTCTTACCTACCAGGGATATTGTGAGGATCAGAGGAGATGATGTCTGTGGAAGTGCTTTAAGACTGCCAAGGGCTGTATGAAAATATGCTGTTGTTATTATTACAACTGTGAACCAGTTTGCTCACTCAAAGATTAATGCTCTGAGAGTGCCTTTTGCATAACCTACTCACAGTCTTTCTGCCAAGGACTTAAAGGGCAAGGCCACAGAGTAGGAGTTTGAGACACGGGATAGAGTATTTCTTCTGGCAGGCATGTCCTACTTCATTGGCTCCGAGATGTACTCACCCTACTCTCCACCCCCACACATGAACATCTCTGAAATTTGTCTGTGCTTTATAAATGATGGCATAGAGGATGTGATGACATAAACTAACTCTTTTCTGAGGCAGGTGGGCTACGTATGCAAACTTTCTTTTCTTCTTTTTTCTACATGAAAAGCTATTTCTTTCTCAACCTTTGCTAGGAGACGATCTTGCTAAAATGCAGTGGTGCTTTTGCTGCTTCAGTAAGTGTAAGACTCAGTCTGTCTTTAAGCATCATTCAGTGTGTTCTGGTCATTCTTTCTCATTGCACAGATCTCTGGAAGCAAAAGGTTAGCTTGAACATATGTGTCCGGATCTTGGGACATATCTTTTCTATTGATTAGAAAATCCCTAATGACATTTTGGCATCATTCCTTTTCCTTTTAAAAGTGGAAGGTGAGATGCATTTTGGTTAACAGTTTATGTTATGCTGGGTTTGACTGCATTGGGCTTTGAGGTGTTAGAAGTTGAGGAGCTGGGTCTCATACCTCTGTCCTGGAAATCCATAACATAAACCCTCCAAGTGGCAGGACAAGAAATCAGCTATTCACAAAGCTTTTCTTTAGGATGAATTAACCAAAGAAGTGTGTACTTGTTTCTTTTCACTTTTTGAACGTGCTTCAGATTTGACTACTACAAATCCAGAGCTGCTTACTTAGTACCAATTCTTATTGTTTCAGTCTTTTATTGATTCTCTGGGTGTGGACTTTCCACCTTTTGAGTTGAATAGCAAGGAGACTTCTGAGCCACTAATCCTCTGTCCTCTTGCTGTACGTTCAGAGTATACAGATGAAAAATTTAAAATTAAGAATATAAATCCCAGCTGGGCATGGTGGCTCATGCCTGTAATCCCAGCACTTTGGGAGGCTGAGGCGGATGGACATCTGAGATCAGGAGTTTGAGACCAGCCTGGCCAACATGGTGAAACCCTGTCTCTACTAAAAAATGCCAAAAATTAGCCGGGCGTGGAGGTAGGTGCCTGTAATCCCAGCTACTTGGGAGATGAGGCAGGAGAATTGTTTTAATCCAGGAGGCTGAGGTTGCAGTGAGCCAAAATTGTGCCCCAAAGAGGGGTAAGAAAGAGACACTCACATTTATTGAGCATGTACTTCTATAGACATTACTTATTTGAGTCTCACAACAACCTAGGGAGGTGGGCCCTCCCTTTCCAATTTTGCATCTAAGAACCTGAGGCTCAAAACAATTAGGAGAGTTCCAGGCTTGTCACAGGAGTTATAATGGAGCTAATTTGAACTTATACTTTCTTAAAAAAAATTATTTTTAAGGCTGGCCAAGGAAAGCAGTGGCATGGAGAAGGGATAAAGAATTCTGTAACTGGTTGTGATGCATTAGTTGTAAACACCACTGCACTCGGAGCAGCCTGAACCCATGCTTTCTAGGAAGAGCCAGTCTGAAAACAAACAGGACTGATAAGGGGATTATTTGCTCTTACGAATTACCCAGTTGTTCCCTCCTGTCTAATGTGGAGGCTCAAGAGATGATTGAACTTGGTTCTTTGAAGGGTTCTGTGGTTTCTTTCCCTGTCCCCAACTCTGGGGTTATGGAGTGACCAAGGCCCCCTTGTTGGAACTGGGCTGTGTTTTTCAGGCTCTGATTGGCCCTTCTGTGGCCCCTGCTTCCAGTGGCTTCTGATTCAGGTCAATGCTGCTTGGTGCCCTAGAAATAACCGGGTTTCTAGCCCAGCATGACTCCCTTGAGTCCTTGGGCCTGCTAGGGCAGCACTGGCAGCACCTCTCCCCAGAGCTGTGTTTATTTTTCTTATGTCATTTGCTTATTATAGGCAGCCTGCTAAGTGTTAGTTATCACCTCCCCGTGATTCCCTGCCTTTTCTTCTCCTTCTGTCTTACCCTGTGCTTTGGGAACTTTGGATAATATGGACCTAGGAGGCAGCATTCTAAGTAGGGTCCCTCTACATTTCTTCTGCATTCAGAATTCAGCTTTTCTGCTGATTTTCCCTTGAGGATGAGCTTTTGTTAGAAACACTGGCACTGTAAATGAGTATTTCCTCTGTGGTCCGAGAAAGGAGTGCCTCAAAGGTTTGAAAAGAGAGCATGCTCAGGAGCAGGATCTGGATTGGGGATGGTGGTGTTGGTCTGGATCTGCAGGAGTCAAGCGCTGACCTATGATTTGGCAGCATCTGTTGGTCGTCTGCGTCCTTGGCACCTTGGCATGCGCTTGTTGTCCTCTTAAATCTCTATGTATTAGTGCTGTTTTTGCAGTTGGGCTAAGAGATGCTGATGAATTCTCATCCTAGAGTCAAGTGCCACGGCTATGAGATAGTAAATTGGAGAAACTGCCCTCGATTCCAGGCTTTGGAAGCTATCAGTTAGGTGGCTGGGCAATGATGTGGGTGGCATTTCACTATGGACTACAGCATTAAATCAGATACCGTTGTGTCAGGCAGCGATGCTGTGCCTCCGTTTTCCTCTTCTAAAGTTACCATACGAAGGAGTGGTGAGGCAGCTTTTCCCTGCTAACACACCCATCCCTCGTCTGCAGGCTGGCACTTTGAGACCTCTCTTCTACTTCATTGCTGTTTTCAATCACGTCCCCACATTTGACCTGGTTATGCCGGGCCATCTCCCAGAGATCCTATCACATGACCTGTGGATAGCTCAGCTTGCAGCAGCTCCCATTTTATCTTGTTCTGACTCAGGAGCTTTGCAGAGAACGGAGTGTAGTTTTCTACCAGGGGTCAAGATAGGGCCTGTAGAGGTTGTTTGCTTCCTGGGATCTACATTGCCCACCAAGAACACATGGGCCTGTAGATTTTGAGGTTTTTCTTGGGAAAATTGGAAGAGCTAACTTTATGACTTTGCATGTTTGGAGGGATGAATGCAAACTGACCTTTATACTTATCGGTCCTCTCTTCCTCCCCTCTGATGCAACAGATGTCCCTAGTCTGAGGCCAGTCCTCCCACTATGTCCTGTGGTCCATCCCTTCTCACCTTCTCAGGAGCCTAACACCACTGACTTTTCCTTCTCTCTACTGCACGTTCTGTCTCTTCGTCTCTACTGAGTCCTTTCTATTCATCTTTCATCATACTCACGTCTCTCCCATCTTAAATTACTACCTATCTTTCTCTTCTCTTTCGCAACCAATCTCCTTGAAAGAACAGCCCGTACCTCTTGTCTCTATATCATGACCTCTTCTCTTCTCATATGCATTTGTCTGCTCTACCATCTCCGACTCCATCGAAACTGCTCTAAGTGAACTTCTAGTTCCTGACCCTAATGTACATGTTTCATTGCCCATATTATTTCACCTGTCAGCATTTTGACACTGTTGGCTAATCCTGACTTTTTGAAATGTACTGTTCCCTTGGCTTCCATTATGTTACCTCCTTAGTTGTCCTCCTTTCTCTCTGAGGTTTTCTTCCATTCTCTGTTTTTTAGCTCTTTCCTGTCTACAGAATTTTAAAATATGGTCTCCAACTACGGAGTTGTTGGAGAGGTCTGTAGTTGGAGACCTTTTCACTTCAGATTCATATATTCACCTTCTAACTCATCTTCTCTACCTGATATCTCATAGATATCACAAACTGGACATGCCCCAGTGAAACTCTCACCCCCTTTCCAAACTTGGTCCTCTAACAGTGTTCCCTCATCTAACCACTTAAGTTGCACTTTGTGTTCCCTTCTTTCTTACCCACTCCCCACATCTTATCACTTTTACTTCCTAAATCTTTCTGGAGTCTATCTGCTTTTTACTAACATCACCCATGTCAATACTGATCATCTTTCATCTGTTTTACTGTATTTGCTTCATAGCTGGTCTTTTTATATTGACTTGTGGCTCTTGGAGTTCATTCTCCACATAGTGAGCTTTTAAAAACCCAAGACCAATCACATTTAAGTCTGCCACTCCTACTCTGCTCCAATCTCTTTAGCATATATTACAACAAAACCCTCACGTGGCCTCCAAGGCCCTGTGTGATCTCACCTGTGCTGACTTCATCAGCAACATCTCTGCCCCCTGCTCCACACTCCACCCTTGGCCACAGCAGCCTTGCCATGAGATGACCACGCTGCAGGCCAGTTGTACGTGTTGTCCCCTCTCTCCGAGATGCTCTTCCTCCTCCTCACCTAGTTCACTGCTCTCTGCCCTTCCGAGCTCAGCTCAGATGTTACTTCCTTAAGGAGGTTTTTCTAGAATCCCAGACGAAGCCATAGATGTGCTACATCTGTTCACATAGTGCCACTATCACTTCCACGTCTTTCAAACTCTTATTTATGGTAGTAACTAAAAAATCGTTTGATGTCTCCCTATAAGCTCCTGAGGGCAGAGACTGTTCTGTCATATTCAGTGCTGTATACCAGCCCTAGCACAATGCCTGGCACGTAGTTGACACTAGGATATGTTTAATTTTATGAATGAATGACAGCTGAACTGAGGAGAGAGTCAAGATGAATGTTCAGGCAAGTGTATTGCAGACAATGCTATGTTCCCAAACTATTGATTTAGAGAGGTCAATAATAATTCAGTTTTATTAGAATCGTATAGTTAAATTATCTGGTCCAAAATTTTAGTTTCAAATTGAGAAAACTAAGGCCCTGAGAGTGAAATCATTTGCCCCAAGGTTATAGAATTGGACAGTAGCAGAGTTACAACTCCTCTCCCTGACTTCCAGATTCACACAAGCTCTCCTGCACCACCACCCCTTCTGCCTCTCCTACAAGTGACAACCTCTATGTTCTCCAGTTGAAAGCAGGGCTCTGGAGTCAGGAAGGCCTGTTGCTTCCTCCCTAACTTGAGGACGTGGCAAGTAGGAGCCAGCCTATCCCATAACTTCGGCATAAGGAGCCATTTTACTCCCTTCCTCCCCAGTGTAGAATGAATGATGGGCTACAAAGGTGTCTGAGCCAATGCCAGCCATACCTATTGAGATGTGGCGCCTTGAAAGAAAAACACAAGGGATGTGTTTGTTGAAGTAACTTGATTTTCCAGTTTCTGGGTTACTAGAATTTGGGGCCTGGAAACCTGACGTAACAGCTAAAGCATCTGGGAGCCTGTTTTGCATCTGTTACTTTTGAGATCACCGTGTGCCCACCTGGAAACTCTACCTGTGCAGTCAGATGCTGAAGCCTTGGTTAAAGCCTGCAGGGAAGCCCTCCCTGAGTGAGGCATCCCTTCCTCCATTGTGTTTACTGGACCACTTCTTTCTAGTAATTGAGAATTATATCCTGAAAGATCCAGAAATGGAAAGCTCCAGGCTGGGAGTGGCCATGCAGGAAACAGGATACTTAGACGTGGACCCTAGAATGCTGGTACCGCACAGATCCAGTCCTACCTCATTCATTTTCAGGTTTTTTTCTTTTAATTAACCAACACTTATGGAATCTCCGTTAATGTCTTGGGTACTGGGGACACAAAGATGAATATGTCACATCCCTGCCCATGGGACACTCACAGTCTAGTGATAAATAGACCATTTATTTCTCCATTCATTCATATATAAGATATTTTGTAGGCATCTATCATGTGCTAGGCATTACATTGGGCTTATCCATTCATTGAGTAATATTTGAGTTCCTCCTATATATTAAAACTTCTTCCAGGTGCTTGGAATATTGAGAAGACAGAAATCTCTGCCCTCATGGAATTTACTTTCTGGTAGTAAGCGACCAATAATATACATAATAAATAAGCAAATTAGATAATATTTAGAAAGTTATAAATATTATAAGAAAAAAAAATGGAGGGAGGTAATGGGAGTGCAGAGGGGTGGATTGCAATTTTAAATAGAGTGGTTATGGTAGACCTAAATTACAACGTGACATTAGAGCAGAGAACTGGAAGGAGGTAAGGGAGCTAGGCAGGTAGATATCATGGTGAAAGGAATTTCAGGCAGAGGGAGTTCTCCCTAAGGTGGAAGCATGCCTGGCATGTTTGGGGAACAGCAAAAAGGCCCATATGGCTACAGTAGAATGAGCGGAGTTTAGAGCAGCAGTGGTGCCAGATCAAATAGGGCCTTGTGGGCCTTTGTGAAGACTTGGCCTTTTATTTCAGTGTAAAAAGGATCTGCTGGAGGGTTTGAGCAGAGGAGTAATATAATTTTACTTATTTGAAAGGGATCACAAAGTGTGCTATGTTGAGAATAGACATTTAGGAGCAAGAGTGAAAGCAGGGAAACCAGTTAGGTAGCCACTGAAGAAATCTGGTGAGACATGGTGGTGGCTTGGTGTATTGTAGTTGTGAAAGAGGGGATGAGAAGAGGCTGGATTGTAGATATTTTTAACAGATAAGGCCCAAAAGACTTCCTGATAGATAAAATATAGAGTGAGACAGAAAAGGAGGAGTAAAAAAATGAATCCAGGCGGGGCACTGTGGCTCATGCCTGTAATCCCGGCACTTTGGGAGGCTGAGACGGGCGAATTGCTTGAGCTCAGGAGTTTGAGACCAGCCTGGGCAACATGGCAAAACCCCATCTCTACAAAACATACAAAAATTATCTGGGCATGGTGGTGCATGCCTGTAGTTATAGCTACTTGAGAGACTGAGGCACGAGAAATGCTTGAACCCAGGAGGCAGAAGTTGCTGTGAACCGAGATTTCACCACTACACTGTAGCCTGGGCAACAGAGCGAGACTCTGTCTCAGAAAAAAAGGAAAAAAAAATCCAAGCTTTTTTACCTGAGCGACTGGAGACATGATATCGCCATTGAGATGGGAAGAGTCTGAGTGGATCAAATTTTGGGGACAATTAAGGGGTTTGGTTTTGGATAGTGTGGATGTGTTAAGTGGAGAGTAAGATAGGGGCTGGAGGTATAAATATGGAAATCAACAGCATATAGGTGGTATTAAAAGCTATGAAAGTAGTTGAGATCACCAAAGGAATGAACATAGGTAGAGCAGAAAAGAAGAGCAAGGACTCGAGCCCTAGACACTACAATATTAAAGGGTTAGAGAGAAGAGAAGAAGCCAGAAAAGACGACTGAGAAAAAGTGACTAGTGAGGTAGGAAGAAAACCAAGAGAATGTGGTGACCTGGAAGATGAGTGAAGAATGTTCACCAATTAGAAGGGAGAGGTTGACTGGTTCCAGTGCTGCTGAGGGGTCAAGTTAGATGAGTACTAACCTCATTATCAATGGGTTTGGCAATGTGGATGCCATTGGGGATTTTGACAAGAACAGTTTCAGTGCAGTAGTGGGGGTTAAAGCTTCATGTAAGTAGATTTACCAGAGAATGGAAGAGAAGAGAAGGAATTTATTGCAAGTTTGCTACAAAGGTGAACAAAGGAGTAGGGTGGTAGCTGTTAGGGGAAATTGAATCTGGAGGGGTTTTAATTTCATTATTTTTTACTGTGGTAAAATACACATAATATAAAGTTTACCATTTTAACCATTTTAAGTGTGCAGTTCAGTGGCATTAAGTGCATTCACATTGTTATGCAACCATCACCACCATTCATCTCCAGAACTTTTTTGTCTTTCTGAACTGAAACTCTGTTATTATTTTTTAATATAGAAGTAACGCATGCTTATATGCTGGTAGGAATGAGCCAGTTGAGAGGAGGCAATTAATGGTGTGGGAAGGTGAGAGGAGATTGTCTAAATGCTTTCTTAGAGTAGAAGAGTGGGATCTGGCACACAAGTAGAGGGATTGGCTCTGGGATCATGGATAATTCATCTACAGTAACAGGAGAGAGGCAGAGTTATGTATATGGATGCCGACAGATGCATATATGTTGTGGTGGGAGTCAGTGGAAATTCTCTTCTGATCGTTTCAATTTTCTCAGTAAAGTAGGAAACAAGGTCAACAGCTGAGAGTATGAGGGAGGAGATGTTCGAAGTTTGAGGAGAAAGAGGGTGTGAAGTAGTCATCTAGAAGAGTAGGTGGGTGAATAGAATAAACTAGGGAGGTACAGTATGATTGTCAGGCACATTAAGGGCTCATCTTTGGCTCATGGATATGAATTTAAAGTGAGACCAGTCTAGGTGATTGTGTGCATTTCTCCAGCTACATTCAATTGCATGGGCACAGGTACTGGGTTGGATTTGACTAGAATTGTGGTTTTGCCAAATGAAGAAATAGAATTATTATAAAAATTGATCATGAATGAATGGAAGAAAGAAAGAGAAGGGAAGAAAGAACATCATATTCACTGTGAGAATCAGTAAAAAGGTGGTAGTATCAATGAATTTAAATCCTGTTAAGATAGAAGAATTGCTGGAGTCCAAACAGTAGAGGGTGTAAGCTGGAAGGTAGGAGTTGGTAGGTGGAGAGTAGGATGCATGCATTTGATATCATGGAAGGGTTGCATTTCTTGGTAATAACAAGGTGATGGGTAGAGATGACTCTCAAGTATGAATGAGCATGAGAGTCAGTGGGTAGAATGAGGTGGAGCACAAGACGACTAGAGAAGAAGAGTTCAAGGAACTGAGAAGCCAGGGTATTGGAATGACCACTTATGAGTACAATGAAATTTCTGAAAGTTAAGACAGGATTACTTTGTGTATATAGTGAATGACAGATGTGTGCCCTGCCCTCAAAGAGCTTACAATCCAGCCCAGAAGATAAGCAAGTCAGAAGCATTTGGCATGATGGCATAATTGCTGTGATTGGAAAAGTACAAGGTAAGGGGGAGCACAAGTGAAGGATACCTAAACCCCGCCTTGGGATTGAAGAATCTTTCTGGAGGAAAGAGATTTGAGTTGGGATTTTGAAGAACAAGTCAAAGTTAATGAGGTAAAAAGACAGGGAAAAGTACTTTAGAAAGGGGGAACGGTATGTGCAAAGGGATAAAGATGAGACTGGGGCACACTGAAGTAACTGAAAGGAGATTCATTGCCCCAGGTGCCATGGGCAGTGGTGCAAGAGAAGTTTGGGAAGGTGAGCTGAATTGGATCATCATGTAGGGCCTTGGGGGCTGTATTAAGTAGTATGAATTCATCCCATGTGCAATGGGAGAGGTATAGATGGACTAGGGGAGAAGAAAGTATTAAGAAATGTTTAATAGATTAATGATTTTTGAGTTGGGTCCTCTTATTAGTTATTTGTGGCTGCACAACAAATTACCCCAAAATGTAGTGGGTTAAAACAACAAACATTTATTTTCTCATAGTTTCTATCAGTCAGAAATCCAGATGTGAGTCCTCCAGTCTAGGGACTTTCACAAGGCTACAAATAAGGTGTCAGCCAGGGATGCAGTCATCTCAGGCTCAACAGTGGTCTTTCAGACTCATTCATGTGGCCATTGGCAGGCTTCAGGTCCTCGATGGCTGTTGGCCAGAGGCATCAGTTCCCTGCCACATGGATCTCACTGTAGGGCAGTTCATGATATGGCAGCTGACTTCTCTCAGAGCAGGTGAGGGAGAGAGAGAGAGAAAGGGTGGGAGGAGGGAGGTCACAGTCTATTTGTAGTAACCCAACCACAGAACTGACCTCCCATCACTTTTGTCATATTCTATTTATTCTAAGTGAGTCAGTAGGTCCAGCCCACACTCAGGGAAAGTATTGCACAGGGGCAGGAGTACTAGGCGATAAGATCACTGGAGTCCATCTCAGAGGCTGCCTACCATAATCCCGAAGGAAGATTAAGGAGTTATCAGGCAGGGATGAGGAACCACTTAGAGAAAGTTGACACAGAGTTTTAAGGAAGAGGCTATAACATAGGAAGTAACCTGAGGGCACCAAATGTACTATGTGTCCAAAGTGGCAAAAGATGCTATTGCAAGATATAAGATAGGCTGTGGCCAGATTGTTAAAAGTCTTGTAGGCTATGCTGAGAAGTTTAGTCTTTACTCTTTGTAACAAGATAAGATCACCTGAAGGCTTATATAAGAAAGCGACCTGTTTAGTTTTTGGTCTCTGACAGCTGTATGCAGGACAAACAGTAGTGGGAGGGAGCCAGGAGAACCCTCTATAGCTGGAATCTAAAAACTGCCAGTGGAGAGATGACCAGGGCCTGCACCAAGGCAAGGCAGTAGGCCTTATGAAGGGGGGCCAGATTCAAAGAATGTTTAAACAACTGTTAACAAGTCTTAGAGAGCCTGTGGGGGAGCACGGATGTGTCCGATGCTTTCCAAGTTCTTCACCTGGATCACTGAGGGTTCTGGCTATAACTAAAGTACCCAATACAGCATGAGGAAGACACTGTCCCTTGTGGATGGGAGGGGGACTCAGTCCTGGCATATGTCACCTTCACCTGTGACCTTAAGGTACACATTCCTAGTTCTATTCACGGACAATAAAGAAGTATTTAGTTCAAAGCATATTTTCTGTCCTGTTTTTTTTTTTAAGACTTTATTTTTCTAACAGAAATTTTAGGTTCACAGCAAAATTGAGATGAAGCACAGAGATATCCCATATACTCCCTGCCCCCCACATGTACAGTGTCCCAATTATCAATTGTTGTTGTTAAAATTGATAAGCCTACAATTGATAAGTTACAATTACTGTTGTTACAATTGATAAGCCTACATTGACACGCCATTATCACCCAAAGTCTATACATTAGGCTTCACTCTCAGTGTTGTACATTCTATGGGTTTGGACAAGTGTATGAGAACATGTATTCATTATACTATCATACAGAATTTTATTTATTTTTTTTTTGAGACAGTCTCGCTGTGTCACTCAGGCTGGAGTGCAGTGGTACAATCTCAGCTCACTGCAACCTCCACCTCCTGGGTTCAAGCAATTCTCATGTCTCAGTTTCCCAAGTAGCTGGGATTACAGGCACCTGCCACCATGCCCATCTAATTTTTGTATTTTTAGTAGAGACAGGGTTTCACCACGTTGGCCAGACTGGTCTTGAACTGCTCACCTCAAATGATCCACCCACCTTGGCCTCTCAGAGTGTTGGGATTACAGGTGTGAGCCACTGTGCCCGGCCTCATACAGAAATTTTTGACTGCTCTAAAAATCCTCTATGCTCCACCCATTCACTCCTCTCTCCCCTCAGCCCCTGGCAACCACTGATCTTTTTATAGTTTTCATAGTTTGGCCTTTTCCAGAATGTCATATAGTTGGAATGATGTAATATGTAAGCTTTTCCGATTGGCGTCCTTCATTTAGTAATATGCATTTAAGTTTCCTCTACGTCTTTTCATGGGTTGATAGCTCATTTATTTTTAGTGCTGAATAATATTCCATTATCTGGATGTACCACAGTTTATTTATTCATTTACCTACTGAAGGACATCTTGGTTACTTCCAAATTTTGGCAGGTATGAATAAACACTGACAACACCAAAAGCTGGCAAGGATGTGGGACATCCTCTCATTCATTGTTGGTGGGAATGCAAAATGGTACAGCCACTTTGGAAGAGCGTTTGGCAGTTTCTTACAAAATTAAACTACTCTTACCGTAAGATCGAGCAATTTCATTCTTTGGTATTTTCCCAAAGGAGTTGGAAACTTATGTTTACATAAAAACCTGCAGAAGGATGTTTATAGAAGCTTTATTCATAATTGTCAAAGCATTTTTTAAAGTGCCTCCTGTATGTAGAATCCCATTTAGAATATTATGGGTAACATAGAGTATAAAGGCCCACTCTTGAAAAGCTGTCTGCTTAGCTCTGGGTAAGAAGAGATCTGGTTCTTAGATTTAGGACACTGACTCTGAGGCCTCTTTCAACTGGAGGCAAGACAGTGAGAGATTCCATGTGTCCAGCTCTGCAGCAGCAGCAGAGGCAGCCACAATCTGAGATGCTGCTGATTTCTTCTGTGGGGCTTTGAAAAGCAATGAATCTTCACAGTATGCTGAGCTTCTACTTTATTGATGATGCAGCTCAGGGAAGTTTGTGGTGCCATTTTGCCAGGATCTTTTAGGGAAAGCATAGGATCAGATTGGAGGATGAGTGCTAAATGACTCCTAAGTGCCAGAAATAATGGTTACTGAATATGCACTAGTGCTATGTCATTGTTTTGCTGTGTAATTGTTTTGTCTCTCACTCAGTCCTTGCAACAACCCTGGGAGGTTGGTTCTATTGCTATTATCCCATTTTTCATATGGGGAACTGAGACACAGAGAGGTTAAGTAACTTGCTCAAGACCACACAGTAAGTAGCAGAGACATGCCTGTCTGATTTCTGAGCCTATATCCTAACCATAGTACTATACCTCCTTGTTTCATGCATTTATTTTTTTGAACTCACCAGTTGAGTCTCTGGTCATATCATTTGTCAGTTATTTCTCCCCGACTGAGAGGGATAAATAAGCATTCTCTTATATTCTAGGTTTTAAGTTGGCATTTAATGCTGACCCGTCTGGAATTCACTGTAGTGTATATACATTTCATTTGGTTTTAGTTTTTCTCTTTTGGTCACAAGCCAAAGTTAGAATCTCCCAAGCTAGCTCAGGTAAAGATGAGCTCACTGTAGGGAAACTTGGTTTAGTAAGGAGTAAGGGATCTCTAAGCAATCCCAGAAGTGGGCCTATAATAGGACTAGACCTTAGAGAGAGTAGGTCAGACCCAAATGACCATTACCTAGTTCAGTTTCTGGCACATAATAGGTGCTCAATAAATATTTGTTGAATAAATGCAGCAAACAGTTGTGTGGTCAGCTATCCAGTAAAAGGGGCCAGCGATAGCCCTAGTGGAACAAGAGCCCTTTTGTTTGGCTGAAATAAGGTTTACTAGGCTACTCGAAGGATGTGGTAGTAGCAACACTAGAGCTTCACATCTGCTGTGGAATAGATCTTTGATTTCCCCATGCATCTTCTGCATAGACTCTGCACTTACCCTCAGTGGCTGCAGCAAAATGGGACATGTAGATGTCAGGCTGCCCATGGGAACACATTCCTGTGTGGTGCTCCCCACATCTGTTCTCATGTGAAATGACACTAGAGAGTGACAGCTTCCTACTATAGGACTGGCGGCTGTGGGTCTCACAGTATCAGACTTCCTGGTGACTGAGATGCTGTAAGGAATAGAGAGAATGGAAGATCCGGGTTCAGGTATCGGCTTCGCCATAGCTGTGTGAGTTGGGCCTGATCCTTGGCTTCCCTGGGACTTGGTTTCCTGATCTGTTAAGGGACAAGGTTTGGGCCAAGGTTCTTTCCAGCACTTGAGTCCTATGAGTTGCTAAATTGGGCCCAAGGTCACAGGGAAAATGAAATGCTGGCATAATATCTGTCTTCCCTTGAAACCCCTGGATAAGTCCAAGCAAGTGACCCTCTTTGATGGAAGAGAGTTTCCAAAAGCAGAAAGAATCTTTCTCAGGGGTTGGGTGGAGCTCTTCCTTTTTCTCCTACCCTAAAGATACTTGGAAGTGAAGTCTAAAATTGTCACCCAGGACTAGTAGGGTGCTGGAGGTGAAGATGCAGAAGGAGAATGTACAGACAGGCCTCCGGCTCCTGAGTCCAGCTGGTGTTGCCTGTCGGTACACACTCCCCACCTGCCACCTCCAGCTCCTGGCTGATCTCCTCTTTCTGAGCTCTTGATCCTAAGCTGTGTTCTGCTTGTGTCTGTTATGGCTCTGGAGTGAAATGAGCAATTTCTTTTTCTCCAATTGGAAGCTGAAGGCTGCTTAATATAAGTAATAAAGTCCTCAATGCTTTATCCCCTGGGGTCTGTTAACTGCCTGTTTGAAGCAGAAGGCACTACAGCTCGCACAGGATGTGAAGCAGATTGGAGGTTCCTGTATCTTTGAGCCACCTGAGCTTTTTCAAAGTCCAGTTTCCTTCTCCTAGAGCAGAGTTACTCAACAATGGCACTATTAGCATTTTGAGCCAAATGATTCTTTGTTATGGGGTACTATCTTGGGCATTGTAGGATATTTAGTAGCATCCTTGGCCCCTCCACTAGATGCCAGTAGCATCCACCTTCCCCCGTTACCACAAACAAAAATGTCTCTAAACATGGAAATCGTCCCTGTGGGGCAAAATCACCCCAGTTAAGGACCACTATTCTAGAGTTACCACAGCACACATGTAGGCAGCTTGTGTGATGAACTAGGCTTTTGAGAACCATGGTCTTTATTTTTGATTTCACTTCTGACTCACGGAAGACCCTAGGGCAGGTTAATGAGCCTCTCTATAATGGGGACTATGAATTTTCCTTGTTTGAAAAGTAACATGTTTGTTGGAGAAAATATAGAAGAAACAGAGAAGTATAAAAGAAGAAAAATTTAAAGGATCTGTTGGCATCTCAACCACCTAGAGATAATAAGTTTTAAGGTGTATTTTCTTCTTGCATCTTTTCCTGGCATGTCTCTCTTCTCTTCCACCATACTCACACACCAAATCAGGATCATATCTTAATACACGGCAAACCGTTCTTAGAAAATATGATTTTTAATGGATGCATATTAGACAATCTTATGAATGCTCCATATTTATTTAATAACTTCCAGTTGTAGAACATTATTATAACCAATTTTCAGACTACTAGAGATAATA
The DNA here is from genome assembly GCF_000001405.40 of Homo sapiens. NCBI lineage: Eukaryota > Metazoa > Chordata > Mammalia > Primates > Hominidae > Homo > Homo sapiens. The sequence continues at coordinate 140,006,506 of NC_000005.10, read as the reverse complement.
CTGAATGACAACTTTGTACATTAATCTTTGTGTGCATCTCTGATATCCTTAGGTTAATTCCTCGAAGTGGAATTTTGGGGTGAAAGGATAAGAACATTTTTAAGGCTTTTGATACATGTTATCAAGTTGCCCTCCAGAATGGTTACGCCATTTGACATCAGCAGTGTAGGAGAGAGCCAAATTGGGGCAATCTGTACTTAAAAGCTTTCTTTGATAGCTCAGGCTTCTACCGAAGCTGAACAATCTCCATTTTGTTTATAATACTGCACAAGAGCCCTACAAAGCACAGTGGTGGTCTGCTTTCATGTTACAGCTGGGCAGAACATGTACTGATCACAGTGAGTGACAGACAGCACATTTTAGTATTATTGACAGAAATGAGACCCAAGACTGGAAGACCCTCAGCAGGTCAAGCCATGAGTTAATGCTTTCTTTTGCCCCAGGAATGGGGCAACATGTGCTAATGGCCCCTTTCTAACTGGTCTTCTGACAGAAGCACTGATTTTCAGAGCCTTTGACCTAGACGTCTTTGGTATCTAGTTTTCTAGAGTAGGAATCCAGTGGCCTTTGTAGAAGGCTTAGAGGATCACACGTGAGGTGGAGTTAGCTAGAAGGAGCTATTGCTAGTGCCAGTGCATCCCTCCCTGCACCCTCCCCTGAACCCTACCCCCTCCTATGCATTTCCCCAAGCTCCAGGATGCATTCTAGGCACTCTTGGCAAAAGAGCCATGCTGAAAGTGTAATCTCTCATCTTGACATGAGCTTAGACATGAGCTTGAGATGCCTGAGGAGCTGGGGCTAGACTGGGCAACAAAGTGGACATGTGGTAGCTGAGGTATTGGCTCCATGCAGTTCTGGACATGATTTTGACGGCCCTGCAGAAAATTTGACGACCACGAGCACTCTTGCCATGGCTGTCTCTGTCCAAGAATATATTCACTGTGGGGATTGGAAAGTATACAGAGGCTGGCAGTGATGCAGCTAGAGAGACAGGTTGTGAGACCAAAAGCTTGCTTCCTTCTTGTGGAGGCAGACACTGTCAGACAGAAGCATAGTGCTGTGAGTAGAAGCATGACCAGTCTATGTTCATAGTGCTGGGGAGGAGGATCAGTGTTGGTTTTGCCACGCTGCTGAGGCGTGAGAGTATGGGGAAGCACCAGCTTCTAGTCCGTGACCACCTTTCTCTGGCAGTGGAACTGAGAGTAGAGGTCTCTGGTGAACTGATAGGTGTCATTAATGGCAATGTCAGACCTATTATCAGGTCCTTTGATGTTCACAGGAGGAGTTCTTATATATGGGAAGACAGATACTTCAAGCTTTGGGGCTTTCCCTTTCAAATCCTCGCTTTTGGCCCCAGGGAGTTCAAGACCTAATAGACATTTTTTAGGGGAGGTGGGGGAATCCACCCAATTCTACATCCCCTGAGAAGATGTCAGGTTCATTTTGTTTTACAGGTAAAACCAAGGGAAAGATGTTAAGTTACAGAATGGTGTTTAATCAATGGTAGATTTAAAGACTTAATCTTTCTTTTTAAACATTTTTTGGAATTAATTTTAGATTCACAGAAAAGTTGCAAAAAATAGTACAGAGAGTTTCTGTACAAACCTCACCCAATTTCCCTAATATTATCACCTTACATAACCATAGTACAATGATCAAAGCTAGGAATTAACACTGGTACAATACTATTAACTAAACTATAAGCCTTATTTGAATTTCACAAGTTTTCTATTTGTGTCCTTTCTGTTCCATGAGCCTACCTAGGATCCCACGTTGCATATAGTCATTATTCCTCCTTTGTCTCTTCTAATTTGTAATAATTTTTCAGTCTTTCCCTGCCTTCCATGATCTTGACACTTTTGAAGAGTGTTGATTAGTTATTTTGGAGAATGTACTGTACCTCAGCTTGAGTTTGTCTAATATTTTCTCATTATTGAAGTGAACTTATGCCTTTTTGGTGAGATTAATTCAGAAATGATGCTGTGTCTTTCCGAGGGCATCTTACTGGTGACAATAACCTTGTTGATCTGCTGAATTTCTCCACTGTAAAGTTACTATCTTACCCTTTATAGTTTAAAAAATATCTTGGAGGACATACTTTGAGACTGTGCAGATCCTTTTTCTCTTCCAACTTTGGCCACTAATTTTAGCACCCATTGGTAAGTCTTATCTGCAAAAGTTGTTTGTGGTGTTTGCCTGACGGTGGTTTTCCTCTGCCCAAGTACCTTCTACATTGATTAATTGTAGAATACTGTATTGGTAGAGTAGAGAATAATCTTAATAAGACATATCATTCCTTGATGAAGTCTTTACTCAAGAGCAATAGCTCTTTCTAAAATATGATCTGTTTATTTCATACTTGTGTGTATTAGTTTCCTACTGGCACTCACAGAAAATTTGCAAAAATGATACAGAAGGTTCCTGTACACTCCTCACCCAACTTTCCCTAATATTAACATGTTACAGAACCACAGTATAATTATCAAACATAGAAAATTACTTAGTTTATTTAAAGGCCATTAAAACAACTAGGCAAGAGATAATGGTGGCTTGGGCAAGTAGCTAATTGGGGAGGTGATGTGAAGTTGATTCTGGATGTATGTTGAAGGTAGGACTTACAGGATTTGTGAAAGAATTGGATGTGGAGTAAGAGAAGAAAGGAGGAATCCAGGATGGTTTCAAGATTTTTGACTTGAACAACTGGTCTTGCTGTTTTTTGAATTAGGAGAAGACTACAGATGGCATCCAGGGAATTTTTTACTCTAGTGACAAACTCCCCTTTTTAACCACAGTGCTGAAAAAATTACCACAACAAATGGCTACAATTTAGTGGCTTAAAGCAACCCAGATTCATTATCTTACAATTCTGGAGGTCAGAAATCCAAAATCAGTCTTAGTGGGCTCAAATCAAGGTGCTGGCAAGACCGTGTTCCTTCTGGAGGCTCTATGGGAGAATTTGTTTTCTTGCCTTTTCCAACTCTTAGAGGTCACCTGCATTCCTTGGCTCCATTTTCCACCTTCAAAACCAGCAGTGTAGTGTCTTCCAACCCCTGTCTCTCTGACTCTAATCCTCCTACCTCCCTCTTACAAGGAAACTTGTGATTACAGTGGGCCACTCACATAATCCAGTATCCTTAATTTAATCACATCTGCAATTTCCTTTTTGCCCTGTTAGGTAAAATACTTACAGGTTCCAGAAATTAGGATATGAACATATTGGGGGAGGGGGGCACTGTTCTGACTACCACACTCTTCATCTCTTTCTATCTCTGTATAATTACATCTTGTTTTATTTGCATTTCTTTAGTCAGGACTCCCACTGATGAAGTAGCAGCTTGTCTTGAGCATGGTTTTTCTGATCAGTGATCTATATTGGTCAATTTATGAAGAAGCACATTTAGTACCTCTTGTGTTGCCAGGCACTGTAGCTGAAAAGGAGAATTTGTCAGTTGATGGGAAAAAAAGTTGCCTGGATGTCTCTTGTAATCTTCCCCAGTTCAAAAAATGTTAAGACCAGTTATTCAGGTCAAAAATCTTGGAGCCATCTGGGATTCTCCTCTTCTTTCACTCCACATCTAATCCTTTTACAAATCCTGTACATTCTACCTTCAGAATACATCCAGAATCCAACTAGTTCTCATCACCTCCCCAATTATCCACTTGGTCCAAGACACCATTATCTCTTGCCTAGTTGTTTTAATAGCCTTCAAATTGGTCTCTCTGCTTCCACCCTTGCCCCTCTTCGGTCTATTCTGAACACAGCAGTCTGACTGACAAATAAAAAAAACTCGTGTGATTCTCCTGCTGTAAACCTCAGAGAGCTTTCTTTCTCACCCAGAGTTGATGACTGAAGGCTCACTTGCATGTTTTGGTCTGTGACCTCTCTGACTCCGGCTCCTACGTTCTCCCTTCAGTTCTCCTGCTTTCTCCGACTTGGCCCTTACTGTTATTTTCTGAACCTGTCAGACATGTTCCTGTCTCCAGCTTTTGGTATTTATTGTTCACTCTACTTGGAATATGCTTAACCTAAAAATCCGTGTGGCTCATTTCCTTACTTCTTTCACCCCTTCAAATTCTGCCTTTTCAAGGAGGATTTCCCAGCTATCCTATCTAAAATTGCAACCCCATAACCCTCCCAACCCTACTCTGTTTTATTTTTCACCTCAGCTCTTATCATTATCTGACATCATATTTTACCAACTTTTCTTATAAATGATGTTTACCTCTTTCCACTAGAATTGGAGACTTCAAGAGGACAAAAAATTTTGTCTTTTTTTCCCCTGTCACAGCTCTAATATTTATTTATTTACTTTATTATTTTTTGAGACAGGTTCTTTCTCTGCCACCCAGGCTGGAGTACAGTGGCATGATCATGGCTCACTGTAGCCTTGACCTCCCAGGCTCAAGTGACCCTCCTGCCTCAGCCTCCTGAGTAGCTGGGACCACAGGCTCATGCCACCATGCCCGGCGAATATTTTTATTTTTTGTAGAGACAGGGGTCTCCCTATGTTGCCCAGGCTGGTCTCAAACTCGTGGGCTCAAGGAACCCTCCCACCTTAGCCTTCCAAAGTGCTGGGATTACAGGCATGAGCCACTATGCCTGGCCTCCTTAATTATTTTAATTTTTAAAATTTACTTATTTTAGAGACAGGGTCTTACTCTGTCACCAAGGTTGGAGTGCAGTGGTGGGATCATAGCTCATTGCAGCCTCAAACTCTTGGGCTTACACGATCCTACAGCCTCAGCCTCCCAAGTAGCTAGGACTGCAGGTACATGGCACTATGTCTGGCCATTTTTTTTTTTTTTTGGTGGAGATAGGGTCTTGCTATTTTTCCCAGGCTGGTCTTGAACTCCTGGCCTCAAGCGATCCTCCCACCTTGCCCTGCCAAAGTGTTAGGATTACACACATGAGCCACCAAGCCCAGCTCACATCTCTAGTATTTAGAATAGTGCTTGGCAAATAGCAGGTACTCAATAATTATTTGTAGAATGAATTATATCTGCTTTTATAATTGGGCTATATATTTATCAATTGCTTCCTGAGGCATATAAGGTACAATGCTATATGTTTTGGAGGATAAAAAATAAATTAAGACATGATCTGTATTTTCAAATTGCTTATAATTTGGTTAGGGTAATGAGATAACCATGTGTGAAAAAACTAATGGTATCACTACCATAAGCTGTAGGTATGTATTAAATACGCTTAAGTATGGGGCACCGTGGTAGGTACTAGGGACAAACAAATATGCCATACACGATTTCTTCTTTCAAGCTTTTTTAGGCTAGTTATGAGGACACAAAGGAAAACAAGCTCTACCCGACTGGATGAGCCAAGTGCTAATAAATGGTATGGATACCGATGGGAGATCAGAGGGAGAGGAGTCCAGTAGCAGGGCCTGCAGCAGCAGGCTTCGTGTCACAGGTCTCTTCTGAACTGGGTCTGGAAAATCCAGGGAACTCTGAGAGGTCTGATGTAGCTAGAACATGGGGCGTGAGGGTGGAGAAAAGGCAGAAGACGAGGCTATCAAAGTAGGTCACAGAGAGATCGAGAAGGACGTTGAGTCCTATGTTACAGTTTGATGTCATTCTGTAGGTGGTAAGAAGCCACTGACGTTTTTGAAGAGGGGATTGAAACCATCACATCTGACGTTGACAGAGATGGATTAGAATGGATTGAAGCTAGGGAGAGCAGTTAGGAAGTTCCTATAGGAATCTATGGCCGCTCCTCTGCCCACTGCCTTCAGCTTCCAGAGCAATAGTGCAGACCAAGCCAATCCTGGCTGCAGCAGGAGGAGGTGTGGTGCCTGGGGAACATTTTCGAGAGCTCCGAAGAGAGCCGACAGAGTGCAGGAAGGAGGCATGCAATGCCTGAGAGCCAAGTTCAGCTCAGCTCTATTTTGGGTGACAACATTTACAATGTTCCTTCACCCAGAATCATTCCGCCTGCCTGCCCGCCTTCGGTGTTTCCAGCTGATGGGTTCTCACGCCTACTTAACAACTGGCTTGGTTCAGGGGCTCCCTGGCTCACCGACTGCTGCCCTTCAGTCCTCTCCCTCTTTGGCAGGATGCCTAAGTCCTTGGAGTGGCTAGAGTGCTAAGCCTGGTCCTCCATGCCTCTGCGGCAGGGGAAGCTGGAAGGGTAGTGCAAAAGCTCGAGGAAGGGAGGGGTGGTACTGCTAAATGCCAGAGTTCAAGCACAGAGGTGTGTAGGCAATTGACTCGCAGTTCTGTGCTTCACTTCCTCTGAAAGACCAAATTATAAGGGAGAGAATGCCTGATAATAATATTTTGTGTTTCCACATATCTTGTCTGAGAACCTCCAGACTCAAGATCTAGATTCTGCTGTTGTCCCAGATTACCTCATTAACTGAATCTGTGGGCGTTTATAGGTCATTTTTAGGGCTCTGTGGATATCATAGTGTAGAAGAGACAAATGTTGTTTTTTTATAATTAAAAACCTAAGAGTATTACACATTCATTGTAGAAAATGCATGAGCGTATAAAGAAAAGAATAAAAATAACCCATCATCCCATCACTTAGCGAGAGCTCTGGCTAATAGTTTGATGTTTCTTCCTGCTTGTTTTCCCCTGGGCATGTGTCTGTTTGTGTGTGGCACATATGCATGTCAGATATCCCCAGGTTCCCTCTGGGTGGGTATAGATTGGGGCACCCACCCTCAGCACTGAAATGTTCTCACCCAGAGTATATTTCCCATGTAGTCTGGATAATTTCCCTCCTGTCATTCTCCTTGGATTTCTCTCCTGTGATTCTCCTCTTTCAAAAGTGAAAGGATGCTCCTTGTAAAGACTGTTCTTCCAGGAGGGACCGATGTTTGGAGGAGCTCAGCATGGGACACTGCACAGTGGGGAAAATGAGACTGAAGCTGTACTATAATCATTCTTCTTGAACAATGATTCCAAAGTGCTACCAGGTACGAACAGAGAACGTCTGGTCCCTTCTCTCATTCCATGAGGCTTGCTGGATAGGGCAATGCAGGCCAGGTTTGCCACTGAGTTGAATAACTGGACCTGGTGGATTATTGAGGAGCCTGGTGCATTACAGAGAAAACTTTTCAGAGCAACTTGGCATCCCTTGAAAAAATATGCTAAGTCACCATAGAACCTCCAACCAGTTTGTAAACACCAGATTCTCTACTGATATTTTGGGTCAGATTCACCAGAAAGCAGAATCTAATACAAGAATTGGGTGCAGATAGTTTGAGAGGTAATTGCAAGAAGCAGGAATGAGGAAACGGCATAAGGGGAATGAGGCAGGAATAGAGGATAAACTGTTATTAGGGTGTATTATTAAGGTTCCTACTGTGTGCAGTGGGGACTTAATTCCACCAGAACTTCAGGAGAACGACACAGAATGCCTCATGGAGTTGTCTGCTTGAAGGATGAGGAACTCCAGCTAGCTTCTGTCCCCCACTGGCTGAGCCTCGTCCTTAGGACAGTGAAGTCCCTAGAGGGTTGTGTGTTTGAGGTGTGACTTTCAAGCAGGAAGTGGATCTGAACTCGCATAGGACAGCTGTGCTGAAAGAGGTGGTGGGGCAAGGGGCTTGTGATGTAGGATTCAGAGTCTTCTGCTATAATCTAGGAAATTTAGAAGGCTTCTTGGTTTCACTGATTTGAGCAAGTTTTTTCTCTTGTCTTAACTCCTCTTCCTATCTTCCCCTATTCCTATAATTCTCTAGTCTTACCCATATTTCAAGTAACAGTATGGTTCTTTGCCCTTGGATGGTAGATAGTGTTTGTTTGTTTGTTTTTAGCCAATTACAACATTCTGACTCATAATTCTAAGCTCATAATTTTTTCAGACTCGTCAGGAGCAAGCATTGGGCCTCTTGAGCATTGAGATTCTCTACTTTTGGTGACTAGAGTTCTGTACTTCTTTCCACATCACTAGTAGAGACCAAACTTGGAGAATTTGAGGGAATGAGAACAGTAGAAGGCGTGAGGCAGGCTATCTTCACCTGCAGTCCCATGGCTAGATTGGGTCCCAGTTTGGAACTGGAGCAGATCTTGTGTGGCTTTGGTCTGGGGTTGATTGCCAGTAGATGGGAACACAGGCTTCCTGAGTATACCTGAGATGGTCACGTGGCCGGCCCTCCAGGACTTTCTTGGCCTTGGGTTGGTCTGGATATACAAATGTTGAACATAATAGAAGCACTTTTCCAGCCCTCTGGGGTTTTGTTCAGAACAATATTCTGACCTGCTCTTCTGTGGGGAGTATTGGCATTGGTCTTTCATCTTTCCAGAGTAGAAACTAGAGGCCCAAAGAAGTTAAGTGGTTTACCCAAGGTGGTGTCATTTTTCACTGGTAACAGAGAGAGCTAGAACCAAGGCCTCCTGACTTCCAATCTAGAGTCTTTGACTTTTGACTCCACACCTCCACTCCCACCCCTTGCCACCAATGTAGAAACAGGGTATTTTTGTTCCTTGTTCTATCTCTCACTTTGGACTCCTAGCCAGATTATAACTCTGTGAAGGGAGGACCCAGGCCCCACGTACCCCACTCCTCTGAGCCCAGGTCTAGCCAGAGCAAGTGTTTAACAAAAGCTTCCTAATTTACCTAGAGGGGCAATCCTCAGGGCAGCTGGCTCCTCCCCAGCGGGAAACCCGGCCCATGGCCCTCTCTTAGTTCCAGGCTCCATGGAGAGGGGAACCATGTCCATCTGTGATAGACCTCAGCTTGTAGGCAGCAGGCTTGGAAGTTCTACCTTCTTGATAAGCAGGATTCACATGCTGGCTGTTCTCAGGAATTTGCTTCATTCTAGGGCCCATTGAGGGCTGAGTGAGGGTGTCCTCACTGACTCCTGAGCCCTTGGCCCTGGGGGCTGGTTTCTATCTATTTCTGCTATTTGCCAGATGATGCCCCATACAGCAGAGTCAGCTCTGCCATGTCTGTCCTCAGTCTAGGATTAGACAGTGGTGTCTTCCCTTAACCTTTGGGGGCAGACCTGTATTGTTGACCTTTGCTCTTCCCTCTTTCACTAAAGAGCATGTAAAGTACTGTTTGAAGATAAAGGCAGCTTACTAGTTAACCCCTTAGAGCCAGCACTGGCAGTCCATGTATCAAATGGTCTTCGTAAGATTATTCCAGTTATTTCTGCTGCTCTTTGAGTTATAGTCAGAATTTTGATTGTTTAGGGCCAAAGAGATGAGTCTGGGTCAAAGGCAGAGTGCTGAGCTTTAGTAGTGCCTCTGGGTGGGTAAAGGAAGGGTGGGTTTTTTTCTAGTTCCTCATTCCCAGTGACTACCCATAAATCTTAATTAAAATTGGAGGAGTTCTCCTCCATGTTCCCCTCAAGCTTTTCTTTTATTTTTATTTCCATTTTTTATTTATTTATTTTGTGGTGACACAGGATCTCATTCTGGTTGCCCAGGCTGGTGTGCAGTGGTGCGATCTTGGCTCACCACGGCCTCGACCTCCCAAGCTCAGGTGATCCCCCCACCTCAGCCTCCTGAGTAGCTGGGACTACAGGCATGTGCCACCATGCCCTGCTAATTTTTTGTATTTTTAGTAGAGACAGGGTTTCACTGTGTTGCCCAGGCTGGTCTTGAACTCCTGGACTCAAGCAATCTGCCCCCCACCCCCATCGGCTTCCCAGAGTGCTGGGATTATAGGCGTGAGCCACCACGTCTGGCCACCCCCTCAATCTTTTAAATGAAATAATTTAACAAATATTTGAGAGCTAATTACATGTGCCATCATTTTGGGACTAAAAGAGGTAATTGATGGGATCTCTGCCTTCAAGGGTCTTACGGTATACTTGGAGAGACAAGCGGCATATGTGGCAAAGACCACACTAGACAGGTGTGAAGGGCAGGCCTGCTAAGCAGGGCATCAGAGTACTTGGGAGAGAGAGAGAAAGCACTTTGGATGGATCTGGTTAAGAGAAGCCTTCTTGGAAGAAATGAGATTTCAGTCAGGTCCCTGAAGATACGTGTTTTCTTTACAACAGGTTTATGGGTATCTCTCTTTGTGGTAAGACTTTATTGCACATTCAACAATGACAACAATTTAAGGATCCTGGGGACAAGGTTATTTTGTTCCTAGATGTTCATTATAGTATTGTTCATAATAGCCAAAGATTGGAAACAACTTAAGTATCCAGTGATGAGGCATCGGTTAACTAGACTGTGGTCTCCCGTATTCCCCATGTTGTGGAATATTTTGTAGCCATCATACATCATTTTTGCAGAAGTTTATTTATTGACATCAAAGAATATTCACAATAGGTTGTTCATTGAAAAAAATCAGGTTCCAAAGTACTATGTACAGTATGAGTCCATTTATATTTGTTAACAGTAACAAACAAAACATGGCTTCTTAAAATCTTTTTGCTTACTCATTTTCTGATTTTTGCTACATGTGCATTAACTTGTAAATAAAATAACCTTCTGTGCTTATTCATTTGAGGATGAAATAAATAAATAACTTTCTGATGTTTTCCCTTCTTTTCTTTCTTTTTTCTTTTTTTAGAGACAGGGTCTTTCTCTGTCACCCAGGCTGGAGTGCAGTTGTGTGATCATAGCTCATGGTAGCCTCAAATTTCTCGGCTCAAGCCATTCTCCTATTTCAGCCTCCTGAGTACCTAGGACTACAAGCACATGCCACCATGCATGGCTAATTTTTATTTTTATTTTGTAGAAATAGAGTCTTGCTCTATTGCCCAGGTTGGTCTTGAACTCTTGGCCTCTGTAGATCCTCCCTCCTCAGCCTCCCGAAGCACTGGGCTTACAGGTGTAAGCCACCATGCCCAGCCCTCCTTTTTTTCAATAAGAGAGTTGGAATGCCCCATAATACCTGTAGGTGGACAGGTCCAGTGGAGTCACATGTCCCTTATTTTGTGGGGAATATTGCCCACAGCTCACTCTGGTCCTCAGTTTCTGAAGACAAGTTGGCTTGCTTGAGACAGGAGGTACTGGGGAGCCTGCCCGCTCCTGGTCTAAAGAGCAATGCCTGGGAGGAAGCCTCTAAGTGCTTCTTCCTTCTAGTTGTGGGAACCTGCATATTTCTCAGGCATGCAGCATCTGGGGCTGAACTGCCCGTCTGCGTCTGTGGCGGCTCTATTTTTTTTTAAATCCACTTTCTTCATACTTTGCATTTTAGTCAGGAAATCACTGCTGCCCACTGTCTATCTAATTAGAGTGCCAGGAAGAAAAAGGTGCTTTTGCCATTCTGAGCCTCTCTGGGAAAAGGTTATGAGACAAGAGTGATAGAATTCATCTTCTTGCGTTAGTGATGGGGGGCAGGGTCTCTGTTCCCTGAAAAGCTTATTCAGATGACCTATTTGGTCTAGACTCTGTCTGTCTCAGCAATAGCTGTCATCTGAATGTCACTTTAGAAGGTTTGGGTGCTTCCTTTTCCTTCTCTTTCAGCAGTACTATATTACAATTCGAATGCTAATTAGTATGTTTTAAAAGTACCCCTTTTATCACACATTTCCCAAATCTAAAACCTTTTATCTCTCCTCATTGCCTCTAGGCTGAAGTTCAGACTCCTCAGCCTGGCCTCCAAGGCCTTTCACATTTTGACCCAACCTCCCTTCACAACCTCCTTCCATCTCCTCATCTTCTTAAAACCCTTGTAGTTCATCAGAGCCAATCCATCCTTTCATTGGCCCCAAATACATTTACAGGCTGGCTTCTGCATACCCCTCTCTGAATCACCCTCCTTCCTTTTGTGGAACCCAATTCTACTCTTCTTTCCTAGGCCAGCTCAGTCCTTCCTCTTGAAGTCTACCCAGACCTCTTGAGTGCACAGTGATTTCTCTTGAGCTCAACTCTTTTAGCACTATCTTCTATACAAGTCTATACCACTTCATTTGGCATTAAAAAAAGTGATAGTGAAGAACACAACACAAAATTTGCCATCTTAACTATTTCTAAGTATACAATTCAGTAGTATTATGTGTTTATATTGTTGTGTAACAGATCTTCAGAACTTTTTTATCTTGTAAAACTGAAACTCTATACCCGTTAAACAACAACTCCCTATTTCACTTTAGTTGGCATTTTATCCAGAACCATGCTGTGATATCACATATGCTGAACTGTTTAATTCCACTAGCCTTCACTAAGCACCAGTGTTCCAGGTAAGCCACTGGTAGATTCTAGAGGAATACAAAGCTGAATAAGACACAGCTACCAAATGTGAAGAGTTTGCAATTGTTCTCAAATAAGAGTTTGCTCTTGTATTCATGTGTCTCATGTCCCTAAATAGATGAAATGAGAACAAACTTCTTATGAGCCACAACAATTTCTTTTTTTTGGAACAAAGCAGAATAAAGTGACTAAATAAATGCAGGTATCGTTCTTATGACACCCAGGATAGAAATGGGCATATACTTACTATGTGTTGTTTGATAATTACACATGCTAATGTAAATGAGTTCCTGGGCTATTTGGGGAGTCTGTGTTCTCTCAAATAAATCATACATTTTTAAAAAAGAAAGAAATTGTTCTTTCATTATAATAAGATTACTTTTTTATATAGTAAACACAATATGTGCCTGTCAAAGAAGTAAAAAGACAGAAAAGACAGACAAGCAAAATAACATAAATACCAGTAATAGTGATGACTGCTGTGAACCTTTGGCTTGCGTCCTTTCATATATTTGACTATATGGATTCAGACACACACACATTTTGTGTATTTTTTAACAAAAATAAAATCATATCACTGATACATACTCCTTTATCAGCGTAACATAGTTTGAATATCTTTGCCTGTCCATAAATAATTTCCTGTAATATAATTTTGATATAACAAATCTTTATTGAGGACCTATGCTGTCCCAGGAACTAATTTAGGGATTACAAATAAAGCAATGAACAAGACTTGCATGAAGCTTACACTATGGGCTGGAGCAAGATGAAAATCAAACAAATAAGTGGACAGGATAATTCCAGATACTGATAAGGGTTATTAAAACAATGATGTGAGACTATTTTAGATTGGATGGTCCATAAAGGTCTTTTGAGGAAGGAAATTTTGAGTTGAGGCTTTAACGATACTAGCGAGCTCCCATGTAAAGATTAGGAAAAAGCATTCCAGGAAGAGAGAATAGCTAATGGCCAAAGCTTAAGAATGAACTTGGCATGTTTGAGAAATCATAAGAAAGCCACTGTGGCTAAAACGCAGTGAGGAAGAGGGAAATTGGGTATTAAATCAGAGAGGTAGATGTAGATGAGAATTTTTGTGGGGCTCTTGTGGGCCTCATAGCCCATGGTCAAAATTTTGGATTTTATCCTAATGTCAATGAGAAGCCATTAGAGGGAAATGATATGATCTGATTTGTTTGAGGAGGACTGTTCTCCCTAAAGGTAATTTACATTATTAACAAAAGAGAGAACCTCCCCCTCCCCACCACACACACACCACACACAAATGCAATCATCACATTATATTCAAAGAAACCTTGGATAAAAATCAACACACAACAGAGGAAAACACCACACAACAAATAATCTGGTGTCTTTACCAAATGGATTGCAAGAAGAAAAAAAAAAAGATGGAGGAACAACCTATATAGATCGAAAGAGACCCAAAAGACATACTAAAAATTAGGCAAAACCAAACCATGGTGTTTAAGATTCATGGCTGGGTGAGCGAACTATGAGAAAACAGTAAGGAGGTGATTACCAAAAAGTCAACAGAGCAGTTACTCTTGGGCAGAAGGAAGGAGGGGCTCATAGCTGGGAAGGGACACACGTGAGGCTTTTGGGATGGTTGATTTGTCTCCTTTCATGGGTAGTGGTACAAAGGTGTTTGGCTTAGAATAATTAAGTTCTATTTTTAGGCTGTTTTCTTTATTTTTGTTATTTTAGCTATGAAAAAGGTTTTTTCTAATCGACAATTATTCATGATAAATGAAATGAAGGGGAACTTCTAACCAACTATAAAAACACTAGAGCAAACATCTTTCTACATAAGGACGTGTTAGTGTTAGAAGCAGTCACTTTAAAACAAGGAATGAAACAAAGGTCCCCCTATCATCAGTGCAAAAAGACAAGAAAAAGAAATGAGAGACAAAAGAATGAGAAGGGAGGAAATTAAATGGTCATTTTGGCATTATTTGTCATTATTTGCATAAAAAACTCAAAACAATACATAGATAAACTATTAGCAGTAATAGGAGAATTTAGTCAGTTAGCTTGATATAAGATGAATATGTAAAAGTAATTTACATTCTATATACCAACAGCAAACTAAAACACATAATTAAAGAGCAGACGCATTTAAAATAGTACCAGAGAAAATAAAATACTTAAAAATAAATCTAACAAACGTTACATGCCTTCTACTTTAAAAATGTGCAATTTCATTAAGAGATATTAAGGGAGTACTTAATAAATTAAGGGAGATAACACTTTCATAGATAGGATAATTTAATATCATAAAGATGACAATTCTCCAATTCTACCCTATTTGACCTACAGCGTTTTTTATGTTACCTGGTAAGGATTTAAAATACTGAAAAAAGAAAAGTAGGGAGAGAAGATTTGCCTCACCAAATATCAGGACTTATTATGAACTTATAGTAATTGAGACAATGTGGTTTTGGCACAAGGAAAAACAAACTGACCAATAAAATATATTAGAAAGCTCAGAAACTGCCTCACATAGATATGGAACTTCTGTAAATGATAGAAGTAGAATGTCAAATCAGTAGGGAAATAAAGAATGATATAGTACTTGGAACTGGAAAAAAATTCATATGCAAAAAAGCGAAACTGGAACCCTGCTCATACCCTATACAAAAAGTCAACTCCAGATGGTTTAAGAATGGAAATGTAGGTCAGCCCAGTGGCTCACGCCTGTAATCCCAGCACTTTGGGAGGCTGAGGTGGGCAGATCACCAGAGGTCAGGAGTTTGAGACTAGCCTGGCCAAAATGGTGAAACCTCTTCTCTACTAAAAAATACAAAAATCAGCCAGGCTGGGTGGTGCACACTCAGTGAGCTGAGATGGTGCCACTGCACTCCAGCCTGGGCGACCGAGTGAAACTTTGTCTCAGATAATAGTTATATTAATAATAATAATAATATGAAATGTAAAAAACACCCCATAACTTAAAAATTCTTAGTAGAAAATATAGGTGATTGTCTTTCATAAATTGAGTAGGGAAATATTTTTAAACAAGACACAAAAATATTGACTGCAAAAGAAAAACGGATACATTTGACCATATTAATATTGAGAATTTTGTTTTTTTTTGAGATGGAGTCTTGTTCTGTCGCCCAGGCTGGAGTGCAGTGGTGCGATCTTGGCTCACTGAAACCTCTGCCTCCGGGATTCAAGCGATTCTCTGCCTCAGCCTCCTGAGTAGCTGGGATTACAGGCACCCCCCCACACCATGCCAGGTTAATTTTTGTATTTCTAGTAGAGATGGGGTTTCACCATCTTGGCCAGGTTGGTCTTGAACTCCTGACCTCGTGATCCACCTGCCTTGGCCTCTCAAAGTGCTGGGATTACAGGCATGAGCCACCGCGCCCTGCTGAGAATTATTATATACCAAAAGACCGCTTAAAGAAAGTGAAAAGACAATTTACAGACTGGAAAAAGGTCTTTGCAACACACAAAACCAGCAAAGGATTAGTGTTAAGGATACGCAAAAAACAACTCTTACAAATTAATAAGAAAAGCACAAACAACCCAGTTTTTAAAAAATGGGCAAATAACAAGCATTTCATAGAATAGGAAACACTTAAGATCAATAAAAACATGGAGAGATGTTTAACATCATTAGTGATCAGGGAGATGCAAATTAAGAATACAATTCAATAACTTTTAGCACCCATTTGCTTGGCAAACTTTAACAGTTTGATAATGCCAGTGTTGGAAAAAGAAGTTAGAATCATAGGATCTCTTCAAAATTGCTAGTGGGTGCTGGGCACCATGGCTCAAGCCTGTAATCCCAGCACTTTGGGAGGCCAAGTCAGGTGGATCACTTGAGCCCAGGAGTTTGAGACCACCCTGGGCAACATGGCGAAACCCAATCTCTACTAAAAATACAAAAATTAGCTTGATGTAGTGGTGTGCACCTATAGTCCCAGCTACTTGGGAGGCTGAGGTGGGAGAATCACCTGAGCCCAGGAGGTGGAGGTTGTGGTAGTAAGCCAAGATCATGCCACTGCCCTCCAGCCTGGATGATAAGAGCAAAACTCCATCTCAAAATAAAATAAAATAAAATAAAATAAAATAAAATAAAATAAAATATTGCTAGTGGGAATGTAAACTGGTGAACAGTTTGGCAAACAATTAAAGTTTGACATTTACATACCACAAAATGCAGAAATTACATGCCTAGATATATATCCAACAGAAATTCTTGCACATACACAATAAGAGACATGGATCACAATGTTCATAACAGCATTCATAATAATAAAATAATAATAATAAGGCCAGGCACAGTGGCTCACGCCTGTAATCCCAGCACTTTGGGAGGCCGAGGTGGGCGGATCACAAGGTCAGGAGATCAAGACCATCCTGGCTAACATGGTGAAACCCCGTCTCTACTAAAAATACAAAAAATTAGCTGGGCGTGGTGGTGGGCACCTGTAGTCCCAGCTACTCGGGAGGCTGAGGCAGGAGAATGGCATGAACCCAGGAGGCGGAGCTTGCAGTGAGCCGAGATCACGCCACTGCAGTCCGGCCTGGGCAAAAGGCAAGACTCTGTCTCAAAAAAAAATAAAAAAATAAAATAAAATAAATAATAATAATAATAATAAAAACCTAGCAAAAAATCTTCAATGCCCATCAACAAGAGACTGAATAAACTAAATCCATAACTACAGTGGAATATTACACAGCTGTTTGAATGAATGAACTGTGGTGACATGCAACAACATGCGTGAATCTTAACAAATACCACTAAGTGCAAAAATTATTGCGTGCCACGGGATATTTTTTATTAAATTAAAAACTTTAAAAATATGTGTATTTAGGAACTCTTATAGATGCAATAACACTATATAAAAAGGAAAGCAAGGGAGTGAGGATTCAGGTTGATGGCTGCCTGGCATGGGAGGTGTTAGGACATGGCATGGGTAGGGGCCAAATGTGGTAGGTTTATGGGTGCTTTTAATACTTTAAACAAATGGTTAGCTAGCTAGCCAGGCAGCAAAGTAGACAGCTCTGACTGCTATGTGAAGAATGGATCAAAGGAGTAGAAGCTGGAGCAGGATGACCAGTTAGGAAGATGTTTAGTATCCAGATGAAGGAGGGTGAGGCATTGTTCTCCAGTGGTGGCCATTGAGATGGAGAGTAATGAACAGAATCAGAATCTATTCCGGAGATAATGGAGAACTTGCTCTGATGACTTAGATGTGGGAGGCAAGGAATATTCTATTGTACAAATCTTCCATAATTTAACAGTCTGCTCTTATGGTACATCTAAGTTGTTTACAATATTTTTTGCTCCAGTAAAGGTCTAAAATGAACATCCTTGTACCTTAATCTTCAAACAAATTCAATTAATGTCTTTCTTTTTTATGGTGTGAGACCGGGGCCAATTTTATTATATTTAAGACTGTTTGTTTTAGAGCAGTGTTAGGCTCACAGTCAAATTGAAAGGAAGGTACAGAGATTTCCCATATGGCCTCTGCCCTCATACATGTTCAGGCTCCCAATTACAATATCCCCCACGAGAGTGGTACATACATTACAACAGATAAACCTACATTGACACATCATTATCACCCAAAGTCTATACCTTACATTAGGGTTCACTCTTGGTGGTGTACATTCTATGGGTTTGGACATGTGTATAAGGACATACATTCGCTATAGTATCATATAGTATTTTCACTGCCCTGAAAATCCTCTGTGCTCCATCTATTCATCCTTCCCTTGCCCCAACCTCTGGCAACTACTGATCCTTTTACTCTCTCCATAGTTTTGCCTTTTCCAGAATGTGATACAGTTGGAATCATATAATACGTAACCTTTTCAATTGGCTTCTTTCCTTTAGCAATATGGATTTAAGGTTCCTCCAGATCTTTTCATGGCTTGATAGCTTTTTTCTTTTTAGCACTGAATATTTCATTTACTGGTTTACCACAGTTTATTCATTCCTCTAATGAAGGCCAACTCGGTTGCTTTCAAGTTTTGGCAATTATAGAAGATGATATGAACATCTGTGTGCATGTTTTTGTATGGACGTAAGTTTTCAACTCCTTTGGGTAAATACCAGAGAGCTCAATTGCTGGATTATATGGTAAGAGTATGTTTAGTTTTGTAAGAAACTGTCAAACTATCTTCCAAAGTGGCTGTGCCCTTTTGCATTCCCACCAGCAATGAACCAGAATTCCTGTTGCTCCACATCCTCACCAGCATTTGGTGTTGTCATGTTCTGGACTTTGGCCATTCTAATAGATATGTATCTTGAATTAGTTTCTGAAAATCAACCTGCAGAGGCTGGGCGTGGTGGCTCACGCCTGTAATCCCAGCACTTTGGGAGGCCGAGGCAGGCGGATCACAAGGTCAGGAGATCAAGACCATCCTGTCTAACACGGTGAAACCCCATCTCTACTGAAAATACAAAAAATTAGCCAGGCATGGCGGTGTGCGCCTATAGTCCCAGCTACTCGGGAGGCTGAGGCAGGAGGATGGCGTGAACCCGGGAGGTGGAGCTTGCAGTGAGCCGAGATCGCACTACTGCACTCCAGCCTGGGCAACAGAGTGAGACTCTCGTCTCAAAAAAAAAAAAAAAAAAACAACCTGCAGAAATGAAATTCTTATATCAAAGGATATGTGCATTTAATAAGGCTTTTGATACATATTACCAAGTTAGCTTCCTGAAATGAAAGATGGCACCACTTTAGCTCCCACTGGTATGAGGCAACATCCACCTGTCCTTTTCTACATTCAAAGCTCTGTATTCAGGGACAGTCTCATTGGCAGTGGAAGATAGGTAGATCTGTCTAGTGAATTTCTCCTGGACAGATGTGTGGTTACTCAGCAGTCTCTGGCTGGGATCGTCCCAGTTAGAGCATTTACTTCCCTGCTTCCTGCAGTGGGCATCCTTAGAGCACTGGACCCCTGCCTTGGGTCCTTTCCTGGAGCATGAGTCAGGATGTGAGGTGGCATAATATCCTTTTTTTTTTTTTTTTTTTTTTTTTGAGACAGAGTCTTGCTCTGTCACCCAGGCTGGAGCGCAGTGGCGCGATCTCAGCTCACTGCAACTTCCGCCTCCCGGGTTCAAGAGATTCTCCTGCCTCATCAGGGACTACAGGCGCTCACCGCCACGCTCGGCTAATTTTTTTTTTTTTTGTATTTTAGTAGAGATGGGCTTTCATTGTGTTGCCCAGGCTGGCCTTGAACTCCTGAGCTCAGGCAATCTGCCCGCCTCGGCCTCCCAAAGTGCTAGGATTACGGGCGTGAGCCACCGTGCCTAGCCCATAATATTCTTTTTCCTAGGAAAGGCTCCTTAGCATATGGATCAAAGAGATCTCTTCCCTTTTTTCCTTACCAGAGTCTTCCACTCAGACTCTGGCTGCCTCCAACCCCTAAAGAGCCTTTGGGGATTTCTAACAAACCTGGGATTTTTTTCTGAGTCAATTTGGAAAGGTTAAGCAAGCATATAAAAGAATTAATTAATTACCGAAGTTTATGTCCCCTCAGAGCCTCTAAAGCTGTGCTGTCCAATACAGTAGCCACTAGCCACAGGAAGCAATTTAAATTGGAATTTAAATTAGTCAAAATAAATAAGATGGAAAAATTCCATTCTCCAGTTCCACTAATCACATTTCAAGTGCTCAAGAGCCACATGTGCTAGTGGCTACCATATTGGACAACCCAGATATGGAACATTTCCATCATACAGAATGTTTTACAGAACATCACTGCAGAGGTTGGTTTACTCCAGAAATATTCCCAGGGGCCCTTTTAGGTGTGCAGTTGAGATGGTCAGTAAGGGTGGGTAGGAGTTATTGTTACCAATTAATATGACTTGCCGGATTTCTCCCTGCTCATCTAAAAAATAGTTCTCATTTATGTCTAGGTTCTTTTTGCTTCTTTCTCTCCGGTCTTGAGTAAGGGTCTCCAGTTGTGTCACAGTTATATCTTAAAGACTGTGTGTATGTGTGCTTTATAAGAGAAGTCTGATCACCAATTTATATCATTGACTGACCTACGCCAAAGCCCCTTTCCTCTAGTGCAAGGTCCTGGGGTGTGGGAGGATATCCCAGGGGCCACGCCTGACACATAGACAGGCTGAAGTTTTGCCTGTGTTTGCAGTGGACCTAAGGACAAATGTTAGGCTAACGCCAGAAATTCAGAATTTTTCATTCCTTCCCATTACCTCAGTTTCTTCTTGTGCAGTATGAAGATGGAGTTTCTCCTGAGCATTTTGGAGATGCAAGAAGGGATTGCTTGGAGTGACGAAGCTCCAGATTCTGTGTTCATTCTGCTAATCCTGGAGCTGGGGTAAACATGTGACTATGTTTATAGCCTGCCTATGTCCAGACCCTGCTGTGAGAAGCAGCTCTTCCCAGTGGCCTAAATATAGCCCTGGGAGCCCCACATGCCACATTCTATCTAGTCTTGGCTTGCACACTGACTCACTGTATGACTCTGTGAAAGTCACTTCCCCTCTCCTCCCAGTGGGTCATTGGGAGTTGGGGGGAGTGTGGATAATTGCCCTGAGTCACCTCTCAGAGAGGAGCTGATTAGGGCTCAATGAAGCGAAAGGTGTAAGCTGAAAGGGCAAGGGAAGAAGCAACTCTGGATAGAGCTCGAGGAGAGGGGGCTTGGCTTTCACACTGCTTGGGCAAGCTGTCCCCTGAGATTGGGAAGCCTGGGACCTATGGTTAGCTTCAAAAGGTCCGTAAACCTCTTTGAATTATGAACAGGGATACGTGGATGTAAGCCTGCATGCATTTTTATGGGGAAGGTCTATAGCTTTCATCAGATTCTCAGAAGTTAAATAACCCCAAACGGTTCTGAATCACTGCCTTAGGAAGTTTGACTTGGGTTCTGAGGAGAGGAGGTGCTGTTCCTGTTTCGGGAGGGGCAGCAAAGGTTGGGCTTCCCCAGGAAGTCAGAAGCCAGCTGTGCTAGGTACAGTGCTTAGAACAGCCCATGGAGAAAGGCCAGGCACTCTTTTGGGCCCTTGAGATAGAAATGAAATACTTTTTTTTTTTTTTTTTGAGACCGAGTCTTGCTCTGTCACCCAGGCTAGAGTGCAGTGGTGCAGTCTCGGCTCACTGCAGCCTCCACCTCCAGGATTCGAGTGATTCTCCTGCCTCAGCCTCTCGAGTAGCTGGGATTACAGGTGTGTGCCACCACACCTGGCTAATTTTTATATTTATAGTAGAGACGGGGTTTCACAATGTTGGCCAGGCTGGTCTCAAACTCCTGGTTTCAAGTGATCCATCTACCTCAGCCTCCCAAAGTGCTGGGATTACAGGAAATGAAATACTTTTTGACTCATCTACATCTCCCATCCCCTACTCTGAAGTCTGCTCTTCCCAGGTGTTTGGCCCTAAGTGAGGTCAGTATCTGCATGGGCACACCCTGGAAGACAAGGTTGAAGAACATATGCATGAGTATGGTATGCTATGCAAGTATCTGGGCTGAAAGTAAACCATGAATAAGGAATAGAAAAGCAGTCATCTGTGGAGGCCATATCACAAAGCAAAAGGGGTGTTAGAATGGGACTGAGGACACTTGGGCCCTGATTCTTACGTTGATCCTAAATCACTTTGTGACCTTAGCGGTCACTTAGCTTCTCTGTGCTTATTGTGCCATCTATAAAATGGGCTAACTTCCCCTGACCTAAATACTGACAGTGGCTGTTGTGAGAAATAAAAAGGAATTTAACAAAAATTAGCATTTGTTATGTTTTCTTATTTTAAAAGTTAATAAATGCTCATTGTAGGAATATGAAAAACCCAGAAATATGTGAAAAAAGGAAGAATTATTTGCAACCTCTCCATTCTGAAGTACATCTTATAAAATCTTGGAAATTATGCTCGCTTTGGCAGCACATATACTAAAATTGGAACAATAAAGTCTCGGAAATTTTCCTTACAAGTCATTTTTCCATGCATATATTTTTTCTCCTTACTTGATCTTAATGTTCATGTAATTTTATATACTGCTTTTCTTACCTACTATTGTATAGTGACCATTTATCTATATCATTAGTCGTTCTTCAGCAATCTCATTTTTAATGGCTGATGTTCCATCACTGGAAGGCACCAAAATTTATTTAACAAATTCCCAAGTGTAGGCCATTTATAAGTTGCTTCCAAATATTTCATATATTATAAATAATGCTATGTTGAACAGCCTTGTGTATAAATCTTTATGTTTGTCTCTCTTGCCTTAAAAGAAATTCTTAGAACTGAGATTACTGTGCCAGAATGTAAAGCTGATATAATTAAATATTTTAATATATATAAAATACAAGGCATTGATGAGACTGATGGCAAATACCTGTTCATTCATTATTAATGTAAATTCTTGCATGCCCATTGCAGTTGAGACATTTCTGTGAATGGGAGGTGAATGTTTCTATGATCCTGGCGCAGGGTAGTGCAGTTGAATTAGTGTCTATTTCTCTCTTTTGGAATTGTGCTATGCCAGGAAAACAAATCATTTATGGTAAGAAAGCTTTCAGTATGAGAGAGCAGGGAGTTTTGGCAAGGTATCCTTTTAAAAGGATCAACAAACAAGCTCTTGTCAAAGTGTTTGAAACTCTCAGTTCCAGTCAATACCCTATATATCTTAATAGCATGAGCAAGTCCCATTATTTCTCGGACTTCTGTAGTCCCACCTATTAAAATAGGGAGACTAATCCTTAACCCATCTGACATAAAGGAATATTGTGAAAATTTAATGAAATTGCGTGTCTGTGAAAGTATAACAGTATAAGCAAAGGTTCTTTTGCCTTCTCTTTATCACGAGATTGAGGGCTGCTGGGAGTGGAAGGAAACAATGGAGAACCAGGGGCAATGGAGGGAAGCGTCTGAGGGACTGAAAGAGAAATAAGGCCAAGAAATAGCACATGGAGTTTGGTAGAGCTCTGACCTGGAAAAGCCCTGGAAGAGGAGCAGATCCAGATGGGCCCGCCTTCCCTTTAGGCTGGGCCTTGCCTTGGGCCAGCTGTGTCCTGAGGACCACTCTCAGACGCAGGGCACTGAAACTTCCCCAGAAACAGAGACCTTTCTCATGTGACCCTGGGTGCCTTGGGACTCACTCTCTTGGAGGCAGTTTTTAGTGGCTAATCAAACTCACAGCCACCTTCTCCTCCAAATCTTCAGATAGGCTGGATCCTGCTCTGTGGAAATGAGGAAGGGAAGGGGGGTCCCTCTGAGCCATCTGCTCACCTCCAGGGGAGTGACTCTGAGAATCAAGGAGAATCCTATGAATGACTCCCCACTGTCCACAGGAATGTGCAACACTTCCCAGGCTCCCATAGCCAAAGACCTAGTGTTATAAACAGAAGCTGTGGTCCTGAGCTGTCAGAGAGGTTAATCCCCCAGACATCAGGGCCTGGCCTGGCAGAGTTGGGAGCTGGGCTGATAAAGCCTGATAAAGGGAAGCAGCAAGGGGAGAGGAACTGCAGGAGTGTGGGATGGACCCCCATGAAGGCAGTTTCTGATGGAGGCAAGTCATAAAATTTCCCCCATTCATTCTGCTGCCCCTGGGCAAGACTACTCCTCAGCCAGCTAAGAGTACGACACAAAAGATCTGTCCCCTGCTCACTGGACCAGGGGAAAGCAAGGCGCCTTGCGGGGGAATGGGAAGAGGATAACACCCGAAAGTTGTAAAGAAATAATTCCTGGCATTTTCTGAGCTGCCCTGAGGCAGAAGAGAGAGAAGAACAATTCCAACATGGTTCCAACTCTCAAAGAACCGGAAACTCGCTGTCTAGGACTGACGCGCTCTGCTGGCTTTCTTATAGCTCTTCCCTTCTAATTGACTACGACTTGAAGAAAAGCAACTAACTAATGAACAATGTGAGCTGCTGGAAATGTGCCAGGTCACGTGGTACAGGCCAAGAGTGCTGTAGGAGTTTAGAAAAGGCAGAGATTGGTGTGGGCTGAAGTGATTAGAACAGGTTTCCCAGAGAACGGGGGCCAGGACACAGTCCTGGCGGTTTGGATCCACCGTAAAGAGGGCAGGGAGGTGGAAAGGAGCAGCTTTAGGAGTGAGGGGAATGTGCTTGGACAGTGCTGAGGCTCAGGAGTGCCCCGGGATCATGCTGGGCAGCTGTAGGATGAGTGGTTGGGAGTGCAGGAGCAGATCGGGGGAGGAAGACAGATTGTAGATTGCTTTGAATTCTAGGCAGAGGAGTTTAGGCTTCACTTTACAGAAAACAGGGAGTAGAAAGAACCCCTAGAGTGAGGAGGTGTGGGAAGCCATGCTTTGCTGTTTACTTCCACCAAATTAATTTCTTTCTGCCCTCAGTGAGGCCACCTCAACCCCTGAACCATGTAAGGTCTCTTCTAAGAGCTAAATGGTACTGCTCCAAACGTGCTCTATGCTGGCACAGCCTTGGAGATTGCTGTCAAGCTCTTCTTTCTCCAGCGCCACCCCTAGAGACCACTGTCATTCTTCATTTTTCTTCCCATGCCTCCTCTCCAGCATCCCCTCTAGGTTAGCAGGCTCCAGGGAGGAGGGCAGATACTGGGAGCTTGCTCTGTGCTGGGGCACAGCCTTAAACAGGATCCAGCCTCTGTCTACAAAGCCCACAGCCTGGTAGAGCCAGACTAAATGGACATGCAAAGCATGACAAGAGTCTTTTTTTGCTGGCAGCCTGGAGCCTCTAATGCTGAACTGGGTCTTCCTCATGGTGCTCCTGGAACCATGGAACCCTAGATGGAGTTCTAGGAGTTCTGGGACCTGTCCCCTGATCACTCCCCTATTCCTGAGGGAATCCCTGGGCTTTGGTGCCTGGGATAGAACCAGAGCCTCAGCCTGGCTCTGCACAGCCACTTGGACTCTCTCTGGATTAGCTTCCCTGTGTTAAGAGAAGGGAAACGGCCACAGGGAATGCCTTCCAGAGGCAGGACTTGAACACTGCCAGCATGGCGGGTTAAGGATCCGTAAGAGTCCCATATGAGGGAGACCCAGGCCAGGGCCATGGCTGCTGGGAGGCCGGCCCTTCCCACCATGGCCATGTGGGGTGAGTGGGCTACATTTTCCTGCCTGTGAACTCCAACCCTAGGAGTGGGAACAGTGCTCCAAGCCACCTCTGGAGGAAGGGGATGTCGGAGGGGCACAGGTGGTAGGGGAGCAGCACCCAGTCCCAAATGAGCAGCTTGCTCAGGCTGGTGCTGGGTGTGAGCAATCGCTCTGCACTCAGCAACAGCTCTCGTCTGCCTGACCTCAGAGCGTGTACAGCAAGCCCAGCATAGATGCTGCTGGCTCTATTCTGGGTCCTCATCTCTGTATCAGTCACACCACAGGGAGTCCTTCTTAGGAAGCTGCTGCCACTGTTGATGCTTTTCCCAACTCTTCACAGCCACGCTGCACCCCAGGAGCTAAGGCTTAGTGTCTCCATCCTTCTGCCTGCCCCCTGAGACACATTTACAGAAACCACTTCTCTGCACAACCAAGCTCCTAGTAGGGGGTAATCAAGTCAAGAGATGCATAGATTTCACCATTTGGGACAGGAAAGTAGGAGGGAGATTCCCCAGGGAAAGGGAGTTGCCTGACAAGCTCAGAAAAAATTGTGGGGAGAATTAGTGGTAGGAAGAAGAGACAGGGAAGGGAAGGAAACTGGGTGGAAAATTCTGTATTGAAGCCAACTGATTGTAGAGATTAGTGCTGGTGTTCAGGTGGAGCCCATTCTGTCTGAACAGACAATTCTCTCCATCCTTTCCCCACAGAGCTCATTGGGGTTGAAAGTGTTGAATGGCAGTCGGTGACTTTTAGACTCTTCTTGGAAGGTATTTTCCTGCCCCCAGCCTTCAAGGATATCTGCCAGGGGAATGGTGGGCATGAGGATGGTGTGTCTGTCTTGGAGGGTACACGCTGAAAGCAGACTTGGGCTAAGAGCAGAGCTTATTTATCTGCACATTCCTATGGATCTAAGGCTTGGACTCTGACTTCAAGAGGTTCTCTATATCCTGAGGACAGCCTTGGAAGGAACAAAACCAGGTACAGTGAAGATTTTTTTTTTTTTTTGGTGATGCTGTGAACATCCTGTGAATTAGAAAGACAAATCTCCCAAAGAGCTGGGGCTGGATGTTTGGCTTCACCTGAAGCAGGGCCCCTCCGTTTTCAAGAGTCAGGAGAGAGCTGGGCTGCCTCACCTGTGTGTCCCTGGCCCCCAGGACTGCTGAGCTGTTTCCAGTGTGGGGAGAGAATTTCATGGGCTGTCATCACCAAACCCATCTGCCTCCGGATGTCCTGGGAGTAAGAGGAAGAAAGAGGCAGTGATAAGCAGAAATAGCATGGGATGTGACAAACTGGAGGGACCTTCCATGGGATCTGATGGGCCTGAGGGTTTTGCTTTGTTTTGTTTTGTTTTGTTTCTGGTGTTACCAAATTTCTTAGTTTCCAACAGAGTATTTTCACACATGGCCTCTTATATTAGTTATATATTACTGCATACAAAATCATTTCAAAATTTAGACTTACAGCAACAAGCATTTGTTATCTCACAGTTTCTGTGTATCAGGAATGCAGGTATGACTTAGCTGGGTGCTTCTGGTTCAAAGTCTCTCATGCCATTGCAGTCAAGCTGTCCTCCAGGACTGCGGTCATCTTAAGGCTCAGCCAGCGTTGCAGGATCAGCTTTGAAGCTCACTCATGTGTCGTTGGCAGGATTTGGAAGATCTGCTTCCAAGCACACTCACATGAGGCTCTCCACAGGGCTCCCTTATAACATGACAGCTAGCTTCCCAGGGACAAGCAATCCAAAATGGAAGCCAGTCTTTTTATGCCCTAATCTGCAACATGACATCCCATCATTCCCCACATTCTATGTGTTAGCAGCACATCAATAAGTCCAACCCACACTCAAGGGAGAAGATTACACAAGAACGAGAATCCCAGGAGATGGAGATTTTCGGGAGGCTGACCTAGAGGCTGCCGACCACGTCTCTCATTTTGGCCTCATAGCAACTCTGTGCTCTAGCCAGGGAGAAATCGTCTGCAGGTAAGGAGGAAAAGGAAAAGGAGCTCTAGGGAGGTGAGGGGCTCTACTCGTGATCAAAGAGTTGTGAAGTGGTAGATTTAGAATTTGAACGTAGGCGTCCATCTGACTTCAGACTTAGTAGTCTTTCTCTTTTTTTTTAAATTATACTTTAAGTTTTAGGGTACATGTGCACAATGTGCAGGTTTGTTACATATGTATATGTGCCATGTTGGTGTGCTGCACCTATTAACTCTTCATTTAACATTAGGTATATCTCCTAATACTATCCCTCCCCCCTCCCCCCACCCCACAACAGGCCCCGGTGTGTGATGCTCCCTTCCTGTGTCCTTGTATTCTCATTGTTCAATTCCCACCTATGAGTGAGAACACGCGGTGTTTGGTTTTTTTGTCCTTGTGATAGTTTGCTGAGAATGATGGTTTCCAGCTTCATCCATGTCCCTACAAAGGACATGAACTCATCATTTTTTATGGCTGCATAGTATTCCATGGTGTATATGTGCCACATTTTCTTAATCCAGTCTATCATTGATGGACATTTGGGTTGGTTCCAAGTCTTTGCTATTGTGAATAGTGCCGCAATAAACATAGTGCTGCAATATTGTGGCTGCGATAGTGCCACAGTAAACATAGTGCCGCAATATAAAAAGAGTCTCACAATATTGTGAATAGTGCCACAATAAACATACATGTGCATGTTTATAATATAGCAGCATGTTTTATATGTTTATAATATACAAGCATGTTATAGCAGCATGTTTTATAATCCTTTGGGTATATACCCAGTAATGGGATGGCGGGGTCAAATGGTATTTCTAGTTCTAGATCCCTGAGGAATCGCCACACTGACTTCCACAATGGTTGAACTAGTTTACAGTCCCACCAACAGTGTAAAAGTGTTCCTATTTCTCCACATCCTCTCCAGCACCTGTTGTTTCCTGACTTTTTAATGATCGCCATTCTAACTGGTGTGAAATAGTATCTCATTGTGGTTTTGATTTGCATTTCTCTGATGGCCAGTGATTATGAGCATTTTTTCATGTGTCTTTTGGCTGCATAAATGTCTTCTTTTGAGAAGTGTCTGTTCATATCTTTTGCCCACTTTTTGATGGGGTTGTTTGATTTTTTCTTGTAAATTTGTTGGAGTTCATTGTAGATGCTGGATATTAGCCCTTTGTCAGATGAGTAGATTGCAAAAATTTTCTCCCATTCTGTAGGTTGCCTGTTCCCTCTGATGGTAGTTTCTTTTGCTGTGCAGAAGCTCTTTAGTTTAATTAGATCCTATTTGTCAATTTTGGCTTTTGTTGCCATTGCTTTTGGTGTTTTAGACATGAAGTCCTTGCCCATGTCTATGTCCTGAATGGTATTGCCTAGGTTTTCTTCTAGGGTTTTTATGGTTTTAGGTCTGACATTTAAGTCTTTAATCCATCCTGAATTAATTTTTGTGTAAGGTGTAAGGAAGGGATCCAGTTTCAGCTTTCTACATTTGGCTAGCCAGTTTTCCCAGCACCATTTATTAAATAGGGAATCCTTTCCCCATTTCTTGTTTTTGTCAGGTTTGTCAAAGATCAGATAGTTGTAGATACGCGGCATTATTTCTGAGGGCTCTGTTCTGTTCCGTTGGTCTATATCTCTGTTTTGGTACCAGTACCATGCTGTTTTGGTTACTGTAGCCTTGTAGTATCATTTGAAGTCAGGTAGTGTGATGCCTCCAGCTTTGTTCTTTTGTCTTAGGATTGACTTGGCAATGCAGGCTCTTTTTTGGTTCCATATGAACTTTAAAGTAGTTTTTTCCAATTCTGTGAAGAAAGTCACTGGTAGCTTGATGGGGATGGCATTGAATCTATAAATTACCTTGGGCAGTATGGCCATTTTCACGATATTGATTCTTCCTACCCATACCTTGACGCCTGCCAATCCCATTGTCTACTGATACCTCTGGTTAGAATTTGGAGCAGACTTGAGTTGATTGAACATTAAGAGCTTGATGCTGGCTGACTTGCCACTTGATTCTTTCTGGCTGTTTCTGGATTCTTAGGGACATGGTTCATAATCATTCCCCTCTATAGCAAGGACAACTTCTACCTACCATACTTCTTTTTATATTTTTTAATAAACTTTTTATTTTAGAACTTTTAGGTTTACAGAAAAATTGTGAAGATAAGCCAGAGAGTTCCATATATCCCAACCCAGTGTTCTATAGTATTAACATCTTACATTAGTGTGGTACCTTTGTTATAATTAATGAACCAATATTAATGTAGTATTATGAACTAAAGTTTATACTTTATTCAGATTTCCTCACTATTCCTTTGTAATTGAGGCAGGCACTGGGCGATCCATTCATTTGATTAATTCCTAGTCTAGTCCTTCAAGTTGGCACCATTATTATCTATATTTTACTGAAGAGGAAAGTAAGACACAAAGAGATTAAGTAACTTGGCAGATCACAGAGCTGTGCAGAAGCAATGTCAGCACTTTAACTATGGGCTCTCTCACTCCCATGCAGTGCTCTTAACCATTTATGCTTTTCTTCCTCTCTCTCATCCTCTGACTCCTGCTCAGAAGGAGGGAATTATGTACATAAGTAATAACCTAACAGCTGGTCCTACCCCTAGGGTCTAAGCTTTTGGAAAAGATAAGAACCTGTCAGGAAACTGGTGGTGTTTTAGTACCTTCTCCTTCAGCCTCAACTTTCTCTCTGAGAACTGATAGGATTATATTAATGACCCTGGGGTCTCTTCTGGCTCTGACTTTCTGAAACCCAGTGAGTCTGTCCCAGAGGATTTAGGGGCTACCAGTGGGAAAATTGGGGAGGAGGTGGGTTCTGCTTCCCCCAAGCCCAGTGAGTCATTGGCACCTCAGGGAATGAGCCCACTGTTTGGCCTCACTGGCTTCTTTTGCAAATCACTGCAATAGATCACTCATTATATAGGATTGAATCATGTGGCTGCCCATCAAGTTAAGACCCTAAGACTGTTGGCTCTGCATTTGAGGTTATTACCTTTAACTGGTTCAAAGACTTCAGGAATAAAGCCTCTGGGGAAGGCATTGTGAGCAATATTTTTTTCTGCAACACAAATGAAACCCATTCTTTGAGGAGCACAAGCCTTATACAAAGAATTTGTCTCCTCATTTAAAGTGGTGGGAGGCTCTGACAACCCTGACTTGTCAGGAATTCCAAAGCAGGATTGTCGAGAGTGTCCCAGAGTACTGAAGGGTGTGGACTTGAGAGTCACATAGACCCAGCCTGCCTCTTACAAGTTGGTGACCTTGGACAAGTCTCTCAGCCTCTCTGTGTCACCTTTTCAACATCTATAACATAAGGAAAGTATAAGGTTAGCTACCTCATGGAGTTGTTCTTAGATTAAATGTAATAATTTAGGTAAAATGCTTAGTTGAGCCCACAATAAATGCTTAATAAATGTTAGCATTTTTAGGACTTGTTGGAATAATGTATTATTTTTAATTTTAATTCCAGCTCTAAAAGTTATATTTTCTTTTATTCTATTACCCTATTGGAGTCCCAAGTATCTAGAAAGCACCAATTGCTGAAAAGCATGTTCAGCCCCAGGATACAGACAGTTTTCTTCTGGTGGACTGAGGCAGAGGTAGGGGAGGTGATCTATTGAGCTTCACCAACTATTTCCTTCACTACCATCTGCAAAGGAAGCCTGTGGCCTTGGCAAGACAGTCTCAGCCCAGCCCAGCTGCCCCAGCCAGCCTGCCTTGCTGCTATCTGATATTCCCCAGATGGCCCTAGGGCTCTGGAGGGCCTCCTCTCTTGTCTAAGGAAGTGAGCAGGACTGCCCATAGGGTTACTCCTGCAGGGCTCATCCCAGACCTGGCACCTGGCTTTGTGTCTGCCCTCTCTGGCTCTCCACATACCAGTCAGGCTGGGGTCCTGGACACCAAGCTCAGGGAGGGGTACTGAGGCTACTCCTTCCTTGAAAGTAGGACTGGGGTAAGGGTGGCAGACTAGGTCAGACTGGCCACACTGCGGGGCCGGTTCCTGTAGCAGGAGGCTGCTGTCTGTGCCTCGGAGGCCCTGGGGCATGCAGAACAGGCAAAAGGGTCTGACCATGAAGTGCTGGGAAAGGTGTTTAGACCCAGTCTTTTTTTTCCCTTTTCACCAGAAAGCACTGCACCAGAGAAGCTGGACTTGATTTTGATTCTAAGTCCTTTGCTGACTGCGATTAGAATTGGCTGAGTGATTCCAAGATATGTAAGAATGGAGAGGTACAGGGACATCGCGATATTATTGGGGGTGGCCTGCACATTCGTGCACATGTAGTACACATGACAAGTAGACATGTACGACACACATATGAGGCGCTTGTGTATCAGCATTCAAGAAACCTCTTCTCCAGAGGCACATTGGCTGCTAGCCCACACAGGGGGCGCATGGCCTACATACAGACCAGGAAATGGGTTTTCCACATCCAGAGAACATTTACTGCATCTAAGCAGCCATTCTGTGGGCCTGTCCCCCTCTGGGTTTAGAAAGGAAGTAGTCTAAAGCTGTGGACCAGAAGCAGAGGCCCCCTAAAGGTAGGAGCACCCCATAGGCATGTGCCACGTTGCAGAGTTGCTGTCCTCAACCTTGGTGCTGAGAACAGTTGGTCCCGAGGCTGGGTGGAGGACCAGGCCATTTCTGAGGCCTCTGATCTACGGGGAGAAGAGAAATAGGGGCTGGTAACAGCCAAGGAGGAAGAGGAGGCTGGAATCTTACATTTTTAATGATGTAGGCTCTCACTGGTAGAAAAAAAACTATTGGTAAATTATATTTTTTAAAAAATTATGACTGGTTGAGTGTGCGATTGCCTCATGTCTTACCTGACACCTTGCTGTTCGATGGTCTAGGTGGCAGCTCATCATCCTCACAATCACGTGTTGTCAACTTAGCCCAAGCTCCCCTGTTTGCCAGACCACAGCCTTCTCCCCTTCCCCTGGCTCAAAGTGACTGGTGTGGCTTGTGCCTTTTGGGGTACCCTGCTGCCTCCAAGGCATAGCCCTTCCCCATTTTGCCAAGGACAGAGGTACTCCCCTTGAGAATGGAGGGAGGGGAAGAGGAAAAGGGGGAAATCTTGGATCCTTGTCACATCATAGCCTTTTGTGGTAGTTTTTCATTTTCTCGGTGAGGAGGAAAACCCTAGTGAGGAATTGGAATGAAACTATTTGGGGTTGGGGAGTATATATTTCTAAGCTATTGGATTATTTTACCTGAATGAAACATTTTTATCTCCAGAGCAAAAAGGGCCAGGGAGGACTGGGTATGTAGGAATTGTAAGTGGCTCCTAGTTTTGCTTTTAAAAAACATTTTTAAATTACACAAGAACTATTGAATTTTGAACAGTTAGACGATATGGGTAATCAAAAAGAAGAAAATAAGAACACTCATAATCTCACTACCCAGCAACAAAACTAAAGATTCTGGAGTAAATTCTTCCAGAACTGTCACTGTGTAGAAAAACTCTTTTAAAAATGGGATCATACTATACCTACTCTTTCATAACCTGCCCCATGTTTCATTTAAAAGTATGTGAGGCCGCGTTGTGAGGGCAATCACGACAGCTGTCTACGAACCAGGAAATGGGCCCTCACCAGACACTGAATCTGTCAGAATCTTTATCTTGAACTTTTGGCTTCCAGAATTGTGATAAATAAATACTTGCTGCTTAAGCCAAAATAAAATACAAGTATATGAGGAACATTAGCAAGACGCGGTGGCTCACACCTGTAATCCTAGCATTTTGGGAGGCAGAGGCAGGAGGATTGTTTGAGCTCAGGAGTTTGAGACCAGTGTGGGCAACATGGAGAAACCCCATCTCTACAAAAAACACAAAAATTAGCCAGGGGTGTAGGCACATGCCTGTAGTCCCGGCTACTTGGGAGGCTGAGGTGGGAGGATCACCTGAGCCCAAGAGGTGCAGCTGAGCTGCAGTGAGCTGTGATCGTGCCACTGTACTCCAGCCCAGGCAACGGAGTGAGACCTCGTCTCAAAAAAAAAGTATATGAGGATATAAGGAAGGAACATCTTTCTGTGATAACAGCTGTGTTTTTATGCTATCATTTTTAAAGGTCACATGGTATTTCATTATATAAATACAACCATAATTTATTTTATCAATTATTTATTATTAGAAATTTAGTTTATTTTTAATTTTTTATTATGCCAGTTGCACTTCCAGATAAAGGGCTTTTTTTTTTTTTTTTTTTTGCATATTCTTACTTCTTTAGGATGCATTCCCAGATGGAACTAAAGAGACTAAAGATATGTATGTTATA
Organism: Homo sapiens; assembly: GCF_000001405.40. Taxonomy (NCBI): domain Eukaryota; kingdom Metazoa; phylum Chordata; class Mammalia; order Primates; family Hominidae; genus Homo; species Homo sapiens. The sequence continues at coordinate 139,973,088 of NC_000005.10, read as the reverse complement.
AGGCTTTTGATACTTATTGCCAAGTTCAGAAAGATTGTGTCAATTTATGCTTCACTACCAGTATGTGACTACTAATTTCTGCACACACTCACCAATGTTCTTTTCACTTTTACATATCTGATATGCAAAACGTTATTTCATTTTAATTTACTTTGATTATGATTTAGGTTAACATTTTAATAAGCTTATTAGCATCTTATGTTTCTTTTATGTCTTTGCCCATTTTTCTGTTGAGGTATTTATCTTTTTCATATTGTTACAAGGTTCCTTATATATCTAGGGTATTAATCTTTATTTTGATAAATGCTGTATAGAGTTTTTCAGCTTATTGTTTGCCTTTAGTAGTTTTGTGCCATTCTTTTTTGGAGACAGAGTCTCGCTCTGTCACCCAGGCTGAAGTGCAGTAGTGCAATCTCGGCTCACTGTGACCTCTGCCTCCTGGGTTCGAGCGATTTTCCTGCCTCAGCCTCCCGAGTAGCTGGGATTACAGGCGTACGCCACATACCCAGCTAATTTTTGTATTTTTAGTAGAAACGGGGTTTCACTATGTTGGCCAGGCTGGTCTTGGACTCCTGACCTCAAGTGATCCGCCCACCTCGGCCTCCCAAAGTGCTGGGATTACAGGTGTGAGCCACCGTGCCCAGTTTATGACATTCTTTAATACAGAGGATTTATATTTTTTAATATGGTAAACATTATCAGTATTTCTTTTTGGTCTACTTCTTGATTCATTCTTAGAAAGACTCTTCTATTCCTCCTGTGTGACATAAACATCTACCTAAATGTCCTAGTGTTTTATTTAACATTTAGGTCTCTTAACCATCTATAATTTATTTTTGTGTATTATAGGCCTAGTGTTTTAAAATTTTAGTTAACTTGTTATTCCAGTATCATTGTTGGACAGTCCATTCTTTTTGTTTTAATACAAAATGTCACTTAACATTCTACATGTATCTATAATATTACATTTTATATACGCACTGGTCCTGTTAATAAAGCCTTTGTTCAACACCTGCAATTGTTTCTTGGCTTTATATTATGTTCCACTGATTGATCTATTCTGGTACCTGAACATCATTTTTAAAATTATTGTAGCTTTATAATACATTTTCGTATCTGGCAGTGCACGTTCTCTTTTTTTGTTCTTCTTTATCAGTATTTTTCTTGGCTATTCTACGTTTATTCTTCTAGATAAATTTGAGAATCAATTATGCCCTTGGGTTTTTTAGTTTGGAATGCTGTTAAATGTAGAGGTTACCTTGGGGAGATATGTTGTAAAGTACTACATTTTTACTTTCATTTATTCCTTTTTGTTTGTTTGTTTCCTTTAATAGAGCTAGAGCATAATTTTCTATTGATAGATCCTGCACGTTTCTTACTAACTTTAGTCCTATCATTGTATGTTTTATTGATATTACTAATGGGATGGTATTTTCATTATATTTTCTAATTGCATATTGCTCATGCACTTGAGAATGCTTGATTTTTTTTACATTTGTTTTGTAACTGGAAGGCAAGCATGCTGTCTTCTGGTTTTTCCTTTTGTGGGTTTGGGCCAAAGGCATGTTTGACCTATTTTGAGGCCATTTAATTTCCTTCTGGGTCTGGGCCACAGCTCCTCCCCGCAATTCCTTGCCATTGTGAAAGGAGTTTGGGTGAAGAATGGTGGGCACAATCAACTCCTTGTTGGCTGCCCCCTAAGGACAGATGTGTTGCAAAGCAAATGCCTACCTAGTTCTTTCCCTACTCCAACCCCAGCTGTTTGGATGCCAGGAAGATGACTTACCGTCTAGTGGAAAATAGGCCCATGAATCAAAGCTGACACAGGCAGAGTGATCGTGGAGGAGCTAGGGTGTTAAAATGAAATTGATGCCAACCCTGGGGGCTCTCAGGGAAACTTTAAGGGCCTACATGTGTCATCAGCTTGGTCTCTGGGCTGGCTGAATGCATCTGACTGAGGTAGTCCTTTACTATGGCCCAGAGGCAGAGCTAGATCTGCTTCTTTTCTCCCCATGTTGGGGAAACTGAGGTTGAGCAAACAGGATAGTCTCCAGGATGGTGGTGTTGTCACTGTGTTCCCTTCTAAGAAGGATGGAGATTCATTAACTTTCAAAGCTCAAGGGGAAAAAATAAAAAAAAAAGAAAAACTGGTTATGGAGACTGGCCTCATTTTCAAGTCTGAAGCAAACGCATGTTTGGAAAGGTTTCATGGATAGTGCTAACTAAGGATTCCCAGCAGGTTTTACACATTCTACTTTGGTGGAATGTAAAGATTAGCACTGCCTTTTCTGTCTGATTTTTAGCACTTGGGGTTATATCCCAGTCATGAGCACTCTCTCAGCTTTCCTGCCTTCCCACTGCTTCCTACCACAGGCCACTTCTTCTCTTCTTTGCTCTCTGGTCTTTCATGCACAGGTTGCATGCTAGAGGAGAAGATGGTCCCAGAGGTACCCTGAAAAAGGAGATAAGCTCATCAGGGGATAGCAGGGCTGGAATAGTTAGAGAGAAACATGGAGGGATAAAGGATGTTGGTGGGAGTGGTGGACACAGAGGGTCAGAGTGCAGGGTAGAACTTAGAAGCCAAGTAGTCAGCCCAAATTAGCCTTGCCTGCATCTTCTAGTGGCTCACTCTTGAGGGCCCCTCCAGTGGAGGTGGGGATGTTGCTCTAGTCTTGGTGGTCCTATGAAGCCTACCTCCTTATCATGTGAGGTTTTATCAACCTGACTTGAAAGCTCTGATCCTGTACCCAGACCTTATCCATTGGCCAGACCAGTTCATTTTCTCTACTCCTTTCCTTTTATCCTTAGAACCAAATGAATATCCAGGTTGTTGTTCAAGTGCTCTAAAGAAGGAAACACCACCATCTTGGTTGATGTTTTACTCCAGTGTTTTGGACCATCTTGTTCCCAGAATGTTCTATTTTATAGCTATCTTAGGCCTTCTTGTAATACAAAACCATTATCCTGTGGCATGAATTGGAGAATGTGGAGAATAGTCAGACATCTTTTTTCTGTATAGCCCTTTAGGGACTTCTAAAGGTTATTCGGTTTGTCTTTGAACTTTTGCCAGCACAATGAAGTAAAAATAATACTTGTAAAGTGAGGGGCACAATGCCTGGCACATAGTAAAATGACATTCATTGTTTTTATTGCTTTATTTATATTATTCTTAGGCGATGATAGCACACTCCATTTGCAATATTATTTAAGTTCATATGTCAATGGGAGGCATGGAATTGTTCCAGTAAGGACGGGAAAGGCACATAGTGTTTCCCTTGCCCTTCCTGTTTGAGAGGTGAATGCAGTGTAAGCCAAAGGTCATCATCTATTATTTGGGGTGGAACTAGAAGCTAGAGGGCTCACTACTCCACTAAACTCTAAAATACTTGAGGGCAAGAGTTGTGTCTTATTTGTCTCTGAAATCTCTGGAGCTGAGCATAGAGTTGATTCAATAAACATTGGTAAAGGAAGGTAAGGAGACAGGGATAAGCTGGTGTGGCATCTCAGCATTGCAGGAGACACTAAGATCCCTGTACAAAAACTGTCCCTCTAACATGTCTGCCAAACTAGAGATCCTGCCTTGCTTGAACGCACCTGTTGCCTGATAACTCACTCCTTTTGAAGGCTGCCAGTGAGGTCAGCTCTAATTGGTAGAAACGCTCCTTTCATGGAGGCAGAATCTGCTTTGCCTTGACTTTTACCTGTTAGCCTTATGTCTGTCCCTCTGAGCTACACAAAATAAATTTAGTCTTTCTTCCAGATAACAGCCCTATAGATATTTCAAGATAGCTATTATTTCTTATTTCCTTTTGCCAAATCTAGAACTTGCTTCAGAAAAGCTTCAGGAAACTGTGTCAGAGTCATAACAAGTTATTAAAAGCCAGATATGTTGGCCTTAATCTTGGCGGGTTAAATTAGAATGGCCCTTTCCTAGCACTGGCTCAGGGCCAGAGTCTGCTTCTTGGGTCAGAAGAATATGGCAAGGCCTCTGAGCCCTAGAACACTATATCCTTCATGTTCTAGGCTAGGACTGTGGGCTGCCACGCGGCTGGGCTGATTGCAAGCGCCGGAACCCTCTGCCGGCAGCTTTCCACCAGGTGGCGGGGCATTACCTGCCTGAACGCGGACCCGCGCACCTTCCTCATCTCTCCACCAGGTGGCAGGGCAGGCTGCGTCTCAGCTCCTGCACCGGCCTCGGAGTGCCCTCTCCTCCTGGGCTGAGGCTGGGAGGAAAGCTGTAGGGGCTTTGGAAAGGTCTGCTGCCTTCCCCAGTGAGGACCAGCGGATGCCTCTGCTGCCCTGTGCGGGTGATGGAGCTGGGTTCTTGCTGGGCTTGCTGAGTCCTGGGCAGCCTGTCCAATAATATGCCGTTGCTTGTTGGAGTAGTGTCCAGAACACAGCCTGTTGGGAGCCAGCCCTCAGTGAAAGGCCGCCGAACGGAGAGCTCCCAGTGTGGACAGCTGGCGCTGCCGCTCAGGAGCTACCCCTCTGCCCTTCCCAGCCCTCCTTCCTCCTTCCAGTCCCCTGCAGGCGTGGAGGAAGGTGCTGCTGTCTCTCTGACCCATCCCCTTTGGCGAGGATCGACCAGGTTCCTCGCCTCACACAAACAAGATGAAGTCCAGGCTTGCAGAGTCAGAAAAAATTCTGGTCTACAGGCCTCTTCTCTATAGGGAGGATGTTCCAATCCTGCCCTGCTCCTAAACTAGGCCCCCTTGAGGCTCCGGGTTCTGGCCTTCTGCGCCCTACCCTCACGCAGGCCCTCTCAGCTCCGGGCCCACCACGGAGGCCCGTTCTTTCTGTGGTCGGCCTCATCAGCTGCCTCCGGCTTGTCACTTCCACATCTTCCCTTCTCACCCCTTCTCAGCCGGGCGGGCAGGCATGGTGATTCTGGGCCCAGCCTCGGTATTTCATTGGGACGGGACTATCGGAGAGTGGGAAGGCCTGACTTGAGCTGCCAGTGCCTGCTAGGAAAGCAGAAGCTGTTTCCCTCAGAGGCCTTGGGGGTCAGCATGGCCTCCTCCCCCTGGAATGAAACTCTGGAAGGGGCTTGAGTAAGCATGCAGTCCTGTTCTCCATTTATTTATTTATTTATTTATTTATTTATTTATTTATTTTTATGTTTTATTTTTTGGGACAGAGTCTAGCTCTGTTGCCCAGGCTGGAGTGCAGTGGTGCGATCTCAGCTCACTGCAACCTCTGCCTCCCAGATTCAAGGGATTCTCCTGCCTCAGCCTCCTGAGTAGCTGGGACTACAGGCGCCCGCCACCACGCCTGGCTAATTTTTGTATTTTCAATAGAGATGGGGTTTCACCATGTTGGCCAGAATGGTCTCGATCTCCCACCCGCCTCGGCCTCCCAGAGTGCTAGGATTACAGGCAAGAGCCATTGTGCCCGGCCCTGTTCTCCTTTCATAGGTAAGAAAATCAAGACCCAAGGTTAAAGGAGTCTTGAGGGCTCTGACTAGAGCCCAGGCATTCTACATCTCTGATGAGGCCTTGCATCTGAGGGATCTTCAGTTACCAGCCTCTCCTTAGAAGTGTCTCTGCTTTTCTTCCCACCTGGCCACCAACTGCCCTCTCGTGGGCCCACCTTGTGCACGGCAGCAGCGTCTTCATCAGCTTTTGTTGTCTGGTACATTTGGCCACCTGTGGCCTTTGTTGGGCTGCAGGATGAGGAAAGAGGAAAAGGACACTTGTCCTTCAGTACGGAGACTCTGTTGCGGAGGAGGTATGTGTGTCCTGAGAATGTCTGAGTGGGTTTTCTATTCCTCTGCCCAAGAGGAGTACTTGTTGGACATCTACCTTGTACCCAGGGCTGAGTGGGATACAAGGTAATAGTCCCTGGAGTGAAGGTCCTTATAATCTAGGCATGAGGTTGACTCTAAATAGCTTTCTTGAATCCCATGATCCCTGGCCCCAGCACCGGCCATTGCCTCCTCTTCCTTTCCAGCCACTCCCGTTGACCCTATCCCCGTGGGCTATGCAGTGTGGAGACTCCTCACATGTGATTCCCACATGACTGGCATCTCAGGTCTCCTGCAATCCCCTGGGTGTTATATCTCGGAGCAAGGGGCAAATAAGTTCTATTGATGTGGAGCCACTGGGGGAGGCTGGGGGCCTGCATGACCCCTGTTTCCTCCCAGGCCTTTTTTTGAGCAGTTCCTGTAAGCTCCTTCCCATCCATTAGAGATAGGAGAAGCCTCACTAGCCTTCTGCATGAGCAGGTATGCTCTGAGCTTGCTTTTCTGTGCACTTAGGGAAGCTTCTAAATCACAAGCTTAGATTCTTTTACCTTTCTGTTTGTAGCCCATCAGCAGCTCACCACACAGTTTCCCAGGCCCTCCAGGTCCTCCTGCTTGCATTTCCAACTCTCTCTCTCAGCCTCTCCTCATCACCCCTGACCATGCCAAACTTCCCTTTTCTCCTTTTTTAAGTCGCATATGCTCTCATTTCTAAACTCTTGCATATACTAACCTCTTTTTGTGAAATCTTCTTTTCTTCCCTCTTTCCTCCTCCAGTCTTTGCTGCTAGTTCACACCACCCCTAAGAGCTCATCTTAGAATGTCCCTCCTCTGGGAAAGCTTCCCAGCTCCCAAGAGTAGGGTGGGTCCTCTGATCTTACCTCTGATGGTGCTTGTCAGACTGAATTGTAGTCATTTGTTTCTTAATATCCCTTCCTTACCAAAGTCATACCTCCGTAAGGGAAGGGGCCAGTGGTTTTGTTTATTTGTTTCGTGGAGGGATCCTCACATTCCAGTGCAGTACCTGTCGCGTAAGTGCTCAGATTAGACTTGTACAATGTGGTATGAATGCATGGGTGGGAGAGCTGGTGGGCCTTCCTTGAAGAACTTCCTGCCATCTCTGATCTGGATTCTCTGGGTGTTTAGGTGCATCACTCCTGTGTTTCGTTGGCAATGGAGCATAGTGCACCGAGGTTCTCTGGACAGAGACCATTCATTGGTTCAGTAAATATTACTGAGTCCCTGCTATGTGCCAGGCACCACACTGACACTGGGGATACCATAGTAAATAAGCGAGACATGGTCCCTAAACTCATGGGGCTTATAGCCTAGTGGAGGAAACAAATAATAAGTAAGCAAATATAAAAAAAAAATTAGAAATTGTGAAAAGTCCTAGGAAGAAAATGAATAGGCTGATATAGGGCAATATGAGAGACTGGTAGGAGGGACCTTGCCCACAATCCCCTCTCCCCCTGGCTAGCACACCTCTCCCTCTGCAAAGGCTGTGAGCCCCACATCCATACCTCTGCTGGCTTTACCTCACAGTCACATCCTGACCTTGGCAAGAGTTGTACTAGTGAGCACTCCTGACAGCTCTTCCTTTTAGCACTGTCTGCAATTGGGGTGACGGTCTCTACCAGACTGGGAAGGAGATATATCTTGGCAGAAAGTATAGCCCTGTGCTTTGCTGCTCATAGGAAGGCCTTCAGGAGGGCCAGGATTCATCAGCAGAAGTGTCAGAGTCCCTCTGTCCAGGGGCCTGATTGGGTGAATATTCAGGCCCTGTTATACATTGGAGCATCAGCAGCACTGCTGTGTGGTGGCATGAAAGCCACGGCCTCCTGCTGGCAGCTGGGGCTGCTGCTGCCATCCCTGTTCAGGAGGACTGCGTCGCTCTGCTGTTTGGCCTGGTCTGGGGCTGGGGAATGCCTTGCCTCAAGCTCTGTTGGCAATTGTGCTGGTTTGGGCTGCTTTCTCTGAGCAGCTGTTTGCCTTCTTGGAAAACCTGAGGCTTTGGTTTGGGAGGAGTTGAGAGAGTCGGGGTGTCCCTCTGGGGTACTGTCCCCTGACCCACCCTGGAACATAGTGAGCTGTCTGGCTCCACCCATCTCCCCCACGTAGTTCCACTCTGGACCATTCACGCAGGCTCTTAGAAGTCTTAGAGCATGTGACAACTGTGCCTAGGGTGGGAGGAGGTTGCTGTCGTGGAGCCAGGTGGGAAGCTGGAGAGCTAGCCTGACCATGAGGGGTTAACAAGGTGGTGGTAGGGTTCTTGCCCTGGGGCAGTGCTGATGTGTCTACTGCCACCAACAAAAAATCCTAGTGCCCGTGCATCAAGACACCTTTGTTTCCCCTTAAGCTGGGAGAGTGAAAGCCAGCCCCAGGTTAGAGGCTCTTAGTGGCCTGAGGCCAAAAACTCCACTCTCCTCTCCAGGGTGACACAGTGGCATCTCCTGACAGTCAGACAAAAACCATCTCTCCTGGCATCGCTTGGCCACTGATGGCTCAGGGCTAGATAGGTATGGTTTGAGTGAGGGTCATGGGGAAAGTTGGGAAGGGCCCTCCCTCTCTCTGGACTTGATAGGACCCAACCAATTCAGTAACTTCAGGGGTTAGGTGGAGCAAGAAGCCAAGAAGTAGAGGCCCTGTCAGCTTTGAGAACCTCTCTGACGGAGGAGTCTAACTCCAGAATCCTTTGTTCTTTGAGCCTGTCTGCAAATGCCTGTGTCCAGAGATCTGGGACACACTCCCCAAGCATGCATGTGACAATGTTTGTGCCTAGTAGAAAGGGCATGTTTATGGCAATGTTTGGGAACATGTGATTGGGTGCATGTGCTCATGATTAGCTTCTTAGCTTTAGGGGGTTTTGGGTCCCTTGAGGTTTTGGGTACCTCTGAGAATAAGACTGGCCTGGGATGTGTGGTTATTGACAGGCTGTGATTCTAGAATGGGCATCCGTGTGTGTGTGTGTGTGTGTGTGTGTGTGTGTGTATCTGTATTTCTGTGTATGACTAACCATACATTCTCTCTGGAGCTAGTTCTTTAGGCCGGAAAGGAGATACATAAAGTCCCAAGACAGTAGGGTAGACATTGGAGGGCCAGGCTGGGAATTCGAGTTATTACCATTTTCCAGCACCTTTCTTTGATCTGCTTTTCTTCCCATCAATTCTTTGTTCTCTCACCCCAGCCTTGGCTCTAAAGGAAGAGAAGACCCTAAAAAGGTTTTGTGACCAATGGTCCTGCCAAATTTGGGGGCCAGGCATGGCTGGGCTTGTCCAAGAGTCAGGAAATTGAGGAACTGGGCAGCACAGAGAGAGATGTTACAGTTCATGGAACAGAGCCCCCTTTTTTTTCTCTTGTTCTTTTTTCCTGGCTTGGAAATAATAGGTCTTCAATCTGAGATTAGAAGAAAAGGAAAAAACCAGAAAGGAACCAGTTTGAACAAAGACAAGTTACTGGATGTGAACAACCCCAACTCTTGTGATTGAGTATTCTTACCTAGATGAGGTTCTGCATGCTGGGGTGGGGCTTGGGGTTAGACAGGGAGCAGTGAGGACATTCAAGGCCACCAGGCCTAGAAAGAGGAAAGACAGCAAGAGTGGGCAGGAAGGTGGACTCTAGAGTCAGGCAGACGAGAGTCTAAGCCTGCCTCTTTCTTTACTGGCCAGACTTCACCTCTCCAAGTCTCAGTTTCCTCTTCTATAACCTACAGGGTGCTTGTGAAGACCAAATAAGAAAATGCATATAAAGTGTTTGGCATGGTGGCTGGCACATGGTAAGAATAAATGGTACCTATATGTATAGGGCTCAGTTCTTTCCTTATATGAGGATCATGGGTGTGAAGATGAGGGAGGAATCTCAGGGAGATATGTCTTAGCTGTCTGCAGAAGAAACCCTCTTTATCAAAAGACTCCAGCACAGATGCCAACCTGGTTGAGATAGGGACGGGTTTTCCCCCAGGGCCTGATGCCTATACTTTATTTGAACGTGCAAATACATGTGTATGTGAGTGTGTGTCAGGATAGATAAGGAGGGGAGATATTCATCCTTTTAAAGGAAGGATATGGCCTAAGGTTATCTCCAGATCACCGTGGATGGTGGTTATAAATATATCATGTCAGGTTGTTCAGTGAATTTAGGGATGTTGAGGACTTCTATTTGAGATCTGCTTTATGGAGGTCAAAGTGTTGTGCTTGTCTGGAAACCATTTGTCTCTTTGTTCATTTATTCACTATTTATTCATTCCTTTAATTCACTAGTATATGTTCCATGTCAATCATGGGAGGCTTAGGCTAGTAGAGAAGAAACCTGTTGAGATTGAACCTGGAGAAGAGAAACCTAACCTGGAGAAGGTCAATCTTGAAAAATGACCTTCAGGTCTAGAGAGGGCTTTTATATGGCTCCATATTGCCTATGAACCAGAGAAGTTATATGTTTAACTGCAACATGGTTAGGCATAGTCAGAGGCCTGATTTGTTGGTATCTGGTCTGCCTGGGGCAAGAGGCAGAGTAGGCAACCTCTTGAGGACCCCTCCAGGCCCAGGCATCTAGAATATTCCACTGGCTTGGTTGCTGACTTACTGCAGGACCTTGAGCATATGAGTAAGCACTAATAAGCCTCAGTTTTCCTCTCTGTTAAATAGTGATGAGAATGTTTTCTTTCAGTTCCTCCCTGCCTTCTGGGGCTTGGGAAGGATGAAGAAGCCCCCTGTGTAACTTCACAGGACTTCCTGTGAAGACGGTCTGAGCAAATGCCCTGGCTGCCCCTGCACTCCTACCCTGAGCACAGGATTCCCAAAGTGCAGTCTGGGGCCACTCTTCATTTACCCCAGCCTTGTAAACCTTGTCAGACCTGATTCTCCTAGAGATGCCAAACCATTTCCCTCTTCCACTTCTGCCTTGTACTATTCCCCCTGCCTAGAATGTTCTCCTCAGTCTTCTCCAAGCAAATCTTGTTCTGTCCCGATAGTTTTGAGCCAAGCTGGCTCTGATCACCCTTCTCCCACTGGAGGTTTGTCTTTCTCTCTTCATCCTCCATAGTTTGTCTCCAACACAGCCTCCCTCTTTCTATGCTCTCTTTAGCTATCCCCCGTTCTGGCACTCGGTGTCTGCCATGTGATCTGCTCCAGGGGCTTTGCAGCATTGGTAGAAGGAGGACTGTCAGGGGCTGAACTTGATGAGCAGGGGGAGCTTGAGGGAAAGAGGAGAGGGGAAAATATGCTGGGGCAGTCAAGGGCTAGTTCCTGGGGCCAGGGAGACAGATAGAGTAGAAGAGGCAATCAGGTGACCACTGTGTGTGCCTCCTGCCACCCGGCTATCTAAATCCCAATGACCAGCTCTCTGTGCTGGTCAGGAAAGCAAGAGCCTCAGTGGAGAGGAGACACCTTGGGAGGCTGGGGGGCATTTGCATGGGGCTGCCTCGGCCCCCACATTATACTGGGATTGAGGCTGGATGAGTTTGCATGTCCCCAAGCTAATGCCAAGTCAGGACAGTGGCTATTGCAGACGATTCCTGAAACTGGATTGAGCTGCCAAGGAGAGACCTCTTCCTTTAGGAGCCTGAGGATGGCCTGATAGCAGCTGCTTTTGCTTTGCCAGCCCTGCTTTCACCTCCAGCTCTCAGCAGGGAGCAGGGGGCCAACCACAATCTAGAGACTGAGCTGGTGACACATAGTGGGAATGGCCCTGTTCTCTGGTCAGCCTCCCATGAGAAGTTCCCCAGGAGGAGGGAGGGACCTGCAGCATCTGACCAGATGTGGAGGTCACAGAAGGAGTCCAGCCCCATGCTGATCAGCCCCTACGGGGTTGCTGTCGCTGGGATGGTGGGAGAGGGAGGGCCTGGCCTTGAAGAATGTTTTATTCTTCTGGCTGCAGCAGCCAAAGACCATGGCTCCCACATGTTTCTAAACAAGCTTGATTGTCCTCTAGAGTGATGTGTCACATGCAGGGCTGGAGCCTGAGTCCTGGCAGGAGGGGAGGAGGGGGGCAGGGATGGGGGTGAGGGGCACTGAAATTCTCAGAGAGACAGGACAGTAGAGGCTCAAGTCAGGGAGAGAAGGCCCTGCCGAAACCTAGATCATGGCAGATGCACTTATGTGCAGTAGCAGGGCAGGCAAGGGCACCGGCTGGGGCTCCCCCTTCTCCTCAGACCACAGACCCAATCAACCCTCCCGAAACCCCCACTACCAAGGCAAGAACCGTAAACAGCCTGAGTCAGAGCTGGGCGGCAGCGTACAAGCGTGTTGGTTCTGTCATTAGCTGTAATAGCAGCATCTCACCTGGCTGCCTATGCCTTTCATCCAAGCCTCTCAAAGAACTTGACAGACAGCAAAGGGTTCTATTATCTTCATATTACTAGTGGAGAAATGAAGGCCCCAACGAGCCTGGCAGCTTCTTCAGAGTTCATGGAGGAGCTGGCAGGAGGCTGGGAATGGGCAGGTCTCCAGGTCTTGGGCTTTTTGGCCTCTCCTCCTGCATCCGTGACTATGCTGACATGTGCTAGAAGGTGGTGGGGTTAACTTGTCCCCTTGAACTGATGTTGGGAGGTTCTGTCCAACATAGGAAGTAGGTTCTGAGTTCTTAGGCATCTACCTGTTTATTCTTTCTTCCCTAAGTTGTCAATGTTGAGCAATTAACAACACTAATAATTGCTACAACTTACATGGCGTTTACTGTGAGCCAGAGGATGCAGGTGCTATATTACTTCCATTTACAGATGAGGAAACTGAATCACAGATAAGTTAAATAACTTTCAGGTCATATATCCAGTAAGTAATAGAGTTAGGATTCAGGCCCAAAAGTCTGATGCCATAATTTTTTTTGTTTGTTTGTTTTTTGAGATGGAGTCTCGCTGTTGCCCAGGCTGGAGTCCAGTGGCGCAACCTTGGCTCACTGCAGCCTCCACCTCCTGGGTTTCAGCGATTCTCCTGCCTCAGCCTCCCGAGTAGCTGGGACTACGGGCATGTGCCACTGTGCCCAGCTAATTTTTATATTTTTAGTAGAAACTGGGTTTCACCACGTTGGCTGGGCTGGTCTCGAACTCCCGACCTCAGGTGACCTGCCCGCCTCGACCTCCCAAACTGCTAGGATTACAGGCATGAGCCACTGGGCCTGGCCCGATGCCATAATTTTAACCATAATATTATATTACCATTCTGGACCATACCTACATCAGACTCCTTGTGTCAAAGCAGAACCCCAACCTCAGCTCTGAAGAGAGGAAGGCTCCAGTCTTCCCTTTCTTCCTCATTTAGTGGCAATTGATGTGTGGAATGAATTCCCAGGAACCTTGCCCTGGATCTTGGTTATAGGGATGTTGTGGAGGAGATTCCTATTTGACAAAGTTTCTGATCTATCAGAGCCCAGGACCCAGGGATAGAGGTGCAGCATCACCAACCCCTACTCACCTTTTCCTCAATGCCAGTTGTCTAAGAACTGGGGAGAGAAGGGTGTCCCAGGCTACTTGGTAGTGGCTAGCACAGTGAGTATGCTCTTTGACAGGACGCTGCCACACTCATCTTCCAAGACAGGGAAATCGGCTGGGCGCGGTGGCTCACGCCTGTAATCCCAACACTTTAGGAGGCTGAGGTGGGCAGATCATCTGAGGTCAGGTGTTTGAGACCAGCCTGGCCAATGTGGCGAAACCCTGTCTCTACTAAAAATCCAAAAAAAAAAGCCAGGCGCGGTGGCCCATGCCTGTAATCCCAGCACTTTGGGAGGCCGAGGCGGGTGGATGATCTGAGGTCGGGAGTTCGAGACCAGCCTGACCAACGTGGTGAAACCCAGTTTCTACTAAAAATACAAAATTAGCTGGGCGTGGTGGCGCATGCCTTTAATCCCAGCTACTCAGGAGGCTGAGGCAGGAGAATCGCTTGAACCTAGGAGGCAGAGGTTGTGGTGAGCCAAGATCACGCCATTGCACTCCAGCCTGGGCGGGAAGAATAAAACTCCATCTCAAAAAACAAACAAACAAACAAACAAAATTAGCCAGGTGTGGTGGCACATGTCTGTAGTCCCAGCTACTCGGGAGGCTGAGGCAGGAGAATCGCTTGAGACTGGGAGGCGGAGGTTGCAGTGAGCTGAGATCGTGCCATTGCACTCCAGCCTGGGCGACAGAGCAAGACTCCGTATCAAAGAAAAACAAAAACAAACAAACAAACAAACAAAACACAAGGAAGTCTTATTCTCTGTCTCAAGGCCAACACCCTCTCCTGTACAATGCTCACCTTCTCAGTGGTGGCCATATCAAAGCACAGCCACAGATGGCTACCTATTCTGGCTTCTCAGAGAGGTCCACAGGCCCTGCCCCAGTCTGCCCTGCAGCATTTTTGGGGTTGGAGGTTATAGCCTGGTAAAAGCCACACTGGGAATCTGATTGTGCCAAAGCTTGCTGTGGGGCCTGGGGCAAGTCACTCATGCCACCAATGGCCCTCGGTTTCCTCATCTGTGGAATGAGGAAGTTAATCCAGTGCTGAGGTCTCCCCAAACACTCTGTTCTGTACTTGGCTCCTGGTTCTTGGATGTCTAGAAGGTAAAGTCTCTTGAGAGATGCCTGGGTGAATCACAGACGTGAGTGGTGGACAGGGGTGGCAGGAAATAGTGGGAAATTGTGCTAAGCAAGGTCGCCGGCCATTTCTATTACATGCTTCCAGTTCAACTATTTGTGACTTTCTGAAAAGTTTATGGTTTGGGGATTTTTTTTATTTGGTCATTTTTTCCATATTTGGTCATGGCCTAGAGCAGTGATTTTTGGAAAGATAGAGTAAAAAACCCCTTCAGCTGTTTGTAAGCATTGCAAACACCCACAAAAAATATCCTTTTTCCATTTAGAAGAAATAACAACATAGTTATGTTTTCCTTTTCAGCTCAAATAACTCCCAAACAACTCCAAAGACTTCAAACTTGGCTGGTAATTAATCCTTAACAAAGGGGACTGGACAGTATGTGCTCTGCAAAGTTTGGAAAAGAGAGATTTCAAATCAAAAAGTATTGATGCTTGAAAAAGCTCGCCATTTTTTCCTGTTTGCTGGCCCTAGCTCCCACACAGCAGCCCATTCCCAGGAAACCCAGAGTCTCAAGCTATAGCTCATGTGAGAATGAACTGAGAGCAAGGTGAACACATCTTCTGCTTGAAGATACTGGTTGTTTTCTTTCCTACGCTAGTGGTCTTTGCCTATTTCACAGGCTGTAAGACTGAGGCTGAGCAAAGTTGTAGTCAGGCCTTGCATTGCTTTGTAAGATGAATTGAATGGGCTTGTGAAAGCTTATATTTGGGGTCCTTGTCCCAGGAAACTTCCAGGAGGTACCTTCCAGTCCTAGCCAACGTGTCCAGGGAAGTCACTGGTTCTGGAGTCTAGGACCCACCAGAGTGAGAATCCAGAAGTGCTGGCCCTTGCAGAATGAAGCAATGATGGCTTAAGCGCCCATAGGAAGTGGAAAGGCTCTCCTCTGGGTGAGCAAGGAACCTTCTCCTTATCAGACCACATCCTCAGAGACCAGTGCTTGGGGCTTCTCTTCCACCATCTACCCACTCTCAAATCTCTCTTGGCTTCTTCTTTTGGAGACTTTTATCTTGCTTACTCCAGGAGGAATGCTAGTGCTAACATGGAAGAGAAATTGCCATCTTTCAATTGCTCTTCCTCGATCTGATACCTGCACGTCACCACCTGCAGCTCTTGACAGTGAGTGCCTCACCCCAGGAAAGAGGCTCCCCCTACTCTGCATATCAGGCAGAGATTGGACCTGGTGGGTTGGCAGGTGGAACAGAGTGGGGAAGAGGTGGCAGTGTGGAAAGAACACTGGACTCCCAGTGCCTGAGATCTAGTCTACTAGACCCATGGCTGACTTCCTCCCAGCCTCTGCAGACCTCTCCTTCTCTCCTTCCCAGCTGCCTTACCTGTATAGCAAGTGGGTGGGGCTACATCCTCTCTGGGGCCCTTTTCAGGGCAAGGGATCTGACTTGGCCTCTTGTTCTCAGGATTCTTTATATGAATGTGCACACACACACACACACACACACACACACACACACACACACACACAGAGATTCTTGAGTGGGGGGATGGTGACCAGCTAGTTCCCATCTCTACTGAAGAAGAGAATGCATAGATTCTGGGGTGGACCAAAGCTGGACATGAGAAGCTACTTGGCCAACCATGAGAGTCTTGCAGCCCAAAGCTATGTAACCAAGAGAGGTGTGCAGGCAGGAGCATGGGCAGAAGGATCTTGAGAGGGCCTGGCCAGCTGGGAGAGTTGAGGATGGACTCTGAACTTGCCTACCAGCTCATGCCAGCATATCATTTTCTCACATCTGGTTCCACATCTGGAATCAGCCAGATGTTCCTTTCAAAGTGCTGATGAGCCCTGCCCTGATTGCCTCAGGGGGAAAGCCATTTGGTGACACTGTCCTTCAGGCCCTGTCATCTTCTCCAGATGGTAGCCCATTTTTCAGCTTTGTGTCCTTGGGCACACCCACTGTACCACGAAGCTGGGGAGGGGTTGAGGGCAGCTGCTTGGGGTGAGGCCTGGCCTCAGACCCTTTGTCGGGCACTGAAACCTACAGTGCCTTTCCATTTCTTTCTGAGCAGCCGTTGGCTTCCTGGAATTTCCACATCCTGCCTGTTGACATTGGGACACTAGCTGCCCTGCTGATTTAGCCTTTCCATCTAATGGCTACGTGGCCATTGCTTCCACCTTATGACCTTTGCCTGGTGAATCCGTCTCCATCCCTGGGTCCCAGTTCTGGCCCATTCAGACTATCATGTCCTCTTCACATCTTCAGAAAGGAAGGGATGAGAACCAACCACCCCAAGCCTTCGAGAAGCCTGCGCTGGGGACCCTGGAGGATGCTGGAGAGGCAACAGCTTGATCCTTCCCTCAAGGACCTTAGAGTCTTGGGGCTAGGAAGGGTCATCTGAGAGCCCTTAGAGAGAAGTCAAAGTCATGTACTTCATGTAGGTAGGGCCTGGAATTGCAAAAGTCAGAGAGGGGGGAGATTACTGTGAGTTGGGGGTCAGGGAAGGTTTCTGGGGGAGGTGCTAGCTGGTCAGGACAGGGACAGCTCGGAGCCTCCTGACCTGACTATCCAGGTGCCCATATTGTGCAGTGTGTTGGGAAAGGTGACTGGATGCCACGGATTGTTGACAGTGATTCCTACAAGCTAGGGAGGGAGAAATGGACAGAGGGAGCACATGTGAATGGGGTGGGGGAGTTGCTGACCTGAGGCACACATTTGTTTATTTTCTTTCTTGGTTTGAGCTTCCTTCACCAGCCTCCAGAGCCTGCCCCACAGGGGGTCCCACCTTCCTCTGCCTGTCTCAGCATCTGCCTGCTCCTATGGAGAGAGCTCACCTTTGCAGGGCTTTCACCTACATTCTCATGTGTGGTAGGCAGGTAGACAGATGGCCCGATGCTCACCTTACAGAGGAAGAAGCTGAGGGTGAGGACGTTTCAGTGGCTTATCTCAGGCTCCATGGGGCTGATTCTGGCCTGGGACTCCCCCTGGAGTGCAGAGCATGCTCCAGGCTCCTGTTACACTTCATGGCCCTCCCACTTTGTCACGTTTCTCCTCCTCCTCCCTCAACTCACTGGGCTTGCATGGAAGTCCTGCTCTGTGCAGTCCATGGTCTGCCCTCAAAAGAGCACCCAATAGATATCTACTTACTGATATCCCACCTCACTGATAAAAGAGACGTGGGAAGACACTGGGTTCTAATCTCCTGAGGAGACAAGTCTGGCAGCCATGAGAGAGTTAACAACAGTCCAAGGCACATGTTAAGGGCAGAGTGAGCACCACAGCCCCTCCCATGATTACCCACTGCCTACAGGACTGGGCCCCAGTGTCCTAGCCCAGTTTATGTAGCCTTTCACCTTCTGGCTGCTGCCAAACCTCTCTAGCCTCAGCTTTCACTATTCCTCCCCACAGTCCATTCTTAACCTTCCTGAGCTCATTGTAGTTTCCATATGCATCACCCTCCCTCTCCCCTCTGGGCCTCTGCCGCTGCTGCTCCTCCTCTCTGCAACACCTCTCCCTCCCTCCACTCTGCTAACTCCTATTTGGCTTTCAGGTCCCCACTTGTCCGTCACCTCCTCTGAGAAGCCCTCCTGTCCCTCAATACTGACCCTGCCCCTGTTCCTTGATGGCGTTGAAGTGTACGTACCCTAAGCTCAGCACTTGCACACCCTGTAACTGCCTTTTACTGTTTGACTTTCTCAAGACTGTAAGCTCTTCAAGGGCCGGGGATAACCCTCTCATTCTCCATTTTCTCCATGCTGTCTAGCATGATACCTAGCATAGCAGAGGATGCCTGACAAATATTGTTTAAACATACATGAATTGAGTTGGCAAATGCAAGAAGAAGGGTGATGACAATCGTGAGTGGGCAGGTCAGGGACACAGTGCCCTACAGAGAAGGTAGAACTTGGGGTCAGACTGGAAGGATCATGAATAGAACAATAATAACAACACCAATAGCTAATGTTTACTGTGTGCCAGGCTCTGTTCCAAGCATTTTCTAATTTATCCTTACAAAAACCCTACGATGTAGGCATTATTACTCTCCCAATTTCACAGGTGAGTGGAATGTAAAAGGGGAATAACAATGATTTGATAGAGACAAAAAGGCATTTTAGGTTAAGAAAAGTGCATGAGCAAAGAGAGAGGAACTTGGCGGGATACGCGCAGGGGCCTCTGCGGAGAGTCGCTGGGGTGGAGGGCTTGGCCTGGAGAGCCATGGGAGTGAGGATTGATGACGTCCAGGGTTGCTAAATCACAGAGAACCTTTAAGTTGGGGCTTAGAAGTTTATTTATCTTGACTAAGGCGTTGAGAAGCCATTGCCACTTCCTCAGCAGGAGAGTGGGTGGTGGGATGAATTTGGCCATGGTGTGATGGATGAATTGGAAGGGAGAAAACAGGCAGGACAGCCAGGAGAGTGCTGGCACAATTTCCCTCCCTTCCTGCCCCTCCAGTCATTTCATTCTTCCTTTTCATCATTGTCCACTATAGGTGCTGACATGGGCGACCTTGGGACCTGGGGCTAGACAGCCGCTGCAGGTCTCCTGGGGCCCCAGGCTGCTCCTCTCTGGCTTGGCTGCTGCTGGCTGCTCAGGGCTGTGACCGTGACCTGGGTTGGGCTGGATTTCTCCTCCACGGTCACTTTTGCTAATGAGAAGCAGTTGTCTTGCCACGATCGTGCAGGAGGCAAGGGGAGAGAACCGCCAGCCTGGCCTCATGCTTGCTCTGTGTCCCCCACCCCTCCCTGGGTCTCTTTTTTTCAGCTTCCAGCCACCCCCACACCCTGCCCCTTGCCTCCCAGTGAGCAGGCTACCTGCCCTCAACTCTGGCCCACTTTTTCAGGTTCTCTTCGGGTTTCCAGTGCAGAGAAACTGCCAGGGATGGGGGAGGGGTTTCATGAGGGCCTGTAAATCCTGCGTTGGGGGACCCTTCACTGCTTCCTCCTGCTGTATTCACCTCTTTCTACATTTTCTCCCTATTGTCAGATGGGGGGCTTGGATCACCTGAGCTCTGAGGTGCTTCTGGTTCTCATGTGGTTTTTTGCTTTCAGTCTTGCTTACTCTGTCTTTCCTTCTCCCTCTCAGCATCTCCCGGGCTGGGGCCCTCCTACGATGAACAGAATATGTCCTTTCCTCTTATCATCATCTGGTCAAATCCTTCTTATCTTTTGAGACCCCATAGCCTCCAGGAAGCCTGTTGTGACCACTGTACCTTGTCAGTGTTCCAGAAAACGCTGGCTGGGCCCTAGTGCAGTGCCCCAGGTAGTCAGACCACCTAGCCCTGATAGCCTTGCGTTGAGTCTTTGTGGGTCATCTGGCTGGTTCTCTCAGGATGAGAGCGGTGGGAAGGGGTTGGAGGATGGAGTGCAGTGAGGATAGGAGTGGGGACAAGAGGCGTAGATAGATATTCTAGTGCCTTCCCTGCCAGAAGCATCCAGAATGCCTGGCTTCATGAAGGCAGAGGAGAGGGGCCTAGAGTGTTTCTCTGGCTGACCTGTTTCTTCCAGCTCTTGCCAGACTCAGGACCCCCTTCCCCAGGTCCGTTAACCCTTCAGCCCCAGTCACAAAGGCCCTTTTTGGCTATGTCCACGGCTTTGAGCTTTCAGTAGCTCTCTCTGCAGGGCAGGAGACCCACCTCCCAGCTCAACCCCCTCTCTTCACAAGCACAAGGGCGGCCACAGCCCATGGTTAAGTGCTAGTCCATACTCCCTCCCCACGTCACCCCCAATCCCAGAAAGTGTGTCAGAGGCCCACTGACAATTCTTGAGGCCTTGCTCTTTCTTCTTCTCTCTTTATTGAGGCCTCTTTTTTATGGCAATGTTGTTGATAGTGCACATATTCCAGAGTAATATGTTCAGGATTAGGCCGCACAATGAGGTTATGACTTCCTCCTGTGCAACCCCCACCCAGGGGAGCTTGCCCTCCATCTGGCCGGCGCACATCTGGCTCAGGCTCACAGCTGGCCAGATGTTGCCTCCCTCTGAACCCAGGCCTGCAGCCTCCTCTGCTAGAGGCTGGAGCTGCACACATACACACGTGCGCACATACACGCATGCACACACACGCACACACACACGCACCGCCCCACTCCATTTGGAGCATTGAAGCACTGAGGTCATCTGACTCTTCAAGGGGGAGGAGGGGAGAGCTCGGCCTTAGTGCAATTATTCCTCCTCCACCGTGGTAGGGCGAGCAGGCTGTGGGGACACATCTGCGGAGGTATGTAAATATCAGGTTCCCTGCTTCCAGCCCAGACAGGCTAGTGGGAAGGACCCACTTGAAACCAGGTTATGAATCTGGAGCCTTCTCCCACCCCATCCAGGGGCCAGCTGCTCTTAGCAGATTCCTTGTGCACTGGTTTTGGGGTGCTCTGGGGGTCTAAGCCACGGAAGCTCTCCTGTCTCAGGCTGAGGCCGCCCTCTGCACCTTGTTTCTGCCCACCCACCTGTTTCCCACCCTTGCCTCATTTTCCTCTTTTCCTCTTCCCACCTTCAGTAGTTCATGGATTGTGTAGTTTAAAGGACAAAAGGTACAGAGGCTGGGCCCTGGACCCTCAAATAATTGAGACGTGATCTGCCAAATTTGTTTCCCCATTGGTGTTGGCAGAGGCTGGGCAGAGGAGCAGGGTAGGAAAAGGAAACTGCATTTATTGGGTGCCAACTATGTGTCAGGCACTGAGCAAGATGCTTTAAATATATTATATTGGTTAATCCCTGCAACCATTCTGCAAAGTAGATATTATTATCTTTATTTTACACACAAGGAAAGTATGTCTCAGAAAGGTTAAATCCCTTGCCCATGGTCACATGGCTAGGAAGAGGCAGAGCCAGAATTCCAAAGCTTCACTACAAACTAAATGCCCTTATGCCATGCTTTCTTCCTGGCGATGTAGTTGGTAAATGCCTCTACCCATCTGTAAGTCCTCCTGGCTGGCCACTGCATGACCTGGATCTTCCAGGGCTAAGACCCTGAGGCTGCGAGCCTTGTCCTTCCTGCCAGGCCAGGCCAGGCTGCCTGGGTGAGCCAGGGGGAGGGCGTGCCATAGGAGGGTGCAAGGCTTAGGTTGCAGTGTTGTAACCAGTTGGGTTTTCTGCATGGTTGGTCAAGAGCCTGGGGACTGAGCTCTCAGAAACACAATTAGGAGTTGAGAAAGCTGGGTGGTGTAGGATGAAAGGCAGGCGGATGGGCCAAGGAGGCATCTCTGGGGAACTTGGGAGCTTTCCATGGCTGTGGGACAGAGAAACCTCATTAGAGGAGCCACGGAGCTCAGGCTGCTATTGTTAGCTCATCGTTCCATCAGACTTCCAAAGGGCCCCCAGCAGATGGAATATTCCAAGGGCCTTCCAGGGTCCCCTCTTCCTGACTACAGCATGTGGCACCCCAGAGAGGCAGCAGGGGGTGAGCAGGCACCCTCCAGCCTGGCTGTGATCCACTATGTCCCCATGACAGCACCAGCATTTGACTGCCCTGGGCTTGAAGAGCAGGAACAATGAAAGGCCTCACTCCTACCTCTCGATAAGTAGCCAAAGAGAGACATAGACACCCAAGACACACACACAAACACTGCTCTGTATCTTTCTGCCTCAAACAAAACTGTCATTTTAGAGATGAAACTGAAGCACAGAAAGTGAGGGACTTGGCAAGGTCACATATCCAGCAAATGTGTACCTTCTCAGTCTGCATCCAGGGCTTGGCCCACATTAGGGAGGTAGCATGGGGCAGTGGAAAAAGCACAGACTTGGGGTCATCTAGGCCTAGGTTGAAAGCCCAGTTCTGCCTCTTCTCTGCAGTGTGACAACACTTGGAGCCAGTTTCCTCTTCATTAAACTTGCAGATTTGCACTGAGGATTAGAGACAACATAGAAGATGATCAATATATGGGAGCTGTTATTGGCAGCAGTGGCCAGGATACTGACTGGGCTAGTAGTCACGATGCAGCTAGGATGGTGGCTGGGAGAGGGGCTGAGTGGTGGGTTGAAATGGCGGCAGTGATCATCAAAGTGATGGTAACAATTATGTGAAGTGGATCTTTGTTTGTGGGAAAGGAGTGGTCCATTCAGGTTAGGTCCCTCAGGAAGTTCAGACCTGAATTTCTTTCCCACCACTAGAAGGCTCAATATGTGGGAGCCTTGTGGTTGGATATGACCAGATGTCAGTTGCAATGGGATTAGTTTAATTCTGGCGTGTGGAAAGTATTTGCCCCAGGAAAGGCGGCAGCTGTGATTGCAAAAGCACCTGCAGGAGGCATGGTCAGCTTGGGGATGTCCAAAGCCACCTTTACCCTCCTCCTACTCTGGTTCTCCAGGAAACTGCAAGTCACAGTCCAGCTTTGGGACCAGAACCTTCCTAAAGAAGTGGAAATGGGAAGCTCTTTAGGTTTCAGTGAAAGGGGAGACCTTAGCTCTCTTAACATCAGGGAATTTTCTACTTTGAAAGAAGCTAAATGTTCTACAGAAGGTGTATCATACTCCTGGGTGTGAGGGAACTACTGGAATTTCCAGCACTGTATGCCAGCTCCCAAGGGACAGGCAAACCCTCCAGCTCTCCCCTGAAGTAGGTTGAGATGGTACCGCCAATCATGGAGGGGGCCAGCATTAATCGTCTGTGTCCCTGGCATTGGGAGTTTGGTCTGTGGTGTGTGGCTCACTCTAGCTGACCTTCTGAGGAACGAAGAAGAAATGTTGAAACAGAGCTTGGTTCAAAGGCTGCTCTACCCAAGGGAGCCTACAATTCTCTTTCTACTAATGATCCTTTGAAATAATCCTTTTAATCAGGTTTCCCCCTAGGAAGAGTCTGGGGCACTGCTCTTAACAAATTTTCCCTTGTGTCTTTGTCACACACATGCCATTCCCAGCAGCCTTTTGCTATTTAGACAGAGGAAGGAGCCATGCAAAGAATGTAGCAGTACTAGTTGCCCTTTGGGAGGCCTCTTCCCATGACCAGGCCCCCTGCCAAGCTTTGAGGGTGTCTATTACTTCCCTTTTCTCATGCTCCAAAACCAAGGTGAGCAGGACTTGTCTAGGGGCAGCTGGTAAATATGAACACCTAGCCATGGCCAGACACCCAGCAAAGCCTTCTTTAGAAGTAACCATTTATGTGTGAACCTTAGAAACGTGACTTTTGAAGACTAAAGGAAAGTTCTCTGCACCAAATAGCAGTTATGCTGGGGTCATTCCTTAGAGTAAGATATTCTTCTTAAGTAAAATATAAGTTCCTTAGCTAAAATAGAATAGAAGCCTAGAAGGAAAAAAATATATATGTACAGAAGTCTGACAAGACGTACATCAAAATGTTTCTAATTATTATCTTCAGGTAGTGGGTGTTCTAGTGACTTTTATGCCTTACTTGTACTTATTGAGAATTACTTTTGAAATAAGAAAAAAAAAAGTATTAGTTAAAAATTCCCTTAAAGGAAGGTCACACTCCATTACTCATCTGTTCTTCAGTAAAAATTAGTTCTGGGTCTTTTCCTAAGAGCAGGATTTGCTAGAGAGAGGGAGATCATCTCTGAATCCTTAACCCTAAAATAGTGATATCATAGTTTGTACATAGCATGACCATTATATGTCTGTGGAATAATGTATTGATTGATTTTTTAAGGGCTGTTGGAGTGGTGGAAATGATGAAAATTTGAGAGAGGAAAGATGGGGGCTCCTCAAACCTCCTTAATATGCAGCTTCTTTCTCCCTTAAAGGGAGAGAGGAAACAGGAGATTATTTTTATAGTGGTCAAATTAGTCTTATCAGTTTCATTCCTCACTGAAGTGTCTACACTACAGATTTTTGGAGAAGCCTATTGGTAGGGAATTGAAGCCTCAGGGTCACTGAGAATCCTAGAAGCCTCAGGGTCACCGAGACTCAGAGGCTTTGTTAATTGAACATGGCTGCCTGTGGCTGCGGAGCTTGCCTATGCCGAGGGAATCTTGACTCTAGCCTCTGTCTTACCCTCATGTCCAATCTGAAATCAAGTCCTATACATTGTACCTCCTAAACACTTCTCAGATTCTACCAGTTCTCTTCATCCTCACTACCACTACCCTTGTCTCACCCAGAACTCCTGCAACAACCTGCTAACTGGGCTAACTCCAGTCACTTCTATTTTGTGTGCTGCAGTCAGAATAAATATTTTAATATATGGATATTATCTTATGATTATACTGCTTAAAACCATTCAACAACTTCCCATAGCACTCAAGATAAAGTCCAGACCTCCTGGTATTCAGTTTTGCAATGAGGATTAGATACAACATTGCAGATGCTCAGTAAATGGGAGCTGTTATTGGCAGCAGTGGCCAGGATATTGACTGGGCTAGTAGTTGAGATGCAGCTAGGATGGCGGTCAGGAGAAGGGCTGAGTGATGGGCTGGAATGGTGGCAGTGATAATCAAAGTGATGGTAACAATTATATGTGAAGCGGACCTCTGTGTGGGAGAAAGAGTGGCTCAGGTTAGGTCTCTCGGGAAGTCCAGAGCTGAACTTCTTTCCCACCACTAGAAAGGTTGGTATGTGGGAGCCAAGAGGTTGGATATGACCAGATGTCAAGTGCAATGAGACTGGTTCCGTTCTGACTACGAAGAGTATTCGTCTCAGGAAAGAAGCCTTCTGCCTCTTTTGGTATAGTTCATTGACATTATGCTAAATGAAATTATCTAGTCACAAAAAGACAAATGCCACATTAATTCTATTGATATGAGGTGCCTAGAGTAGTCAGATTCATAGAGACAGAAAGTAGAATGGTGGCTGCCAGGGGTTGGGTGGGGGAGGAGAAAATAGGGAGTAATTGTTTATGCATACAGTTTCCTTTTCAAAGATGAAAAAAGCTCTGGAGATGGAGAATGGTGATGGTTGCACAACAATGTTCATGTACTTGGTTCCACTGATACACTTTAAAGTGGTTAGAATGGTAAATTTTACATTATGTGCATTTTACCACAATAAAAAGAATTGGAAAGAACTGGTAAAGGATCTAAACAGGCACTTCTCCAGAGGAGCTATACAAATGGCCAATAAGCATGTGAAAGTATGTTCAACATCATTAGTCATTAGGGAAATGCAAATCAGAACCACAATGATATACCACTTCACACCTATTAGGATAGCCAGACTAAAAAAGATGCATAATAATAAATGTTGGCAAGGATGTGGAGAAATGGGAACCCTCATACACTACTAATAGGAATATAAGATGGTGCATGCAGTTGGTTTGGAAAAGTCTGGTGAACCAGCAGTGCACTCCCAGGTGTACATATACCCAAGAGAAATGAAAACGTATGTCTTTACAAAAACTTGTACACAAATGTTCACAGAAGCATTATTCGTAATAAACAAAAAGTAGAAACCACCTAAATGGCCATCAACTGTTGGTTGGATTAATAAAATGTGGTATATCCACAATAGAATATTATTTGGCAACAGAAAGGAAAAAAGTACTGAAACATGCTA
This sequence comes from Homo sapiens, assembly GCF_000001405.40. NCBI lineage: Eukaryota > Metazoa > Chordata > Mammalia > Primates > Hominidae > Homo > Homo sapiens. Next base: position 139,947,395 of record NC_000005.10, on the reverse strand, counting down.
CAATGTGGATGAACTTTGAAAACTTTATTCTAAGTGAAAGAAGCCAGTCACAAATGACCAAACATTGTATAATTTGATTTATATGAAATGTCCAGAATAGGCAGATCTTTAGATACAGAAGGCTGATTAGCAGTTTCTTCAAACTGGGGAGTTGTAGGAGGCCAAAGAGTATGGGTTTACTTCTCAGGTTGATAAAATGTTCTAAAATTGATTGTAGTCATGGTTGTACCACTCTTTGAATATATTTAAAAATCATTGAATTGCACACTTTAAATGTGTGAATTGTATGGTATGCGAACATACCTCAATAAAACTGTTTTGCCAGCAATGCACAAGCGTTCAAATTTCTCCACATCCTCACCAACGCTTGTTATCTTCTGTTTTTTTTTTTAATAGTAGCCATCCTAATAGGTGTGAGGTGGTATCTCACTATAGTCTTGACTTGTGTTTCCCTAACGATTAGTGATGTTAAGCATCTTTTCATATGCTTGTTGACCATTTGTATATATTCTTTGGAGAAATATGTATTCATACCCTTTGAATAGACATTTCTCCAAAGAAGAAATTAAAGACATTTCTCCAAAGAAAAAATTAAACCCATTTTTAACCAGATTGTTTTATTGTTGTTGAGTTGTAAGCATTCTGTATATATTATAGATATAAGTTCCTTATCAGATGTATGATTTACAGATACTTCCTACAATTCAGTGGGTTGTCGTTTCACTTTCTTAATGATGTCCTTTGAAATACAGAAGTTTCTAATTTTGAGGAAGTCCAATTTATCTATTTTTTCTTTTCTTGTTCATACTTTAAGTGTCATATCCAACAAATCACTGCCCAATCCAGTGTCACAAAGAAATACATCTATGTTTTTTGAGAATTTTATAGTTTGAGCTCTTCCATTTAGGTCTTTGATCCATTTTGAGTTAGTTTTTGTATACAGTGTGAGGTAGGTATCCAACTTCACTATTTTGCTGTGGATATCTAGTTGTCTCAGAACAATTTGTTAGAAAAAACTAACAATTTGTAATTCTTTCCTGATTACATTACTTTTATATCCTTGTTGAAAACCAATTAACCATAAGTGTGAGAGTTTATTTCCGGATTCTCAATTTTATTCTATTGATCTGTTTCTGTCCTTATTCTGATACCGCACTGTCTTAATTTATTGTGGCTTATAGTAAGTTTTGAAAGTGGGAAGTGTGAGTCTTGCAACTTTGTTCTTCTTTTTCAAAATTGCTTTGACTATTTTGGGCACCTTGTCAGCTTGAATTTTAAGATCAGCTTGTCAATTTTTGCAAAAAAAGCAAGCCAGGAATTTGATTGGGATGGCACTGAATCTGTAGATCGATCTGGGGAATATTGCCATCTTAACAATATTGAATCTCCTGATTCATGAACATATGATGCCTTTATATTTATTGAGAGCTTCTTTAATTTCTTTCAACAGTGTATTTTGTAGTTTTCAGAGTTTACATTTTGCACTTCATTTGTTAGATTTATTCCTAGTTACATTACTCTTTTTGATGCTATTATAAATGGAATTGTTTTCTTAATTTCATTTGCAAATTGTTCATTGCAAGTGTATAAGAATATAATTTATTTATGTAGATCTTATATCCTGCAACTTTGTTGAATTCATTTATTCATTCTAATGGCTTTTTTTAGTAGACTCCTTAATACTAAGGAGTATTTCTATATATAAGATTATTTCATCTACCTATCAAAATGCCAATGACATTTTTCACAGAAACAGGAAAAAAAATCCTAAAATTTGTATGGAACCACAAAAGACCCCAAATAGTCAAAGCAATACCTCCAGTTTTGTTCTCTTTCCTCAAATCTGTAGTAACCAAAACAGCATGGTACTGCCATAAAAACAGACACATAGACCAATGGAACAGAACAGAGAACCAGAAATAAACCCACATATTTACAGCCAACTGATATTTGACAAAAGTGCCAGGAACATTCTTTGGGGAAAAGACATCTTTTCAATAAAGACCTAAATGTAAGACCAGAAATTATAAAACTACTAGAAGAAAATATAGGAGAAATGCTTCAGGACATTGGTCTGGGAAAATATTTTATGAATAAGACAGGCGACAAAAGCAAAAATAAACAAATGGGATTATATCAAACTAAAAAAGCTGCTGCATATCAAAGGAAACAATCAATAGAGTGAAAAGAAAACCTATAGAATGGAAGAAAATATTTGCAAACTACTGATCTAATAGGGAATTACTATCCAGAATATATGAGAAACTCAAACACCTCAACAGCAGGAAAACATACAGTTCGATTAAAAAATGGGCAAAAATGGTCTGAACAGATATTTCTCAAAAGAAGACATACAAAAGGCCACACAATATATGAAAAATCCTCAGCATCACTAATCATCAGGGAAATGCAAATCAAAACCACAATGAGGTATCATCTCACCCCAGTTAGGATGGCTATAATCAAAAAGACAAAAAATAAATGCTGGTAAAGATGCAGAGAGAAGGGAACTCTTATATGCTGTTGGTGGAAATGCAAACTAGTACAGCCACTATGGAAAACAGTATGGGGGTCTCTCAGAACAATACAAATAGAACTACCCTATCATTCAGCAATATCACTACTGGGAGTTTATCCAAAGGGAAATTATTACATGTGAGAGACATTTGCATCCCTATGCTGATTACAGCACTGTTCACAATAGTGAAGACATGGAATCAACCTAGGGGTCGAGCAATAGATGAGTGAACAAAGAAAATGGGGTACATACACACAATGGAATACTATTCAGCCATAAAACGGAATGAAATCCTGTCATTCATGGCAACATGAATGGAACTGGAGGACATTGTGTTAAATGAAATAAGCCAGGAACAGAAAGTTAAACAGTTCGCATTCTCACTCATATGTGGAACCTAAAAAAAAGTTGATCTCAAATAAGTAAAAAAGTAGAACAGAGGATACTAGAGGCTGGGAAGAGTATAGGGAAGGAAGGATAGACAGAGATTTTTAAAAGGATACAAAATTACAGCTAGATAGGAGGAATAAGTTCTAGTGTTCTATAGTCCAGTAGGATGACTATAGTTAATAATAATATATAGTTTCAAAAACCTAGAAGGAGGATATCCAATGTTCCTATCACAAAGAAATGATAAATGTTTGAGATGATGGATATGCTAATTGCCCTGATCTAATCACCATACCTTGTATGTGTTGAAACATTTTTTTTTTAAAGATCGTATCATCTGAGAGTGAATTGAGATACTTTTGCTTCTTCCATTCCAATCTGGACACCTTTTATTTAATTTTTTTTGCCCACATATTTTTTAGGGGTTGAAAAAAATCAAATAACTACAAATGAGTATAGTTGAGAAAACATTAATTCAGTACAAAGAATAATATTTGTGATGTGAAAATTGTATGAAATTCAAAACTGTGTCCATAAATAAAGTTTTATTAGAATGCATAGCCATGCCATTTGTTTGCATATTGTTTATGGGTTTGTTTGTTTGTTTGCATTGCCAGTGAGAAGTTGCCATAAAAATTGTATATGACACTCCCCTCACTGCACTGCTGCAGTGATAGTTATAACCTAACAATGTTAATAAGTGACATGTGTATCACTATACTGTGGTATTTCATTTTATTTTTATTACTGGTGCATCCTCATTATGTCAAAACAAGAAAAGAAAAGTGGACTTTGAATGTCTTGCTTTTGAAACACAATGTACTGTAGATTATTTTGTTATTAAATTAGATGATAATTAGCTTTATTACACAATGGCATTATAGACATGCTAAAAGAGCATAATATATGTCAATATTACCAAACACTTAACATTTATCACAATATTCCCAGCTCACAGACAAGAAACAGTCAGAAAAATTAGAAAATTTAAAATCAAAGATCTCATTACAGCACAATTTCTTCACAAAAATCAAAAGTGGGGCCGGGCATGGTGGCTCATGCCTGTAATCCCAGCACTGTGGGAGGCTGAGGCAGGTGGATCATGAGGTCAGGAGATAGAGACCAGCCTGGCTAATACAGTGAAACCCCATCTCTACTAAAAATACAAAAAAAATTAGCCAGGCATGGTGGTACGCGCCTGTAATCTCAGCTACTCGGGAGGCTGAGGCAGAAGAATCACTTGAACCTGGGAGGCAGAGGTTGCAGTGAGCCGAGATCGCGCCATTGCACTCCAGCCTGGGTGACAGAGCAAGACTCCGTCTCAAAAGAAATAAAAATAAAAAGTGAGGCCAGACACGGTGGCTCGCACCTATAATTGCAGCACTTTGGGAGGCTGAGACGGATGGATAATCTGAAGTCAGGAGCTCAAGACCAGCCTGGCCAACATGGTGAAGCCCCGTCTCTACTAAAAATACAAAAACTAGCCAGGCGTGGTGACATGCAACTGTAGTCTCAGCTACTCAGTAGTCTGAGGTGGGAGAATTGCTTGAAACTAGAAGGTGGAGGTTGCAGTAAGCCGAGATGCCACCACTGCACTCTAGCCTGGATGACACAGTGAGACTGTTTCAATAAATAAATAAATAGTGGAAATCAGGCTACATCAAACTAATTTTCCAAGTGGCTCATTTGTTAGCAAAGCAAGGAAAGTTGTTTACAAATGGTGAGTTAATTAAACTGTGTACAGAGAAAATAAATTCACTAAAGAGTATTAGTCTTTCTGCAAAAATAGTTGTTCAAAGAGCTGTGGACATTGGGAGAAACATAAATAGTAAAGTTAAAGACAAGGCAAACAATTTTGAGTGGTTTTCCTAGGCTCTGGATGAGTTGACAGATGTTAACAATAATGACCATTTATTATTGTTTATTTGAGGAATGGATGCCAAGTTTGAAGTCACTGAAGAATTTGCCTCTAAGAATAGTGTAGAATAACTACGGATGAGAATAGTTGGGAAAACACTAACTCAGTACAACCTGAAGTGGAATCTGCTAAGATGTGTTATAACTAATGATCACAAAAATATGTATGCAGCAGAAAAAAGGCTTAATTGGGGAAATTTACAAAACTTATGAAAACATAAAATGTTTAAAGCTTGTGGTCATTCATTGTATTATTTATCTACAGGTACTTTGAAGGAAATATTTTAATCTGTCATGTATTATTGAACCAGTGGTGTCAACAGTGAACACCATTCACTCTTAGGAACTTAACCATTGACAGTTCTGTGCATTTTTTGACTGAAATAAGAGCTAAAGATGTTAACTTGTCCTATCATACATTTTGATGATTTAACAGTAGTAAAATTTTGTTGTGATTTTTCTTTTAGCTCAGAGCTGACATTGATATTTTTCTGGATGAAAAAACTACCCTTAACCAGTGTTATCAAATACTAAATGATTTTGGATAATAGCTTTTGCTACGGATTTGGTATTTCTTAATGAATTTAACCTAAAATTACAAGGTAAAACAATGCTTATTTGTGAAATTTATATGGCGGTAAAATAATTTTGACTATAACTAATGTTGTTTGAATCACAAATCATGTCAAGCTGCTTTACACTCTTCCCATGCTATGGGAAGTTGAAACAAGAAGCAAGCTCTCCGTTCCACACAAGTTTGCAATGGACATATTTTCTGAGCTCAAACTATAGTTCCAGCAGTGTTTTATTCCAATGTTGATGCAAGTGCAAATGAAATTTCTACACTTCAAAATTCACTTAACTCTGCAATTGAGGGACTTCCACCTAACCTTCAACTGGAAGTAATTAACCTGCAATGTAATGACAAGCTAAAGGCAAATATCAAGAGAAGACTCTATCAGAATTCTATAAATGCCTTCCAAGTGATGAATATGCTCAATTAAAATCATATGCTTATGGATTGATATCAATATTTGGCATTACTTTTCTGTATGAAAAAGACATTTTCAAAGATGAAATACATCAGATCTCATTACAGATCAGCATTAACAGGTGAATATATGCAATCAATTTTGACAGTAAGACACACTAGATTTGCATCATAATTAAATGAAATGTTATCCCCCACCCCCCAAAAATTCTATTATTCTCATTAATAGGCCTGTATTACAAAAAAAGTATTCAATGATTATATGTTGAATTTTGTCAATTCAAAATTATAAAATTTTTGTGTTTGTCTTGTGCAAATACCCACAAAAAATGTTTGATTTTTTGCCTTTTGGCCCATGAAGTCGAAAATCTTTAATACCTGGCTCTTAACAGAAAAAGTCTGCTGAGCTTTAGCTCACAAGATGAAAACCCAGCCCCCATCAGTCTCATATTTGTCCTTCAATATTCCAGCTTCACAGAGCTACCCTGCAGTTGCCCAATCTCACATTTTCTTTCTTTCCTTGTGATCTTTGTATATGCTATTCTCTCTGTCTAGAATGATCTTTTTTTCCTTCCCTACTTCTGTTGGCTAATTCCTTACTGTCCTTCAGGTCTTAGCTTAAATATAACTTCTTCAAAGAAGTATTTACTGACGCTGTCCACCACTGTGAGACAGATACCCTTCCTGATGAACTTCCACAGCATCCTGTACTTCCCTGTATCAGCATCTTTTTTTTTAAATGTACATGGCAAAAAATCCAAGAATGCATGATGGAAAATAAAGTCTCCCACATATCTCAGACTCCAGACACTGAATTCTTATTCCTAGAGGCTACCACTGTTATATTTTCTTGGGTATCCTTCTAGAGATATTCTCTGCCTACATGGCACATACCTATGTGTTTTCTTTTTTGCCCTCACAAATGATAGTATACTGTATACATATTTCTGCACCTAGTTTTTTCCACTTAACTATGAACTTTGGAGTCTATTCCATATGTACCTTGTAGAGCTGCCTCATTTTTAAAAATTGAGACAGAATTAAGACAATAAATTTCACCAATTTTAAGAGTACAACTTGATGAGTTTTAGCAAATGTATGCAGTCAGGTAAACATCACTACAATCATGTTAGAGGATGTTTCCATTACTCACAAAAAAATTTCTCATGCCCCAAGCAATAATTGATTTGCTTTCTGTCAGTACAGATAAAATGGAATCACATAGTATGTATTCTTTTGTGTCTGGTTCCTTTTGGCAAGAATAATGTTTCTGAGATTTATCTATGCTGTTGCATGTATCAGTAATTCCCTCCTCTTTATTGCTCAGTAGTATTCCATTGTTTTTATATATCACAATGTGTCTATCCATTCCCATCTTGGACATTTGGATTGTTTCCAGTTTGGGGCAATTAAAACTTCTATGAACATTTGTGGACAAATCTTTGTGTGGACATGTTCTTATTTCTCTTGGATGAATACCTAGCATGGCAGGGTTGAAGGAAGATCTATGTTTAATATTTTCAGAAACTACCAAACTGTACCATTTGACCTTCCCAGCAGCAGTTACTAAGGAGTTCCAGTTGCTCCATGTCTTTCCCAACCTTTTGTATTTATCATTTGTTCTAATGTTGGCCATTCTAGTGGGTGTATAGTAGTATCTCACTGGTTTGATTTGCATGTCACTGATGATGTGTGGTAAGTATCTTTCCATGTACTTTTTTTGCCATTGCTATATATTTTTTTTGGTCAAGTGTCTGTTCAATTTTTTGCCCATTTTTTTGAATGGACTTTTTTCTTTTTATATTACTTAGTTGTAAGAGTTTTTAAAACATATATTCTAGACATAATTCCTTTGTCAGATACGTTTTGCAGATTGTTTTCCAATTTCTCCTTTGCCTTTTCATTTTCATAAAACTGTCACTTGAAGAGCAGAAGTTTTAAATTTTGAAGTCCTAGTTATATTTTTCTTTTGTTTCCTACATTTTGACTCCTATTTAAGAAATCTGGCCAGATGTGGTGACTCATACCTGTAATCCCAGCACTTTGGGAGGCCAAGGCGGGCAGATCACTTGAGGCCAGGAGTTCAAGACCAGCCTGGGCAACACGGTGAAACCCTGTCTCTACTGAAAATACAAAAATTAGCTGAGCACTGTGGCTCATGCCTGTAATCCCAGCTATGCAGGAGACTGAGGCATGAGAATCGCTTGAACCCAGGAGGCAGAGGTTGCAGTGAGCTGAGATCATGCACTACCCTCCAGCCTGGGCAACAGAGCAAGACTCCATTTAAAAAAAGAAAGGAAAGAAAGAAAGAAAGAAAAAGAAAGAAAGAAAGAAAGGAAGGAAGGAAGGAAGGAAGGAAGGAAGGAAGGAAGGAAAGAAATCTTTGCCAAACCCAAGGTCATTAAGAATTTCTGCTATGTTTATTTCTCAGACTTTTTTAGCTTTTACATTTAGGTCTGTGATCCATTTTGAGTTAATTTTTGTGTATGGTGTGATCTAAGGGTCAAGGTTCTCCCTTCCTTCCTTCCTTTCCCTTCCTTCCTTCCTTCTTTCCTTGCTTCCTTCCTTCCTTTCCTTCCTTGCTTCCTTCCTTTCCTTCCTTCCCTTCCTTCCTTCTTTTTTCTTTCTTTCTTTCTTTCTTTCTTTCTTTCTTTCTTTCTTTCTTTCTTTCTTTTCTTTCTTTCTTTCTTTCTTTCCTTCTCTCTCTCTCTCTCTCTCTCTCTCTCTCTTCCCTTTCTGTATATGACTGTCCAATTGTTTCAGCACTGTTTGTTAAAAAGATTATCCTTTTCCCCCCAAGAATCCCCTTGAATTGCCTTAAAACCTTTGTCAACAATCAATTTGTGTGGGTATATTTCTGGATAGTCTATTGTGTTCTATTGATCTACATTCTTGATTATTTTAACTTTATAATATATCTTGAGGCTGTACATGGTGGCTTGAGCCTGTAATTCTGGGCAGCCAAGGTGAGAGAATCACTTGGGCTCAGGAGTTCAAGACCAGCCTGGGAACACAGCGAGACTTCATCTCTACCAAAAATTTAAAAAAGAAAAAAATTAGCGGGGCATGGTGGCCTGGGTCTGTAGTCCTAGCTGCTCAGGAAGCTGAAGTGGGAGGACTGTTTGAGCCCGGGAGATAAAGGCTGCAGTGAGCTATGATCAAGCCACTGCACTCCAGCCTGGGAGACAGAACAAGACCCTGTCTCAAAAAAAAAAAAGTATTGAAATCAGGTAGTGTAAGGTCTCCAACTTTTTCTTTTACAAAATTGCTTTTGGCTATTCTGGGTCCATTGCATTTCCACATACATTTTATAATTAGCTTATCAATTTCTACTAAAAAGCCTGCTGGGATTTGATTAGATTTCATTGAACCCACAGATGAATTTAGAGAAAAGTTACAGCTTAGTATTGAGTCTTCTCATCCATGAACACGTATTTCCATTTATTTAGATCTTACTTTTTCTCACCAATATTTCATAGTTTTGTTATTATTATTTTTTCGTAGACAAGGTGTCACTCTGTCCTCTAGCCTGGAGTGCAGAGGCACAATCATAGCTCACTGTAGCCTCAAACTCCTGGGCTCAAGCAATCCTCCTGCCTTATCCTCCCTGAGTAGCTGGGATTACAGGTGCACACCACCTTGTCCGGGTTGTTTCATAGTTTTCGGTGTGTAGTTTCACACTGAAAATAATGTATGTGTAAGAGTTTTTAAAAAATATATTCTGTGTGTTCACAGAATATATATATGTGTTCATAGTTTTCATTGTGTAGTTTCAGTGTGTAGTTTTATATATCTTTTGTTAATTTTTTCTCTAGATTTTTTGTATTTTTGATGCTATTGCAAATGATATGGTTTACATTTCAGTTATGTCATAGAATATTTCCATTACTCCCAAAAGTTCCCCTATGCCCTGGGTAATCACTGTTAATATACAGAAATACATTTGATTTTTATATAATGACCATATATCCTACAACCTTGCTAAACTCACTTACTAGTTCTAGTAGCATTTTTGTAGATTCCTTAGGATTTTCTGCATAGACAACCATGTCATCTGTGAATCAAGACACTTTTACTTCTTTTCCAATCTGTATGTCTTTTTTTTTCCACTTACATTTTTGCACAGGCTGATACCTCCAGTACAATGTTGAGTAGAATTGATTCCTAGCCTTATTCCTGATCTTAAGGGAAAAGCATTTAATTTTTTGCCGTTAAGTATGATATAGCTGTAGGTCTTTTGTAGATGCCTTTTATCAGATCGAGGGAATCCCCTTTTGTTCTTGAGAGTTTTGTCATGAATAGATGTTAGATTTTATCAAATGCATTTCTACACCTATGAAGATCATCTCTTTTTGTTTGTTTGTTAATAGAGTGAATTACATTGATTTTTGAATGTTAAATTAATCTTGCAGTCCTGAGATAAACTCCATCTGATCATAATGTATTATCCTTCAAAATGTTGTTAAACTTTATTTCCTGGCCAGGCACGGTGGCTCACGCCTGCAATCCCAACAGTTTGGGAGGCCAAGGCAGGCGGATCACCTGAGGTCAGGAGTTCGAGACCAGCCTGGCCAACATGGCGAAACCCTGTCTCTACTAAAAATACAAAAATTAGCCGGGTGTGGTGGTGCACACCTGTAATCCCAGCTACTCAGGAGGCTGAGACAGGAGAATCACATGAACCTAGAAGGCGGAGGTTACAGTGAGCTGAGATCACATCACTGCACTCCAGCCTGGGCAACAGAGCAAGATGCCATCTCAAAAAATAATAGTAATGAAAATTTAAAAAATTTTTAAAAATCTTTATTTCCTGAAATTAATTTACAATTTTTTTCATGAGGAATTCATGAGGAATATTGGAATATAGTTTTCTTTTCTTATAATGTCTTTGTCCAGTTTTGGTATCAGAGCAATACCAGCCTCATAGAATGAGTTGAGAAGTGTTCCCTTGACCTCTATTTTCTGCAGTAGTTTGCATAGAATTTGGTATTCCTTCTTTCTTAAATATATTTAGTAGAATTCACCATGAAGCCTTCTGGGCCCGGAGTTTTGACTGTGAGAAGGGTTCTAACTACAAACTCAATTGGTTTAATAGATATAGGGCTATTTAGATTATCCACTGCTTTTTGAGTGAGTATTAGTAGTTCCTTTCAACAATTTTTAAAGAATTTAATATAATTATTAGCATAACATTGCTCATGAGATGCCATTATCATCCTTTTAGTGTATGTGGAGTTGGTAGTGATGACTCTTTTCTCATTGTTGATACTGCTAATTTATATCTTCTCTCATTTTTTCCTGATTTATCTTACTAGAGGTTTAGCAATTTTATGAACCAGCTTTTAGCTTCATTGATTTTTTCTATTATTTTTGTGTCTCTATTTCATTTATTTTCTTGCTTATTTCATTATTTCTTTTTTCTATTTACTTTGGGTTTAACTTGCTCTGTTTTTCTAGTTGCTTAAGGTGGGAGCTTATTTCACTGATTGAAACCTTTCTTCTTTTCTCATATAAGAGTTTAATTCTATAAATTTCCCTCTAAGTGATGCTTAAGCTGCATGCCACAAATTTTGATTTGTCATGTTTTTCTTTTCTTTTTCTTTCTTTTTTTTTTTTTTTTTAAGACAGAGTCTTGCTCTGTCACCCAGGCTGAAGTGCAGTGGTGCAGTCTTGGCTCACTGCAATCTCCACCTCCCAGGTTCAAGCGATTCTTGTGCCTCGGCCTCCAGAGTAGCTGGGATTACAGGTGTGCACCACCACGCTGGCTAATTTTTGTATTTTTACTAGAGATGGGGTTTTGCCATGTTGGCCAGGCTGGTCTCCAACTGCCAGCCTCAAGTGATCCACCCACCTCGGCCTCCCAAAGTGCTGGGATTACAGACATGAACCACCACACCCAGCCTTTATTTTCATTTGATTCAAAATATATTCTAGTTTCTGTTGTGATTTCTTCTTTGACCCATATATTATTTAGAAATTTATTGTTTAATATGTAAGTATTTGGGTGCTTTTCCATATATCTTTTTGTTATTGATTTCTAATTTAATTCTATTATGATTAGAGAGCATGGTTTGTATGATTTGAATCTTTTAGAATTTATTGAGATTTGTAGTATGGCCCAGAATGTGGTCTAATTTGGTAAATGTTCTCTATGCACTTGAAACAAATATATCGTTTTTCAGTGGAGTATCCTATGAATGTTAATTAGGTCAAGTTGGTTAATAGTACTGTTCAAGTTTTCTATATCCTATTGATTTTGTCCACTTATTGTATCAACTATTCAGAGAAGGTGTTGAAATCTCGTTATAGTAGTGAGTTTGTCTATTTCTCTATTTCTAAATTTCTCTATTTCTAAAGCTGTATCATCAGGTGCCAAATATTAGGATTATTTCTTTTTTCTTTTTTTTTAACTGAGACAAAGCCTCGCTCTGTCGCCCAGGCTGGAGTACAGTGGCATGATCTCGGCTCACTGCCAACTTCTGCCTCCTGGGTTCAAGCAGTTCTCATGCCTCAGCCTCTCGAGTAGCTGGGACTACAGGCACGCACCACCACTCCCAGCTAATTGTTTTGTATTTTTAGTAGAGACGGGGTTTCGCCATTTTGGCCAGGCTGGTTTCGAACTCCTGACCTCAGGTGATCTGCCAGGCTCAGCCTCCCAAAGTGCTGGGATTACAGGCATGAGCCACCGCGCCCGGCCAGGATTGTTATTTCTTATGAATGAATGAATCCCTTTTTCATTATAAAATGACCCACCTTATCCCTGGTAAGATTTGCTCTGACATATACCTTGTCTTGTATTAGTACAGTCACTTAAGCCTTCTTTTGGCTAGCGTTGACATCTTTTTCCATGCTTTTACTTTAACCTACATTGTTTGGTCTTTCTTTTTTATACAATTTGACAATCTCTTCCTTTAAAATTGGGATGTTTACACCATTTGCATTTAATGTGATTACTGATGTGGTTGGGCTTCAATCTACCATTTGACTATGTTTTCTATTTGTCTCATCTGTTCTTTGTTTTTTTCTTTTTCGTGATTTCATTTTACCTTTTTACTGGCTCGTTAGTTTTACATTTTTGCTTTGTTTTGATTTGTTTTTAGTGGTTGCTTTAGGACCTATGGCATACATGTTCAACTTACCAGTCTATCTTCAAGTAACATGGTACCATTTTATGTATAGTATAAAAACTCTACAACCATATACTTCCATTTCCCATTGCTTAGTCTTTTCGCTATTGTTGTCATACATTTTACTTCTGTATGTTATAAACTCCACAATACATTGTTATTTTTGCCTTAAATCATTATCTTTTAAAGAGATTTTAAACATAAGAAAAAATATATTTGAGGATTTTCTAAATGTTTTCTTTTAATTATTTTATTTTATTGAGACAGAGTCTCACTCCCAGCCTGGAGTGCAGTGGCACAATCACAGCTCACTGCAGCCTGAACCTCCCGGACTCAAGCAATCCTCCCACCTCAGCCTCCCTAGTAGCTGGGACCACAGGCATGTGCCACCATGCCCAGCTAATTTTTGTACTTTTTGAAGAGACGAGGTTTCTCCATGTTTTCCAGGCTGATCTCAAACTCCTGAGCTCAAGCAATTGGCCCACCTTGGCCTCACAAAGTGCTGGGATTACAGGCGTGAGCCACCACACCCAGTCTCTCTTAATTCATTTTTAACTTTAATTTTGTCATGGTCAAAAAACGTATCTCTTAAAATCTACTGAGATTTGCTTTTACGGCCAAGCATATTATTAATCTTGCTAAACGTTCTATGTGTTCTTGAATATGCATTTTGCATTTTGGGGGTATAATTTGCTATAAATGTAAATTAGGTAAGGTAGTTAATAGTTCACTCATTTCTTTCATATCCTTATTGAGATTTTGTCTAACTAACCTATCAATTACTCATAGAAAAGTATTAAGATTTCCAGCTTTGATTGTGGGTTTTTCTATTTTTTCCTTAGTTCTGTCACTTTTTGCTTCATATAATTTGAAGATCTCTTTTTAGAGGCATATATATTTTAAACTGTTCTGTATCTCTCATGAATTGACTCTTCTATTATTAAATTTCTTTGATTCTAGTATATTCCTTTTCTTGAAGCCTATTTTGTCTTGTATTAAGAGAGCTATTCCAGTTTCCTTACCTTTAAGGTTTGTGTAATTTCCAGCCTTCTGCTTTTAGTTTTTACTTTTGTTATTTGCATGGTTTTACAGTATTTTACTTCTAGTCTATTTGTATCTTAGTATTTAAAGTGTCCCTTTTGAGGAAAGCACATAATTTGTTCTTGCTTTTTTTTTTTGAGACGGAGTCTCACTCTGTCAGCCAGGCTGGAGTGCAATGGTATGATCTCAGCTCACTGCAACCTCCACCTCCTGGATTCAAGCCATTCTCCTGCCTCAGCCTCCTAAATAGCTGGGATTACAGGCAGGTGCCACCATGCTCGGCTATTTTTTGTATTTTTAGTAGAGACAGGGTTTCACCATGTTGGCCAGGCTGGTCTCAAACTCCTGACCTCAAGTGATCCGCCCACCTTGGCCTCCCAAAGTGCTGGGCTTACAGGCGTGAGCCACCGCGTGCGGCCTGTTCTCACTTTTTAATATAGTCTGTCAATCTCTGCCTTTTAATTGGAGTCAGACCACTTACATTTAATATAATTATTAATATGATTTTTTAAAATTTTTAAATAAATACTAGTTTATTTGAGCCTTTTTCATTTATGGTTTAACCATCCAATATGTCTGTTTACTTCAGTTCTTTTTCTTCTTGACACTTCTAGGAGATTTCTTTCTCTATTCTCTTTCTCTTTCCTCTTTCCTGAATAAATTTTATTGTGTATACTTGAGATTTTACAACATGCTATTATGGGATACATATAGATAGTAAAATACTTACTATAATAAAGTAGATTAGCATATCTGTTATTTCACAGTATTTTTTGTGTGATAAGGACAGATAAAATCTACTTAATGAACCAAAATCCCAAATACAATTCTATTAACTGTAGTTCTCATGTTGTACCTTAGGCCTCTAGATCTGTTCATCCTACATATCTGCTATTTTTATCCTTTGACCTCCATCTCCCAATTTCCTACCTTGCCACTCTCATGGTAACTAATGCTTCATTCTCTGTCTCATGTATTTGAGCTTTTTTTAAAAAAAAAAATCTACTAATAAGTGAGATCATGCAATATTTTTCTTTCTGTGTCTGGCTTATTTCCCTTAGCATAACATCTTCCTGTCCTCCTGGTCCATCATGATGTGGCAAATGGCAGAATTTCCTTTTTAAAGCCTGAAAAATAGTTCACTGTGTATACACACACACACACACACACACACACACACACACACACACTACATTTTCTTTATCCATTCATCCATCTATGGGCATTTAGATTGTTTCCATATCTTGGCTAATGTGACTAATGCTTCCATGAACATGGGAGTGCAGATCTTTATGAAGTGGTGATTTTGTCTTCTTTGGGGATATACCGAAAAGGGGGATTTCTGGGTCATATGGTAGTTCTATTTTAAATTATTTTAGGAATCTCCATATTGTTTTCCATAATGGCCGTACCAATCTACATTTCCACTAGCTTTGTACAATGGTTCCCTTCATTCCATACCCTTGTCAACATTTGTTATTTCTTGTCTTTTTGATAATAGCTGTCCATACAAATGTGAAGTGATAGCTCGTTGTGGTTTTAATTTGCATTTCCCTGGTAGTTCATTAAATAAGCCAGTTTCTTTTCATTTGTCTTCAAGTTAACTGATTATTTCTTCTGCCATCTTAAATCCTCAGTTGAGCCCATCTAGTGATTTTTTAATTTTACATTTAATTTGTACACCTTAGCTCTGTAATCCATTTTAAAATGTGTTTCCATTTCCTTGTTGAGATTCCCTACTTGTTTGTTTCTTGATGGCATATTTTCCTATAATTATTTGAACATATTTATAATAAATCCTTTGAATTCTTTATCTTCTAAATCCAATATCTGGATCCAGTTGGAGTTCCTTCAAAATTAACTTGGTTGTACTTGGCCTTTGGGCTTCACTCTTTAACCTTGGCCCCAGCATTTTCCTTGTAGCCTCGGACCAGGGGAAGGGCCTCCTTTCTGTTTCATCTCTTCCTACCCTACTCTCAGGAACCTACTGTCATCCCACCTGCTCTATGTTGACTTCCCTGATGATTGGGACCCTCAGAGATCTTGTTACTCTCTGAACTACTATGTTTAAATTTATATCCCATAATCCAGTGCTGGACCATGTCCTGTTGTTTGCTAATGTTTATGTACTTTGTATTCCTAACTAGATTATAAACTCTTTCAGGATTGGGAATATGTCTTTTCCTCTAGAATATCAGTACATTGAGTTCCCTCTGTATGACAGGTCTTGGCCTGAGCACTTTATACTACCTTTCATTTAGTCTTCAGAACACCCTTGTATGATAGGTATCATTATCCTCATTTTCCATATGAGGAAACTAAGACCCAGAAAGGTTAAATGATGAAGCCAAAGTTAGTGCCAAAGTTAGTGAGAGAGAATGACTAGGCGAGCATTCAAACTCAGATCTATCTCACTCAAAGCTCATGTGGCCATGGCTTTTTATTCTAGTTGGACTTGTAACCTCTTATTCTTTCTGGCCACTAGTCTGACTGTTACCGTGTGAAACAGACCCAGATAAATCTGTGGATTCTTTGAATGGGGTCTGGTGGCCCAATGTTCCCTGCACAGCGTCTTGTTACTTCAGACAGCATCCCATGGCCTGCCTGTCTGCTTTAGCCCTGGCTGTGCTCTTCATCAGGATCCACCCATGGGCTGCTGCACTCAGAACCCCTGCTTGGTAGCCCAAAATAGCCTTTGTTTTCTCCTGGTGGCTGGTGGATTTTCCTCAGCCATTTTTGCCAAGTGGAGCCATGAGTTGGAATAGCAACAGGTGGTAAGTATCTAGAAGCCAATGAGGCATGCACTTTATTGTCAGAAGCAGAAGTGTGTTCTGCAGAGATGGAAAGCAGACCTCCTACCAGCAGAGGAAACACAAACCAAAGGGAACCTTCCCGAAAGTTTGAACAGAACTCTGTTCCTTTTCTGTCTCTGAGGCGTGGAGGAGTGTGGTCCTCTTTGTTGAATCCTTTTCCAAGCATACCTTACACCTGCCTAAAACAGGTAAAATGTAAATCATCTCTTTGCAGGGATTCTTTAGGATACATCTTGTTTTCCGTGCCTTATAGACATGATCATCTCCTTGCTGCTTAGCCAAGTCCTTTGGTTTACTCCAGCATCTGCAGACTGGAAGAGAAGACTTCTCTTTTAACTCACTCACCTTCTTGCCCCAGGGAAAGTAGGAAACAGCACATTTGTTGAAAGAGACAAGTTCTGCATTAGGCTGGTTGTTTACTTGGGTCTGAAAGACAATAAACCTGGTCCTCACTTGGAGTAGGAGAAACTTAGGAAAAAGCAAGGGTGCCATGGAAAACCACTAATCCTCGTTTGTCCCACAAACAATCATGTTAAAATCTTGGTACAGAAGCCCCCTCTGAAGCTGAAATGAATGTCTTGGGTTAAGAATGTTGTCACAATGGCTTACCCTATGTGACATCACGAATTCAGACAAATGAGGTGTGACTGTCCCACTTTGGGGGATGCTATCCTATTTGGTGATTTTCTTGCTTTTTCTCCAAGGTAAAGTCAGAATCGATTGAAATATCAGTCACTTTCTCACTGACAAAGTGACACAGCAGCCGATGGGAGGGTTGACCTGTGAGGAATTTGTGGAGCGTCAAGCCCCAGCCAGAGGAAGGAGTCAGACTGTTGGAGGGCCTGCCGAGAAGTCACGGCATCCAATCTTTTGACCAAGGGGGGAAGCAATCCTGTGGTTAAAAACATTTGAGAAAAGAGACCTACAGATAGCCTTTTGGGCATACTGTTTCTTGGCACCCATATGGAAGTGTGGCTTCTCTTCTGGGCAGGTATTTCTGTACAACTGTGACCACTCTTCCTACCTGGCTTCTGAGGAATGCATAGCCTATACCTGATCTCTTCTATTCTCTTGCATCCCCTAGGAAGCAGGAATTATATTTTCATTCATCTGATAAGCCCTATGAACAGCCATTGTTAAGTGCTGAGAGTACAATAAGGAATGAGAAAACGTCCCATACATCAAAGATTATGGTCTTGTCAGGGCACTGAGGCCACAGGATTCATTGTAGTAGAAGGTATAACACGCTTAATGTCATTGGAGGGAAGCAACATCATATTCTGTTCTTTAGGAATGGGTAGGTTTAGAAATAGCAGATATGGCATGAGGTGCCTAGGAGCCAGAATAAGAAATGTTGGGAAGTAAGGTATGTTTGGGAAGCATGTGGCCAGATGACAGACTGTGTGAGGCAGAACAATGACAAAGGACACAAGACGGAGTGCCTTGAGTGGCAGGCCATGGGGCTGGACACTCTTTGAGAGTTGACCAAGAGCTCAGAAGGACTTTTGAGCAGAGAAGTGACAAGATAAAAGCTTTTGGGGGAAGACTAATAGAGCAACTATGTCTGGGACCTTTCATGGGGTGCTAGAATAGAGAACCAGGATAAAGGGGGAAAGTTGGGAGATGCTGGAAGGCTTGCTTTTGATGGCCATGATGAGAATGAGTAGAGGGGAAGAGGCAAATGTGTTAGACGAACATTGGGCAGGCAGAATTAGCCAGGCACAGCTAGTGACAGGATGTGATGCCACACTGTCAGTCAGAGACAACTCTGGATTTTCAGCTCAAGTGACTGAGGAAAAGCTGAGGCAGGTAACAGATGTCAGAAAGTCAAGAGCCAGAGGAGCAGGCTCAGGGAGAAGATGGTAAGTTCCATTTGTAGTGGCTGAGCTTCATCTTCCAGGGGCAAGTTTCCAGCTGGAGTTAAGAGCACAGAGTTGACCATCAGGAAAGACCAGCATCAGAGACACAATTTGGTTGTTCTAGGGGAAGTGGTAGCTGTTGCTCTGGGGGTTGTAGAAATCCTTGAGTGGAGAGTAGGAAATAGATGGCCAATGCCTGCCCAACACTTGGCCCAGGTCCGGGGTTCATATGCTTCTAGAAAAGAGGAATAAATTAGTGGAAGAATGAGACAAGGACAACATCTGGAGAAGCACTTACGTGTAGAGTGTGCATCAGTGAAGAAGAAAGAGAAGCAACCTTCAGAAAACTGGAAAAGCCAGGAGAGAACCCTGGGAGAAGAGGACAAGGGAGGGCAGGAATTTCAGGAAGAAGGTGACACACTATATTCATTGCTGCAGAAAAAAATGGACCTCCTGAGAAGGCTATCAGGATGCCTGGGCTCATTGCTCTTATGGGGCAAGACACAGAGTTTGCCTCAGTGATGGGACTTAGGCCCTGGGCATTCATGCTCACTTGTTCTCGTTGTCACAATGGCAGCTCTGATTCTAAGAGTCCTGGTCAGAAAGGGCTGACTGATAGTAAGGGAGCTCCTTTTTGTATCTTGCCTTTGGCTGTTGGTTGGGGACTGTGGGGTGTGCTGTGGGGTGATTGTGTGAGGATTGGGATGGCTCATGCTTTCTAAGACAAATGGGGCTTTTTCTAGAGTAAGAGGCAGAGTAAGGGCCTAGCACCCATCTCTGTAAAGACCACATCTTGACCTCCCAGAGGGGAGGTAGATAAAGTTGTGAACTGGTGGCCATCTCATCCAAAGCCAGTGAAATAATCCTGGGGATAGTTTCCTTTTGGAAGTGAGACAAGGGTAGAGGGGACCAGAGAGTGCTCAAAACTTGTCCTGTAGACTTTACCAGATTACTTTTTTTTTTTTTTTTTTTTTTGAGACAAGGTTTCACTCTTGTCGCCCAGGCTGGAGTGCAACAGTGCGATCTTGGCTCACCGCAACCTCCGCCTTCCGGGTTCAAGTGATTCTCCTGCCTCAGCCTCCTGAGTAGCTGGGATTATAGGCATGCACCACCATGCCCACCTAATTTTTGTATTTTTAGTAGAGACGGGGTTTCTCCATGTTGGTCAGGCTGGTCTCAAACTCCTAACCTCAGGTGATCCGCCCACCTCAGCAGATTACTTTTTTATAATTTTATTTCTCTGGTCTGATTCATTCTTTAAGGAGCTATCCCACAGTTTCTGAACAGGGAACTAGAGGACTTTGGGACCAGGAGCAAGATTAAGTGCAGTGGGGGAAGGGAGGGAGAGAAGAGTTGCCTGGAGCTCACTGCAATGAGGGTTTCAAATGCAACAGGGCAATAGGGCAGGTGTGAGGCATCTGAGCCCAGAGTGAGCCAAGAATAAGCACAGCAGGGAAGGGAGGGAGGAAAGGCTGCTACTCCCACTTGCACACACTCCCAGTATGGTCTCCTGGAGAGACAGCTGTGACCCTTGCCAGGTACCACATCCTTGTATTAGGTTCTTCTTGGCCTCTTAGAGCAGGACTGTATGAGAATCCTGACTGCACAAGAAACTAAGGTTAGGTAAATTAGAGACAGCCCAATGTGGAGTCCTGGGGGTGGGTGGCTGGCACAAGGCCCTGGACTCCTTCCCTGTAGGAGCCAGGCAGCCTTTCTTCCTTCCATGGTCACAGAAGGTGCTGTGCTCAACTGCCTGGCAGAAGGTCTGGTTGGAATGTGCTTGGAAGGTGAGCTCAGGTGATACACTTCACAGATGGGGCCCATCACATCCACTTTGGAATGGAAAGAACGTTGTAAGTAGTAATATCAGACTTCCCAAAGGAGGGCGAATGGAGATTCAATCCATGGAGGGAGTAGGGGTTCAATCGCTGGACAGATTTACTTGCACCCAAACAAGACAACAGGAAAGAAGAAAACCAGACAGTGGAAGTTATGGATGAACTGATAGATGAACATTCATGCATCACCTTTGGGTTAGAGGCAGCCTTGCCTGAGCCTGGAGGTTGGAGGCTGAACACTTCTAGCCTAAGGATGTAAGGAAGCAGAAAAAGCAGAGGTAGACTGTTTTCCTGCCCAGAGGTCTATGCACAGGGGCCCTGCTCATTCTTACTCAGCAGCACACTTGATGCAAGCCATACTGAGGCCATAAGCATAGCATCATCACTCACGGAAGCCAGCCTGAGGTCTGATAAGCAGGGCGAATCAGAAAGGGGTGGCTACCTTGGCAGACCACAGAGAGCCAGGCTTATATGACCAGATGCCACTGAGCACGACCATGTGTACTGTGTGTGCACTGCTCCCTGCAGAGGGCTCACACACCAGCACTTCCTCCTCTGCTGCCTCTGTGGGGCCATCCTTCCCTGGTCAGCATCCACACCAAGCTCAGAAAGTACAGAGACAAATATCAAGTGCAGGGAGCAAAGAGGCTCATGCCCATGCCATGCTGACCCTGGCAGAGCAGCCACAGCATGTGTGGCATGACACATCACCTCTTGGAGACCCAAAGAAGCAAATCTTCGCGTGTTCATCTTGTGGGTGTTAAAGGTACTTCTGCTCTCTTCCTGTGTCAGAGGAAGGCCCTAGGCTCTCTCCACACCCTGTTGCTGTGTTAGGGGCAATGGGGTGACTCAGAGGCTGCAACAGCCACATTGGCTGCATCTACTGGGTGCATGTGGCAGGGGGCTGAGTTGGAAGGAAATAAGATAAAGTTGCCTGGGCAGCCAGAGTGGAGCTGGCCAGCTGTCAGGAGCTGCCTCAGTGCATCCATGGATGAGCTGCTTGGGAGACCCTGTGGAGTGGGTAGAGAGGTGGGGCCTGGAGGTCTGTGCTGGCCAGGCAGGTGAAGGAGGATGGACCAAAAGAGTGCCAACATCTTCCTTCAAGCTCCCCATCCCTGCAGGGGTCCTCTACCAGACCTCAGGAGCCTGCGCTGCAGGCTACTGCCCGTGGCCTCTGCCAGCACGGTTGTACATCCCAGGGCCTGGTTCGGCTGCAGGGCCTCTGCTTTTCCCCTCTCTCAGTTGGCTCAAGAGCCTGAACTGTTTTACTCCTGGGGGCTAGCTTATCTACAGATAGAAGGACCTCTGGAGGGAGCTTTTAGTCTAGACTGTAGTAGAAACCAAAGATAATATTTACCAGGAAAGAACTGAACCCAGCCACTTAGCTGCAAGCTTCCCCTTCTGAGCCTTTCAGGGTACACAGTGGGCACCAGCCCTCGAGATCTGGGATTGTTAGTGCTTTAGGGATCACCATCTCAGTTTCTTACCAGTGTGGAAGTTCCTTGAATGTAGAGGAAGGTCCCCCCAGCACCGCGTTTTCAGGCCTCATGAGTGTCCAGTAAACACTGACGAAGCTGAGGAGCAGCGGAAGACAGCAGAGAGCTGAGTGCGGAATTTGTGGGATGCAGATGGCTGTACAGTGCAGCCTCAGTCAGAACACAGGACATTAGCTTCATAGGGAATTTTCTACCCTGGTAGTCAGGATTTTGCTCCTGACCAAGAAAACAACAAAAAGGAAACCATACAATAGAACTTATGGATGAACTGACACACTCCACCACCCCTACTTCATCTGAATATGTTTATTAGCCTCACATCTTCCTTGAGTCCTGGGCTATCCTCCTGTTCCTCCTCCCCATGCCCTCCCTGCAGGCTACTCCCAGGCTTCGTGTGTCCTACTGTCCTGAGACTCGGGCCGGCCCTTGGCAGCAATCCCCATCTCTTCTCGAGATCCCCACACCTGTGTCATTTTCACTCTTCTACCTTGACCCCATTCCAAAAATGTATTAGCAACTTAATGCCTTTGCGTTCCTCAGATCCAGGCTCCAAGTGAGCAGTGGTCTTTGTCCCAGAAGTAGCAGCGAAGAGACCTCAGCGAGGCCCCGGAAAGGGAGGCGGCTGAGGGAGCCTGTGCCAAGCCCCATCAGCCCAGGAAAGCCTTACAGAAAGATTCTTTCTAGAGGAAAGAAGAGATTAGCTGAGCCTCCCCAAAAAAGACAAGTAAAGAGGACACAGAAATATTTCCTTTAAAAGGGAGCAAGAGCAGATGGAAAGAGGGTTTATATTAATGAAATCTCCGGATATTAAGGATGAAATGAATGCCAGGGAAGGTTATTATCATTTCATTAGAACACAAAGGAAGAAACAAACACATTATTATGTGAAACCAAGAAGTTATGAACAAGGGAATCCAGCAGGGAAGTTATTAGCTGGGTTAATTAAAACAGAACAAGCCGGTTGAGTAATTCCATCTGTAGAACCCAACAAGGAAGGCATAATTCATTGCCCTTAAGAAAAATACTCAGGGTATTTTGCTTTTTCTCCTTTACCAGAAATTCTGTACTTTTGATATTGTCTCACAAACCAAAAAGATTTATTCTTATCAACGCTGAATTGATTTAGCACTCTTGTGAGAGAGTTCAGTTCTGACCAAAAGAGATGGCAATCCCCCCGGAGATTCTTGAGCCCAGACAGCCAGGGGCTCTCCCCCATCTAGGATCATGGGCCCCTCAAAGATTCCTCCATTGCCTAGCTTGCAGGATTGTGGCAGGTGGCAACTGAACATGGGACCAGGCCTTACTCATCCATCCTAGTGATCCTGGGGAGGGCTGGACCAGGCCAGGTTTGCCTGCTATCTTCTCCACTGCTTCCTCTTGCCATCCTGAAGCTGGAAACTCCTTGGCATAGTACTGCTCCTTAGAGCTGTCAGAGCCAGTCTTTCTACCTAGCTTTGTTGGCATCTAGCACAAGGGAGATGACCAACAAGACTGCTGTTTGCAGCATCAACCCACCTGGTATTGTTTGGGTAGTGCTCATATAGCTGGCTGAGTTGCTGCTCCCTTCAGGAGGCCTAGAGGTCCCAAGTATGACAGTCCCGAGCAGGCCAAATGGGTCCCATCAGCCCTTGGGATTTTCTTCATCTCTCATTTGTCAGGCCTTATGAATTAAAATTAGGACTCTGGGTTTGGGTGAGACCTTGGAGGTTGATCTTAAGGGCTATTTCTCAAGTTAACGTACCAGAGGGCCAGAGCCCCCAAGTTCTTTGGCCCTTGAACACAGGTATAGGACATGAGAGCTGGAAGGGGCCTTGCTAAGGGTATAGTCCATCGAAACCTTTTGTTGGAGAGAAGGAAACTAGGCTCCAGAGTGAGAGAGGAAATGTCTGAGACAGATCTGAGGCTACAGAGCTAACTCGTGGCTGAGCAGGACAGGAACCAGGGTTTCTTAGCAAGTCCTGGTAACCTACTTCTGCCCTGTGACCCTCATGCTCTATCCCTGCACTTCAGGGCTATCCCCAACAGAGTGCCTAGGAGACTCCTAGAGAGCGCAAGATACATTTTAATAAGGGTAAGAGCATGTGGCACAAACACTGCTTCATAATTGTCAATTGCTTTTTTTAATTGATGTACTTTTTTTTAGAGCAGTTTTAAGGTTCACAGCAAAACTAGGCAGAAGCACAGAAAGATCCCACACCCTCCCTGTCCCACACACGCACAATCAAACCCACTATCGACATTCCCCGCCATGGTGGTACGTTTGTTACAATTGACGAACCTAGATTAACACATCATTATCACCCAAAATCCATAGTTTACACTAGAGTTCACTCTTGATGTTGTACATTCTATGGGTTTGGACAAGTGTATAAGGACATGTATTCATTATAGTATCAAACAGAGTATTTTTCACTGCCCTAAAAATCCGCTGTGCTTCACCTCTTCATTCCTCCCTCCCCTCAACCTCTGGCAATCACTGATCTTTTTACTGTTTCCATAGTTTTGCCTTTTCCAGAATGTCTTATAGTTGGAATCATACAGTATGTAGCCTTTTCCGATTGGCTTCCTTCACTTAGTAATATACATTTAAGTTTCCTCCATGTCTTTTCATGGCTTGATAGCTCATTTCTTTTTTAATGCTGAATAATATTCCATTGTCAGGTTGTACCACAGTTTATTTATTCATTCATCTACTGAAGGACATCTTGGTAGCTTCCAAGTTTGGGCAATGATGTATGAAGCTGCTATAAACATCCTTGTGCAGGTTTTTCTGTGGATATAAGTTTTCAGCTCATTTGGGTAAATACCAAGGAGTACAATTGCTGGATCATATGGTAAGAGTATTTTTAGTTTTATAAGAAATGGCTAAACTGTCTTACAAAGTGACTATATTGTTTGACATTACCACCAGCAATGATTGAGAGATCCTGTTGTTCCACATCCTCACCAGAATTTGGTGCTGTTAGTGTTTTGGATTCGGGGCATTCTAATAGGTGTATCATGGTATCTTGTTGTTGTTTTAATTTGCAATTTCCTGATGATATATGATGTGGAGCATCTTCTCATATGCTTATTTGCCATCTGTATATTTTCTTTGGTAAGGCACCTCTTTAGGTCTTTTGATCATTTTTTAACTGGGTCTTTGTTTCATTGTTGAGTTCTAAGAGTTCTTTGTATGTTTTGGATAAAAATTCATTAGGTGTGTATGTTTTGGATAAAAATTTATTAGATGTGTCCTTTGCAAATATTTTATCTGTTTATTGCTTGTCTTCTTAGTGTCTTGACATTATCTTTTGTAGAGGAGAAGTTTTTAATTTTTTTTTTTTTTTTTTTTTGAGACAGAATCTCGCTCTGTCACCCAGGCTGGAGTGCAGTGGCATGATCTTTGCTCCCTGCAGCCTCAACCTTCTGGGCTCAAATGTTCCTCCCATCTCTGTCTCCTGAGTAGCTGGGACTACAGGCACACACCACCATGCCCGGCTAATTTTTTATTTTTATTTTTTGTAGAGTGTTTTGGTGTTTCGCTCTGTTGCCCAGGCTGGTCTCAAACTCCTGAGCTCAAGTGATCCACCGACCTTGACCTGTCAAAGTGCTGGAATTATAGGTGTGAGCCACCACGCCTGGCCAAGTTTTTAATTTCAATGAAGTTCAGCTTATCAATTATTTCTTTCATATATTATGCCATTGGTGTTGTATAGAAAGTCATTGCCAAACCCAAGGTCATCTAGATTTTCTCCTATGTCATCTTCTAGTAGTGTTATAGTTTTGGATTTTATATTTAGGTCTGTGATCCATTTTGAGTTGATATTTGTGAGTGGTGAAATGCCTGTGTCTAGATTCTTTTTTTTTTTACAGGTAGCTGTTAAGTTACCTGTAGTATTCCAGCACCGCTGGGTGTAAAGATTATCTTTGCTCCATTGTATTGCCTTTGCTCCTTTGTCAAAGATCAGTTGACTATATTTATGTGGGTCTATTTCTGGGCTCTCCGTTCTGTTCTACTGATCTATTGCTCTTTTCTTTCACCAATACCCCACTGTCCTGATTACTGTACCTTTACAGAAAGCCTCAAAGTCAGGCAGTGTAAGTCTTCTTTGTTCTCCCTCAATATTGAGTTGGCTATTCTTGATCTTTTGCTACTCCACATAAACTTTAGAATACGTTTATTGATATCCACAAAATAGTAATAACTTGCTGGATTTTAGTTGGAATTGCATTGAATCGATAGATCAAGTTGGGAAGAACTGACATCTTGACAACATGGAGTCTTTGCGTCTATGAACATGGAATATCTCTCCATTTACTTAGTTCTTTGATTTTGTTTATCAGAGTTTTGTAGTTTTCCTAATATAGATCTTGTATATTCTTTTAGATTTATACTGAAATATTTCATTTTAGATAGTGCTAATGTAAATGATAATGTGTTTTACATTTCAAATTTCACTCACTCATTGCTAATATATAGGAAAGTGATTGACTTTTGTATTATTAACCTTGTATCCTACAGCCTTGCTGTAATCACTTTGTTGTTTGATTTTGAAACAGATACCTCCTCAGAAGATGGTAGTTAAGCTTTTGTTAGTTCCCACACTTTTTCTCCACTTTGGGCTTTCCTATATGCTGTGATTTGTTTTGTTTTGTTTTGTTTTGTTTTGTCTGGAGTATTCTGCCTTCCCTACCCTCAGTCTCCACTCCAGATGCCCCCTTCTTTAAACCTGATTAATCTTTGAGGTCTCAGAGAAGCATGGTTTATACTGGGAAGCCTTCTCTGACTCTATGAGTCTGGGTTACCTGATCCCCCCTACTTCATTTCTTCTCTGGAAGGTGTAATCCCTACTCTCAAGAAACTAATGGCTTATTTGGGAGACAATACACAGAGGTGAAAGTAATAATAAACAAGGTTTATTATTTATACTGGGAAGCCTTCTCTGGTTTATACTGGGAAGTCTTCTCTGACCCTATGAGTCTGGGTTACCAGATCCCCAGTACTTCCTTTCTTCTCTGGAAGATGTAATCCCTACTCTCAAGAAACTAATGGCTTATTTGGGCGACATACTGCAAAGGTGAAAGTAATAATAAACACTTATCTCTGTTCTAAGAACTTTACTTTTACTTTTAACTCATTTAATTCTCACAGGAAGATTAATGAGAACTGCTCTCCAAAACCCTCAGAAACTCTCCTTAACCTATAAAATTGAATCCAGACAGTTTAGATTGGCCTATATGCCTTCACATCAGGATCTAAAGCTGTATTTCCAAACTAAGCTGGTTTACTCACTATGTCTTGATATAGTCTATACGTCTTTACCTCTGAATGCTTGCATATGCTATTCTCCCTGTTTGAGATGTTCCCTGTGGTCTCATTCCTCCATGACCATTCCATCCTCCACATTTCTATTGCACTTATTTTCTGGACCATTCATTTTTGTTATGAACCTAAGCAAGTTTACAGGAACAAAACTTATGGGATGCCAAACAGGACAACTCTTACTGCCCTCCACAGTCTTTTGGATTTTTGTTGCGAGACTTGCATAGCTGTTTCTGGTGTGATCTCTGCCTAATCCAATTGCTGTGTTTTATTTACAATCTTTGTGCATTGACATAGCCAACATATTTGTCATTGAAGTGGTTGCTTAGTGTTGCATGGTGTACATTCATTGCTTCTCTTTTAGAGTCCTGTATTAATATTGTAATTCAGTTTTGTTTTCTCAATTATTTGCATGCCAAGTATATACAAGAAACCCATCTCTTGTCATTAGTCTGGCAATTGTGAGCTCCTCAAGACAGAGACTGTCTTCAACATTGCTGTATCCTCTACTATCTTTAGCTTGCATGTACTAGATGCTCAGAGAACCCTGTTCAATTGACTCACACTATCATAACGCCAGGAATTTAGCCACATTACTTAACACCCACCTCTACCCTGATAAAAACGAATCCCATGAGGGCTAAGATGTGTAACCAGAGAGGATCCAGTAACTTTCTCCAAATGCTTGATCACTCTAACATCACTTCTCTCATCTTGCCACCTCCTCTCTCTAGAGTATCATTTAGCTACAAGGATTCAGGAAACCTTGAAGATCATTTTCTCAAGCAGCTGATGCATACAAGCTAAACATAAGGACCAGTTCCCTGGCAAGTGCTTCTTGCTTCTAGTGATACAAGGCTGTATGGGGCCCCAGGAGTCGTGGGGTGGAGTGGGTTAGCGATCCCATACTTGCCATTTCCCTGACTTTGAGTGGAAGCTCAGAACTCCCAGCGTTGCCTGCTTAATCTGTGCTGAGATTGCAGAAACCTGGCCTGGCTCCTCTACCTTTGGGAGGGTAATCATTTCAGAAGCATATTGTGCTCACTTCTGCAGTCAGGCATGGCTAGATTTAAGCAAAACTTTTTTACTTCTTTATTCAGTGTTTGCTACTTGTTGACTCACCCTATTCTTCTAAGAAAATTCTCCTCTTACTTTTCCCCATCGACTGTTTTGCTCCCTCCTGGCCTCTCCACCACTGATTTCTTCCTGGCTTCTACGTGTGAGCATCTCCCCATGAATCTCTCTGCTTCTGCCTTCCTCTGTCTACACTTTCTCTCTAGCAGTCTTGCTTGCCATGATGACTAAATTGATATCCCTCAGCAGTGACTCCTCAAACCCCATCTTCAACCCTGACCTCTTGAGCCAACTCTAGGCCTACATTTCCGGATGTCTGCTAGGCATTTCCTGCTGGCAATCCAAATCCAACCTGTCTAAATAGCTCACGCGGCTCTTTCCCCCTGTTTTCCCAACTTCTCTCAGTGTTCTAGTGACTGATGTTAAGAACCTTGGGGCTTGTCTGGGCTGTTTACTAACCACATCTTGGACCCTCAGTTTCCTCATCTGCTATGTGAAGATGGTAATGCGCTCCCTATCTCACTAAAGAGCACTGAACGAGACAAGCTATCTGGAAGCATGTTTTAAGCTGTAAAAGGGTACACAAAGAAGAGATGTAATAATTGTGCTGTCATCTTTAGTTTTTTTTAGCTAAAAAAGCTAAAAGCTACTATCATCTTTAGCCACACATTCACCCCATCACCTTATGTTACCATTTCCTTTATCCCTGTACTTCTCATCCATCCTTTTATCTCAATTCTTGATATGACCACCAGAGTTTAAACTCTGTCATCCATTGCCTAGACTAGTTCTATCCGAGCCTAGTTATATCCTCTAACTCAGTGGTTCCCAGACTGCAATCCATCCACATAAGAATTACTAGGAGGAATTTATTTTTTAAAAAATGCAATTGTAGTCTCTTTCACAATTGTGCTGGGACAATGGAATATCCACGCGCAAAAGAATACCTCATACCGTATACAAAAATTAACCCAACATGGGTCAAAGACTTAACAGTAAGAACTTAAAACACAAAACTCTTAGAAGAAAAAATAGGCATAAATCTTTGTGACATTCAATTAGGTAATAGTTTCTAAGATATGACACCATAAGCATGAGCAACAACAGCAAAATAGTTAAAGTAGAGTTAATCAAAATTTTAAAAAATGTTGCATTTCAAAGGATACCATCAAGAAAGTGAAAAGACGACCCACAGATTGGGAGAAAAATTTTGCAAAAATTTTATCAGATAAGAGAGTTGTATCCATAATATATAAAGAGCTCTTACAATTCAATTATAAAAAGATAAATGACCCAACTAAAAATGAACATATTCAATTTATTTGTCAATTATACCTCAATAAAACTGGGGAAAAAATGAGTCAAGGATCTGAATAAACATTTCCCCAAAGAAGACATACAAATGGCCAATATGTACAAAAAAAGATGCTCAACATCATTAGTTATCAGGGAAATACAGATCAAAACAATAATAAGGCTGGGGACAGTGGCTTACACCTGTAATCCCAGCACTTTGGGAGGCTGAGGTGGGCAGATTACTAGAGCCCAGGAGTTCTAGACCAGCCTGAGCAATGTGGCAAAACCCTGTCTCTACAAAAAATACAAAAATTAGCCAGGCACAGCGGTGCATGCCTGTAGTCCCAGCTACTCAAGAGGCTGAGGTGGAAGGATCGTTTGAGCCCGGGAGGTCAAGGCTGCAGTGAACCGTGATCACACCACTGTGCTCCAGCCTGGGTGACAGAGTGAGACCTTGTCTCAAAAAAACAAAAAAAATGAAACAAAATGACAATAAAGTAATGTACTTTCCAAAAACCATTGAATTGTACACTTTAAATGGGTGAATTGTATGGTATGTGAATTATACCTCAATAAAGCTGCTTTTAAAAAAATCACAAGATACCATTTCACATCCATTGGGATAGCTAGAATCAAAAAGTCAGATAATAACAGGTGTTGATGAGAATGTGGAGAGACTGGAACCCTCATACACTGCTGGTGGGAATGCAAAATGGTGCAGCTGCTTTGGAAAACGATCTGGCAGTTCCTCAAATGATTAAACGTAGAGTTACAATATGACTGAGCAATCTTACTTCCAAGTGGGATTTCAGATAATATATATACCCAAGATAAATGAAAGCACATGTCCACACAAAAGCTTATACACAAATGTTCATAGAAGTATTATTTGTAATAGCCGAAAAGTAGAAACAATCCAAATGTCCATCAACTGATGAACATATAAATAATATCTGGTATATATACATATAATGGAATACTATTCGGCCACAAAAAAGGTATGAATACTGATCCATGCTACAACATGGATGAACCTGGAAAACATTATACCTAGTGAAAGAAGGCAGTCAAGAAAGGCCACAGATTGTATGATTCCATTTATATGAAGTTTCCAGAACAGGCAAATCTGTGGTGACAGAAAGTCAATCAGTGGTTGCCAGGGGATGAAGGGGATGGCAGGGGGAGGGGG
This sequence comes from Homo sapiens, assembly GCF_000001405.40. Classification (NCBI taxonomy): domain Eukaryota; kingdom Metazoa; phylum Chordata; class Mammalia; order Primates; family Hominidae; genus Homo; species Homo sapiens. Next base: position 139,916,541 of record NC_000005.10, on the reverse strand, counting down.
TGCTAAAGAGTACGAGGTTTCTTTTGGGGATGATGAAAATGTTCCAAAACTTATTGCAGTGATGGCTGCACAGTTCTGTGAATAGACCACAAAAGTGAATTATATACTTTAAATGGGTCATTTGCATGGCATGTGAATTATATCCCAATTAACCTTAAAAATGCAGTTATAAGGGGAAAATTGATGGTGGGGATATTTTACAGAAAGCTTTAAATGCCAAGTTGAGCAGTGAGGACTGGATTCTCTGGGACCAGTTTTCTCGAAGTGTGCTTCATATACCGTCTGCCTCACAATAGTTACAAATACCAAGTCCTGGCTGCACCCCAGAGACTGTAATTCAGAATGTTTTTCGTGGGATCGGTACTTGCATTTGTAGCAAGCACCCCACAGAGGCTGCAGGCTACACCCCATTGTTAAACATTTTGCTGATCAATCTTGCTGCCTCCAGACTCTGCTCCATTCTGCCCTGCATGACGCTGCTGGATGAGCCTCCAAGAGTATAGTTTGGGTTGGGTCACCTTCCTGCTCAGAACCCTTCAATATCCTTTCATTCCCTTAGCATGAGCTCCAGGTGCTCTGGGCAGCCTGGTTCCCACCCAGTCTTTTTAGCCTTATCTCCATGACTTCCTACATGTCAGTCAAAATGTAATATTCATCATTCTCTGAACCTGTTTTGTGGATTCCCACTCAGTGTCATTGCCAGGCTGTCCCATATTCCAGGAAAGCATCTCCTGTACTCTCAGCTCATCTTTTGCGATACAAATGTCACCATGATCCTTCCTTTCATTTTAACTAGCTGATCGTCTAGAATTTACCACACAGCCTTTCATAATCTTTTAAGCTATACAGTTCTGCTACTTGTAAATTGAATGACAATATTCAGAGTTGTCTGAATATACAGACAATATACGGAGAAAACACCTGTAGATCAGGCAGTGCAGCCTGACACCTGGTCAGAGTGCAGTACTGGGAATAAAATCCTGGTAGCAATCTCCTCTGAGGAATTCAGCATCCTTCCTGGTAATCCAGAGATCAGGGGCCTGCATCAGGCACCAGTGGAATGTAAGCAGGACCTGGGGGACCCTGGCCACCACCCAACCTGTCAAGTCTTGGCAGCTTAGCTGGCGCCACTTCCTTACAGAGGCTGGAAACTGCTGAATTGAATCCTCATTTCAACTGGTGACCCCAAGCAGAAATGCTCTCCCAATCCCATTGTCCTCTGTACTGTGTCCACGAAATCACCCCATCTCAGTAGGAAAAGAGAAGGCTGGAAAGCCATTTACAGCCTATTTGGTAATAAGCTCTTAAAAATAAAATTATGATTGTCAGATAATGATTTTACAGCACAACAAGAGCCCCCTTGCAACCATTTCCGTAATTACATTAAGCCGGTTTGTCTGAAAGAAGCTTAATGGGAAACAAACCATTAATTATAATTTGGTCTTTTCTCCCACAGCCCCTTCCCCCTTGAATTACTGGAGCCACACCCTGGGGCCATGTATGGGAGTGCAGGGATCGCAACCTTGAGGATGGGAAAGATGAGGTGACAAAGGCCAAGGCTCACTGGGAGGGAAGAATAGAGAGCAATGGAAGGTACAAGGTTGTGGTGGCCCCTGTAACCAGCTGGGGGGCCTACAATGGCCCCCACCTAAGTGGAGCCAGTGGTGCTGTGTGTCCACTTCTTTAGACCTGGAGTGAAGGAACTGGGAGCTGTAGGGCAAGCTGAGCCCAACATGGGCATGTTTTCAGGGGCCTCAGAGCTAGTGGGTGGGGCGGGCACCTGGGCAAACAGAACTAAGAAACGGGCAGGAATGAATCAAAGACAGCTTAAATATGCAGAAATGCAGCTCATACCTCTGGGCAAAAATAATCCCAAACAGAGTTATGTAATGGGCAGGTGGTATATGATAGGAGGAATGAGGCTATGAGGTATGTATACAGGCATGAGTGAATGAGAGAGGTTGAGAATGGAGTGGGAGTGTCCTGGGGAATTTGGCAGAGGAGCTTATGAAGCTGTTGCTTGGAGGTGGGTGTGCATGTGTGTATATACACATACTGGGAACCCTGGAAAGCAGCGAGAGGAAGGTAGCTCTGAACGAGGCTGAGTTCCACGCCTGGGGTGGCCTTAAGGCCACTCCAGATGTGTGCACTCCTAATTCTTGAGGTGGTAGGGACAGAGAAAGACCTGAGGGCACAGGTGTGGGGTTTGGAGCACCACTGTTTCCCTTATAAGTTAGTGTACCTCCTTCTGACCGCCATACTCCCACTCCTAGCTTGCTCGCATCCCACCTCCAGACCTTTCTGCTAATTGGAATCTTCCCCTTCCTTTTACAGGAAATCCACCATGACAGACCACCCCAGGTCATTTTTATTATTATTTCTTTTTCTGAGACAGGGTCTGTCACCCAAGCTGGAGTGCAGTGGTAGCGATCTTGGTTGTTCACAGCAGCCTCAACCTCCTGGGCTCAAGCAATTCTCCCACCTCTCAGCCTCCCATGTAGCTGGGACTACAGGTGTGTGCCACCATGCCTGGCTAATTTTTGTATTTTTTTGTAGAGACAGAGTTTCACCATGCTGCCCAGGCTGATCTCAAACTCCTGGGCTCAAACGATTCACCCTCCTCAGCCTCCCAAAGTGCTGGGATTATGGCCTTGAGCCACTGCACCTGACCCCAGGTTACATTTAACTATCCCTCCAAGGAAGTTCCAGGATACTTACTCTGATCTCTCAAAGGAAATTGTCCATAAGTTGCTGCTGCTGTCTTAAGCTGTGATTTTTATCCATCTGTGTAAGTGTTGTCCTCCCTCTAGATTGTAAGCTCCTTGAGGACAGGGTCTTTGTATACTGCAATGGCCAGCACTGTGCCTGTCATTAAGCAGGTGTGGAGCAAGCATTGTCTGGCACTGAGCCTGACAGCTCAAGGAGCAGGGGAGGGCAAAGCAGGGGAGAGGGCACAAAGGCTCTCATAGGGACCCCTCAGGCCATTCAGCTATGAATCCTCTGGCTGCCGGGGGAGCCCCTGAGTCTAGAGGGTGGGTTAGTAGTGTTGAAGCTACAGAATAATTTAGGGGGAAATTGTGGATAAAATCATGTAAAGGAAGTACTCCACTGGACATCAGTCGGAAACCCAAAACAATGCAAGCAATTAGACAAAGGCTTGTGGTGGGCACCTCAGTGACCATAAGTTTCAGGACCCACTGCTTCAGAGTGGGTGGAGAGGCCACCAGACTCATCAGAAGCCTCAGTGACTGGGGCAGGGTATAAGAAACGGATACAGGGGTGAGTGCAGATTCACAAGGCCATTAAGGTCAACATGTTGCATGATGAGCAGGGTGCTGATTAAATGCTGTTGCCTGCAGCCCTAAGAAGCCTGCAAGGAATTCTGAAGCATCCAGTAACCAGGCGCAGGTGCTCAGAGCTCCTGAGGTCCTGTGTGTGCATGCCACTTCCCATGAGCAGCCCCACATACATCCACAGACTGGGCTTGGAAGGGTAGAGGTTTCCAGAGAACCAGTAGTTGACCTTCAAAGGTGGGAGGGAGGCTGGCAGAGGGCCAGCTGTAGAGCAGCAGCTGATGGCAAGGAACAAAGGTCCTAGAGCTGGAAACATATGTGGAGACTCAGGGCTCCTCTTTGAAGATTTACTGCTAGAAAGGGCCCTGGAAAGCATTTCGGTTTTCCCTTGGTTCACAGGTAAGTACACGTTGAGGCGCAAAGGGAAAATATGACTTCCCCAGGAACCACCAGAAGAAAACTGATTGAGCTAAAAGGATAATTCAGGTTTCCTGACCCTATCTCCATATCATATCTGCTTGGAATTTGCATATCCTTCTCCTGGGTAAATTATGGTATTTGCAGTTCCAGTGTACCCCAAGAGCCAGCAGTCTTGGTCTAGTGGTTCTTTGCTTTGTGGTTAGTGCTGGAACTTTCATAAGCTCTAAATGGGTGCTCTGAGGAGAAAGAATGGATGATTTGGGGCAGTGGGAAGGAGGGCAGGGCCAGAGCTGGGTCTCTAGGGTCCCTGAGACCTGCCATAACCACTGTGAAGTTAGTGTCTGTGACATCGTCCATTGAGGAAATTCCCAGAAGGGCTAAGTCTGGCTTGGGAACCAGTACCCAGACCAGGCCAGGGAAGTTGGGCTGTTGTCCCAGGAGCAGCCAAGCCTGGGGTGGGCAGGGCTGGGCTGGGTTGGGCTAGGCTGGGCAGAGCTGAGAGAGAGAAGAGAATTTTTTGCCTCTGGGCTCATAAATGCTATATTGGGCAAGGCCTCTCGTTTCCTTGGGCGGTGACCAGGAGTCTCTCCAAATTTGCCAGCCTGGGTTGAATTGTCTCTCTGCCTGGAAAGAGATTGCATCCTTCTAGAGGATCCCCCTCAGTCCTCAAGGGAATAAGAATGGATGCTGACCCCTGCAGCCTGACCTCCCAGAATGGATAGAGAGATGTGAGCAAATTCCATCCAAGAGGGTGGGCCACTCATTACCTCTGCTAGGCTAGGATGGGAGCCACAGCGGGGGACAACTGTTTCTGGGAACCACGGCTCCCTTGGGTTGCTGATCCATGCAGTCACTGTACCCCAGGGTGGTATAGATAGTAGCTAAGGCCTTGCTCATGGTCCCCAGAGCCCCCAGGCCAGCAAACAAGTCATTATGTCATTATATAAATAAATTAGGTACTTACATAGGCCTTGGTGTGTAAGTGCCGGTTGTTATTATTGCTGTGCAATTATGTAGTTAGCTTGATGAGGGGGGCAGGCAGAAGGGTTGAATCACCCCCCATCCTGGGGAAGGTAGACAGGCTCCCACCTCTCACCTCAGTGAGAACTGTGGCTCAGGGTCACCCAAGATAAAGTGCAGGAGTCTCCCAGGTGTCTCCCTGCAGATGGGGCTATTTACCCCAAGGCATGCCCTGGAAGAGGCTGGCAGCAGGAATCCAGGCAGCTTACTCACCTGCAGCAGGGCCTGGTACCATGCCGCAGGCTTTCTGCCAGCTCCTGACTGCCTCTCCCAGCCTAACAGAGGGGCTTGCAAACAACAACCATGGGCTTCATCCAGGACAAGAAGCCCCAGAAGGTGGGGGCTGAGAGAGATCATGGGGCTGGGAGAAGAGCTGGTGGACAGAGTAACATCTCTTCTTCCTCTTGGGCCTGGGGGTCATCCGCTCCTCTACTCCCAGTCCTTCCCCTCTCACTGGGAGGTTTAGAACCTTAGGTTCCTCAGGTGTGAGGATCTCTCAACATCATTTAGTCCAACCTCACATTTTCTAGATGGGGAGGCAGGCCAGAGAGAGAAAAGTACTTACCCAAGGGCACACAGCAGGCCCCGGGGACACTGGAATTAGAGCCTGCTCTGCTGTCCTCCTTTGTCCTCTTGTTCACATGCTGTCCCCCCACCCCATTGTTGGGGCTGCTCCAGCTTCTCACTTCCTCTCCCCGTCCTGCTCCCAGCCCTGTCCAGGCCTGCCTGTTGCCTCACCTCTCCCCTCGTTTGCTCTCCCATTGCTGCTTGGCTTTCTTCTCCCGGCCCCTGGAGCCAGGGGAGGCTCCCCACCTTCTCTTCGGCCAATGCTTTCTTCTCTCTTCTGGTCCCTCCCAGTTTGCTCCTGAGGCTTCTCCTGGGATGGGTCTGCCTCTTCCCTTCCACCTTCTGCTCTCTCCAAAGAGGGTCTGAAAATGAAGCAGGGAGGATGAATTCTCTTCTGGGTTTGGGATTGGGTGGGCTGAAGCAAGAAGAGCCTCCTAATGTGGGAGTGGGGACAGAGGTGCCCACCATGGCAGCTCCTACAACCAGAGTCCCAGCTCAGGCACTGCAACATCTGAACTTGTGTCCCATAGGAGCAAAGGAAAAGGGGACAGGGTCAAAAGGGCATGGCAAGGTGGTGCGGCTAATCACTATTGGAAAGGGCCTCCGAACATAAGGAGCTGCCTAAGACTGGGCCCTTTTCAAGCGTCCTCATTTCAGGGAGATGAGAGATGAATTTCCTCATCCACTCTGAAATCCCGTGAGAAAGGCCTGTGGGCCCATTTTTTGTTTGTTTGTTTTTGTTTTGAAGGGGAAACTAAGTCTTGCTCAGAACGTCACAGTCTGTGGAGGACAGGGTTTGGAGTCTGGGTAGGTGGATATCAATTTCTCAGCTGTTCCAGGAATCAGTGAAGTTCATTCACTTAACGAGGAATGTGTGTGTGCATGTGTTGAGCAGCCAGGCACAATTCTGAGGGGAACAGCCAGGGTTCACAGGGCTGTGTATGTCTCTAGAAGCATTCTCACCTGGCAATCAAAAGCTTTTCTGCAGCAATCTGTAGCCCTTACTCCTTCAGCCATCCAGATTCTTGGTAGACAGGCTTTCCGGGTTGGCTGACAGAGGAATCTGGAAGTGTATCTCCCTGTTTCATAGCCTGAGTGCCTGGTGTGGAAAATGACTTTTTCAGATTAACCTAATCTCAGGAGCAAAACTGGGCCCAAACAAAAGTGTTCCAGTATCCAAGCTTGCCCTTTTTATCCAGCCGATACAGCCCCCTTCTTTCTGGCCACCTAGTTCTCTGCACTGACTGAGGGAGGCAGAGGCACGAATAAACTTTTTTAAGAGAAGAAACCCATTGCGGCTTACAGGGATGCTGAAGCTACAGGCCATGATGCAGATTTGGCAAGAGGCCCTATCTCTCAGCTCTGATGCATTAGGGGGCTCTCCAGGCCTAGGCAACTGGGTCTGGCCCCCATGCACTCCTCAGGAACTGACTGGCTGCATCCAGGCCCCCACTGCATCCTAGAGTCATGTGGGGAATGGGCTTCCAGGCTTTGCATAATCCTTCTGGATAACTGGGAATTTCTCTGGTCCTGCAGGGAGTGGCATTTTGATCTATTTCCTCCTCTGGCAGCCTCACTGAGTGAGGAGTGTGCCTCATGACTTTCAGGCACTAAAATGAGAAGGGCTAAGGGTAGCAGTAGCCTCATATCCTCCAAGGACTTTTAACTCACGGGCAAACATACCGTGGGCTTGGAGATGGCTCAGGGATGTCTTCAACTGGGATGGAGAGAGTGGGTTCAAGGAACTGCTTAAGGCTCTCCCTAATCTGAGGCCACTGAAGCTCTCCCCCAATAATTCCCATGACATAGTGAGTCCAAGGGGAGTGGGAAAACTTCAGCATGGTTCCCAAGACCCCCTTGCAGGAGAATTGTATAGGTAAGACTCGGAGTCCCAAAGTCTCAGGTAGGGGAAGAGGTAGTATGGGGTTTTTTCCCCTTTCACTGAAAGGCATTTTTGCACATGACTCAAACAAGTCTAAACTTTCCTAAACTTCAAAGTTTGCCATGGCACAGCCTCAAAGTGGAAGGGAAAATGTTAAAAAGGAAAAAAGTTTGTAAGCCAGTTAAATATTGTGTTTTTTCTTCTTAAAGGAATTGAATTAACTTGTTATGTTACTATTAGCGTCCCATTGTGAAAATAGGGTGGGTCTTTTTGGGGTGATGTGGTCTCTGGGCCCATCCCCAAGCCCTGCTCACTCTGCATGAGGTTGTACAGGGCATTGCACAACCTGTGGTAAGAGGAAAGAGTTCCCATGGCAACAGGCCTGGCTCACAGGGTCATTTTCAAGCTCCTGGCAAGAGCCCTGGTCCAGGCCAGAGGTGCTCCAGATGCCTGGCTGTCCTCCCTCCCCTGAGAAACCTTTGCTCTGGAAACTGGGAGGCTGGGGAAGTGGGAGCCCAGCTGGCATGCCCCAGGGTGCCTCGTGACTCTCTCCACCTGCCCATGACCCAGGAACTAAGCATCAGTCATAGGGCTGTGGAGACTGTGCAGGTCTTGCGACCAGTGGTTAGGCTTGAGGGGTGAGGGCTTTCTCTACTCTCTCTCATCTCCTATCTTCTTGAGCAACACCATAGAGCTGTGCTTAAGAGTGAGCTCTGGATACCCAACTGCAAGGGTTCCTAACCTTGCTCTGCCACTTACTAGGTATTGACTTAGACAAAAATTACCTCACCTCTCTGCACTTCAGTTTCTTCAACTGCAAAATGGGAATAATAGTAGACCTACTCCATAGTGGTGTTGTGAAGAATTAAGTGAGTTAATACTATCATATTAGTGACTCTTCCTGCTACCATTTTCACTGTCTTCACTGCTGGTTCAGGTACTCCTCACCTGACCCTCAAGATGTTCAGAGCCTGGCGCATAAAGGGCTCTAAGGAAATATTTGATGGCTGACCTGCTTTGCTGACTCCCTCGTCTCCACTATCTTCTCCTTCCCATCCATCCTGCACATTCCAGTCAGATTAATTTCTCTAATACACAAGTCACTCCCTTCCTCAAAAAACCATCCTCAACTTCCCATTATTTACTAAATAAGGCCCAAAAGCCTCAGCTGGCAGTCCAAGTGTATCTCTCACCTGCTCACAAGCAGTCTAGTCTCAGAGTAAAGAGCATGGGTCCTAGTGAAAAATGGCGAAGGCCGGAGTCCTTGCATTGCAGCTTCCTGGGTACATGACTGTGAATGAGAAGACTCGTTACTCCTAGCCTTTGTTTCCTCATCTGTAAAATGGGAATAAGAGTTGACCTCCCTCACAGGATTGTCGTGAGGATAACAAGAGAGAAAATGTGTAAAGTGCTTAGCACTAGGCTGAGGCAGATAGTACGTGTCCCGTAAGTGTTTTCCGTGTGTATTTGCAGCTCCCATAGTTTCCTAACATAAACCTGGTCTGCTCATTGTCTCCTGGGCAGGTGCCCAGGGAATGCTCCCCCTAGATCTTTGTCGTATCCCACTCATCTGGAATCTCTCACCTGACCCCCATCAAAATCCTACCCATCCTTCAAGCTCTTCTTCAAGCCCAACCTCCCTCAGCACTAGATCTGGATACTCCAGTCCAGGGAGAGTGCTCGTGCCCCCTTTGAATTTCCATGCCATTTCTGACTCGTATCATTCATTTGATACCAAGTCATGAGCTGCTCTGGACTGCTGGGAGAGCTACCCCCAGGAGAATTGTCTTCATCTGGCTGCAATCCCCCAGTTTGAGCCATTTTTTTCTTGCTGATACCCTTGGCCATTCTTTACTAGTGGAAGGAGGGTCACTTATCTGTCCCACAAGGAGGTACCTACTACCTACCTTGTACCAGAAACTGGGGTCACAATCCCAAAGGGGCTTTTACTGTAGTGGAAGAGACGGAGGTGGAAATGAAAAACAACAGTCAAGTGTTCTTAGAGGGATACATCAAAAGAATTCAGGAAGCAGAGGATCTCATCGTTGCCCTCTCCCACCCCTCACATACCTGCTGAAGAGCTTTCCATAGCAGACCATTGCTCTTAAGATTAAACCCCAATGTCTTCATTGGACCTACAACTGTCCTGCTTGATCTGACCACTGCCTGCCTCCTCTCCAGGCTCCTTTTACAACATTTATACCATCAGTCCACAGACCTCCCACAAACCCCACGTGTACACACACACACCTTAGACACAGGCATACACTCATATGTACACACACCTCATGCACATACACACCCATGTGCACACTCACACTCATATACCCACATCCCATACACACATGTGCACATGCACACACACGCACACACACAGCCCTCAGCATACTCTTTTTCAAAGGTAAAAAAGCTCCTTCTTGCTTCAGGGATATTGGATGTGCTGATACTTCTGCCAGGAATACTCTTCCCCCAGTACCTCTTAATATGGCCAACTCCTACTCATACTTCAAATCCCAGTTTAAGTGTTTCCTGGGGAAAGCCTTCCTTCACTACAGTTTGTTCCCTCTGTCAAGCTGTGTGTCAACATATATAAAGGTTTGTTGAATGCATGTCTCCTTAATATTTCACACAAATTTTAATCAATCCATTATTTGTGTAATTAGGTATTTTTCCATCCCCACCAGCCTTTACGTAAGGAGGGCCCATGTCTGTCTTGCTCACTGCCGTATCTCCAGCACCTAGCACTGTGCCCGAAACACAGTAAGCCTGACTACCTATTTACCAAACAAATGAATACAGAGATCAGGTAGGCCAAAAAGGGAGAGAGATCCTGGGCAGAGAGATTAGTATAGTATGTGCAAAGGTATGAGAGGAGATAGAGTAAGTGTGTGTGACTTGTAAGTAAAGTGGCTGAGGTATAGGCTTTGGGGGCTAGAAGGCTGTGAGCTAGGGCCAGGTAGAATAGGGCTTTGGACACCCATGAGGAGTTTAGGTTTAACCCATGGGTTACAATGAGTGAAGTGATCTAGTTTGTGTTTTAGAAAGCTCAGTCTGGGCCGGGCGCGGTGGCTCACACCTGTAATCCCAACACTTTGAGAGGCTGAGGCAGGCGGATCAGGAGGTCAGGAGTTCGAGACCAGCCTGACCAACATGGTGAAACACCGTCTCTACTAAAAATACAAAAAGTAGCTGGGCATGGTGGTGCAGGCCTGTAATCCCAGCTACTCAGGAGGCTAAGGCAGGAGAATCGCTTGAACCCGAGAGGAGGAGGTTGCAGTGAGTCAAGATGGCGCCACTGCACTCCAGCCTGGGCGACAGAGTGAGACTACATCTCAAAAAAAGAAAGAAAGAAAGAAAGCTCACTCTGATGGCCTTGGAGAGGTCAGAACTGAGAGGCAAGACTTCAAGCAAGGAGACCATTGTCTATGGGATAGGAAGAGGGAATGAACCAAGGCAGTACCCCAAAGGCTGAGGAGGGATGGATATGAATGCCATTTTGGAAACTGAAGAGCAGGGGTTGAAGCAGAAGTGAGACCTGGCCCCTGGCTCTGGTTCTGCCCAGGGCCCCTTGCTGCCCACCTCACAGAAAGTGATACTGTGTGAAGTGGGGTGGGTACTCGCTCTCCCTCAGTTGGGGTGGGGTACAAGGGTTGTCTCTTACACCTGCCCCCCCCCCACCAGAGCTGGCCCCTGATGAGACAGACTTGCGCCCCAAGATCAGCCCTTTGCGGGGCCATCACCTCCAGCTTCCCCCTTTCTGTGTTCCCACCCCACAAGTTTGGCCTCAAGTTCTGGCCGCATCCCCAGACAGCCCTGGAGCTCGAGTCCCTGGCCTTGACCCAGAGTCCTAAGCCTGCTTCAGGCTCTCCTAAGGAGAATCCTGTCCAGAGAGGCCTTCGGACCCTTCCTGAGGAGACAGAGGACTGGGTGAGATGATCTTTGACTTGGATTCTGGTTGGGATGGCTGTAAGGGGACACCTCAGGCAGAGCTAGGCAGGCAAACCGCAGGCTCAGGCTTTCTGGGAGCCAGAAGAGGGAGAGCCTTTGCTATGTAACCCTTTCAGCACCACACCCAGGCAGGAGGGAGGACTCTGTCCTCTCCAGCAGCCCCTACCCAATGGTTTGTGGGACCGGGGCGGGGGTGGGGAGTCAGTGTCTGAGTTCACCTCCGCAGGCCTTGCAGAGAGGAGCCAGCTGGTGCCGGCAGCCTGGGCTGTCGGAGTTGCAGCCAGAGTGTGTGGGAGGGGGGCTACAAGCCACCTGGGGCACCCAGGTTCCCTGCAGAGTGCAGCCCGCCCTGGCTGGGAGGGGCTTTTGGGCCACAGACCCCTTGCTGCCAGGCACAAATGGTGGTTGCATTAAAGGTGTTCCCCAGATGGCGGTATCCCACGGGGCTGAGGCCAGACCTGCAGGCATGAGAGGCACAGGCAACCCGCCTGTACGGCCGGGGGTGCCTCGAGGTTGTGGAGACCCACCGCAAGAGCCAAGGGTGCTCGCTACCCCGCTGGGCTGGCTAGCGGGCTTCATTTTGGTCCCTTCCTGGGCCCTTTCCTCGCTGTCTCCCCACCCCCATGCTGTCCTTAGCCTGGCCCTCGCTGGGGGATCTCTACTCCGCCCTCCCCAATCATGCTCAGGCCCCCAGCCCAGCTCAAGCCCCCTCTTCGGCGAGGAGGTCTGTGGCGCCCTGTTTAGGCGCCGGTCTTGCCTACCTCGGTGGGCCCAGGGAGGGGGCCTAGGGCCCAGACCGGCCGCCCACACGCCCCCGCGGCCCGAGCCGGTGGAGGGGGGGCGAGGGTGGAGGGCGCGGGAGGGGAAGAGTTAAGGCTCGCTGCTCCCCTCCCCCGGAGGGTGTGACCGCCTATAAGAAAGGCGCCGCGCTCGGGCACTGAGGCTGCAGGCGGCGGGGGCGCAGCGCGGCAGCGGAGAGCTGAGGCCGTCCCACCGCCTGGGACCCCGTGCAGAATGTCGGAGTCCAGGAGGAGGGGCCGCGGCCGCGGCAAGAAGCACCCAGAGGGGAGGAAGCGGGAGAGGGAGCCCGATCCCGGGGAGAAAGGTAGGGCACCTCCGCGCGCCCAGAAACCCGGTTTCCCTGGGAGAAACCTGCCGCCCGCTCACCCGCCCCCAGCGCAGCGCGGGTGAGTCTAGGCTGCGCTAGCGGCCGCCGCGGTGACAGGCACCGAGGGCGCGCGTGCCTGCGTGCGAGCGGGTCGTCGCGGCCGGGAGAGCAAGGGGCTGCGTGCCAGGAGCCCGACAGTGGCTGTGCGCGCCTCTCCCCGGGCGGCCGCGTCCCCACGCAGGGGCGGGCAAGAGGCGCTGCACGCCGGTACCGGCCTGCAGGCGAGCAGCCCTGAGCGAGCGGGGATGGAGCCGCGGATACCGACAGAAAGGCGGCGGCTGATCAGACGCTGGGCCCGGCCTGGCCGCCGAGCGCTCCGGGAGCTGTCACTGCCTTCCCTTCCTCGGAGAGATCGGAGCCCTCGGGCTTGCCCCTACCCATGTGCCACACCTCCCTCCGTTCTGCTCGGCCACTGGAGCGTGGGCAACAGCGCCCGCCAACTCCGGAGACTCGGAGGGGATGCCCTGCCCCGCTCGCGAACCCCAGAGAGAAGGGGAGCCGCTGCTTCTGTGACAGTTCCCTGGGAACTGGACTAGACATTGGGCAGTTGTCTCTCTCTGGTCTTCGGGAGTGACTCTCTTGGGCCCTTGGATTCTGTCCCTGCCTGGAGGAGCAGAGCCATGATTTGCGACCCACTTTCGTGCCCTCCCTGGGCGGTTGCAGAGTCAAAGAGGAGTGCACTGGTCTCGGGCTTCTCAGAGGCGGCCCGGGGCATGCACATCCTCTCCGTAGAACCAGGCTTGCACTGGGGCCCAATTGGGGAAACCCTGGATTCTCGGTTCTTTTCTTCAGGCAAGCGTTTTGTTAATTTTGTGCTAATTTTATGTGTTTTGTACGAGTCACAGGCAAGCCATGTTCAAATGCTTTATCTCCATTTAATCCTCATAACAATCCTGGGAGCAGGTGGTCCTATCTCCATTTTACAGAGGGAGTAACAGAGGCTTACTGAAGTTAAAGTAACGAAGTACGTTCCAGAGATAAGACTGGGCTTCAAAGTAGCATTCTCAGGACAAAGGTCCTGAGACTTGCTGGGTCTCTATCCCCTCACTGGAGTGCCCACCAGATCAGCAACATAAAAATGCCTTCAAAAGAGCGTTTGACGGGAAGCTGGGAGGCTTCGATGGTGCTTGAGAATTTGGCCAAATCCCTTTCCTTTCCTGAATTTCTGTGTAATGATAGGGAAGGGGTAGCAAGGCTCTGAGGTCTCTATTGGGAAGAGCCTAGGCGTCAAACACTATTTCCAGCAGGGTAGAGAGAAGCAGTTAAGGAAACTTAAAGGCCAGAACTGTGTTCTCCTTCTTTTTAAGAGAAAAGCTCTTTGCCCATTTCTGCCAGACAAGTGTGTCTTATAGCTCTTCCCAAGGACAGGTGGTCTGCTATGAGGAGCCTGTGGGTCAGCTCAAGCTGGGCTCCTGCAGTGTGGGATGAGCTCCCAAACTGAGATCTGAAAGAATGCAGGGTGCCTCTTTTTATGATCGAAAATTTATGGATTTGGTTCAGTGAGCCACCTCCATTACCCACCCCACTCCCATTCCCCCTACATACACATCCTACCTTGGGCATTTTGGAAGGGTAGCTAGGTAAGAGCACTCTCTCAATGTCAAGGAGGCAGGAGCTGAGCTGGTAGCAAGCACTCGGTGGGCTTCAGCTGGTGGGAATCACTAGTGCCAGGGAAATGCACATGGAAAGCATGAGCAAGTAATTCACTAAAACCTTTAGCTTAGATGTGGGGTGGGAATCTGGAAAGTGGGAGGGAGAAAGGAGGGGAGAGAGAAGGGGACACTAATTAATGGGCTCCCCCTGGTCCTTGACCACACACTCAGCACCCTCCAACAACTCCTTAGCAAATAGCAGGAAGAGGTACCTCTCTCCACACAAACCCAGGCCAGTGTGGGGAAATGGGCTTTTCCTCTGCCTCAGTGCAGGAGTGCTGGCTGGGGCTGAACTGCAGGTGTGAGCTCTGCTCCATGACTCACTGAGAGTTTGTGGGTCTGAGGCTTGGTATCCCTAACCGGGAACTGGGTCTCCCCCATCCCCCATTTCCCCTTCTCCCCAGCTCATAGTCTTGCCAGCCTTGGCAGCGGTGCTGGGGGTGTTGGGTAATAAGCCCACTCATGGTATAGTGGAATGGCACAGCTGGAAGCCAGGCACCTGGGGTTCATCCCTGTTGGACCTCTGTGTGACCTCAGACACTGTCCTCCCTTTCTGTGGGTCTCTGGATATGCAGTCTACGCTCAGCCCTCACCTTCTATATGAGAAGGGCAGAGCGTAAGCCTGCATACCCAGCATCTCTGAGAACCCCTAGAGGAGAGCCATGAGATTGGAGGAGTGGGGAAAATTGGCCTTAAAGAAAATCAGAATCCCTGTAGTTGCTGTGTTGTTTTAAAGAATGACTTTGGAAGGGGATTCTAAGTTACCAGCCTTTTCTGTGTGCCCCAGTTGGTCAGGGTTTCATTTAAAAAAAGTCTCCTCTGCTGGAGGTCCCTGTGAACTGAGAGTCTGAAGCTGCCCACAGGCAGACATGGAGCAGACTTTGGTCTTCACCAGAGTGTCCTGGAGTGTGAAGGCAGATTAGCATCACTAGCTGAGGGCTCTGGACACATCTCATTTCAATTCCCTGGACACAGATAAATCTTTGCAAAGCCTTTCTTTCCCATCTTTGCTATCTCCTGCCTCTGATAAAGATGCTGCCCTGACTTCTAAAACAAACTCCCTTCTTTAGGCTGTCCAGGACCAGGTCAGAGGTGGGATATGCTCATGTGCATGTATCGGAGCCACATCTGGGGGTTGCTTCTGGCAGCCTCCACCTCTGGTCTTGGCCCCTGGCTGACCCTGCTGAGCCAGGCACCTTGAGCTGTCCTCCTGCCACTCTGGAGCTCAGCCTATGCCTCATGCTCTGCTCTGGCTCCCTGGCACCTCGAGGTTCATTACAAACAATAACAACAAGCAGAGTAACTTTGTACTTCCCAACAGTCTTTCATCCTGAGAGCTCAAAGCAATTTACAGACCAGGACTCATCAGTCTTCATCCCAGGTCCCAGGCATTTGGCAGGGGTGAAGAGGGGACCAAGAGCTCTAGTCTTTCCAGATTGGCACAGCGGTACAGCTGGGGTAGGGCAGTGAGTCATCTGGGTTGGGGGAATCGGATGGCCAGTAGGTCTGGGATAGAAGTAAAATTGGACTACTGGCTTTAGGTTGCAAACAGAGGGTATAGTCCCCCTTAAAAGAGTATGAGCTGGGCCATTCCTTCTCCTAGGTGGAGACCTAGGCCCTCTGGCCTGTGTGGGCTCATTGAGTTGCTGGAGGAAGAAGCAGCAGCTTTTTGGAAGCAAAGTCCCTTGGAGTCAGATTTTTGCAGGAATCCCAAGGTGCTGCCTGTTGCTGCCTTCTTCCCCTTGGTGCTGGGAGCTTCAGGGCCAAGTCAGGAAAGCTCTGACATTAGGGCAGCACCAAAATGAAGACACATGGAGGAAAAGGTGCTGGCCCAGCCTGGGCAGGCCCTAGCCCTGGCCTCGGGGTTGGTTTCCCAGTTGCTACCCATACCTGGTCAGTCCCACTTACTCCACTAGCCCTCCTCTGTTCTCCAGCCCACCAGGCTGGCCTGAGGGACTGTTACTATATGGAAGAGGGGCTTAGGAAAAAACAAAACAAAACAAAAAAACCCTCTGGCAAAGCATTGCCAAAGCATGAGACCTGGGCCCCATTGGAACCATGTTCTCATTGTGTTTTCCCACCATTTCTGAGCCAGTAGCACACCCTTTGTAACTTGGTGGGAAGCAAGTAGCAGCCCATTTTCCCAGTCTTCCTCCAGCCTAGCCATCCTCTCATCAAGACTTCCAGGCTCTGGCCACATGGTAACTACATAAACTGCATAAACTACATGTACGTTCACTCATCTTTGTGTATTCAATTCTGCAGGCATTAACTGAGCTTCTATTATGTGAATAAACAACAGGCCCTGTCTTCAGGAAGCTCAGAGAGACAGATCCTTATACAACTACCTATGATCAGAACCGAGGGTAAGACCAGAGATAAATGTGCAACATCTGGTGAGGAGAGGAATGATTTGTTCTCCTAGGGTGGTGTAGGGAGGACTTCACAGAGGAGATGACATTGGAGCTGAGCCTGGATGGTGAATAGGAACTTACCAGGGAAAGAAAAGGGACTTCTTAGAAGTAGAAACATGTCCATGACCAACTTGCATGGGAGACAGGGAGACAGCTCTCATTTACTAAGGACTCACTACAGGCCAGTACTGATACTATAAAGTATAGGTATTATTTTATCATCCTCACTTTACAGATGAGAAAACTGGGGCAGAGAAAGTCCCACGATTAACCATGAATTAGTGGCAGGATGAGATCTTAAGTTCAAGTCTGCCCCCTGCCCAGCCTCAGTCATGCACAGTCCACCTGGCTCTGGGCTCTTCCATGCCCCTCAACAAAAACCAGGGAGAGGCAGAGGATCTCTGTTGGTCCACTTGGAGCAGGCCCTCCCCATCAGATCAACTGGTCAGATATCTACTTCCTGGGCTCTTGGGTGGAGTTGAGAGGATACAAAGATAAGTGGGTCGAGTCCCTGCCCTCACAAGGAGCTTGCAGTGTGACTGTGGCAGTAAGGTGTGAACAGGAGCCATGAACACTGACAGAGGAGGGTAGCACTGAGGCCTTGAGCCTGCACAAATAGGCAGGAGCTCCTGAGAAGACAGTGGTTTGTTATGGTCAAATGGCCTAGCCAGAAACCAAGCTAGAGGTCTAGAGTCCGGCTAGATCTAGCATCAGAATGAATAGATATCTGGTCCTATGGAGCCCCTTGTGAAAAAGATGGACATTTAAATTATTGGGAACCTGATTTAAAGCACCAACTGGGGACTTGTTAGAAGTACAATTTCTTGGGACCTACCCCTGACCTACTGAATCAGTAACTATGGGGATGGGGGCCAGTAATGTACATTTTATCAAGCCCCCCTCCCACCCACCATTTATTATGATGCATGCTCATGTTTAAGAATCACTGATTGAGCTGGGTGGCCCAGCCTCCTGGAGCAGAGCCCTGTAGAGGGCCTGTCAGTTCCATAGGTGTTAACCCAGCTCCTCAGTGTCAGGCATGAGGCTTGGGGTCTGCAGTGCTGGCTGAGATCCTGTCACCTGGCAGGACGAGATAGACACGAACAGACCTAATTTCAATTACAAGGCTGACCCTGGCAAGAGATGGCCCAGAACAGATAGAAGAGACTAACTCTAACCAGAGGAATCTGAGGAGGCTTCGTGGAGGAGGAGATGGGGTTGAGGCAGACTTTGGAGCATGAGAAGGACTTTGGCAAAGGGGCTATGTGCCCAGATTGAAGAAGTCACTTAAGGAGGTGTGGAGGCTTGGAAACAGGATATTTGGGGAAATAAGGCACAATCCAGAAGGTATGCTGCCAAACAGTGGATTTTCTGAGTGCCAGGCTACTGAGTTTGGACTTTTCTGAGTCAGCAGGGAATGAAGGGTTCTGAGCAGGAGGGTGACCTAGTCCAAGCTGCACTTTAGGCATCATAGCCACATAGCTCTTTGTGAAAGGATGGGAAAAGGGACGGCACAGTCAGGAGCTCCTGCAGTAGCCCCAGCTGAACCATCAGAATGTGCATGTGGTGATGGCTGGGTAGAGGAGGTCACAGGCTTTGCCTCGGGATAGCTCGCCAGCTGCAAACACTTTGGGAGGATTCTGGGGGTTTGGACCTGGCAAACGGGCTGTGACTTCTGGTGCAGTCAGGTGAGGTCTGGATCTGAACTCATAGTTCACTCCCTTCACTGTAAAGATGGAGAAACTGAGGCCCAGAGAGGGAAGTCCACACACCAAGGCAAAGGACTTGGCCCTATAGGGCAAGAATGAGGGCAGCAACCTGCTCCCCTAAACCAGCCACTGCAGCATGGGTCTCACCTCTCATGCCTGCGGTGCAGATGGATTCCTCTCAGTTCCATGAGTACCTCGTGGTTCCTTCCGGCCTTGTTCCTGTGAACCTGCTGTTCACTTTGCCTGGCACATGTTCTCTCTTAGCAAACTCTTGCTCATCCTTCAGGTCCAGCATAGGCTTTGTTTCCTCCACAGGGCCTCCCTGGTCCCCAAGGTGAGGAGCACATTGCTCAGCCAGAATCTCCACCAGGGCGAAGGCCACATCAACTTGACCCTCAGCACTCGAAATGTGCTCAGTGCTCAATCCATTCTTGAACGAACACATGAATAAGGACATTCTCAAGCTATTTCACCCCTGTATGTGGAGACCTAGCTGGCCACTCCTGTTTGAAGAGGGTCAGTCTCATGGAAGGAGGCTGCCCCAGTTGAGCTTCCTGCCCAGGCTGGAGCCCCTTAATGGTTGGGCAATGGTAGGCTGATCAAGAGTCATCTTTCAGTCAGGGCCCCGACTTCATTATCTGCTCTGCCATTCTAGGGCAGATGCCTGTTTGGGCTGGCAGGGAGGGAGAGGGATGAGTTGGGGAGGAGTGTTGGGTGGGAAGGGGCTCTGGGATTACCTGTCAATGGATCCCACCCTCCAGCGAGTGCTCACAGCAGTCTTGATCTGGGCTGCTCTGAGGCACCCATCAGTCACAGTCCAGCCTTACAGCATTAATTCATTTACTTGGCCTGTGATCAGTGAACACCTACCCAGTGACAGACACCAGGAAACACGGCGATTCTGCAGCACATGCCCCCACCAGCTCCTCACAGTCTAGAAAGATAAGAACCTGATTTTCTCCAAGGTGAGAAGCCCCGAGAAGAGCGTGTGAAAGTCTCAGGAAGTCTGTGAGGCAGAGACTGCTTCTAGCTGGGTGGATTAGTGAAGGTGGTGGCATCTGAGATCTTGAGGGATTTAGATTAATAAGAGCTGCCGGTTATTAAGCTATCTCTGTTTCAGGCACTGTGCAAACTTCTTGACATACATTACCCTCATTTAATTCTCTCCACAATCTTAAAAGTGGATGAGACTGTCCCTGTTTCACAGACAAGGAATGAAGGCTCAGAGAGTTTAAGTAACTTGCCTAGTTATACAAGTGCTGGGCAGAGCCAGAATGCACAGTGGCATCCGTCTGACCCCACAGCTTGCATGTCTGACCCTCTCAACTCGGCTTCCTGTGTGAGGGATGGCATTTAGGGGAAGCAGGAGCAGAGGGCATGGAGGCAGGGCAGAATAGGCATGGGCAAGTTTGGGGAGCAATCGGTGATTTGGTTTGCCTGGAATATACGATTCCTGAAGGGAAGTGGTAGGGGAATGTAGAGAGGCAAGTTTGGGAAGGAAGCCCATTCACTGACCCAGCAAACATCCCCTGAGGGCCCTGGCTGCCAGGTAAGGAAGGTGGGCGGCCTTTCTCTACAGACATCACAGAGCCAAGGAAGGTTTCTGAATGGCCGTGAGGCACATTGAGGTGGAACTGCCAAGTGTACACTGTTCATGTCATGGTACTGGGGGGTGGGGAGCAGTATGACCTGAGCCAGGGCCTGGCAGATGATGGAGAGTTATGAGGATAAGAGGCATGGTAGAAGCCAAATGGACTCAGCCTTTGGGGAAAGTCAAGAGAGACACAGGGTTGTCACAGATAAAGTGACTGAAAGAGGAAATCCAGGAGAAGGAGCAATCTTGGAAGAGAAGATGGAGAAACTGGTTTTCCGCATGTTATATTTAACCTAATGACTAAATACCCAGGGAGGAAGGTGTTCATTCTGGGGTGAGTTCTTTCCAGTCCCCTTGCCCTCACTAGCCAGGACCACAAGGACCACATTTCAGCCCTCCCAAGCTCCCAGGGTGCCTAAGCTGGGACTTTCATGCTTGCAGTTGAATTTGAAGGAAGGAGACAGGGCCTCTGGCAGCCTGGGCACCCTGCACCCATGGTGAGCACATGAGCCTGTTCCTGCTCTGCATCAGGCCTGCTAAGACCTTTCTCCTGAAACCCAGCATTTTTTCAAAACCTTATACTTTTATTTTATCTTAAAAATCCACATGAACTTAACACTTTTCTCCACCATATGTCTGTTTGTTCTGATACAAAGGTGCTGCTTTTCCTTATTAATAAGCTTGGCAGACCCTCAGAAAGAGGCCCTGAGATCATCCTATGGCTTTGCATGTATCCCAGTTTGAGAAGCCAGTCTTTTCTGCATGTACAGGGTGCCTCCCCCTTTCCCCAACCCCTGCTACATTTCCCCAAGACTCAGAGCTTCAGAAACAACTTTCTCCAGCCAGGCCAAGGAGGCAGGAAGCACAGGCCCACCCCAAAGAGGATGGGGCTCTGGGATCCCCTTCTTGGCCCTTTCTGAATTCCCTGAGCAAGAGACGGCCTAGTCCACCCACAGCTGGCCCTTTCCACAGAAGGTTCTCCTGGGCCAGGGCCCAAGACTTTGGCCCAGAGCCCAGCTTTCCCCAGTAGGGAGATTAAACAGAGTTTGGGTAAATGGTAACAGTTTTCCAGAACTGCCATCTCTGCTTTGTCCCCGACCTCTGCCCTCAGCAGCTGAAGAGATGATAGTGGTCAGAGGCCTTCCATCCCTCCATAGAGAGCTTTCTCTTGCTCTATTCCTCTAAAATAGACAGAGTGTGGTTTATAAATGAGTCAACTGAGGCCCAGAGAGGCTAAACTACTTATCTAAGGGCAGACAGTTGAGAAATTGGGAGACTGGGACAAAGACCTGGATTGCTGTGTCTTCAGCTGCCTCTCTTTCCCCTGTTCCTGCTCTGCTTCCTCTGTGCCTCATCCGTGCCAGCCCTAGGTGTCTACAGCCTGTGCCACAAGCACTGCTAAGAACCCAGGGAGACTGAGGCATCTGTACTGGGTATCCCTATGCCTACCCCAGCAACTGCTGCCCTGCTCTGTGAACCTGTGCCATCTCTCCCAGACATAGGTGACAACCTCCTCATCCCCCATCTCTGCTACTCGTGTGCCTGTATCCCAGCCCTGCGCTGGGTGGAGCACTGCGGCGTGGACCTGCGTGACTCTGGGGATGAGGTATCTCTCCCTGGCCTTGCAGAGCCCTGAGGAGGCCAGTGTTTCTCTCAGGATGCTTGGCTCCTGGCAGAGGGGGCTGTGGGTGGGAATAGTGTTGTCCCTGGTGGTCAGGCCTGGGCCTGTGCATACCTGCCCTCACATTGCAAGTTGGGTGTCAGTGGATGGGTGCTTCTGGATGGGCAGGTGAAGCTTTAAGGCAGGAATCATTTCTGTTGGTCTTCATGCTGCCAAGTTTTGTCTCCTCCTCCTCCCTTCCCCTTCTTCTTTATCTGCCCTCCTGGTGCAGCTTCTGCCTCCCCTCTTTAGTTCTCATCCCAGCTGGCCTGGCCCCTCTTCTCTACCTTGCAGCTGAGATGCCAGGCACCTGGGCTGCTGAGCTGAAAGCCCATCAGGTCTAGGCTGGTTTTCACTGGTGCAGGGAAGGTGGTCCTCTTTGAGGATCAGCCTCTGTGGGAGCCCTAAACAGGAGGCAGAGACCAACCCGACACCAGGGCCATGTCTTATTTGGCACCAAATCCCTGGTGACTGGTAAGTGCCTCGTACATCATAGGGACTGTTGCATGTGGGTATTTGTTGGATGGATGTAAGAAGAGGGCAAAGCAAGCCCAGGCATTGGGCTGGGCTTAGGTGACTGAGGAAATGTGGCTCAGGGAAAGCTAAGCAGCCCAGCTGGGCATACACTCCCTTTGGGAGTCTGTCCTGTGAGTGTGAAATTGCTCTTCTGCAGGCCATGGGTAGGATGCCTGGCTGCCTAGGCCGTCTGTGCCTACTTAAACCAGCTGTGTTTTTAGCTTAGTGGGTTTTTTTTTTTTCTTTCTCATTTGAACTTGGAGTCTGTAATTAACCTCCAATAGGTTGCAGTCACTTTGTGGGTGGGACAGGGGTGGGAAGGGGGCTGGCCTGCAGCTGGCCAGCAGCAGGACAGTGGGAAACTTTGATGCCAGGCAGGCTGGCCACATTGTCTCCAGGTGTTGCCCTGCAAAGGGAACTGCTCAGCCTTAGTCATGAGGTGAGGATCATTAACCCTTTTAAGAGCCTGCTGCCCCTGCCCGCTGGGTGCCGGGAGGGAGGCAGAGCCAGGTCCTCCCTGGCTGGGTTGCCCAGCCATGTCCTGAGCGTCTGTCTTGCTCTCAGATCTGAGTAGGCTCCGCACCCACCGCCCACTGCCGAGAGGAATGAGGTTAAGCTGCTGGCAGCAGCGGCACCCCCTGGTCTCAGGGCTGGGATGTGGGAAGAGAGCAGTCCTGGTTGTTGTTGCTGTTGTCGCTATCTTTAATGAGGAGCTTCCTGGGGATGGCCTGTCAAACAGATACAGGCCAGAAGCCCTGGCTTGGCACCAGGAGATAGGAAGCAGAAGCCACCGGATACCCTGTGGCCCAACTCATGGCAACCATGGGGAGGTGTCCTAAAGTTTTATGGAGCCCGTCCTGGAGGAAAATCTTTTTGTGGAGGCCTGGGCCATCCTTGAGAGAGCTTCTTGTTCTTATAAAGCTGCCAAGGGAGACCTCCCCACATCCCCACACCTCAACTCCAGTGAACCCTTGTCCCAGGAGGAAGAGAATGGATGAAGTAGCCTCTGGGCTTCCCCCAAAACCCAAGGAGTATGGGAGCTCAGCAGAGGGTGCTTGGTCTGAGGAGGAAACCTTAGGGGAAGGAAGAGCTGCCCAATACCCAAAAACCTGTGTAGGCCATCAGCTTGCCACCTGCCCCTTTCGTCTCTGGGGAAGGAGCTGCTGCAGGGATCAGGGTGTCAGTAATGGCCATGGGTGCAGAGTGCTGGGAACTTTCTCCCCTTTCTTGTGCACACAGAACTTCCTCTTGCTTTTGCTAGATGCCTCTCATCTGTCCACTCTTCTGTGTGCTGGACCTTTGAGGGTCCCCTTTCTGCATGAGAAAATATGCATGAACCCCCAGGACTGCTGCTCCTCCCTTCAGCCACAAAGCTGAATTTATGGAGAAATTCATTGCAATATTGTTATTATTAGCAGAACGTTGGAGACAACCTAATATGCTCATCTGAACAATGAAATATTATGCAGCTACTGAAATGATTCTAGACTTGGAAAAATGTTTTGAATGTATATTGACTGAGAAAAATGGGATATAAAGCATTTTGGAGAGAAAAGTCTTTTGGCAGACATTTGAAAATGCCTACAGTGGCTTTCTCTCTGTTGGTAATTGAATTGATTTAAATGTGTTTTTCTTTTTCCTTACTTGTGTAATTTTTTCACAACAAAAATTTCTTATGTAACAAAACAACAACAGAAGGGGACAAGCTAAACTCTTTGCGGAGTAGGGGTGGTTACTCCATATACAGCGGATCATTTCTGTCTGGGGCCAAACACAGAACCTGGCTCATAGCAGGCATTCAATAAACAGGGGAAAGGAGAGGTGCTCAATACTCAAGGGCCCAAGTAGTCCATCAGCTTGCTGCCTACCCCTCCATCTGTGGGGAAGGAGCAGCGGTAGGGATCAGAGTGTCGACTGAATGGGGGATAAATGCCTGCCCACTGCATTGCTTCAGTTCTTTCCCTGACAGATCCCATGCATCCCAGGAAGCCTGTTCCTCTGCTTGGTTCAGCTCTGGCCCCAAGACATTCTTGAGACATGGTGCGATGATCTCTATACCCATACACTAGCATTGTAGTGTGGGCCCTGGGCTGTAAAAGAGAAACAGGCAATACCAGACCTAGCTCAGAGAGGGTGTCTAGGTGAGGGGCCGATCTAGCCCAGTCATGTCTGAGGTCCCGTTAGAGCTGTCTCTGGATGCATAAATGTCTGCTATGTGAACAGCCCCTCAGCCTTATCCCACATGACCCCAGGGCCTGGTACTAGATCCAATGGCTAGAGGATGCATAGAGAAAGGATGGTGGCTCAGGATAAGAATGAGCTTAACATGCAGAAAGTAAGATCAGGTCATCCCCCAACTTATAGCCTCTAATGCCTTCCCAGCACACCTACAAAACCAATCCAGGGCCATCTTGGGGAGGTCACCTCAATCTTTGCCACAGAAAACCTGGCAGGGCTCTAGGCCCAGGAGTGCGGATGTGGAGGACATTGTTCCGAGGCCATCTGGTGTACATTCTTCTCTTTCCTGCCACCTGAGCTGCTGCCACTGCCCCCTGACCCCAAGGAACTTTCCTACAAGGTTTGCCCAACCCTGGCTTTCAACTTTCAAATCACTGCAAACTAGGATTGCCTGTGAGCAAAGACCAGGACTTGCAGCTGCTAGAGCAGGAGGCATGGCTTTTAGCATCACAGATGATTCCGAGGAACCGTTAAGAGCTATAAAAGAAAACTCTGTAAAGAACGTGGCATGATTCAAATGTATGGTTATTTTTATTTTGTCATCCTTTAAACCAGGGCTGTCCAATAGAAATATAATGCAATCCACATATGTAATTTAAAAATTTCTAGTAGGCACATAAATAGTTTTTTTTTAATGTACAAAATAAATCCAGACTTCTCATCCTGGCTTGCACAGCCCCATGTCAACCTGGGCCCTACCTACCTCTCCAGGCTCCCCTCAGACCCTGCCCATCTTCTACTATCTTCCAGCCATATAGGCCTCTTTTGGCCCCATGAACTCATCAAGCTCATTCCCACCTTAGGGTCTTTATCCAGCTGCTTTTTTTTTTTAACTGTCTCATATTTCCTGTTGATGTTTTGTTTATTGTCCCCCTCACTAAAATTCAGGCTCCCTAACAGTAGGATGCTTATTTCTTGGTATGGTTGAATGAATGAATGAATTCATTTGGAATGAACTGAATAAATGAATAAGGAACAGGTGAACTAGATAGGGTTGTTCTGAAGTGAGTGGACTATCCAGAAATGGCTACTGAGTCACACAAGGTTCTCACTAGATGGAGTGGGCTCCCTGTGATCTGAAATGCGGTCCTGTGTTTTCCATTGGTGGCCGGCGATTACTTTGGAGCTCTCAGTTCCTCAGGCCCTCTGAATTAGGGCCATGCCTACTGTTTCTGGGAGCAGTCTCTATGCAACACATCCCCCTAGCCCATCACCATCACCACTAAGCAGTGGCCACAGGCTCAGTGCATAATACAGCACTGGAACTCATGTCAGGAACCAAGGTGGTAGAGTAACCCCTGCTTCCTCCCACCAGCGGCCACCGCCATCCCCCACCATCTTGTTGGGAGGGAAGTGGCTCATGATGGTGGAGACAGGCAGTTCCCTTGTCTCTGAGTTGCAAGAAAAGTCAACACACTCCAAGTGAGGTAAGGGGAAACTTTAGCACCTGATAAGAGCTCTCTGTGTTGTGTCCCCAGTTCATAAGAAAGGAGAAGGGACTAGTTGGAGGTCATCACTTGACCAAGAGGTTAGATCATCACCAGGTGTCAACCCAATCTTAGCACAAAGCCACCTGTGCATATGTGTTCAGTTTGTAACCAGTCATTGAGCTATATACACTTATAATATGTGCACTTTCCTGAATGTATGTTACATTTCCAAAAATAAAGGAACACACCTGAAGAGCCCTTTAGAACCCACAACCCGAACCCACACTCACAGCTTCTGCTTCAGAATGCCTAGGATATGTCCCAGGTACCTGACTTGTAAAGCTTCCCATGTGATTCCGATTAGCATCCAGGGTTAAGACCTAACATAAGCAATGACTGGGGACTCCAGAGCAGATGCAGGAGGGAGGGAGGTGGGTAAGGGAAGGAAGATAAAGCAGGATTTCAGTCACACTTAGAATAATGAAGTTCCAAAAAGTCCAACAGATTGTTAGATTGATGCACATAGAATCTCTGGGTGCCAAAAAAAAAAAAAAAAAGAAAGAAAGAAAGAAAGAAAAGAAAAGAAAAAGACGAAGAAGAAGAACCAGCAATATAAAAAAAGCAGGTAACTGAGGGGAAAAAACTTTGTAGCAAAAGGTTAATAGCCTTAATATTTATAAAAAGTTCTTACAAATCACTAGGATGAGCACTCGATAGGAAAACAGACTGCATGCATGAACAGGCAATTCAAAAAGAAGAAATACAATGGGCCAATACACTCATGAAAAATGTTCAGCCTCATCAGTAATCAAATAAATGCAAATTAAAATGACAAAGAGACGTTATCTTTTGCCTAGCTAATTGGCAAAGATTAAAGACATGATAATACCTCGTGTTGGTGAGTGTGTGGAAAAAACAGGCACTGTCATTCACTGGGGGGAGCGCAAATTGGTGCAACCTTTCCAAAGGGCAATTTGGCAATGTACAAAGCTGAGAAAGATTGCATACCTTCTGACGCAGCAATTCCACTTTTAGGAAGATCGCCTTAGGAAATAATTGTGAATAATAATAATAATAGCTAACCTTTGTTAAATGCTCTCTATGTGCCAGGCTCTACATGCATTGTCTCATATAATCCTCACAGCCATCATCCCAAGAGGTAAGAGCTATTATTTATCTCCTGTATTTTACAGCTGTGGAAGTTGAGGCGCAAACGAATGAAGTTAATTCTTGGACACAAATCTAACAAGTAGCAAAGTCTGGATTGAAAGCCAGACAGCCTGAGTCTAGAGCCATCCTCCCCCATACAGCAGTATACATGGGGTGTGTGCAAAGATAAAGCTGCAAGGATGTTCTTTTGGGGTTGTTTGTAATGGGAAGGGGGAGGGGGCATGCTAAATGTTCCACACAGGAATCAGTTACATAAGTTATGATACACCCATACAGGAACATTATGCAACCATGAAAAATGATGCTGTAAGAAAAACTGAGTGTGTGAATACTCGGGGGTGCGGGATTTGTATATGCATAAAATATTTCTGAAAGGAGGTCAAAGGAACCCATAAGATTGATTATCTCCTAGAAAGACAACTGTGTGGTTGTGGCCAGAAGTTAGAGAGAGACTTGTTTTTTAATCCATATACCTCTTTTCACTTCTTGAATTTTGAATCATGTTAATATCTGTCAAAATATATGTTTATATATATATATTCAATGGAATCATTGTTGAAATATATATATACACAAACAAATACACATATAAGTCATAGAATTTGTTCCACATAACTTTCATTTCCTTGAAATGCTACCAAGAGTTCCAAGAAAAAAGGTTTCAAGGCCCCCACTTAGAGAACGATACTGAAGTTGATAGATACTTCTTTAACTATGCTTAACCCACATGCTCTCCAAACCCATTTTCCCATGGAACCCTCTTGTCAAGTAATATCTGTTTTCATCTCTCCAGATACTCCTGCTTATAGAATACACTTTGGGAAATGCTATTATTAATATTTAACACCCAGGCGAAAGGGTTACACTGTTTCATTAAATGAAAGAATACATAGAGCCTGGCACATAGAGAGCATTTAACAAAGGTTAGCTATTATTGTTATTATTATCCACAAATGGCATTGATTCCATTTTGTTTAAAAATGGGGGGAGGTGTTATTTATGAGTATGGAGACAAAGGAAGGTTTTGTTTTCTTCTTTTTTCACTCCTCTGTATTTTTTCATTTTCTAAAATGAACAAAATTATTTTACGAGAATCATTGTGTAAGCCTACGTCATACATTTTTAAAGTCTTCCTTTCTGTGCTTCCTCTGTGCCCTGTGCCCCTCTCATCTACTCCCTGCGTATATGCAGCAGCTCAGGGTGAAGTTCAATGAGGGGACCCCTGTTCTAGCCAGGCCCTCTTGCCTGCCTTTCTCCAGAGCCAGCTCTGGCCCATTGTCAGCACTCTGAGTTGCTAGGGAAAGGACCAATGGCCGAGACAGGGCCAATCAGTTCCCAGACAACTCCCTGGCTCCAACAGACCCTCCCTTCTGCTACTGGAAGGCTTTTAACCATCTCACAGAGAGAAATAAGACCACAAAATCAGACACCATCCTGCTACCAGCCTAACACGTGGCAAATCTTGATACCTGAGCTTTGGTCCCAGCTCTGTGGCTGCCTGGCTATGTGGCTTCAGGCAAGTTTCTTCACCTCTCTGAGTCTCATCTGCACCATCAGTGTCAGTATGACACTGCCTCACAGAGGTCAGGGACCAAACGAGAGCCTGCATGAAGGCTTTGTGTATCCTGTAAGGGACTATCCCACTGGAAATTGTTATACACCTCAGCACGAGCACTGGCTTAGCCTCATCTTCCTGAGAAGAGAGTACTTTCTCTTTCAGGGTGTGTGTGTGTGTGTGTGTGTGTTGTTTTGTTTTGTATTTTGGTGGTGGGGAGAGGAGCAAGGAAGTGAAGCATGGGAGACTGGGGCATGCGGAAATAGAATGGCGTTTAAGAAAAATGGGGACAGCCTCTCAGCTTGGCATTTGCAGCTTTGCATCCGTGATTGGGCCTGAGCCCACCAGTACAGCCCCATGGCTTGTTACCCATGATTTTAGATCCTGAGCACTGATGTCAAGGAGATCTGTGTTTGAATCCCAGTTCCATCATCTGCCCTTAGGGAAGTGACTTCACCATTCCGAGCCTCTGTTTCCCCATCTGTAAGTGGGTTTAACCATTGCTGTGAGCTCATGGGGTTACTGTGAAGGTTTCATAAGCTAATGTAAAGCTTCATACCATTCAAGGCATGAAGGAAACTCTCCATAAGTTATAACTACATTGATGTCATCACAGACTCATTATAAATGCTTATTGAATTGAACTAGGAAATGACACTAGGAGGGGTGGCTCTCAGGATCACCCTTCCCTTCCCCAGTTCCAGCCCAAAGACAGTGGCCCTTACTCTCCACTACTCATGCTTGGCACTGCCCCTACCACCACCGTGCTCACCTACCTGCCTTGTAACCCACAGCCACCCGGCCCAAGTTGAAGAAGATGAAGAGCCAGACGGGACAGGTGGGTGAGAAGCAATCGCTGAAGTGTGAGGCAGCAGCCGGTAATCCCCAGCCTTCCTACCGTTGGTTCAAGGATGGCAAGGAGCTCAACCGCAGCCGAGACATTCGCATCAAATATGGCAACGGCAGGTAAGCAATATCCAGCCTGTCCTCCATCCAAGCAGCTGCCCTCCCTCCTCTCGAGAAGGAGTGGCCTGAACTGGGCAGAGGCCAGGGCTGTGCCCCCAGACTCACCCATGGAACCAGTCCCAGCCCCTCTCCATACTCCCCTTCCTTGCCACTCCCAGCCTTCTTCCTGCAGCTCGGGGACCCTCTGGTCATGGTGGCCCAGGGTCTTGCAGACCACAGACAAGAATTAAGCCTTTAACTTCTCTGGATAGTTGAAGGCAATTTGACTGTCACAGTCAGCTTGATCAGTGGAAGACCCTGCTCATCTCTAAAACTTCTTGAAAAACCTGCTGTAGCGTCTGAAAGCCCCAACATTTGGCAATCTTTGGTGAAAGACCCTGACTCCAGAATGCCTCTGGGAGGTCACACATGATGGGCTGGTTTCTCAGCTTAGCAAGCTGTCAGTTGTCAGAGAGCTAGGTAAGGGAAAAGGGAGCAACACTTTGATTGGTGTTGGAGAACTCTGTTCCTCAGACGGTTTCCCCCTAAAAGTTGAGAATTGTCTTTAATCCTGAATCAGTGCTCCAGGGAAGTGAATCAGAGAAGTTCCCTGAGTCTCTAGGCTATGGGAGATGGCCTGTCTTCCATCTTGGCTGGGTCAGGCAGGGGGCTTCTGGCACCAGAGAAGCCGCTAGTCCAAGGCAGCCCACCACCTCTCTGCTGCCTCTCAAGGAGAAGCAAGGGGGAAAACCCCTGCCTGCCAGCTAAACAGGCATTCTACCTGATGTCTGCTCTGTTGGCTCCGGGGACCTAGTGGCCTTCCCTCTCTGACTGAGGAGCTCCCAAACCTTTTCTACCCTCCCTCCCAGAGTAGCTTACAACCACTCCTTTCCTGGCTGTCATTTTCCTCCTCACCGCCCCACCACACACACAAAATGCAAATTAGGATGGTTTTAGAGCACACCAGCCTGCCCACAACAAAAAGTGGTAGAAGGCCAGGGCTGGGCAGGCTGCTTGGGTTTGCCATGTGGGGCTGGATGTCCATGCCCTGCCTCTGGCCCTCAGACTCTGGAACCTGTAAAAGAGGTTAAAGGAGTCAGGGGACTGGGAGTTACTTCCAGTTCTCTGATTCTCCTTCCAAGAATGGGGAGCAGAAGTAAAACTGATCACTCAAGAAAATGATCCTGGCAGAAAACAGAATGTAATTAAGGAAGAGTTTGGCTTAGATCAAAGGTTTGTGGCTGAAAGAATGCCGCTTCCTAAGGAACTTGCCATGGCCAGTGGCGAGTGGGGGGTTCTATATGTCCCTTGTCTACAGCATTGGCAAGAAGCTCTGGCTGCCCACCCAGCCCACCTTCCGAGACCACCCCACCCCTTCTCACTGCCCTACCAAGGCTGCTTCCAAGCTGGAGAGAATGGGCAGGCTTCTTGGAGCTGGGGCAGTTGGGTCCCGTCTCCCTCCTATCCTTTCTTTCTAGAAGATGGTTTCTCCCCTACTTCACTGCAGTGACGAAAGTCAGGAGAGCCCCCCTTTCCCTCCTCATGGCTCCCAAACATGTCTACAACCTGCCTATCATCATCCCACCCTACCTGGTGCCACACACTCATACTCACCCTCCCTCCCGCACATTCCCCCCCACCACACACACACACCCACAGAGCCCTGGTACCACCAACTCACTCCTTTCTCTGGTAACTTCAGCTTTCTCTCCCTACCAACAAACCCACGCCCGTGACTTTTTTTCTCAAATGCTGTCCCTCCACGCTGCTGCTCCCCTGGCCCTCCAGCGGTTGCCCCATCTCACTTCCGCCCTCCACCACCATATGAAGTCACTGAGGGAGCTAGCCTCATGCCCACTGACTGCGCACTCTCGTCCTCCACTCACTCTTTGACCTGCTGGAATCTGCCCTTCAGTTACATCCCAACCTCTCGATGGCTGTGGTCCTGGAGAAACCGCAGTTATCTTTGCACTTCCTGGCTCAGGCCTCCAGGCCTCTCAGCGGCCTCGGCCTGGGAATACCTGCTCCCCGGGCCCTGTGGTGCTCCTCCTAGTCTTGCTGTGAGTCTGGACACTGTCTCTTAGTTGCCATCAATGCTGGAACTTTCCTGAGCTTTGGGCCTCACTATTTTCTTTCCTCCCTTTCCGCCTGTGGGTGATTTCACCTTCTCCTGTTGCTTTAAGAATCTGAGACCCCAAGTCTCCATATCCAGACACAATGGCTTTTTTACCTGAGCTCCAGACCCATGCTGCCAGAGAGACACTAGATACCACACCTGAGATGCCTCACAGACATTTCTGATTCTGAAGGCCCAATCTGGCCTCTCCCCTGCCTGCTGTAGTCCTTTCTCTCCCTCATGTGTTCCCCTCTCAACTGTGGCTCAACCAGACTCTCTGCTGCTCAACCCCTGACCCTTTGTCGTCTGCCCAGGGGGTCGTGCCTCTTTCCCTCCTCCTGCACATTTCTTATCTGGCCTCCCTGCCTCGAGCCTTCCTCCTCTGTCCCACTCTTGGCCACTCCCCACCTTTTCTGGACCACAGGCCCCTCTGAGAATTCATTTCTGAATCTAAAATATCTGTATTGAGTATCAACTATGTGCCAGGCACTCTGCTAGAGGCTCAAGATATGTCAGTGAACAAAACAAAACTTACCTTCATGAGTCTCTAGTCTAGCTTCTACTATAGAATCTGGTAGACACCTTGTCCTTTTCTTCAGGAAAAAAAAATGTGGCTTATGTACCCAGTTTGTTTGTAATTCTAGAGGTCCACAGAGTCACTGACCCCCATGAGTGTCTGACGGGAAATGATCTTTCTAACAGGAACATGTATTCAATCATCCATTCAAGACAGAGCTTGAGAGCCTACTGCATGCCAGGTACAGCCTTGGGGCTCTTCCGACTCCTCTTCCTGGCCTACAAGTCACTGCCATGCAGTTTCCTCACACTGCCACACTCTCGGCCGCTGGTCTTTCCTTTCATGGCTCTGGACTTGGGCCCAGGCTGTTCCCTATGCTGGCAGCCCTCCTCCCCTCACTTGTCCCTGGCAAGGCTCTCCAAGGCCCAGCTTAACTGTCTTCTCTCTGGGACACCTTCCTAAGCCCTCTAGGCAGCTCTCATTGTCTCCTCCCATGGTGCCTTAGACATGGCTTCATTGCTTTGTAGAGGGATCTGTCTCTCCTTCCAGCATGAGAGAGCCTCAAAGCCTGGATCCCTGTACCCAGATACCCCCTTCTCCGCTATAGAACCTGACAGAGAGCTCTACACTGAGGGCTGAACTGACGAGAATCTTGCAGGACTAGCCCTCCTCTCCTGGGTGTAGAGTCCCACTGAGACTGGGCATGAGACCTTTTGGATGGTTCTAGCCTTCTGAACCAGTTACTGTCCTGGTTAAGCCTCAGTTTCATCTAAAGAATCCAGAAACAGGGACTGGTCTTCTCCTCCTGGGTATTATGGACCCCTAAGAGTCTAAAGTGTGCCCCCTGCTCCCTACCTTTCAGGGCCCTGCCCCATTTGCTGCATCTGGAAACTTCCCTGTTCTCCCTGTTCTGCCCCTGGGCTCTCAGCAGTGAGTTGTCAGTGGTGGAGGAGTGGGCCATCATAGAGAACTTCTGACTCCCTGCGACCAAGGCGCCCTCGGAGTGACTTAGAGAGAACGGCCACCTGCACACCTACCCATCCTACACTACACATCTCACCTAGTAGAGGGGCCAGGGGCAGTGGCAGGAGTCTGCTTTCTGGCAAAATGTTCTCTGTCTTGTCTGCCCACACAACAGCTGGCTCCCCTACCTCCTAGCACTCTCCCTGCCCGGGCCGCACTCTGTCTGGGCATCTCTGTTGACCTGTAGAGACCCCTCCTCAGAGGGTGCTGTCTGTCTTTGTGCCCACTGCACTGAAACATCTCACCCAAGCCTTCCTGTGCCAGGAGCAAACTGCCCCCCCAAATCCTGGGCACGGGGCCTTCCCTGCAGAATCGCATGTTCCCTTGTTTATGAGGGGCAGGCTGGAACAGGCCCCTTGAGCAGGCAGGGGGCGGGGGGCGGGGGTAGGCGCTGAGGAAAATGTGGAGGACACAGCTGCCCAGATCCTGTCCCTGCCAGCAGAGAACCAGCTGGGGAGGTAGGGGGGAGGGGGGAGGGCGTGGTCACCATCTCAGGGCAAACTTGGGTCAGCATGTGATGGGACACCAGGAGCAGAGCACAGCACGCGGCCTGCCAGGGAGACAGGAGAGTCCTGGATCCTCAGGCTTCCACCTGGAGCTGGGAGTGAGGAGGGAGAAGGTGGTGACTCCAGTTCCTGCAGGGGCTGAGAAACCCTCAGAGCCCTGCCCCTTAGCCAGGACCCAGAGCCCCGTGTGCATCTCTGGGGCCGGCTTCTATGAAATCATCAGACAGCTGCTAACCTAGGACATCTGCAGCAAGCCTCAGGGTCATTATCTCTGTCCCCTGCCTCTTTCTTGTTCCTCAGAAGGAAGGGGCACTCCTAGAGACCTGTGCCTGCCTTCTCCAGGTCTCACATGCCTGCATGTGGGGAATCCTTCCTTAACATTCTGCCACGTCCTGCTACATATGATGCTGTATAAGGGAAGCGCCTCTGAATTCCAGGGGGGTGACAAGGAGAATCTGGCTCTGAGTCCCCTGTGCATCAACACCCCCACCCCCGGACCCTCAGGCGATCCCCCTTCCCTGCTAATCTGGTGTGTGCACAGGGAAGTGAGAGAAGCCATACCCTGGGCAAGCTGGAGTTTGTGGCATCTAATTTGGCTGGAGCAGGGAAAGAGATGCTGTCTTAGTCAGAGGGGCCTCCAGGGCTCTCTTTAATGAAGGGAACAAATTATAATTGACAGAAGAGGGTTGTGGGCCGGCACCAGGCCAAGGAGACAGAGACCAGCTTGAGCCAGGAAGAATATGGTATAGTTAAGCAGCTGTCACCACAGCATCAGCAAGGACATTACCATAGCAATAGGGTCTATAGACAAGACCATCTTGTAGCACCCTTGTTGGGAGGACCTTGGGGTAAGGATGCCAGGATGCCTGGGAAGAGGCTCCCCATCAGAGGTGGAGACAGCCCAGGTAGGGATTGTGGGCCAGTTTGCGTCTCCTTGACCCTGGCCCAGCCTATCTGCTTGCCTCTCCTCAGCCTCCTTACCCCATCAGCTCCATAGCTCAGTTTTACATCCCCTAGGCTCAGGGCAATGATGGCTCTACTGCCCTCCCTCGTATTCCCCCATCTCTCCAGCCCACTACACATAGGCTGGAAATCTGGCTTTTTAATTCAGCACTAAAAAGAGGAGGTGATCATACCATGTGCAGAAATTACCGTGTTACTTCTTGCTTCCTCCTGGGGGCCAGCCTGGGATCCCAGGCTTTATCCAGAGCTCATGCTGGCCCTTGGAGGCAGAGGAAGGGGTGAGGGCTGTGAACAGGCCCTTGCAGAGCCTAAGCACCCTGGGGTAGGTGCAGGGAAACTCTGAGAAGGAAGGAGAGGTTTGGCTGGGGCTTCAGAAAGAAGAGGGGGACCAAGGCCAGGTGCCCTACACAGTTCTCAGCATGCAGGGACTAGGTGCAAAGCTTCAGGGCTAGCCCCAGCTTTTCTCAGAGATAGCCCACGTCCTCATGAACTGCAGCTCCTGGCATACCTCTGCCTTTGCCTTGCCGAGTGCCCTTGGGCAAGTCAGGAAGTCCCTCTAGGACTCAGTTTTCCCTTCTGTAAGCAGAGAACACCCAGTTTGGCCCTGAGGATCAAGTCCAGGATCTTTTTGTTCCCCAAGGTGTACAAGCTCCTGGCACACAGGAAGTGCTCAGTAAACATTTGTTGAATGAATGAATGAAACAAAAACCCCTTGGAGAAGCCACAGAGTGCCCCTTAGTGGCAGCGCTGATTTTGAGAACAAGGGAGAGCCCCAGGTTTGGACTAGGAGTCTGGGCACCATCACCATGGGAATCCGTCAGGACAGCTGCCCTCCCGGGTATCTGGGAACAGGTCTTGCATACCCAGAATGACAGGTTGCCACTTCCCAGGAGAGGCAGAGGCAGCTGGGAATGAGGGAGGTGGCCATGTGACTTCCTACAGGGCCTGGCTTTACTCCCCCAGAAGAATGTTACAATGGTCCAGCCCTAGAAGAGCGGATGTGAGGGATCATAGATTTAGGACATGTGAGCAGCCACTAGTCCTGCCCTGTGTTGTCCTAAGGGCCCAAGGCTCCCTGCAGCTGCAGGGACTCCGTGCCCCACCTGGACTCCAGAAATTGCTGGGGGGAGGGAATCTCCTTCCCATCTAAGCTGCAGGGCCACTGTGGCTCTGTGGAGAGAGGCAACCGCTGGGTGACTGCTGGGGAGCCACAGCCGGCCCTGGCTCACGCCTCTCCCCCTTTTATCCCCTCCCTAACCAGAAAGAACTCACGACTACAGTTCAACAAGGTGAAGGTGGAGGACGCTGGGGAGTATGTCTGCGAGGCCGAGAACATCCTGGGGAAGGACACCGTCCGGGGCCGGCTTTACGTCAACAGCGGTAGGTGGGCCCAGACAGAGGGAAGGGTCCTAGAGGGGTTTGGCAGGGCGGGCCAGTGGCCCCCCAGCCCTTGGGGCCTGCATGTGATCCATCTCGCACTCAACTCCCCTCCCTCCTGCTGCTGCCATATCAAGCCCTAGATCTCAGCCGATTCAGAGAAATGCAGTCGAAGCATAAATGTTTAGCTTTGTTATCTGGGCCTGGAAGAGCCGCCAGCTCTCATTTTAAATACCCTGAAAACTAAATATTTTGAAATCAAGAGGTGGGGGTGGGGAAAGGATATTTTTAGAAGGCAATTATAGGAGGCTGGGCTGCCAGGAGTGGGGCTGCAGGGAGAGGCAGGCCTGGGGCATGTACAAGCTGACTGCCTATTGCCTGTTGCTTTGCTGGGCACCTGAGCACAGGCAGCCATCTCCACTGGGCCATGGGTGGGCAGCTTGGATGCCTGGGGCCCCTGGTGGCAGCCTCTGTTCAGGGAGGGCAAACTCCTCCCCGACAGGCCATCCTCACTCCTTGAAGTCTTGCAAGGTCAGGACCTCACGGCACCTCTTACCTTCTCGTCTCTACAGTGGCAGACCCAGCCTCAGGGTAGAGGCTGCCTTCCTGCTGCACTGCCCTCTCAGGCCCTGGTTCTTTCCCTTGACTGGGAGATTGCCTCTCCGCCAAAACTACCTGTCCTCAGGCAGTGCCCTCTCCACTCTAGCTTGAGTACCTTAAATCCCACAGATCACTCTCCTCCCCCCAACACACACAGACTGAGTGTGCATGTGGCTACCTATTTATTGGGGTTCACTTCCAGTCCTGCTCATCACAGAATATAATCCTGTATCTGTCATTACCTGCCTCTATTTCCACCAGACAGCCTCCCAATATGCCCTAAACCTAGCATGGTCTAAAAGACTACTTGGAACACTCTCTGCCCTATGACCCTCAGACAAAAACCTAGTTCAGACCCTGTCTTCCTGTCCTGGTGAGGGACACCCCGTCCTCCCAGCCCCTTGTGCTCCTTGGTCTCCCTTGCCACTGTGTCTAATAAGTCTGAGTCTCCATGTCCTTGCCAGTCTTCTTTCTGGATCTTTCTCACACCTGCCTCTTCTGCTCTAACTATACCTCAAGGGTAACCCTGGCTTGGGTTTCATCCCTAGTCACCTGAACCAGAGCAGCAGCCTCCTAAGGTGCTTTTATCCTGTCATGTTCCCCACCCCATAGAACTACAGAACAGGGACTTTGTTCTCAACACCCTGGCCTAAATGATCTTTCCAGCCTAACTTCCATCAGTCCCTTGTCCATTCCATTCTTACTCTTGCTCCTGTGCCATCCTGACTCATAGGATGGGTCAAGACAGTTTCTCTCACTATGTGTTGGCCTCATTCTTTCCTACTGTAAAATGGGCCTCTCCCATGTTCGGAGAGTGGGGTGGGAAGAGGAGGCCATGGCTTCATCTCTTCCTCCTTGACCATCCCAACCCACTGCAGCGTCTCTCCCAGCTAGGGCTCCACTCCTGGGCCACTCCTTGGCCAACCATGCTCTGATGGCATCTCTTGAATTCTAGCCTTTGATTAGCCTTCAACTCTCATGCTATTGCTGAACTTTCTCTGTGGGCGTGGCCATCCCAGTGAATCTGTGAGCCTCAGGAGAGGGGAGAACAGGGAGGATGCTTTCTCCTGGAAGTTACAATCATAGCCAGTATTTATTGAGCCAAGCTCCACATTATCCCATGAACCCATACTCAAAGCCAGGATATATTTTATAAACAATAAGAAGCTCAGGGAGATTAAATATTTCACCTGAAGTCAAACACCTAGTTAATGATAGAGCTGTACGATGTAAAAGTAGTTGGCAAACACTTAGTCTTTGAGCTCTGTGGGGCTATGTCTAGTCTGTCTACCACCCTAGCCTCAGGGTCTAGCACAGCACCTGGCTCACAGTGGGTGCCTGGTAAATATTATATAAGAGAACTTATAACCTGCTCCAAGGTCTTTACTGCCTCCTCTATGGCCCAGCCTGGGCATGACAGCAGGGAGGGTGTCTGAGCTCCTACTTCTCTCATCCTATCCCAAGTTTGGGAAGGTGGGCTGTGTCTGGGGTCTAGCACCTGCCACCTCTGCTGTAGTGGTCAGACATTCTCAGATCCACTTTGGATTTGGGGCCTTCCTATTTTATTAGTCAAGACTTTCTTGACTAGAATTAACTTAAGCCTATCTTAAGGGATTTATTTATTGGCTTATAAAACTGGTAAGTTCAGAGGTGGAACTGGCCCCAGGCATGACAGAATCTAAGAACTCAGAGGAAGAGTCCAAGAACTCATAGGATGGCTCAAGACAGTTTCTCTCACTATGTGTTGGCCTCATTCTTTCCTACTGTAAAATGGGCCTCTCTCATGTTTGGGGAGTGGGGTGGGAAGAGGAGGCCATGGTCTCAGACAGGTCCAGATCTACCCCATCCCAGCCCACCACCCGGAGAAAAGAGATGGCTTTGTCTCTGTGTCCATAAGTACAGTCACAAGGATGGATTCTGAATGACCCTGCCAGGTCATGTGACCCACTTGACCAGTCACTGTGCTTGGAGGGTGGGGCCATCTTTGCCTGGCCTGTCTGTGTGTGCACAGGGGCTACTGAGAGGCAGGGCACTGTGAGTGAAGGCCTGGTCAGAACTCCATGGAAAAGCACTTCCCCGAAGGGGTGCTGTTAGCAGAGAAAGTGGGAGCGGCTGCTGTGCAGAAAACCACAGGAGTGCCCTCTCTCTTGCACAGGGCTTGGGGCCTGTGGCCAGAGGTGGTGAGACCCCTCAGATAAGCTGCAGTCCCCTCCCACACACGGATTACTGTCAGCCCTCCGTAGGCCATGCTGTGATCAGTTTAGGAACCAGACCGTGGCACCTTTGGGCAGGGCACTGAGGGCATATCTGGAATCCCAGCTTCCTGCAGCCTTCTTGCCTCTTGACCCTCCAGGGCAGCGGCAGGGCAGAGCAGGGGAAAGAGTTTGGAGATTTGGTCTCGTCCAAGCTTTACATCATGCAACCCTGAGTAAGTCACTTCACCCCACCAGTCTTTGGTTTTCCCGTTGTGGGGCTGAACTAGATGATCTTTAAGCCCCCTTCCCTCTAAAATTCGGGGATTCTGAGTTTGATGCTGAGGCTGACATCCTGTGCACCTAACCAGTACGCACACACACAAACACATACCACACCACTTCTGCTACCATGTGCAGTCCATGGCAGGCAAGAGCCTACCCTTGAACAGGTGAACAGGGCCACTGCTGGGGACCAGGAGGCCCCTGCTGGGGATGTTTTCCCAGGCAGAGATGCCCAGGCTCCTTGTTTATCCACAGAACCCATGAGACCTGCAGCAACCACACCCTGTGGTCTGCCCCCTCTGACTCATCCCAAGGTGGGTTGGTTTGGCCCGCCCAGGCCGAAGGGAAACCAGGGCTACAGGGATAGGGCAGCTAGAAGAGGGTACAGGGAGGTCATTGGGGAGCAGCAGGCTGCTCGGGTGGCATCACTTTGGCTCTTGAGTGGCTACTGCTCTGTTCAGGTGGAGCCCAGGGCTCCTTCCACAAATTAGAGTAGGCCTTCCTTATAGTCAGAGCTCTGCCAGCTCACAAGAGGCTCCTGCCTTCCTGAACTGGCGGGCAGGAGGAGTCGGCAGGAAGTTTGCGGTGCTAACACAATAGCTTGGTCCAACCCACTTCTGAGTTAGAGAAACAGATGTCTCATCCCAGGTGAAAGGGAGTTTGGGAATGTCCTGAGGTGGCTGTACCAGCCCCTGATGTCAGGCTTTGCCCCAGAGGACAGGCAGGTTTGACCTGGGGTGTCATAGGACCATGGAAGCCCTGGAGAGGCCTCTGGGCCAGTCTCTTACCTG
Organism: Homo sapiens; assembly: GCF_000001405.40. NCBI lineage: Eukaryota > Metazoa > Chordata > Mammalia > Primates > Hominidae > Homo > Homo sapiens. The sequence goes on along the minus strand of NC_000005.10, from coordinate 139,876,990 downwards.
GAGTCTTGCAAAAGCTGGCTGTTTAAACACACACACACACACACACACACACACACACACACACAGATGCACATTCATGTCAGTCACGCATTCAGAAGCGCTTATTCAACAAGATCTTGCTCTGAGCTCTGGGAAGTCGCAGTCTTGGCCCCCAAGAAAGTCCCTCAAATGGCAGGAAACTAAAACCCGAACTCTAAAAGGTCTGCCTTTTCTAACAAACTGAGAGGAAGGTAGGCAATTTATCAAAGGGAAAGGGGCCTCGATGGATAAAGGAGCACTCGACCTGAGTCTTGAAGGACAAGCAGAAGTTTTCTCCATGAGCAAAGGTGAAAAGCAGCTGCACTTGTGGGCAGTCGGGGACGCAGCTCCACAGCAGCGGCTCCCACCCCGCCACTGTCACTCTTCAGGGGCCCTGATAAACTCACACCAAGACACTAACGGTTCATCAAAACTTCCTGGGCTTACTCCTCCCGGGTGCTTTTTTAAATTAATTTTTGAGATATAATTTATATACCATAAAATTCACCCTTTTAAAGTATACAATTCAGTGGTTTTTAGTATATTCACAAGGTTATATAACTATCACCACTAATTTTAGGACATTTTTGTCACCCCAAAAAGAAACCCCATGCCCTTTAGCAGCCACTCCCATTTCTCCCCCTCTCCAGCCCCGGCAACCACTAATTCTGGACATTTCATACAAATAGAATCATACAATATGTGGCCTTTTGTGACTGTCTTCTTATACTTAACATAATGTTTTCAAGGTTCATCCGTGTTGTAGCATGGATCAGTACTCCATTCCTTTTTATGGCTAAATACTATTTCACTGTATAGACATACCACATTTTATTTATCCACTCATAAGTTTGGATTCTTGGGTCATTTGGATTCTTGGGTCATTTGGATTGTTTCCACATTTTGGCTGTTATTAATAATGCTGCTGTGGACATCTGGGCACAAGTTTTTGTGTGAGCATAGGTTTTCAATCTCTTGGGGATACACCTAGGAGTGGAATTTCTGGAGCACATCATGACCATATTTAATTTTTAAAGGAACTCCCAGACTGCTTTCCAAAGCAGCTACACTATTTTACATTCCCACCAGCAATGCATACGGCTTCCAATTTCTCCACATCCTCACCACCACATGTTATTATCCTTCTTTTTGATTCTGGCCATCCTAGTGAAAGTGGTATCTCAGAGTGTGTGCGTATGTGTATGTTTTATAGAGATGGGGTCTTGCTACATTGCCCAGGCTGGTCTTGAACTCCTGGTCTCAAGTGATCTTCCTGCCTTGGTCTCCCAAAAGTGCTAGGATTACGGGGGTGAGCCAGCCATTGGCTTGGTCTCATTGTGGCTTTGATTTTCATTCCCCTAATGACCTTTTTGGAATGTTTGCATTTAAAGGAGACAGTCCTTTAATCTACCAAAAAGATGATATTATCAGCCAAGGATACCAGACTAGTCCCTGGGATGGTAGCACAGGGCACTTTTTTCCCCCAAAGAATAAGATATTTATTTTCTCATTCATTCATTCAGTAAATATTTGTTAAGCACCTGTTATGTGCCAGGCACCATGCTGGACATTGGGGTTCAGGGTAAACATGTCAGACATGGCTCCTGCCCTAATGGAGCTTACATTCTAGTGAAGAAACTAAGCATTAAACAGCAAACAGTTGGCTGGGCACGGTGGCACAAGCCTGTAATCCTAGCATTTTGTGAGGCTGAGGCAGGCAGATCATGAGGTCAGGAGATCGAGACCATCCTGGCCAACATGGTGAAACCCCATCTCTACTAAAAAATACAAAAATTAGCTGGGCATGGTGGCACATGCCTGTAATCCCAGCTACTTGGGAGGCTGAGGCAGGAGAATTGCTTGAACCCGGGAGGCAGAGGTTGCAGTGAGCTGAGATCTTACCATTGCACTCCAGCCTGGGCAACAGAGCAAGACTCTGTCTTGGGGAAAAAAGAAAGCAAACAGTTGCACACTTAGTCATGTAATTATGCTAGAATAGCTATAAGTAGAAGTATATGAAGCTAAGCGAGGGAATAAGGGAGGAGCCTGACCAGCTTAAGAAGTCAGGTGAGGCCTCCCTGAGACACTTGTTGTATTTTGAACATCCTGGGCAGGAGACTACTTGGCTTATTAAAGGAGCAGAACTATGACCAGCATAGTCTGAAATATACTGAAGGAGAAAGATGGGAGATGAAGTGGGAGAGGTGGTGAAGCCCAGATAAGACCTGGGAAGAAGTTGGGGGCTTTATTCTGAGTGCAAATGGAAGCCACTGGAGAGCTTTGGTAATAGAAAAGATTGATACAATTTACATATTTTAAAGACCACTGTGGCTGCTGCAAAGTAAAGGAGATGAAGGCAAGAGTGAAGGCAGAAAGACCAGAGAGGAAGCTATTGTGGCCATCAAAGAAAGAGACAATGGTGGCCTGGACTAGGGGAGGAGGTAGCAAGACATGGATGGAGTCTCTTGAGGAAGTGGAAATGGCAACCCTTGGTGACAGATGGCTATAGGGGAATAAAGGAGGATGAAATCAAAGATGCCCTCTAGGACTTTGGTTTGTGCCATTTGGTCACGGAGATAGGAAAGACTGGGGAAGAAGGTGGGTAGGGCAGATGGTGCAGAGCACAGTTTTGGACTTGTTGAGTTTGGGGTGCTGTGAGCCATCCTCGTGGAGGTGTAAAGGGAGAGTCCACGTCACCTTCACTTCTCCAAACACGGGCAACCATAGTGAGAGATATGGATACGCTGACAGGGGTGTATAGACACGTTGCCTCAGGAGCCCACGCGTGCTAGAACAGTGTAACTGCGCTACAGCGTGAGCGCAGCTCTTCCGTGTGGAAATCTCCCTGGAGTATGGCTTTGCCACTGGCAGAGTTGGGCTGCAGTATCTTGGGAAGGCCCTGCCATTACAGAGGAGTGGCCTTTCTGAGATGGAAACACCCGTGGTCACTCTTTCCCCACACCCTCTGTGACTGGCTCCCCAAATGTCTTCCCTTTTTACCTTCCCGGGGTCCCAGCCTCGTCCCCATGACAACATGATACTGGCAGCGCAGGCTCAATGCATTCGGCTGGGGAGGCCCCATCTTTCCTCAGGAGTTGTCCTTAGCCTCCCAAAGCCTCGATGAGCACAGACATATATGTGAGAAGCCCAAGTGTGCAACTGTGGCCCCGGCCAACCCAGCATCCTCCCTGCTGTCCACTGCTCACTCGACTGGGGTGAAACAATGGGCACAGCAGTGGGCAGTCTGTGCCACCCGCAACTGCAGAGGACACCAGGCTGGGCCTGGCAGATCCAGGCTGAGATTTCTCTGGCTTAGCCAACACCCACAGGAGGGCCCAGGCCTGCAGTCCTCACTGCGCTTGCATTCGTCTGCTTTTGTCAAGCCTGGGTGCTGATGGGGAGGATGTACAGCCAGGGGCTAGGAGCCCTGAGGCTCTGTTGCAACACACACTGCACTCTGGCCAGACACTTCGCTGCCTTCTCTCTCTCCACTCTCCTGTGTGATGTAAATGAAGGGCAGGACAACCTCGAGGGTTCTCCCAGCAAGGGGATTTTACAAGTGGCAGGCGTGGTACCTCAGCTGCTTCTCTTCTCTGTCCCTTTCTTAGTTCCCTGGGTCTCACTGACCCAGAAGTGGGGCAAAGATCAGCAGGAGGTCTCTAGTTCCAGCCAGCACGTGGGTTCCAGCTGGGTCTGGGGTTGAGCCGAGGAGGGAGACCTCAGCAGGGGTGGGGCTCCGGGATGCCAGCTCAGCAGCAGGCATGATGTGGAGGGGATGGTGAAGCCGGCCCTGCCCGCTGGATTTTATCAGCATGCTCCTCAGACATATACAGAAGCAGAGCTGTGTATACACTCCCAGCCCCCTGTGCTCCATCCGTCTCCCCACATGTCTAAACACTGAGGGTGCCGACTGCCTGCCCTCCTCCTCCTCCTCTCACTTCCACCCCTATTACTGAGGGGAGTGGAGAGACCCAGTACCCCTGAGGAGACAGGGCCAGCTGGGGTAGCTTGGGCCACCTCATTCAGGAGGCCACTGCTGGGCTGGGTGGGAACGAGAGGCCCTCAGAGGCCCTGGGAGCTGAGGGGAGCAGGACCTGCTTCTGGCTGTCCAGTCCGGATTGGATGGGGCATTATCTAAAACTGATGTTTGGGGCGAGAATGTTCACTTGAAGCTAGCTTTCTGGATGCCATTCCCTGATGAGGAGCAGAGCTTCAGTGATGTTCATTTCTCAAATGAGTCCAGTCAATCGGACGTGCAGTCTGTGCTAGAAGCCTTAAGGCCCAGCCTTGCTCTCCCCCAGTTTTGCACCCCAGCTGCCCCCTTCCCTTTCCCTGGCCCTGTCTCCTCCCCAACAACTTGAAACCCGTGATTTATGGCTGGGGCTGTCCGAGACCTGGAGGCTCCCTCTAGGGGCAACAGCTGATAAGGTCAGGGAGGAGGGGGCTGTCTGGGGTGGGGAGATATGGAGAAGACCCCAGATGCTTATGGAGATGGGGCATAGTAGCCTTTGAAGCATTCCTGGAGCTAGCCCAGACCTTGGAGAATGGGGGAAGAGAGCAGAAGCTAGGGTTCCTCCTACCCCCAACATCTCTCCAGATCTTAGAAAATGACCGTGTCCTAAAGGTGCCATCCCCTGAAGGCCCAGCTCCCTTCCAGCCACTCCCTGGTCCACCATGAGAGCCCAAGCCATGCAGGCGGGTGTAGGTGTCTCTTTCCTGCACCGCCTCCTGCGTTTGTTCCCCACATGAGACATCAGCATTTCAACCACTTGCAGGGGAGCCCCCGGAAAGCCAGGCAGGGAAGGGGAGAGGTGGGCCCTTATTCAGCAGAGGAAGCAGTTCCTGCTGTCTTCTCACCCTGCTCCCCCCACAAAAGAATGAAAATCTTCCTGGCCTTTGGAAGTTTGCCTAGAGCTTGGGTGCAAGGTTGCACTGGGTAAACGGGCAGAGCTCATGGTGGCCTCTCCTTTGCCTTATTTGTGACTAGAAGGGACCACCAGACCTCCCCTCCCCAGTCATTCCTGCAGCCTCTGGTCATCTTCCAGTTTTGACGTGGGGCATGAAGGAGATGATTCCTGGGGCCTAGGGATAGTCTCAGTGCGTCACTGGCACATGTCTCTCATACCCTCAGTGAGCACCACCCTGTCATCCTGGTCGGGGCACGCCCGGAAGTGCAACGAGACAGCCAAGTCCTATTGCGTCAATGGAGGCGTCTGCTACTACATCGAGGGCATCAACCAGCTCTCCTGCAAGTAAGTGACCAGTAGGGGTGGGCATGGGAGCAAGAACAGGGTAGGAGATGCTGGGTCAGAAGTGGAGGGCTCTAGGAAAAGAGGGTTCCAAGCCACTGACAAGAGGTCCCCAAGGGGTGTAGACAGGAAGCTTTGCCCTACTTCCTAGCCCTTTCCTGGAATATAAGGAGATATAAGCTCTAAGGGGCACAGGGGCTTGTGCAGTCCCCATTTCCCAGGCCCCTACCCACCCCATCTCCTGATGTCTACCCTTTCACCAACACCCTTTAGGGAGATGGGGATGCTAGTCTATGCCCTAGGCACTGGGCACTGGGTTTCTCTTTCTCTCTCTCTCTGCCTCCCTCAGTCTCTCTTTCCCCCCCTCTTTTCCTCCCCATCTCTCAGCAACTCTCCAAACTTTGTTCTTAATGAACATTTCCCAGGCTGCATCTTCCCCAATAGCGAGGAGCCTGGCAGGGCCAGGCAGAGCACAGGTTCCAGAGCCCTTTGCTCCTGTAGTCTTGAGGGGAGAAGAGGGGTCTGCCCAGAACCCAGTACTGACCTCAGGATCTGGCTGCCCTTCTGCCCTACAGGACCCCATTGTACAAAGATGCCATCCCTGGGTGCTGCCTGTGTCCCTTCAGCCCCTAGCCCCCACTCCATGGGATGAGGGGATACCAGCAAGGACACTACTCTAGGTATGGCCCAATGGGGGAGGTCAGGGTGGAGGAGAGGCTCAGGCTGGGGCCTCTCAGCCTCCCCAGGGGCCAGAGCCTGCTCACCAGCCAGGCAGGGTGGCCCCAGCAGGAACTCCAAGGAGCTCAGAACCACCCACTCCCCATAGCAAACAAGGCAGGTGGGAGAGAGGCTGTCAGGGAGGGCTCGTTCAGGCCCAGCCAGATCTTCTGGGCAGCTGGGCCTACAGTGCCCCCTGGACAGATTCTCTGGTGAGTGTGTGAGGAGGGGAGGGGAGCTTGGTGAGGGCAGCATAGGCTCCAGACAGATCTAGGAGAGGAGTGGGAGGGGGGCCTAGTTAATAACTTCAGTGTTTCAAAGCAGCCCAAGCCTAGAGCCCTGGCAAGTTGCTAAAGCTGCCCCATTCCCATGGCATCTGGGCAAAGGCCACCAAAACATTGATGGGGATTCAGAGAGAGATGTTTGACCTTCCCCCAGGCAAGGTCAGACTCAACACTTCTCAGCTCCCCTGCCTCTGATCTCCCGCTCTAGATCCACAGCCCCCTTCCTGGGCACACCCTTGCCCGGGAATGTGAGCCTGGTCTGAGAAGGCCAGGACTTTTCAAGACCCCTCCACCTAACAACATGGTAACGAGGGGCTCTTGCCCCGGCTGGCCTCCTCAGCTGGCTTCCTCCCTGGCCCCACCCTGCCCCTGCTGCCACCTCCTTCTCCCCCTCCCTGAACCTTAGAGGAGAGTCCCAGTAGCAACAACAGGCCCTCTAGGGAAGTTCTCAACCCAAACTCAGCCCCTCATCCTTCCCCGCCTCCTGCCTCTAGGAGGCTGCCATGTTAGTATGACAGACCCTAGGGAACATTCTAGCTGTGAAACTTGCTCAGAGTTCTTTGGAACAGATCTACTAGAAATTCATCAGGGTCCTGGAATACCTCACAGGGATGACCCAGCCCTGCATCCCCATTTCCTTGTCTCCTGCACCCTCCTCCTCCCTGTGACATACACACTAGGTAGGTCTCTCCTCTTCCCTAGCCCCTTGGACCCCAGACTTTGAAGGGATCCAGCACTGTCACTGAAGTCAGCCCTCGTCCGGGCAGGGAAGGTTCTGGCCCCTCAGGACAGGTGCCAGGGCTGAGGAGGGCCATGGGGGCCAGGGCTCCAGTGCTAGAGTTCGGTGTGGGCAAGGGAGTGGTGAGATATGTGGGCTCCAGGAGGGCCCTGCCAGCAAGGTTGCACCCCTAGGACCTCTGAGTCCTGCCCAGCTAAATCTGAGAGGAGCAGAGGCAGGAGCCTGAGCCATTGTGAAGATGGTGCCCTGTTCCCTTTCCCACCAGGGCACCTGGGCTGCACTGCTTAGAACTTGGTACCCAGAGCCACCACTTCCCCATCTCAGCCTCCCCTGGTTCCAGCCAAGGTTCCTGGAACCAACTTCCCCAACACCCTTTGTCAGCCCTCGGGGGAGAGGGCAGCCCTGGTGGAGATGCGGTCAGAACACCAGGTCCTCAGAGCTGTGCTGGAGAAGGGCAGGGGGGTGGGGGGCAGGGCAGAGCCCAGAGGCCATTCTGCGGGTGGACGAGCTGGGAGGGAAGGTGGGCAGGCCTCTTGGGGTTCCTGATGACACCTGAATGGAATAAAAAGGAAAGAACTTAGGAAACGGAACTCACGTCTTACCATTTGTGCTGTTTGTTTACTTTTTATTTTGATTTTTTTGCATTTCCGCTTAGCTTGGATAATGAAACTACACTGGTCAGTTTCATTCCAGTTTCTATAAAAATCAGTTTTCCTTCCTGGTTTTCTTACACTTGTTGTTGTGTATTGGTTCAGAGCCCTGCAGGGAGTGTTGGAAAGCAGGCACACTCCGTCCCTCCTGTTTTTCTGGAATTCAGTGCCAAAAGAAACAGTGTCACTGATACTGAATTTTGTTTTAAAAAAAGACAACGTAGGGGGATTTGAAAATGGGAGTCCAAATCAAGGTGACTGTCCCCTGTCTGGGCCAGACAGGGGCCTCTGCACTCCCTCTTGCTGCTTTCTCCTCTTCTCTCCGTGTGTTTGTAGAGCACGGTTGGTGCGTGACTCTTGGGGACTGGTTCAGGGGATGATGACAGAACAAGACTCTTTCCAGCCCTGTGCACATACCAGTGGCATGCCTCCCCTTCCCATCAGCTCATCCCCCTCATCCCTCTGCCCCTACCCCACCCATGTCCAGGTGATTCCCCATCCCACCTCCATCTGCCTGCTCATCCTCGCCACATCTTCACCCCTCTCATGAACTCAGAGGCCCTTCACTCCCTCCAGTGCCCGGGGCACACCGCCATCCTTCATCCACCCCCTCCCCCGGGTGAGGGCAGCACACATGGCATTATCCCCAGGCTACCAAAAGGAGAAACTGAGGCCCGGGAGGTGGGGTGGGAAAAGGGGAAGGCAGAGGTCCTGACCTCTCTGTCACCCCAGATGCAGCCCGTGGGCTCTCCTCTCTGCCCCTCTCTCACCCTGCTCTTCTCCAGCCCTGGGGACAGACCTTCCCCAGAGTCATAACTGATGACCTGGTGGGAAAGGCTGGGAAGGCTGTTACCCGCTGCTCCTTCTAATCTGTCCTCTGTGCCCCCTGAAAATCAGAGGGTCAATCCCAGTTTCAGTGGAAACCACCAACCACCACCCAGCCCCCAATGCTGAGTTCAGACTCCCAACCTGGTTGATAGGCTAATGTACCCCATACTCTCTTACCCTGGTATTAGGTGCAGGTTAGAGAGGCTATAGGCCCAGCTCACCCCCAAAGCCTTCTCTAGGGAAGCCCCAGTCTCCTGAATGTGACTCATCCTCAGCAAACAGGACTAAGGAGAGACATAGGAGTGTCCAGGAGGTCCCTGAAGGAGCTAGCACCCCAAAGAACAGCAGTAGCTGTCAGCCTTCCACCACCCCCACTGTGCCCCTCCCCAGTGCCTTTTGTTTTGTTCAGCCAGCGGGGAGCACATTTTCTCAAGGAAGGAAGGTTAGGACCATAATGTTGTGCAACTCAGCGGCCATGAAAGATGTAAGTCTGTAGTCAGGATAGTCCAGGCTGGGTGTGAGATAAGGGCCACAGGGATGTATGGAGTTATCATTGTTATCATTGTTCTCCAAGGGTCTTGGGACAGCAGCCCTGCTTGTCAGCAATGGAAATAAATTTCCCCTTGCCCCTCCTGCCCCTGTACTCCCCCATTTTCTCTCTCTCTCTGTCACACACACACACACACACACACACACACACACACTCATACACACACACACACACACACACACACACACACACAGGTTTCCCTTCCTCCAAGAGCTGGGCTGATCTCAGACATTGGACACAGACACATCTGTCTCTTTCTTGTTCCTTTGTGGAATCCAAGAGTCATTTGGCAACTTCCTGGGTCTTCATCCTCCACTCCCAAAGGCACTTATGTTTGAAAATCACTTCTCCCTCTCTAGTCCCCATCACAAGTGGACATCAGTTTCCAAGAGCTAAGGAAGAAGAGCTTGAGCTGGTTGGGAAGCCTTAGCCACTACCTCCATTTACCTGAGCTGGGATGAATAGGGACGAGGGCCAGGGATCAGAGAAGGATGTGTTGACAAGGGGGCTGATGGCAGTCTCCTCCTCCAAACCACCCTGTTCAGTAAGACGACCATGTACCCTCTTCCCACCCATGCCACTTCCCTGATACACTTCCCAGCCCTCCACCACCCCCCAATTAGCCAGGCATACCCACACACACACTCCTACCACTACAGGACAAACCTCCTGCCTCCCCTGGGGGAGATGCCATCAAGGCCCAGAGAAACTCTAGCCCTCTGCTCAACTACCACTCCCATTCCCCACTCCTCCAGATTTGAGGTCACAGGGTGTTCATGAGTATCTGTCACAACCAATGGCTGCCACTTACTGTAAGCCTAAGTGGCTTCCTGACAGTTGCTATATACTGCAATGCTAAGAAATAGAGTACACTTGCCTCTTGAGGAAGTTTACATTGATTAATTTTGAACAGTAGCCTATTATTGAGGGGGACACTGGTGATGAACTTAGCTAATTTCCTAAGGAAGAAGATGCAGAGGCAATATAGACCCATCTCTGAGTAGGGAGATGTGGGGAAGGGGTCTAGCCCTCCCTGTAAGCTTCTCCTTAGGTATCCAGCCTTGCCGGGGTTCAGAAGAGAGTACAGGGCTGGGCATGTCCTCCAGAAATTTGCAAGACTTCTGCAAGAAATCTGAGATTCGCTTGAGGAGAGGGCTGGCAGCCAGAGAGCAGAAGAACGTGTACCCTGTGGGTAGAGACAAGGTCAGGGAGATTGAGTGGGGGGTGCTTTAGAGCTGTAAGCAAGGCAAGATCAGAGAATGAGATCCAGGGCAGGTCCAGGCAGTGATGGAGAAACAGGTCATGGGGAAATGGAAGAGTTTCGCAGGCTGGCTGCCACTAGGACCTTGATGTGGACCAGGCTTCCAGGGTCCCCCAGCGAGCCTGCTCCAATCCCTTTTGTGGTCCTTGCTACCTGAGGCCAGATTCCCTGCACCTGGTATCAGGAAGGCCCACTTTGGGATGCTGATAATTCCAGCTCCTCTCCAACTTCCCATTTCCCTACTAAGCTTTTCCCATGTACATCACACTGGGGCAGCCTATTCCAAACCATGTTCTACCACAAGGGTTCCTCAAAAAACAACATCCATGGTGAAGTAAATTTGAAACACAAATAAATTTGAGAACTTACATGGAAAGTTCAGCTATTTCCTCCTATGAAACTTTCATAGTCTTTCATAGGTGAAGGTACACTGCAACTCTACAAGGCACCCTGAGAATGTATTTCCTACATTGATTTGGCCACAGAACCCTCTTTGAAAGAACAGATAAAACATCTCTTAGGTCACTTTTGTCAAAGACATACACAGTCTGGGAACAGCATTCCCGAGTTATCTGAGTTTCCTGGGGGCTGTTTCTTGGATGAGAAAACCTGCCCAGGGCCCAGGAGAGAATCCTTCAGTCGGTCCTGGGAGGAGTAGCTCCCAAGAACTTGGTATTCCTTAAGGCTCCCAGATCCCTGCCAGCTGACTGACTGCCTGGCACCAAGAGGCCACAGTGCTTGCTTCATGGGGCACCAGGCAGGTAAGAAGGAAAGTCTCAATGACCAGTAGGACAATTTCCCATCTTCCCTCACCCCACTTACCTAAATCATCCTCCCCCTGACCCACCCCACCTTCCCCACCACCCATGGAGCCACATCTATGAGACAGATTTTTAAGGAGATTTCAGAGCCCTCCACCCAGCCCTGACTCCAGTCCCTTCAGCTACAAGTATGACCCCAAGTGCCTGACTTGGTTTTTCTCATTCATCACTGTGCACTTTGATTTCTAACCTTAGCCTCGCGGATGATGCCAGTTTGTTCTGTGATTTTTCCCCTTTTCCTTCTCCAGATGTCCAAATGGATTCTTCGGACAGAGATGTTTGGAGAAACTGCCTTTGCGATTGTACATGCCAGATCCTAAGCAAAGTATGTTTGAAGATACAAACACAAGTCCCTGCTCCTTAGAAAGCTTCTGGGTGCAGTCCCCCCAATGTAGGGCATAGGGCCAGGGGTGTTGGTTGTTTTGATCTTTGGCTGTTTTGTTTTGTTTCTCTTTTCTTTTTTGTATTTTGGTTTGTTAGTTCTTTTTGTTTTGTTTTGTTTTGCTTTGTTTTCATTTTTGGCCTAATCCTTGGGTTTAAAGTTCAGGGCTGCAGGTAAGGGGCAGAGTGGCAAGGCCAATACAAATGGTAACGGTGGCAAGGAACCCAGCTGGCATTGGCAGGAGCCCGTGCCGGGGTGTTGCAATGCCTGTGTCTTGCTATCCTGGCTCTCTCTTTCTGGTTTTCTTTCTTTTGGTAGGTGTCCTGTGGGATACACCGGGGACAGGTGTCAGCAGTTCGCAATGGTCAACTTCTCCAGTATGTCTCTTTCTTCTATTTCTTCTCTTCCCTGGTGACTGACAGTCTCCCCCTGGGGAGGGATGGGGCCTTGCTTAGCAAGACTAGGGGGAGATGTAGAGGGTGTCCTGCGCTCCTTAGAGGAGACGGAAACACCCCCGGCACCCCCACCTCCACATGTGGGCTGTACCTCCTGGGCACAGTAATGCCAAGTTCTCTCTGCAGCAGCCAGGGCCACACCCAGGCCTCCTCCCAACTTCTGGGGTCGGGCAGCCTGGCCAGAATGGGAGGAAGCATTTGCAGAGCCCTCCCCTGCTCCGAAGGCTGCCTGAGGGTACCAAAGGGTCTGGCAGTGAGTGTGTGTGTGTGTGTGTGTGTGCCGACGTGTTTGAGAGAGAAAAAAAGTTCTCAGAAAGCCCATTTTCCAGTCTGGCCAGAGTTTGTTTGTTTTGAGGGTTTGGAAATGGGGTAGAGGGAAGGAAGGGGAATTAAGGGAGAGCAGGACCCAGGGCAATGATTTCCATGAATACCAGAGATATTTATGTGGCTACAGGATGGTGGGAGAGGGGGCGGGGGTTGGTGCTGGAGATGCTAAAAAGTTGAGGAAATGAGGAATTGAGGGGTAACTGGTGACTCTCTCAGCACCTCTGTGGTCTGAATCCTCCCATCTAGGATTTTATTCCCTTCCTTTCTTCAACTTATGAGGTTGGAGCTTTCCCTTTTGCACAGTTTGCAAAAAAAAAAAAAAAAGAAGAAGAAGAAGGAGAAGAAAGAAAGAAAAGTGAGCCCCGAGGCCCAAGGACCCAGCCATAATTATGGAGTGCTTTTATTTGGGGCCTGAGAGCAGTTCCTTCCAGCACCACCAGGTGGAGGTGGAGCAGAACAAAAAGCCTCTGGCCGGCCATTGATTCTGCTTGAGGACCAGGGGTCCGCTGGCTTGCAAGGCCTGTCCCCAGTTACCCATCCCATCCTGCAGAGCAGGCTAGGCCCCTGCGTGCCCCCCGACCTCCTCTTCTCCAGGGAGGACAGCTGGGCCCCATGAGGAGTGTGGAACCAAGTGTCCACATGGCACTGGATACTGGGAGGTAGAACTCTGGGAGGTGCTAAAGGTGGGATCCAGGGGACCATGTAGGTAGCCTTGGAGAAAAGGGGTTTGGGGATTTAGGTCTCAGGGTGGAGAAATGATCCTTCCCAGTACTCCTCAGACCACAGCACAAAAGTCCAGCAAGTTACTCCCCACCCCAACCCCACAGGGGCATAGAGACCCCTGGGGGATGGGAGCTGCTTGGCCCAGATGGTCAACTATCTTAATAGAGTGTGGGAGGCCAAGGAGGAAGGGCAGAGCCTGTGGGCAGGACATGTGGCCCAACAGAATTCTCTAGAACGCAGGCTCTGCAATCATTTCAGAGTCATATCCAGCCCTGAGTGCAGGACTGTAGAGCAGGAGGGACCTCAAGAGAAGGCAGAGCCTAGGCAGAGCTGGGGGCCAGGGGCAAGAGACAGTGGGGCAATATTCCTCTCGGCAGAGAGCCTCCCGGGCTTGTGAGACTGTCCTGGATGGCGAGTCCCAGCCTGTCCTGAATCAGAGCAGCAGAGCCTCCGGAACCGGGCCGCTATCCAAGGCCTCTCTGCCAGCTGGGCTGCTTCAGCTTTCAGCCTAGATCTGCTAGGAAGGTCAGCAGGGCCCCGGGAGCCCAGAAAAGAGCCTGCAAAGGCAGTCCAGGCCCTTCTGCCTAGTGTCTTCAGTAGCTTGACTGTTACCTTTTCGTAAAGGATTTATGCTCTTCAAGCACTTTCCCAGAGAGCACTTCATGTACTGCTCTAGCAGATAATTACTGAAAAGGTAGTGTAAAGTGCTGGCTTAAGTGTTCAGGCTTCGGATTCAAAGAGACCTCAGTAAAAATGCCAGCTGCTGAGCTTACTAGCTCTGGGGCCTCTTTAACTTCTCAATTTGTTTTCTCATCTGTAAAATGGGGATGATGACATTTATGCCTGTGGGGTTACTGTGAGGATGAAATGAAGTGCTGCATAAGAAGGGCTTAGCAGAGAGCCTGCCATTGTGATTGGAGCACAATTTAGTACCTCTCCCAGCTACAACTGGTATGCGGGGGCAGGGCAGCATCAGCCCCCTAGAGGCTGACTCCCAGCACATCCTGAGCAAAGTGTCCAACCTGCCCAGATAGCATCTAGACCAGGTTATCTTTTGCAGAGATCAAAGAAAGAGCCTGTGACTGCAATAGCACATTGAAGCTTTTCTTTCTTCCACAAACAGCCCCTCCATTCCCCACGGGTCAAAGCTTGTCCATCTTTATGTCCCCATGTAAAAGAGCACACATACTTGTACACACAAGCACAAACGCATGAGCATGGGCTCATACATGCACAAACACACAATCATGTTCTTACATACCTGCACACATGAGCAAACCCATGAGCATGTGCTCACACCTGCACACACAAGTGCAAACACAGGAGCTCATGCTCACATCTGTACACATCACTGCCTCCTTGTCCAGGCAGCCTATGACTGTATGGCATGGGACATGTCCAGGATGAAGAATTTGCATATTGTCTGGTAAGCACAGCCCTGTTGGGAGTCCAGCATCAGGTTGCCATGGTTACTGGTCAACATGCAAATTTCTGGTTAATAGGACCTTCCGGTGACTCAGTGGTGCCACTCCACCCTGGCTGAGTGGCAGCCAATGAACATAATGAGTGGGAAGGTCTTGTCTTTGCTGGGGCGGACACAGCCATAGGCCCCTCATGTTCCAACCCATGCTTCCCAGTGAGAAAGCTGCCTACCCAGTGACTGGCCAGGCCCTCAGTGACCCCACCAATCATGCCAGCCACCACTCTAAACAGTACTGGCCTTTGACTCAAAGAGGAGGCCAGTTAGGAGCCCTAGAAGCTGCAGCTGCTACTATTCGGTTCCCAGAGGAGTGATGCAGAAGAAAACGCTTAAAGGGCTTTGGGAGCCCTGCTCACTTCTCCAGCTGGTCATTGTCCTCAGGAATACCCAGCCAGGCCTGCCCAGAAACTCAGTGGGCAGGAAAGCCATGGCTTAGCACCAAGGGACCAAAGGGTCTGGCCTCCAGTCTCCCTTCTGCCTCCTAATTTGCTGTGTGACCTTGGGAAAGTGTCCTAGCATCACTGGGCCCCAGCTGCCTCATCTAATACAACCACCTCGTCGGAAAGTGGGGCCCAGACCAGCTCTATGAACCCAATCCTCTTTGCGTCCCAGGTGTTGTGGTCAAGCTGGGCTGTTCTCTCAGGGCAGCATGGCTGGATAGCCAAACAATGTGAGCTCTCCAGCTGCCTGAAGGGTCCCTGGGCCACAGCATTAACTACTCAGTGAGAGGTGCGCCAGGGTTCTTTGAGAATTGTCAAGTTTGTACTGTCTACTCAGCACGCCTGACCAGCCCTGGGACACCCTGGAGAGGAGTGGACAAACTGTACTTACGGCAACTTTTTCCTGCCTCCAAGCAGTCAGAGTGGGAATGCAAAGAAACCAAAACGTCAAGGTCACTCCCCAACCTGGGATTTAATAGCAGTACAAGAATGGCTTGTGTCTGGAAAAGCTGGGAGTAATGAATGCTTCATTGGTGTGGTCTCTGCATGGAACTGGGGGGTTGAAGCCCCAGGATCTTCCTCAAGCCTCTTTAGTCAGAGCCATCACAGTCCCTGGCTCGGAGCCATGCTGCTCTCCCGCCCTTTTCCAAATGCAGAACCTTCTGGAATCCCTATCAGGAAGTAGATGAGAGGTCCAGGGATGGATAATGCGCAGGACTTCCTGCGGATTGCCACGTGCTCGCCTTCCTCCAAGGCAGATGAGAATATCAGACACAGTGTCACACCTTCCCTGGATCTAGTGGTGCTGACTATACACCTGGGGAAGCCAGAGAGTGAGCCAATCCAGGCTAGGAGGAGCGGGGCCCTGCACGCATGCTGAGCTCATGCCGTCCAGGCTTGTTCACATCTTCCTGTAGCTGTGTGCAAGCACTTTGGACAGACAAGGAAACAGGGATTATGGCTTACCCACATCCACATAGTGAATTAGGGATGAAACGGAGACTCTAGGCTTGTAGACCGATGCTGGCTGCTACATTAGAATGGTAGGTGAGCTTTTTAAAAACACTGTTGAGATTTCTGGGCTCCCACCTCAGAGCCAGATTTCCTCAGTCTGGACAATTCAGAAGCTCAGCCAGGTTTGCAAACCTCCTAGGATCCTATGCCCCAGGCTGATCCCCACGTAACAGAGAAGAGCCTGAGACTTAACTAGATTGGAATCACTCAGGGTGGCACAGCAGCAGGTCAGTGCAGAACTGACTCTTGAGTCAGGGTCCTTTTATCTAACCCTTCAATGATGTGGGGGTCTCCGTCACAGGGTCCTGAAATCACACATTCAAAACAGGATCCCACTTCCAAGACTGTAATTTGTCCACCAGTTGAGGAGCTCAGACATTCTACAAGTGAACCCACTTGTCTCTTCCTGTGAGTTGCAGTTTGCTCTTCTGGGTAGTGAAATCAGGCTCAGGCACCATGGCCCAGCCCTGTAGGCTTCTAGGGTGTTGCGGTGTCAAGTAGAGAAGTGACCTGCTATCTGGAGCCTCATCCTCTTCCTCTTCCCACTCCCTCCCACAGACTCTGAGGCTCCCCACCCGGGCTCCCAGTACGTGGACAGGCCAGCTAGGCCTGTGGGGCACAGCAGGGACATGGGGCCAGTCTGGGGACCTCATGCCTGCACTCTGAACAAAAAAAAAAAAATTGGGCCCCCAATGAGGGAGCTGGGCAAGCTGTCTGCAGGAAGGCTTGAGAGTTGAGAGTGCTGAAGGCCTGGCACTGATGCTGGGAGGAGCAGGGGGGCTCCTGAGACCCCCACCCCCACTTACCTTTCCTCCCAGGGACATTTGCCAACTGACTCTTGCGCCTCTGCCTCGCCACCAGGTACTAACCCCACAGCTCATCTCTAAAGAGCCTGCCCTGCCTGCTGTTTCTAACATCTCTCTCTACCCTCCTTGGGGCTCTTGGGGACTGGGTGTCAGGGAAGGAGCTCAGGAGGCTGGGAGGGGACACTACTAACCTGCTTTCACCTCGCAGGATGGCTGCCCGGTGTCTGAGGAGTCCTGACCAACGTTTCTGTCTCTCTCTCTCCCCCTGTCCCCACCCACCTGTCTCTCTCCCTCCACCCCTCCCTTTGTGACCCTCGCTCTTCTGCACTGCCAGAGCACCTTGGATTTGAATTAAAGGGTATGAAACCTCTGTGTGTCACTCAGCACCATCTGCGTGGCCCCTCTCCACAGCCTCCGATGCCATGTGTGCTGAATGTTTGGTTTCCTTTCCAAAAAATGGAAAAGGGATGATTCCAAAAATCTCTCCTGGCCCCATCGAGATGTCCTATCATAAACTACGTTGATTTAGCAGGAGACGAAAGAAGCTCATGAACAGAAGGGCACTCAGGGGTTCGGACCGTTGCCCTCAGTGTACCGTAGCATCCCTCACATAGGGGAGATTTATTGCTAGGAGAGCTCAGAGGGGAGGGCCCCCTCCTGAGCTGAGTGCAGACCCGCAGGCTGGCTGGACAAGAGATAGGCCCCATGTGTGAACATGGCCCCTTGAAGGGCTGGTGTCCAGGAACCACAGAAGCCTGGTTTGGAGAGTTGTGCAGAGAGGCATCCCTTTCCATTTGACTTTAGTCTTCTTTCCATTCCCCATTTCCATGTTCATTGCTTTTCATCCTGCACCAGGCCAGCAGCTGATAACTCTCTATTTATCTCTGTCCCTGCCCTGTGTCTGTCTGCCTGGCTTTGCCATCTGCTTGAGGCTGTCACTCCCTCCATGATCTGACCCCACATTGGCAAGACCAGCCAGGGTCTGGGTGGGGCTGGCCTCTAGTACCTGCCCCTTGTCTCCCAGCTCAGAATCTTACATATGTCCTCCTGCCACCTGCTACTACCACCCTCTGGCCCCCGGAAGACTCCTTGGGCTAGAAGGGACTTTATGGGGTTAGTGTTTCTGGCTCTCTGGCTTTGCACCGGGAGGCTCCTCCATAGCTCAAGTGTCCAGGCATATGACATGAGGAGAGAGGCAGGGGCTCAGAGGGTGGGGGCTCCAGTGGGGTGGGATCTCAGACATGGTGCAGAGCCTACAGTTACAGAAAGGCTGCTCTCGTGGCTGATTTGGGGAGGCCTCCTAGCCCCACCACCTATCCTCTATCAGCTGTTCTCAGTAGAAGATAGATTGCAAAGTTTGTGTGTAAGAGTGCATCTGTCTATAGCTACTGGCTGTGATGGGGTTGTGGGAGAGGCATTGAGTCCGTGTGGGGTCTGTGATGGTGGCAGGGTGCACAGGCGTGAATCTGCAGGTACGTGTGTGTTGTTGAGAGTATACACCTTGTGAGGTCTGTCAGGGCAAGATGTCAGCAGGTGGAGGGGCTGTGAATGCCTTTGTGTTAAGGTTTGAGCACTGTGCAGGTGGAACTGTGAGGGCGTGGAGATGAGTGTGAGTGTGCAGATATGTCAATGTCTATAAGGCTGGTCTGTATATTCACTCACTCACCAATGCAACAAACATCTATGGAACAGAATTTACCAGACACACAGTCCCTGCCCTCCTGGGCTCACATTCACAGGTGACAACAAGCAAACAGGAAAGACATCAGGTGGTGTTCAGTGCTGCACAGAAAATAAAATGAGGTAATGGGATAGTGCCTGGCTGGAGTGGGGTGCTAGTGTAGCGAAGTGGTCAGGGAAGATTTATCTGAGGAGGTGACATCTGTTTTAAGACCTGATGAAAAGTGGCCAACCCTGCAAACAACCAGGGGGGAGTCCTGCAGAGGGCGGCACAGCAGGTATAGAGATCATGTGGTTGGAGTGGGCTTGCCTTATTCAGTGGATGGAGAGACTTCCAGCATCTCTGAAGCACAGTGAACGCAGGGAGAGGACCACAGATGAGATCCAAAAGGAAGGCTGGGACCAAGCAGCCGGGGGCCTCAGAGGCCATGGTAAGGCTTTGGGTTGCATTTGAGTCACAGTGTGAAGCCATTTTGAGTTTCTAAACAGGGGAGTAAAATGATCTGCTTTATGGTTGTAAATAAATGTAGCTTTGGATGGACAACAGCCTGGGCTGGGGGCAGGGTGGGGAGGAGTGGAAGCAGAAAGACCCGTCAGAAGGTGACCATCTCCAGATGAGAGGTGACACCATCCTGGACTAAGTTGGAAGCAATGGAAATGGTAAGGCTAGATCAGACCCAGGATCTACTTGGGAAGCAGAGCTGCGAGGACTTGCGGCTGGATCCGGCATTAGGGTAGGTGGGAAGAAAGGGAGTAATCAAGAATGAGCCCAAGGTATGGGGCCTGAGCAACAGGAAAAGTGGTGCTGCATCCATGAGCTGGGAAGAGTCGAGTAGGAGTTTGAAAAGAGGGTAAGGAAGCAGGGATTCTCTTTGGTCGTGGCCCTTGGATGCATGAGTCTGGTGCCCAACACAGCCCAAGTAGGATGCAACTGATTAAATGCCTGCAGAGAAAAGGACATGAATAGCAAGCAGAAAGGGATCACAGATGACTGCAATAGGAAAAATGCTCAACCTCACTCATGAGTAAAATGGAAATAAAAACGACACTGAGACAAGCACAGTTCACCCCCTGGACTGGTAAACTCAACAAGTCTGATAACACCATGGAGTGAGGGGAACCAGTCCTCTCATCCATGTCTGATGGGACAGAGGCTGCCAATAGGTGCAGACTCGATGGAGGGCCATCTGGCACGATCATACTTCAGGGAGCAGTCAGGGCAGGACATAAAAATTTGAGAGTCTGCAAATAGACGGTATACAAAGTCTGAGTCTGAGTTAAATCACTAAGGGAGAGAGGGCAGGTGCAGGAAAGAAAGAAACCTGAGCCCAGGCCCGTCTATCTTCCCAGTCGGTAGAAAAGAAGAAAGCATGGCTAAGACAGAGACAGGTCAGCCAATGAAGTAGGACAGAGAGAAGAACCATTCCAAAGCCCAGGGGGAGTGGGCCCCAGAAGGAGGAGAGCAGCTGGGAAGGAAGCAAGTGACCTCAGGACTTGGCGGCCTGGAGGTTGTTGGTGCCTGTAACCAGGGTAGTCTCAGAGGAGTGATGGAGACACATGCCTGGCTGAACTGGATGAGGCATGTGAAGGGGGCGTGAGAGCTGGAGCCAGGGCTGTGGGCACAGAGCCAAGAGATGGGGACCTAGGGTGGAGGTCTGGTTGTTTACAACTCCATCCAACTGTGTGTCAGTGGGCATGGGCGTGTGTGTGCACCTGTTGCTGGAGTGTGTGGTTAACTCTGTGTGTGTGCATATGTTGTGTGTGCAGGTGTGTGTGCGTGAATGAAGGGGTCTGCCTGTGAATCAGATAGGCATAGTTAGAAATCTCTGTGTGTCTGGAGGGTTTGTAGCCCTGGGTGTTTCCTGGTGTGTACACCTTTGCCACAGGATATGCTGCAAGCCCAAGAGGTTAGGGACATTTCCCAGGGCTCTGCCAAGGCATTGAGGTCCAGCCTCCACTTTACCCTGAGCTGGGAGGAGGGGCCAGCCAGCAGGTGTGGTGGGCACGGGTGGGGTCTCCGGGCTGTAGCCTTGACTACAGCTAGCGCTGTCACCTTTTACTTTTTCTTCCTCCTGGCTTTCTCTGTTTTAGAAGGATGGGGGTTGCCCCAGCAGCAGCAGCAGAGGGTAAAGAGGACAGTCGGCCTTTGGGAGGGCTTTGAGGCCCAGCCTAGCTCAGCTCCTCAGCAACGGTGGGGGCTGTTCCTTGCACACCAGCACTTTCCTAGATGCCAGGGGTCCATGGTGCCACTGGCGGGCTTCTCACAAGCAGAGATAGCAGGCCTGGAGGGGGCCAGGGCCACTCCCTGACCAGGCTGCAGGGGTAAACAAAGGCATTCCCATGATCACTGCCAGGAAGAACAACTCCTCTTGGCCCACCAAGGTTCTTTGCAGCTACCAGGCCACTGTGGAGCAGGGCAGGGTCACCGGCCAGACTGAGCTGTCCTCCCCTGCTCTACAGCCTCGGGAGCTTTGCCTCCACTCCATCCCTTCCCATTCCCCTGCATTTTCCACTCATGTGCTCTGGGCAGGCATGGGGCTTGGGGAGGGGAACTCAGGAGGAGTTGTGTGTGACCAGATCCATGGGTGGGTGGGAGCTGCAGGGAAGTGGAAGGCAAAACAGAGCATGTAGGAGGGAAGGAACTGGCTGGAGAAAAGGGATGGAAAGGAGCTGGGCAGGACCTGAGCTGGGGAGAGCCTATGGCTTTGGGGGCAAAGGGGTCTCTGCACCACTATCCCTATGGGGTTTGCCTCCTGCCCCACCCCTCACATCTACCCTACCTCTGCAGAAGCCGAGGAGCTGTACCAGAAGAGGGTCCTGACCATCACGGGCATCTGCGTGGCTCTGCTGGTCGTGGGCATCGTCTGTGTGGTGGCCTACTGCAAGACCAAGTGAGTGTCAGTCACTCAAGCTGGGGACAGGCCAAGCCAAGGGATGGGCCTCCAAGAATGTGTGTGAAGAAGACTTTCCTCCCCCACCCCACTGGAGCCCTCTATACCCTCCTAGGCCCCAACTACCCCTCGGGGGCCTCTGTAGCTGGGTGGGTGTCGAGCCAAAGATCTGGACCAAGAAGTAGAGGCAGAGGGTCAGGGAGACAGGCCCCAGGGCACTGACGAAGAATGGTTGTGAGCACAGGCTTTGGAAGAAGACGAATCTGGGTTCAAATCCAGCTCTGCTATTTCCCATGTAACCTTGAGCAAATTGATGGTTCCTCATGGGAATGATCCTGGTATGTACCTCAAAGGACACTGTGAGGACCTGAGCAGTAGCGTGCAGCTGACCCCACAGGCTCCTGGAGCAGGTGCCCCGTCAAGTGGGCAGGTACTAGGTAGTGTTGGGGAGGAACACAGAGAGGACAGCTTCATTCCCAAAGAAAGACAGATGCCTCAAAGCACTGCCTGACCCCGCCTTGGGAGCAATTGAGACAAAAGGACAGAGAAGGCAGGGCTGGTCCCCCTCTGGACAGAGAAGAGGTAGGGGCAGAACCTTGGGGCAAGGAGAATAAGTGAACAGAGAGGGAGCCGGGCAGTCTAAGCTAAAAGACAGCACAGATGAGGGTCAACTGTACTCCCGGAGCATGGGCAGCCCAGACTAGCTGGAGCAAAGGGCCAGGGACAGGAAAAAAGCGGGCATGAGTCTAAAAGAATAGCTGGGACCCAGATGGTACCATAGGGCCTTGGATGCCGAGCTAGCAAGTTTGGGTTTATCCAGTGAAGGCTATAGATGTGCCTTTGTTGGATAAACCCAGGCTCCCTAGCTCGGCATCCAAGGCCCTATGACCTTCTGATGTGCTGAAAGATGACGGGTTTGTAACAACTGTTCTTATCTGGAAAGCAAGGGTCTGGACTGGACAGAGCCACCATTCTGGGGACTGAGCCCCTGGTCTGGACTCATGCTGCCCCATCTGTGGCATCTGAAGTCCTGCTGGCCTTGTCTTGAATGAATCCAGGACCAGAAAGTCTGGAGGAGAGTCAGGAGGGAGTTGGGGCCCAGTGAGCCCAGAGGAGACTGGGCCCAAGAGGGAAAACTAAGTCCAAGAATTGGAGAAAAAGCAAGCCGCCTGTCCTGCCCCCACTGCATTTACTCATTTCTTCAACAAACATTCAGTGCCTGCTGGACACCAGGTCCTGCCTCAGGCATACGGCCGGTGCTCTGAACAAGTGGTCCAGTGTCACGGGACACCTTTTAGAGTCACCTAACCTTGGCTGAGGAGCAGGAAGGGTTTCCCTGAGGAAGCAGCATTTAGGCCAGGGCCTGAGAGGTGAACAAGAGTTAGCAGGTGAAGAGGAGAGAAAGTATTCCAGGTGAATGGCCTGGCATGCGCAAAGGCCGGGAGGCCAGAGAGGGCTGGGCATAGTGGGGGATCAGAAACAAGCTCACCATGGAGGCAGCTAGCTGGGGTGCTGGGTGGGCAGAGAGAGACAGGGCTGGGAGAGAAACAGGACACTAAGGCCCAATAAAGGGGTTTTATTTTCATTTTTGCGGGTACTTAGTAGGTGTATATATTTATGGGGTACATGAGATATTTTGATACAGACATGCAATGCATAATAATCATATCATGTATTCTATTCATCCCCCCAGGCATTTATCCTTTGTGACCTTGAGCAAACTGATGGGTCCTCGTGGACCTTTGTGTTACAAGCAATCCAGTTATACTCTTTTAAATGTATAATTAAATTATTATTGACTATAGTCACCCCATATGCTATTGAATACTAGGTCTTTTTCCTTCTAACTAGTTTTTGTACCCATGAACCATCCCCACCTCCCTCCCAACCCCCCACTTCCTTTCCCAGCCTCTGGTAACCATCCTTCTACTCTCTATCTCCGTGAGTTCACAATGAAGGGTCTTAAACAGGGGAGGGACATGATTAGATTTAATATCAAATAAATCGAGCATTTAATATGTGCCAATCTGAAGTAGTCCCACAGGCCCTGACTCCCTAGCCACAGCACCTGTTTTATTTTCTTCATGGAACTTTATTGAAAGTATCTAGTTCATTGCTTTGTTTATGTGTTTACCATCTGCTTCCTCTACTGGCCTGCAGGCTTCAGGAGGGTGGATTCCCTATCTACCTATCTATTGTCTCTGCTCCAAAACAGTGTCTGGCACATAGTGATAACTCAATACATACCAAATTAATGAATGAGGGAGAGAGAGAGGGAGTCAGCACTGTGCTTGAATGTTTCATATACTTTTAATCCTCAATAGTCTTTGGAATGGATAAATGATCACCCTGTCTTATAGATGAGGAAAGTGAAACGTGAAGAGCTTAAGTAACTTGCCCGGGGTTGCATAGCTAGAAAGCAGTGAAGTTCTACTCTCTGGGCAGAGCCAGAGCTCACTGCCACGACGCTCAGGTCCTATTGGATTCAGGTGGTAGTGATGCTGTAGGGCAGCTTGAGTACAGGGACGAGCAGTAGCCATGGCCACCCTGGGCAGGAGGAAAAGCTGTTTCCCTAGAGAGATAGCTAGGGAAGTTCATCGTTGGCGAGTGGGGGGAATGCCAGCCTCACCTTCCCTTCCCTTGTGCAGAAAACAGCGGAAGCAGATGCACAACCACCTCCGGCAGAACATGTGCCCGGCCCATCAGAACCGGAGCTTGGCCAATGGGCCCAGCCACCCCCGGCTGGACCCAGAGGAGATCCAGATGGCAGATGTGAGTGGCTTTCCTGGGGCCCCCTTCTGAGCCCTCAGTGGACAGCCAGCCTTCTCATGCCCCCTGCAAGGATGGGCCAGGGCAGCAGCCAGCCTATCCCATGGCCAGCCTTGCCTGCTAGGCACTGCCTCACCAGGATGGCTGGCCTTGGTTTGCTCACTTCCATGAGGAAGGGGTGGGGGTTGATTTGCTGGAGCCATCGCTGCCCCAACATCAAGTCACTCTCACACAGTGGGTCTCCCCAACCAGGAGCTCAGTCAGTGCTCATCACTTCCCTGTCCCCAACAAGAAAGAGTTCATTTGGGCCCCAGTCACTAACTCTCGCCCAACTCTGTCTGTTCCAGTATATTTCCAAGAACGTGCCAGCCACAGACCATGTCATCAGGAGAGAAACTGAGACCACCTTCTCTGGGAGCCACTCCTGTTCTCCTTCTCACCACTGCTCCACAGCCACACCCACCTCCAGCCACAGGTAGGCACCACCAAGGCCCATGGAAACTTGTAGACTCACATACTTCATCTGGCGCAAAGTGCCCACTTACTCCGACATCCAGAGCTATTCAATACCCTCCCCTGAGCTTGCCACAGGAATCACAGCACACCTTAGCCTCCTCTCCAGAACTGCAGAGGCCAGTCCACACAGCACAAAGGCTCAGACAACTCAAAAATAACATGGCTGGCTCCCTTCTTCCCTCGGGAGCACCAGGAAATAGTCAGGGCCCTCACATACTGGCCCCTGGGGCTGGGCTTCTGAGATAGGTAGCTAAGGACCACGGTGGTGGAAAGGTCCCAGACAGGGGGTCTAAGGTAAGGCTGGGGGGAGGCTGGTTGCAGGAAGGAAAGAAATGGGTCTCTGCACATTACAGCTCACCCATCTATGGGACCCCAGCCCTCCTTCTTCCAATATTGGGGTTGGGCATTTGCAACAATACACATCACCCCAGAGTGGAGAAGGGCATTGAGCTAAGGGAGCTCGAGGTGGAAGAAGAGCCAGGGAGGTCCATGGGACCACACCTGCTGGGCCGCCCTGCCCCTTCCTGACCCCTCGTCTCACCCCATCTGGCCTTCCCAGACACGAGAGCCACACGTGGAGCCTGGAACGTTCTGAGAGCCTGACTTCTGACTCCCAGTCGGGGATCATGCTATCATCAGTGGGTACCAGCAAATGCAACAGCCCAGCATGTGTGGAGGCCCGGGCAAGGCGGGCAGCAGCCTACAACCTGGAGGAGCGGCGCAGGGCCACCGCGCCACCCTATCACGATTCCGTGGACTCCCTTCGCGACTCCCCACACAGCGAGAGGTCAGTTCCTACCCCCTGACCTATTCCCCGCTTAGCCAGAGGGCTGGCACCACTGGCCCAAGGCTGACCCTTAGGGCCCCTCAGAAACACTCCAAAGAGCCTCATCTCCATTTTTCATATGGGAAAACAAGGTCCTAGAAAAGGTGAAATGGCCTGCTCAGAGCCATCGGCATGTTAATGACAGACTGGGACTAGAGTTGGGCCAGTGGACCCTGGTGGACAGTGACCATCTAATTTAATTGTCCTCCCAGGACACTTTTCACACTAGAAAAAGGACATTATTAATAGTTACACTGGAACATCAAGAACAAACAGGCAGCCGGGCGCGGTGGCTCACACCTGTAATCCCAGCACTTGGGAGGCCAAGGCGGATGGATCACCTGAGGTCAGGAGTTTGAGACTAGTCTGGCCAACATGGTGAAACCCCCATCTTTACTAAAAATACAAAAATTAGCCAGGCATGGTGGCACATGCCTGTAATCACAGCTACTTGGGAGGCTGAGGCAAGAGCATCCCTTCACCTGGGAGGCGGAGGTTGCAGTGAGCTGAGATGGCGCCACTGCACTCCAACCTCAGCAACAGAGCAAGACTCCCTTTACAAAAAGAAAAAAAAAAAAAGAACAAACAGGGGCTGTTCTGGACAAACCAGGATACATGCTAGAAGTTCCATGTCCCAGCAGGAACAGAAGGAGACACGAAGAAGGAGTAAACTGCAGAGTGGGAGGGGAGGTTGCCTTTGAGGACACTGACCAGCACAAGATGGACGTGAGCCAAGAATGATGGCAGGCCTTGGCAGTAGCAGCAACAAGACCCCAGGGTTCAAGGCCTTGTTGGCTTCCTAAGCAGTGGATGTAGTAAGAACCAGGAAACGCCCTTTCTTCCCTGACTCCAAGCCAGAAGTCAAGGGCCAGCACCCCTGCCACCTTGCTCAGCCCTGAGTGGCCCTCAGCAAGTGGGGTCTGTAGGAGGTGAGCAGGGAAAGATGAGTGGTACTAAAAACTCCACACCAGGGAGCAGGGAGAGGAGCAGATATTCCCTTGCTCTCAACTCAGCCTACTCCATGCCAGGCCCTGTGCTGGGCAGGCCTGGCTGGGAATCCAGAAGTGGCCTGCCAGGTTCCTGCTCCTGAGGAGCTCCTAGCCACAGAAACAAACCAAGGAAGCTTACAGCAGCCTATGGAAGGTGCTAAACATGACACCACACCAGGGCAGAGAGACCCAGTCTGACTGTAGGCTCTGGGAAGTAGCCAGATTTTCTAAGCCCAGCTCCACCACCTGTGTGATTTGGGGCAGACTGATCACCTCTGTACCTTGTTCCCTCAGCTGTAGAACAGGGAGAACAAAAGCTACTATGCATGGTTCAAGTGAAGGCCACCTGAGATCATGTGCACAGAGCTCTTTGTCTCATCCCTGGCATGGAGCTGATGCTCACTAGGTGTAGCTATTTATGAATCGTAACCACAGCAATGAGACTCCTTAATGGGTGGTAGGAAGGGGAGAGGCAGGAGAGCAGGAAGAAAAGCATTCTAGGCACGGGGAACAACTTGAGCTGTTCCAACAGAGGCACTTAAGAACAGGGCTGATGAGTGAGGTGCCTGGAACAGAGTGGGCTGTAGGGAGCAGAGGAGCTGGGCCTGAACAGGCAAGCTGAGGCCAGACAGACTGACCCTGGGTGGGTAAACAGGAAGACCGGCTTCAGCAGAGCTGTGACTTTACAAGATTGCTCTGGGAACTGCATAGAGTGAAGGAGGAGAGACCCTGGGGTGGACCCAGATGACCACATGTGAACAGTCGGGCCCAGGATGGGGTGGAGAGTGTGCTTCCGGAGAAGGGAATGGGTAGGACTTGGTGGTTAATCAGATGTGCCGGTGGGAAAGGGAAGAGGGAGGAGTCAGGCGATTCAGAAAAAATGATAATGGGGACTCCAGGCTGGTTCCAGAGAGCAGTGAGATGCCCAGCTGTGCAGTTTGGAAGGGAAGCGTGGAGGTGGGTGGCCCCTGTCCTGAGGTGACAACGGTGGGGCAGAAGACTGATGGGCTTACAAGGGGGATGTGGAGCACAAAAGGGGACAGGTACCCGGGATCCAGCCTGGGAGATATTAGCAAGGCCAGACTTCTGAAGGAGCTGGTGGTGTGGGGATGGGTCTGTAGCCACAAGCAGAGACACCTCATGGGATCTTGGTACTCCCCTGAAGCAGGTTTTGACTTCACTGTAAGGAGGAATATTTCCCTCACTGAAGCCATCAGGGCATGGGAGGAATTGTCCCTGTGGGGCAGTGAGGCCAGGTCACAGGGGTATCTGAATGGAGACTAATGGCTTCTGGAATTGGGCAGTATGAGTCCTGGTTCCTGACTAGCCTCAAGTCACATCCCAGCTCTGCCACTTCTTGGCTGTGTAAATCCTGAATAAGTCACTTAAACGTTCTGAGTGTTACTTTCCTGCGTGTAGAATTAAACGTTCTGAGTGTTACTTTCCTGCGTGTAGAATGGGACTGGCGGAAGGGTCTTACAGAGCTGCGGTATTAAACCAGATGGAACATGTACCCCAGCGTGAGCCTGACCCCCTGACGGTGAGCATTCCCACAGCAAGTGACCATTCATGAAAGCTTACCAGGGTCAGGCACAGGGCTAACACATCCCACTGATACAATCTGGAATCATCCCAACAGAGCTATGGAATCAACACCATGGTTATGCCCGCGTAACAGATAAGGAAACCGAGGCTCGGAGAGGTTTAGGAAATTGCATAAGGCCACTGAGGGTTGCTGCCGTCATTCTTGCAGGCGGGGTCTCGGGCAAGGTTAAGGCAAGTCTGGGTCCGCCCCTCCCACCCTACCCCACCCCCAACCCCCCCTCCCCCGCGCCGGCCCGGCCTGGCCCTGGCCCATGCCTCTGCCTCTCCCCGCAGGTACGTGTCGGCCCTGACCACGCCCGCGCGCCTCTCGCCCGTGGACTTCCACTACTCGCTGGCCACGCAGGTGCCAACTTTCGAGATCACGTCCCCCAACTCGGCGCACGCCGTGTCGCTGCCGCCGGCGGCGCCCATCAGTTACCGCCTGGCCGAGCAGCAGCCGTTACTGCGGCACCCGGCGCCCCCCGGCCCGGGACCCGGACCCGGGCCCGGGCCCGGGCCCGGCGCAGACATGCAGCGCAGCTATGACAGCTACTATTACCCCGCGGCGGGGCCCGGACCGCGGCGCGGGACCTGCGCGCTCGGCGGCAGCCTGGGCAGCCTGCCTGCCAGCCCCTTCCGCATCCCCGAGGACGACGAGTACGAGACCACGCAGGAGTGCGCGCCCCCGCCGCCGCCGCGGCCGCGCGCGCGCGGTGCGTCCCGCAGGACGTCGGCGGGGCCCCGGCGCTGGCGCCGCTCGCGCCTCAACGGGCTGGCGGCGCAGCGCGCACGGGCGGCGAGGGACTCGCTGTCGCTGAGCAGCGGCTCGGGCGGCGGCTCAGCCTCGGCGTCGGACGACGACGCGGACGACGCGGACGGGGCGCTGGCGGCCGAGAGCACACCTTTCCTGGGCCTGCGTGGGGCGCACGACGCGCTGCGCTCGGACTCGCCGCCACTGTGCCCGGCGGCCGACAGCAGGACTTACTACTCACTGGACAGCCACAGCACGCGGGCCAGCAGCAGACACAGCCGCGGGCCGCCCCCGCGGGCCAAGCAGGACTCGGCGCCACTCTAGGGCCCCGCCGCGCGCCCCTCCGCCCCGCCCGCCCCACTATCTTTAAGGAGACCAGAGACCGCCTACTGGAGAGAAAGGAGGAAAAAAGAAATAAAAATATTTTTATTTTCTATAAAAGGAAAAAAGTATAACAAAATGTTTTATTTTCATTTTAGCAAAAATTGTCTTATAATACTAGCTAACGGCAAAGGCGTTTTTATAGGGAAACTATTTATATGTAACATCCTGATTTACAGCTTCGGAAAAAAAAAAGAAACAACAAAAAAAAAAGAGAGATGGGCCAATTTTTTGACTCTTTAATAGAAACCTATTTTGTGGTGCCTTTTGCTGTATGCTCATCTGGGGCTCCGGGGGACAGGTCTGGGTTGTGGGGTGCTGAGAGTGACAGCTGGGAGAGAAGAGGTGCGGGTTCTGTTGGGGGCGAGGGTGGGGGGCGGTGGGGGGTTGGCCCTAAGGAAGAACTGAGGACGGAAGTAGCTTTGCTCCCAGGCAAGAGCTGAAGTTCCCGACCCCTGGGAGGAGAGGGCCAGGACCCTAGGCTTGGAGCTGGAGCTGGGGTAACTTCCAGGGGGAGATAAAGACACAGCTACCCGAATGGGGAAGCCCTGGCTACTCACAGCTGTTAAAGGAGGGGGGGCAGAGAAACGTTTCCCCAAGAGCCTGAGCCCAGGGAGGTGGCAGCTCTGCCAGGGGCCCAATGTTGGCGGCTCCTGTCCCCCACAGCCTCCAGGACGCCCCTCCGTCCTCTGCAGCACCTTCGTTTACAGGTCGTCTTTTCTATTTTACACCTGCATGTCCTTTGCATTTCAGATTCTTTAGATTGGATGCATGGTCACGCTGGGACCGAGAAGAGCCACTCGACAGTGTATTCCCCTTTTAGCAATAAAGTAACACCATTTCCTTCTCACAGGCTGCCTCCTAGCCCCCAACCCACCTATGACATCCACTCGTCTCCAGTCCTGCCCTCCCACCCCCAAAAACTGGGTCCACTGCTAATTTGTCAAAAAGGTAATTGTTTAAAAAAAAAAAAAATCCCAAACAGAAACAGATGGGAATCCTGTCCTGAAATGTCTGAACACCTGACTGTTGACACTTGAACATTTTTATATTATAAATAAAATCAGAAATAACTCCTGTTTGACTGTGTGTGCCTAGCCTCAGATGAGGAGGGAACTCAGAGCACGAAGTCCCATGGTGGATGTGGATGATGCTGGCCTGGAGGTTGGAGGGGGCCAGGGCAGTCCCTGGAAGGAAGTGACCCTGTCTCCGGTCTCTCCGGCCCCAGCTCACAGGACAGACTCCAGCCCTCCTCCCGCTTCCAAGAATATTTACAAGGTGTCCCCACTGGCTGCTGGGGAACCTGGCCAAGGGACTGACACAAATTGCTCTGCTTCAAACTCAGCGTTGGAACTCTGGCCCAGTTCCTGCCCTGGATCTATGGGCCGGACTGAGGCAACAGTTGCCGGCCTAGGTGGTTGAGGAGGGATGGGTTGTGGGGTTGGTAATAGCACAGCCAAGGCAGGATGACCCTTGGACCCTGAGGCACGTCACAGGCAAAGTCTGAACATGCAAAGTGGCATAACAGTGGTACCCTCAGCTGCCAGGACCACAGCTGCTGCAGTTCATAAGCCCACAGGGTGTTGCTCTTTCCCCAACTTTATACCCCCTCAGAGCCAGGACCTGTCTAAACCCGCAGACCTGAGAGAGAGTACATGATTTCAGTATGGAGAAGGCAGATGGAGGCCCAGGTTCAAAAGCCTTTCCCCTCATCAACTAATTTAGTAAACCAGTGCCCAGCACCCGGAACTATTCGGTTCCAGCCAGACACACGGACGTCTTCCACCCAAACAGCTGAGGTGGTTGGCATGCACACTCGGCTACACGTGTGTGTGTGTGTGTGTGTGTGTGTGTGAATCCCACTAGGATGTGTGTAGTCAGAGACCTATAGGTGGGAGGGACAGAGAGGCTGCGGGTTGAGAGGGCTTTGGCATCAACAGGGCGTAAGTTCAAATTCCAGCTCTGTGCCGCCTAGCTGTGTGACGTCTCTAGGCCACAGTTTCCTTGCTGGGAAATGGGTGATGTAAATACCTATTCCAAAAGGTTGCTGTGGAGATTATAAAGTACCCAGTGCTGATGCTGGCACGTGATAGATGCCTATTACATGGCTGATTTGATGGTGGTGATGACAATATCCTGTGCCTTGCATCCTTGTATCACACAGCCAGAGTGACAAAAACTAGATGAGAGGGAGTCGATGGAAAAAAATAAAGAACAAATTAAAGTTATTGTATTTATTGTGGGGGTGCTGGGAAAAAGTATCTGCTACAAAAAATTTTAAAAAGGAAAATAATGAACTCAATCCTGCATAAACCTGCAACTCACTGGCCCCTCCCGGCCCCCTTCTGTTGATCTCATCCAGGCCCCTCTGCTGTCTCTGGTTTCGTAGTTGACTTTAAAATTCTCTGAGAGCCAGTTATTCTTCTCTGTGACTTGTGGCTTCTGTAGGATCCCAAATTAACTCCATATGAACTCTTGGGGAACCCATTGACCTTTGTGTGGTCCAGCTTATTGTCCTCGTGTGACCTTTCTGGGGGCTCTAGGTTGCTGTTGCTTTCTAAATTTTAGAGTCAGAAGCCACCCAATGAACCCACCAATCTCTATGTGGCCCTCGGTTGATTCTGAATGACCTCTTGGTGAACTCACCGATCTTTGCATGAGCATCGGGTACCTTCATTATATGCTTTGAATCCTACAGTACCTGCCATATGTGCGGAGAGTCCAAGGCCAGAACCTAACAGAGTTCTTTCCTCACCTGTCATCCACCCATTCATTTCACAGGTATGATTAGGACCCGGGAACACATGTGGCCAGAGAGGCCCCTTCTCCACTCTGCCTCTCAAACCTCTGCCTGGGGAAGCCTTCCCAGTGGCCTTTCAGGAAGAGTCGCAGTCCTGTCAAGCTACTTCCCTACCACCGCCCCGTCGCTGGAACACGTAGGACGACATTCAGGCAGCTTCGCAAGTCAGAGGCTTCATCCCCACTTTCCCAGTTCTTTCTTTTCTCTTCCAGGTCATTTTTTGGCTTCTCTTTCCAGCCCCTCCCAGAGGCCCAAGTGGTAATGGTAACTGCCTGTTCTTCTCCTCACGAAACTGTGAGCCCCACGAGGACAGGCAGCCAAACTTCCTCCCACCACCGTATCCCCATCACCCCGCCCAGCGTGCAGCACACAGTTGGCCCTCATTGAATGAGAGGATGAAGGCGCAAGAGACACCGTCCTCAAGGGGCAACCCCCAGAAGTCCCTGAGCCCGAGGCCACTTCCCAGGACCACCAGGTGGCGCAAACCACTTATTGCATGTCACCAGTCCTGAATTTGAACAGTCCTAGAAAATGGGCATGTTGGAGGCAGCAGTTGTGGGTGGTGAGGATCCATTCGAATGCAGGAAGAACTATTAGAACTTTGACTTAGATTTATTTTCATCTCATCTTTTTTAAATTTCTATTTTTGTGTATGTTTTATAATGTACATAATATTTTAGTACAGTAGTACATGTATATAATTTACAAATAAATAATTATACAATTAAGGAAGTGAACTAAACATTTTTTTACTGATGGGAGGCACAACCCATGCTCAGGAAGCACATCTGTCCACAGCTGCCAGAGCTCCTGGCTCTGCTCTCCACTCACCCGCCCTCGGGAAGTGAAGGGTGGGACACTGACCCCGAAACTCACAGAACTTTTGAGGCAGCATGGGGAAAGTACAGAGAGCTCTTTTGTGGTGCCACATGGCGTTTTCAATTTCATTTAAGTGAACATTTACTTCCTCTGAGCAAAACGAAGGGGCCAGATGGTTTGGGTCTAAAACACACTTCAGCTGATCCAACTTAAATAATCTGAATTTAAATCACTACATCTCTCCACATACTCAATAGCCCCTTGCCTCAAATGTGAGTGGGCCTGTAAAGTTAGATACTTAGTTGCAAGCCTGGCTTATTTTATTAACTAAGTGTGTTACCACTGACGCCAAATTCCTGGCCAAACTACAGTAATCTATTTAAACAATAGAGAGGATTCGCTCTTCATAGCCACACTGAATGTGCCATCACCCCCACCCACTTGTCAGTTGGAGAAATGCAGGGCTTAAAGGTGCTAGCTAATCCGTGATCGTCAAGTGGCAAATTTCTCCACTCTTCCCAGATGTGGCCTTGGCTAAGCCTTTCTGATTCACTAGACAAATGAAAGAAATAGCGACAGAAAAACAATCAATAACTTGTCATTCCACCTTTTCCCACAACCAAGAATTAAGGGCTTCCATAACCGTCCTCCGACAAGCATCTTTGGGCTTGTTGACAAGCAGCCATTTGCGAGACAGAGTGTCTTTTATTCCTATAGCAGTAGATCTGTCCAAGAGGCCACCTCTGGAGCTCAGAGACCTGGCAGCACCAACATAAAGACCCAAATATAAACAGGGCCGTGGTCCCATCCGACTCACACCCCAGGATATCCATGGGACAAACGGGGCGGTGCATACACGCTCTATTTTTTCCAAAAGTATCATCGGTAAGAGCAGTATAAGTCACAGGTCAGCTGGAAGAGGGAAAAACAGGGCAAGGGAGGCCAGCACTGCCTCCCCCTTCCCTCCTAGAGCGTCAGGAATGCCAGGGGGCCAGGTGCAGCCATCCTTCCTAACAGGGGAAGCTCCAAAATAGGCTTTTCCTTTATCTGATTTCATCCTCTAACTGATTCCAGTTCCAAAACCATCTTTCAGGGGTTCCTTATGTATATATTATTCTTATAGATGTATATTTGTGTCTGTATAAAAAGGAGGCAGTGTGATCTCAATGGATGAAAAGAAGTGGATGCACATGTGATGGAGTCAGCTTTACACTGAAAGGGCACAAGCCTGGGTCCCAGATTATTGTGATGTGAGGCAGGAGACCTGGGCATGGTTCTGGAGGCTGCTGGGAGGAGAGGATGGTGCTGGTGGTCGGCAGACCTGCTGCTGGTCAACTCAGAGGAAGGAGGAGGAGAAAGGGTGGGGTTCCAGCTGAGACCTAGAGTCAAGACCTGCCCTCACACACAAAAAAGATGAGGAGAGGAGCTTGATGAGAAGAGAAAGACCTGGGAAGACAACAGCCCTTCCAGCTTCTCCAGCGAGGTGGTGTCTAGAGCATGCACACAACTGGCCTACAAAATGAGGCTCCATGGTGGAGAGGAAAACAAGGGCCAGGGAGAGGGTCTGATGCCCGGAGATGCCCAAGGACGCAAGGAGATCAACGCCACAAACGGCATCTCCATCTCCTGGGCCCACAGGCTTTCTGCACCCCTCTAGCTGCCCATCAACTGACTGGAGCTTGGTCCAAGTGGCCCCTGGCTGGAATTGTGCTCACTGACCCCACTGGAGACATCTGCCCACCCTGGGGTCTGCAAATCCATGTCAGCTAAGTATCAGGCCCAGTGGCATCCTTTGTGGTTTTGCTGCCAGTCACATGGCCCTGGCTGAGGGCAGGGCTTGAATGTGTCTTCCGGAGAGAAGGGTCATCCCCTTCCAGAGTGGCCAGCCGGGCCTCAATCCGCTCCAGATCATCTGAGCCCACTTTGATTTTCATAGCCAGGAGGTGGATATAGGTCTCATAACGGCTTTTCTGGGGAAAGGCCAAACACAAGGTCAAAAGACAACAAAATAGGAAAAAAGTATGTGCACCTTATATGACAAAAGACTAATTTCCTTAATATGCAGAGAGCTTTCACAAATCATTAAAAAGAAGATGAACAGTCCAATTAAAAAATAAACAAGGGACATGCACATAAACTTCATTCATAATTTGAAAAATCCAAATAATTGGCAATGATTTCTTGTATATGACACCAAAAACCCAGGCAACAAAAGTAAAAATACACAAATGGGACTATATCAAAATTGAAAACTTCTGTACATCACAGGATACAATCAACAGAATGAAAAGGCAACCTACAGAATGGGAGAAAAATATTTGCAAGTCATATATCTGATAAGGGTCTTGTATCCAGAATATATAAAGAACTCTCAGAATGCAACAACAGAAGACAACCCAAAATTTTTAAATGGGCAAACGACTTGAATTTACATTTCTCCAAAGAAAGCATACAAACGGCCAACAAGCACATGAAAAGATGCTCAACATCATTAGTCATTAGAGAAATGCAAGTCACAATGAGATATCAATTCACACTCTTACTACTATCGAAAGAGCAGAAAATACATGTTGGTGAGGATATGGAGAAATAGACAGAACCCTTGTGCCCTGCTGGTGGGAATGTAAATGGAGCAGCTGTTATGGAAAGCTGGTGGTTTATCGAAAAGTTAAAAATAAAATTACCACATGATCCAGCAAGACCATTTCTAACTATAAACCCAAAAGAGTTGAAAGCAGGGTCTTGAAGGGATATTTGTATACCCATTTTCATAACAGCATTTTTCATAATAGCCAAAAGATGGAAGTAAGCCAAGTGTTCATTGATGGATAAACGGATAAACAAAATGTGGTGTGTACATACAATGGAATATTATTCAGCCTTATCCCATTTATGCCTAGTGTTCCATTATTGGGACATTAAGTTCATGGGAGTTATTTATATCATACTGCTCAAGGTCATCTCCAAGGTCTGATTTTTCACCAAAAAAAAATTTGCAAACTCTGACATAAATGGGTTAAAAAGAAAGGAAATTCTGACACACGCTACAACATGGATGAACCTTAAGGACATTATGCTAAGTAAAATAATTCAATCACAAAAAGATGAATTCTGTAGGATTCCACTTAGAGTAGTCAAAATCATAGAGGCAGAGAGTAGAATGGTGATTGTCAGGGGCTGGAGGGAGGGGAGAATGGGAAGTTATTATTTAATGTGTACAGAGTTTCAGTTTGGGAAGAGGAAAGAATTGTGGAGATTGGTTACACAACAATGTGAATAGACTTAACACTACTGAACTATACACTTAAAAATGGTGAAGATGGTAAATTTTATATTACATGTCTTACTGCAATTAAAATGTTTTAAAATCCAAATTAAAATAGTAATGAGGCCGGGCGTGGTGGCTCACACCTGTAATCCCAGCACTTTGGGAGGCCGAGGCAGGTGGATCACCTGAAGTCAGGAGTTCGAGACCATCCTGGCCAACATGGTGAAACCCCCATATCTACTAAAAATACAAAAATTAGCCAGGCATGGTGGCATGTGCCTGTAATCCCAGTTGTTCGGGAGGCTGAGGCAGGAGAATTGCTTGAACCCAGGAGGCAGAGATTATAGTGAGCCAAGATCGTGCCACTGTACTCCAGCCTGGGCGACAGAGTGAGATTCCATCTCAAAAAAAAAAAAAAAATAGTAATGAGATACTAATTGTTAAACCTATCAGGTTAGTGAAGATTAAAACGTTTTGCAATGCCCAGTGCTGGTGAGGGCATGGAGAAATAAGTACATTCACAAATTATTAAAGGGGTTAGAAATTGGCACAAACATTTAAGAGGAAGGTTTGGCAGCATCTGAGGGCCTTCATCTGAGCTTCTGCCCCTCACTGCTGTCAGGGAAGGCTGGCACTCTGGAAGGACTGGGGACTAAAGGTCAGGGGACCCTGTTCCCTCCCAGCTCCCACATCAATGAGCCCCTTTATCACTAGGCTTCACCTCCCCAGTCCCACATCAGGCCAGGCAGGAAGGAGAAAGAGCAGGGCACTGGGCTTTGCAATCCAGTCCCCCAAGGCTCACCTCGAAGGTGAGATAGTGCTCCTTCAACCGGTACTCCTCGGCCTCCTTGGACTTGATGCCCCTCTCGACTGGGTGACACCTGTGTTCGGCCAGCTCCGCAGTCAGCTGCCTCAACTTATTCTCATGAGACCGCAGTTGCTCCTCCTGCAAAGACAAATCCTGGACTGTGAGGCCTTACTCTCAGGATGTCACGGAGTGGCTCAAATCCTGTTCTACCAGGAGCTGCTCCACCAAAGGGAAATGAAGGCCTAGCCAGCATCACCAAAATGTGGGGACAGAGCCAGACTCTGGACCTGAGGGCATGCTCTTCCTCCCACCTCCCTTCCTCCTCCCCCAGGTCCCATCAGCATCAGCTTTCCTCGATGCCCCCCAGCCACCCCACCGCAGGCTTGGGAGACAAGAGATGCTCACACTTATATGTGCACATAGACAGTCCCTGACACAGACACACAATGACCCCCACACAAAACCCAGCTCATATGCACTCCCATGTGCACACACAAACACCCCGGACCAAGGCCAGCCTGGCCCCGCTATCCCCTGCTCCATATGATACACGCGTTCTCTTACATTCATGCGCAGATACACGTAATGGTTGCAGACCCAGGATCACACCCAAAGACAGGCGGAGACACTGTCGCTGATGGGCAAACGCACACATCCCACCCACTACAGGCCAGCCAGGCCCCCTGGTGCTGTGTGCACATGCATGCATGTGTGTATGAGTCACCACCTGTGTGTTTACACATGTGAATGTGTATGGTTTGTGCACATACATGGTGTACGTGCATTGCACAAAGGTTCTGGGCAGAAGCAGGAGCCCAGGAGCTCAGTGGGGTGACCCGGGACAAGGCCTAGTGGGAAAGGCCGCTGGCAAAGAGGAAGTGTGGGGCTTCCGCTGCCCTCTACCTCTCAAGCTCCGGGCCACCATTTCTCCTGTCCTCTCCAAAGAAGCCCTGAGAACCTGCAGCATGGGTGTGTTGGGTTTTCTAGGATTACAAATAAAACATTTAAGAATAGGTGAGAGCAGCAAAAGAGCACTGGATGAAGCGTCAGCCAGGTGTCACCTGTGCAAGCTCCCTGTGACACACGGTCTCTTGCATTTGTGCCCAGGTGCACACAAGGCCACCAACTCTCGGTCACATCCACAGGGATGCACTGGCATAGAGGCAGCTCCATGCCACCTGCCACAGCTGTGGCCCCTGTGTGCCATGCCTCGGTCTCCCTGTTGATGTGGGGGTGGGGTGCTTGGGATGGAGGGAACAGGTGTCCTTCTCTGGTGTCCTTCAGCCCAGGATCACCCAGCCTAGAGACAGAGCTGGGGTGGGGCTGCTGGATGGGGGCCTGGGCTGAGGATGGCAGCCTGGGGAGGCAAAATGTTGACCCAGGAACATGTACCTGGCAGAGGCGGGTGGTGCAGGAGGGCAGCAGGGGCCGACAGAACTTCTTCATGGAGCTGACAGCGGCTGGGAAGGCCGGGGCAGAGAAGATGGCTGCCACCAGGTTGATCCTGAGGATCCAGGACAGCATTTCTTCCTTGCTCCTGGGGACAGGAGGGGGAGAGGGTGCCGGCCTCTCACACAGGACTCCCTGTCCCCTACTCAGCATCCCGTACCCAGCACTGGGCCTGGCACTGAGAAGGCACCAGTACCTCTAGATGGGTGGATAAAGGGGAGAGGGAGGACACATGGGGGCTGGATGGGCCTGGCCAGAGCTATGCACGGAGCTCCCTTTCTGTCCCAGCTTCCAGGCACACCCGAATTCTCATGTGAAGATCAAACTTCCCAGGTCCACAGCTAGTGGCCCTGGAGTGAATAGGTGGGAGTGACTGTGGACTGGGGATCATCAGAGGCAATAGCAACTGGGTGACCCCCACAGCCCTCCTGCCCTCCCCCGCTGCCTGCCCAGCACTGGCACTGTGATCCTGAGGCCTCACCCACTAGCCTGCCTCCTTGCAAGCTCATGTGACATGTGCACCCCAATCTCAAGTCACAGGAGGACGAGAGGTGGTAGGACAGCCTTACAGGTTACCTGGAGGGTGCATCTTTCCCACACTTAAAGTGAAGGATGATTCGTAAAGATGCCACCTGCCCCACATTGCAGACTCCAGCGCACTCAGCAGCCCCTGCAGGGCTTGTTAAACACAGTTGCTGGAGCCATCCCAGAGTTTTGGGTTCAGTAGGTCTAAGGTGGGGCCAGAGAGACTGCAAATGATGCTGAGGGGAACCACACATTGGGAACCACTGCTTTGGAGGGACCCAGCTGTCGGTCTGTGTCATGTGGATACACATGCTCTGTTGCTGACTCACGGGAAGGAGAGGGGTTGTGTGCCGGGTCACTGTGGCCCTGGGCCCCAGGTGGGAGTGAAGGGCTCCAGCTCCTACTCACGGTGCCTGGAAGAGGAATACCCTCCAGTCGGCTGTCTTAAGCTTCAGCACGTTGGACTTCTTGCTGTAGTCAGAGGCCCTGGTGGCCAGAGCGTGATGCACGCGAATGGCGTTCTTCAGGTCACCCTCCGATAGAGCTTTGTCAGGCCTGTACTCATCCTGGGTGGGGCAGGATGGGCGAGCTAGGGTCACTGACCCACACCTTCCACTCTCCCCTCCCCTCACTGCTCTCTGTCTAACCCTACGGCTCCCTTAATTTTCTGTTCCTGCTGCCTCACCCACCCCAACAAGAATCCAGGTACTCCTCCCCTTACCCCAGTTTGTCCCAGAGGCCTGAACAGGCCTCATGCTGAGAGTCCACTGAGCCACTGGGCACCAAGTTCTCCCAAAAACCTCCAAAGCCCTGAGAGGGCCCAAGTCTGGGGAAGGACCCAGCATGTGCCTGAGCCCCAGGTCCTGCCTGGGGCTTCGGGGTGCCACAAGGCCAGGGCGGGATGGGACTGAGCTGGCCCTTTCTGAGTAAGGTCTCTGGGGCAGTCTCTCACCTTCTGCAGGTACAGGATGGTCCCTTTGAGCACTGCGTAGAATTTCTTCCAGCCACGCCTCCCACGGGGCGCTGGGGAGGAGGGCACTGGTAGTGTGGCTGCAGCCACCCTCTGCAGTCTCTCCAACCCCACCTCCCACTACGTGTCCACCTGTATGTTCGTCCCCAAAGAGTGGCCCGTGGCGCCCCCCTCTGTGCCAGCCTCCCTCCCATGCCCCTCTCCCAGCCTGACACCCACTCCTCTTGCCATCCATGTCAGCGTGAGTCTTCCGGGTCAGGACGCCGTGCTTGTAGGTGGTGGCACTGAGCGCCTGTGGGACATCCAGGAAGGGGTTGCCACCATCCAGGATTCGCGTCACCTTCTTCGTGCCTGTCCCGAACTTGTCATCCACCAGCTCAGACAGGGATTTCCTCAGCTCATCCTCATCACTAGGGAAGTACTAGGCCTGAGCACCACCTCCAGGGAGGCCTCGGCCCCGCATCGTCATGGCCTTTCCCCACCAGCCTCCTCTCCAGGAGCCAGGGTCATGGAGGAAGAGCAGCCCCAGGAGGCAGAGATGAAGAGATTCCAATTCCAGACCACAGATCCAGATCTCTGACCCCTCCTCTCATCTCCACTTCTGACCTCTGACCTCTGACCTCTGATCTTTGATTTTTGTCCTCCAAGCCCAAATTGTCACCCTTGATCACAAACGTGGAGACTTAACTGTCACCAGGTCTCCTTCCTAGTCTTCCTTCTCCTCTCTCCATCCCAGGGAGCACTAACCGTGGCCAGACTGAAGCTGCTGCACAAACCCCACCGACATGCTGGCAGCGGGAGGCCAGCAGGTAAGGCCCTGAAGCCTGGGCCCCCATGAGAGCCCTGGAAGAAGAGTGCCAGCTCTTCCCTGTGGGGTTGGAGTTCCTGCTAATCCCTGCCTGAGGCCTCTACATGGACCTGCCTGCCCTGGGGAACACAGCAGAGCCTTTCACGGTCTCCCCAAACAGCAAGGTCAACACCCCTCTTTCCTGATGAGACCTACAGGTCTCACTGCCTTTGCAGGGGAAGAAGTTAGAGGGCACTCTCCCCTTCCCACTGTCAATAACAGTCACCACCTAAACGTGGTCATATTCTCCAGGTTATAGAGGCCTCATGCCTCCTGTCTGCCTACTTCCCAAAGGGAAAGGAGCGGTCATCAATGGGAATTGGAACACTATCCCCATATAGAAAACCAGCTGTGGACATCATAGAACTAAAGTCACAGTTCAATCTATTCTGTAACAATGCAAACATTGCACTCTTTTTCTCAATACAGAAAATGAATCCAAAGGGGAATTCAACACCAGGTGTGCGCCAGCTAGACACAGGTATCAGGCCCTGGATTGGGAGGGATCAGCACCATGGAGAGTGGTCAGAATGTCGGACCTGCACCC
This sequence comes from Homo sapiens, assembly GCF_000001405.40. NCBI lineage: Eukaryota > Metazoa > Chordata > Mammalia > Primates > Hominidae > Homo > Homo sapiens. The sequence goes on along the minus strand of NC_000005.10, from coordinate 139,835,826 downwards.
CCACACTCCCCCACCCAGGGATGTATGCTCCCCATACCTGTGCCCATCGTCACTACTCACATGGCCCATTCCAGCTTTTCATTCTTGATGGAGTTGTAAAGGGTCTGGGAGAGGGAAAAGAGAGAGGGGGGAATTCAGGTGAAGGGTCAAAGAAACCCTCATCTACCACCAATAACATGGGTACAGTGAGGGAGCACCTTTTCAGCCAATGGGGCAAAGTGGGTGTTTGATTCATACTTATTTGCTGGATGGGTAAGTGAGTGGGTGGGTGGATGTACGGATGGGTGGTATTTAATTATGTGATCACTTAATGTCAATCTCCCGTAGGAGACTGTAAGCTTCACAAGGTCAGAGGCTGTCCATTTGTTCACTACTGAATTTCCAGTGCATAATCCAGAACTTGACATACAGCAAGTGCTCGACAGGGTAAATGAATGGATGGGAGGATGAATGGGAGGATGGGTGAGTGAATGGATGGATGGGGAAGTGGACAGGTGGAAGATGGAAGGATGGGTGGGGAAACAAGCAGGTGGATGGGTGAATGAATAGAAGATGGGTGGGTAGACAGAGGGTATATGAGGAAGATTTAGGGGTGTATGCATGAGGATATGGGTGGGCAAATGAATGGCAGGGTGTTGGGTGGATGATTGAGTAAATGATTGGGTTGATAGATTTGAGGATGAATGGGTGGGTGGGTTGGCGGGTAAGTGAATGGGTGGGGAAATGGGTGATGGGGGATGGGTGAGTAGATGTGGAGAAGTTTGTTGAGGTGAGTAGATGGGGAGTGTTTGAGGAGTACAGGGTGTCTGTGTGGGTGACGGGTGAATGGGTGAGTGGTTGCTATGCGAGGAGTGGGAAGGGAGGGTTTGGGGAGATATATATATATATGGGTGATGGGTGAATGGGTGGGTATATGGGTAGGTGAATGATTGAGTGGCTGGGTGGATGCATGGGAGGATGAGTGGATGGGTGCAGAAGTGGTTAGATAGGTGAATGGGTAGTTTGGGAGAAATGGATAGGTGGATAGTGGGACTGGGATTGTTTGATCTCACAAATATGTTCTTAACAAACGCTTCTCAATGGTGAAGAATATAATATAGTAAGAAGAGTGATGGAGACAATGTTCTATGGAACATTGGGGTTTGGATGGAGACCTCCGAACTCATTATTCAACTACGCCTGTAGTATCATCAGATTCTTCAAACCCACTATTTAAAAATGAAGCTGGCTGGGTGTGGTGGCTTACGCCTGTAATTTCAGCATTTTGGGAGGCTGAGGTGTGAGGATTGCTTGAGCCCAGGAGTTTGTGACCAGCCTGGGCAACATAGTGAGATCCCCAGCTCTATAAAAAAAAAAAAAAGCATAAAAATAAAAATCGCCAGGCACAGTGGCATGCACCTATAGTCCCAGCTACTTGGGAGGCTGAGGCAGGAGGATCCTTTGAGGCCAAAAGTTCCAGGCTGCAGTGAGCCATGATTGCATCACTGCACTCCAGGGTGGGTGACAGAATGAGACCTTGTCTCAAAAATATAAAAATAATAAAAATGAGCCCATCACCGAGCCACCAAAAACCTGCTCCTTTTCCTCAGTGGAGAAATGACCAGACTAGAAAGGCTAGAGTTCCACCCTTCACTTCAGCCTCAAAAGAAAACTGGATTCTCTTAATTCCTGGTAATGTTGAAGGAATGAGGGGGGCTTTTCCTTGTGGTGATGATAATGATGTTTGTGGTGAAGGTGGTGGTGGCGGTTGTGGTGGGTGGCAGCTGTGACAGTTCATAGCAGTGTTGATTATTACTGTGACAGTAATGGTGGTAATGGAGTACTAAAAACAAATCTCACAAAGCCTTACCCTCTGCCTAACTCAGGGAACACAGAACAGCCAAATGTTGAGCTCAGTGGTTTCTAACTTTGTCATCATGGCCCTGCACCCTGTGTTAACGGCCTGGAATGCCAGGATTTCACGAGGCACAGACCTCTCTCCTCTCTATCCATTCAGGGCACAGCTAGTGGGATGGGGACACTCAGCAGACAGTACCTTCAGCAGGTCTTTGGCAAAGTCTTGGCCATCATTCAGCTGGTCCAAGTTGGCAATGAATTGCTGACAGGACATCTTTTTGCCAATGTTCTGTAATGGAGAAATGGTTCTGCCTAAGAGTAGGGAAGGAGGCTGGTGTGTTCCCCACACACCCTGCCCTGCCCAGCCAGAGGGATGAGGCAGCATTAAGGGCAATAATGAAAATTAAATTGCGTGAATTTTCTTTTGTCTCCAAGAGTTTACAAAACTCTTTCTCACAGTCAGAACTGTACTTGATTCTCAAGCATCTTGAGAGGTTGGGCTTCTTCTGCAGCCCAGGTGAAGGAGTTGGGCTGGATGAAGAGTTGTAAGAGCTGACATTTGCCAGGTGCCTACTATGTTCCAGGTCTTGTGCTTGACATGCATTATCTTATTTCTTTCTCACCCCAAGGAGGAGGTGAGGTGCCTGTTTTTATTATCCCCATTTGACAGGTAAGGAAACTGAGATACAGGAAGGTGAAGTGACATGCCCACGATCACAAGGCAAGGAAGTGAAAAGGCCAAGTGTGTCTGAAACCAAATCCCGTGCTCTCACCGCTACTCCACGGTTAACTCTCCCAAAGTCACTCAACACCAGGACTTGAACCCAGGCCTCTTGGCTTCTGAGCAGAAGCTCTGCATATTCTGCCACAACTGTCTCGCCCTCTCACCTGCACAGAGGGGCAGCAAGCCTTCCAAGACATAGGTGAAGTGAGGGAAAGTTTATGGGAGTCAAAAATCAATTGCCATGGACACACAAGTGCCCCATGCTAAGCTGAGCTGAGCTGGGACAAAGAGAACCCAAGCAGATGGTTTCACACTCAGAGGTAGAAACAGGCAAAGAGCTGGAAATGACTAAATCCCCAAGTTCTGCCTTCTTGTTTTAACCAATGAGTAGCAGAGGGGCTCAAACCCTGCAAACCCAACACCTAATATTCATACTTCCAGACTCTCCTTGGAGTCCCCACGTTTGAGAAAACATTGAACAGCACTTCATCTTTGTGAGGATGAAGACTCTTGAATACCAGATACTTATCACTGAAGGATTTTGTGGATTGGGGTTTGCTCTAAAGCAGTGTTTTCCAAGGTTTACCTACAGAACTCTGGTATTCCAGGAGATGGAAATAGGTATTCTCTCAAAAAAAGATTTCATAATAGAACAACTTTATTTACATGTTTCAGAGTCTTTACCATGCTGATTTGTGCTGGTGTCTCCAAGGAGAGGATTCCATGTCATTTCCCAAGTTTACTGACATTGGCACTATTTTAGCAAAGACACTCTATTAGCATCATGTGGGACATTCACACACCACAGAAATCATTCAGAAAACAATGATGCAAGGCTTTATAAGTAGCTGACAAGCAAGAACTTTCTATGCCTTTTCCAACTAGTTCAGGAGAAAAGATCCTATGTATGCCTTGATACAAGTGTGTTTTGTATTTTTCTGTGTAGATTTACATATATATGTGTGTATAGATATATAAGTATATAGCTGTGTGTGTACATTTGCAATACAGGATTATGAGGGCAATGTTGGTAAGACTGTCTTTGAGTTCCACACAAACTGAACATTCCCCAGCCATCGGTCAGGAGCACAAAATCAAAAAATAACACGGCAAGATTTCTAATCTGAGCAATATCAGACTATCTTCTTGTGGGTGAACCTTCCCAGCAGCATTGGAGGCTTTACAAAAGCAGTGAAGGCTTCAAGGGTGAGGATCCTGCAGGGGAGTGTGGAGAGGTGACCCCAGAAAGAGCAGCATTCCTCCCCGAAGCACCTGCTCCTTCCCAGCAGTGGCCAGGGGCTGAGCGGCTAAGTGGCCTCTTAGGATTGGAGAAAAGAGATTGGAGTTCAGGGTCCACCAAGGACAAGGGTCCTGGGAAACACCCCAGTCACACTTCAACATAAAAGTTGAAATTAAGAAAGAAAATACTAAAAGAAGAAAAAGTATCCCAGATGGAAATGTGGAGAAGCAGAAATGAATGAAATAACAAAAAGAATTGGTAACTCTAAATGGAAATCGACTATGTAGAGCAACAATAAAGTTTCCCAGGGAATAAAATATAGAGAGATATAATAGTTAAAAGCATGATAACAGGAGTATGTAAGTTAAGAGAGCAGTAAATGGAACTAAAGTGTTTCAAGGTATTTCATTGCCCAGGAAGTGGTACAAGTACTTTATAAGTCAAGAATGCAAATTGCCAACCATAGAAGGAATTCCGAAAGAATGCACAACAAACAAGCTAACAGAGCAGGGAAATTGAATTCTAAAACATACTTAATCCAAAAGTAGGCAAAAGAAGAAAAAAAAAGAAACAGAACAGAGGAGTCAAAGAGAAAACAGTCACTTGATATACTTAAACTCAAATATATCATAATTCATTAAATGTTCAAATTAACATTATTACCAAATTTTATTTTTAAGTATATGATACAAGATATATGCCTTAAATATAAAAGAACAGAAATCTTTGAAAGAAAAAGTCAGAAAAAGATATACCACATAAACACTAACAAAAGAACTCCAGTATAGCTACACTAATGTCTGACAAAATAGATTCGAAGGCAAGAAGCATTACTAGACATAAAGACGGACATGTTCATAGTGATAAAAGGGTCAATCTGCCAGAAGATATAATCATCCTAAATCTGTATACATCTAGTAACATAGCTTCAAAATATACAAGACAAAAATTGACAAAACCAAAAGAAGACATATTCACAATCTTGGCTGGAGATTTTAACACTGCTCTCTTAGTAACAGGAAGAACAAGCAGACAAAAAGTTGGCAAGAATTCTATGCCAAAAAATTAGATAACCCAGATGAAATGGACAAATTCTTAGAAATACACAAGCTACTAAAACTGGCTCAAGAAGAAATAGAAAATCTGAATAGACCTATAACAAGTAAAGAGATTGAATCAATAAAAAAAAAAAAAAAAAAAAAAGCAAGTCCAGGTGTGGTGGCTCACACCTGTAATCCCAGCACTTTGGGAAGCCAAGGTGGAAGGATCACTTGAGCACAGGAGTTTGAGGCCAGTCTGGGCAACATAGGGAGACCTTGTCTCTAAAAAAAAAAAAAGAAAAGAAAGAAAGAGAAATAAAGAAAGAAAGAGAAAGAAAGAAAGAAAGAAAGAAAGAAAGAGAAAGAAAGAAAGAAAGAGAAAGAAAGAAAGAAAAAGAAAGAAAGAAAGAAAGAAAGAAAGGAAGGAAGGAAGGAAGGAAGGAAGGAAGGAAGGAAGGAAGGAAGAAAATTAGCTGGGCATGATGGCACATGCTTGTGGTTCCAGCTACTCAGGAGACTGAGGTGAGAGGATTGCTTGAGCCCAGGCGGTTGAGGCTGCAGTGAGCCAGGATCACACCACTACACTCCAGCCTGGGCAACAGAGAGACGCTGTCTCAAAAGGAAAAAAAAAAAAAAAAAAAGAACACTATCAAGAGATGAAAAACAACCCACAGAGTGAGAAAAAAAATTTGTAAATCAAGTATCTACTAAGGGTCTAGTATCAAGGATATATAAAGAACTCTAAGAATACAACAACAAAAGACAAACAACCTAATTTTAAAATGAATGAAGGACCTGAATAGACATTTCTCCAAAGAAAATATACAAATGGCCAAAAAGTACATGAAAAAAATGCTCAACATCACTAATCATTAGAGAAACACAAATCCAAACCACAATGAGATACCACTTCACATTACAGATCACACATACCAGATCACACTACACTAGGATGGCTATCTTTTTTTTTTTTTTTCAAAAAAAAAGAAAAGGGTTGGTGAGGATGTAAAGAAATTAGAACACCCTTGCATGTTGGTGGTGGAAATGTAAAATGGTTCAGCCACTATGGAAAACAGTTGGGCACTTCCTCAAAAAGTTAAATGTAGAATTATCCTATGACCCAGCAAGTCAATCCTAGGTATATACCCCCAAAATATGAAAACAGATATTCAGACAAAAACTTGTACACGAATGCTCATAGCAGCGCTATTCACAATCACCAAAAGATGGAAACGACCCAAATATCCATCAAGAGATGAACAGATAAATAAAATGTGGCATATCCATACAATGGAATATTATTCAGCCATAAAAAATGAACTACTAATACATGCGACAACATGAATGAATCTTGAAAACATGCTAAATGAAAGACGCCAGTCACAACAGGCCACATATTGTGTGATCCCACTCACATGAAATATCTACGGTAGACAAATTCACAGAGACAGAAAGCAAAATAGCATTAGCCAGGGGCCAGGTGGAGGAGGAAATGGGGTATGACTGCTGATGGGTATGGGGTTTCCTTTTGTTGTGATGAAGATGTTCAGAAACTAGACAGTGGCAACGATTGCACACCATTGTGAATGTACTTAGTGCCACTAAATTGTAAGCTTTAAAATAGTTAAAATGGTAAGTTTCATAACAAGAAAATAAATCACTAAGAATATACATGATTTTTACAACACATATAGGCACCTTACTGGCACATATAGAACATTGTAACCAACACACAGAATATATTCTTTTCAAGTCCACATGAAACATTCACTAGAATTGATCTTTCTCAGGGCGAAAAAGCAAGACTCATGCAAAGAAGTGAAATTATACTGGGTAAGTTATCTGCTTTAAAATATAATACTTATAATGACAACCAGGCAAAAAGACATGCACCCAGATCATCCCAAAGCCCAAGGGAGGTCCACGATTTGGGGCCTCTGAATTCCCAGTTCCTCCCCTCCCTCCCACCCCATTTGGATCTACAGGGCCTCCCAGTCTTTCCTGAGCCCTTGGACTTCTTCCCACAGCCTCTGTCTCCGAGCAGAGGAAAGTCACAGCGGGTCCAACCACTGCCCCATCCCAAGGCCTGGACCCTGGCACGTTAGGGCCAGGGTGACCATCTCCTCAAACTCATCTCCTTGCCCAGAGTAGAGGCTAGACGGGTACAGGGTGATGCCCAGGCCATCATCCACATAGTAAAACTGTGTCACTGCCTTTGCCCCACAGGAGCCAGGCCTTTTCCCACAAGTCTGATTTCCATGCACAGCCCTGAGATCAGAACAATGCTAGCCTGTCTTTAAGGGTCATTTCAGAAGCAGGATGAGGCAGGCCAAGCAGACGTCATCCTTCGGGAGGAGGGGAGGGGCTGATCAAAGGTCCTATGGCAGAAAAACCCTTGCCACTATTTGCAAATCTAGGCTAAACCTTAATTATACTTGGTATTCCCTTAAGGTTATTGTGTGAGGCTCTGTCACCATCTGAGAATGGGCAGACCTCTGCAGACCTCAGGATAGCATCCAAACCCCTGGCCTGTCCCTCCAGCCCTCCACCATCCAGCCCCAATGCGCTTCGCCAGAAACTCCCGCTGTTGCCACCCTTCAGGCAACACAAGGTTGGAGAGAAATTAAGCTGTTCCTGAAAAACAATTAATCTTTGTTTCAGCTTGAGCTCTCCTGGAATGACTTCTCCCACCCACCCCTCCTTCTCTGTTTGCCTCAACCCTGGTGGTTCTCCCCCGCTTACCCCAGCCTTCAGTCCATTGACCAGTGCCATAGGCTGTGCAACAAAAATACCTCTGGAATTTCTCTCCTGGTCTCCGTCTCCAATTCTAACCCACACTGCCATTTTCTCATGGCTGGAGCTTGCGAATCACCGTTCTCTGACATCCCCCACTCAGTGCATCCCAGGCTCATTTGCTGACCCGTCATCACCCATCATCACCAGCATTGGCATCATCTCCAAAACCCCCATTTCAAATACAACTCCTGACCCCCATCTCCTGCTCTTCCACCTCCCCCATTCTTTAGAACCCTCACTCCAACAACCCTTTGATCCTCTGTTGAGATCTGATACAGTTTCGCCCTGTGTCCCCACCCAAATCTCATCTCGAATTGTAATCCCCACATGTCAAGGGAGGAAGGTGATTGGATCATGGGGGTGGTTCCCCCACGCTGTTCTCATGATAGTGAATGAGTTCTCAGCAGATCTGATGGTTTTATAAGTGTTTGGAAGTTCCTCCTACATTCTTCTCTCTCCTGCCACCTCGTGAAGAAGATGCCTGCTTCCCCTTCCGCCATGATTGTAAGTTTCCTGAGGCCTCCCAAGCCATGTGGAACTGTGAGTCAATGAAGCCTCTTTCCTTTACAAATTACCCAGTCTCAGGGAAGTTCTTTATAGCAATGTGAAAATGGACTAATACAAGATTCAAAGGTCCTCTCTTTCTTTTTTATCCAGTTTAGATCCCAGGCCCCATCAGTAACCACTTCCCTGCAGACATCTCTCTTGCCCCTTTGTGCTTCTGTCATATGTGCCTAGAAAAAGCCCAGCACTGACTAAACCCAACTGATTTCCTATACTGTACCTGTATCCAAGTCCAACCAAATACACTTGTAGGACACACAGCTGTGCTAATTGGTCCGATTTTATGTCTATAACCACAGCCACATGGGCATGGAGACTCCTGACTGCCACAGTTCCTGTGTTTGCTCTCATCCTCCATGAACATGGCATGGCTTTTCCTTTCCCTTAAGCCTCAAAGTCCCTGTAGTAGACACTGTGGCTCTCTCTCTCCAAAACCCTTTTCCCATTATGTATCAGCAATGAGGTGTGGGTGGGGAAGAATGACCCCACCTCTAGCCCAGGGCTAGGCCCTGGATCACCTCATTCCTCTTGCCACAGAGATTGATTCGGGTAACCTAGGCTTTTTCCAACTGTCCCATGGTATTCTCTGGGCCAAAGAGACCAGTTCAGAAAATGGCATATGACCCATCTGGGGCCAACGGTATTTGAAAGCCATTTTCTGGGAGCTTCTGTGGTAGAAGCCTTCCTGACTCCAGCTCCTAAGAAGACACTTCGGGTACCAGCTCTCTCCAGCAAGCAGTGAAGTGTGGCTGTGAGGCCTGGAATTGCTGCATCTATCGGGCCCATGTAGGGGAAGCCAGGCTTGGGATGAGGCTGACATCACTGTCAGAAGAAAATGACAAGAAATTAGATCACCTCTTAACTGGAGGTAAGGCTGATTCAAATCCACCCTGGACCCTGCCTGACTCTACACTTTTCAAACAGTAAGTAGCTGTCATTTTTAAAGCTAGTGGGTGTTACGTTTTTTGTGACCTTAACTAAACCCATCCTGACTGGTCAGTCCCCTTCCCATCTTCACTCTCAGCTCAGGACCTCATCTCATCTTCGTGGTAGAAGTAGAAGCCATCAGAAGCCCCTCATCTTCTCATTGCCAGAGCTACCAAGCCCACTGCAGCACCTCCACTTTCTGCCTCACTTTCTTATGAACGTGGGAGATGGGTCAACATTCCCCACTCACACTAAAGGCCACTTCCCACCTGTGCTCTGCTTCTCATCTCAAGGGAAGCTTCCACTGTCCCTTCTCTCTCCTGCAGTGGCAGCATCTTGTCTGTTGGGTTGATCCTGGTGGCACATGCACAAGGTTGGGCTGTTTTAACATCAGACTTGACCGCTGGCTCCTGTCAGGCCCCCAGGCAAGGCCAAACATCTTAAGAGCTGTCTATGGCCACCACACCCTCGCCTCTTGAGCTCATCTCACCCACTTCAACCTGGCATCTGTCCTCTCCACTCCACCTAAGGTGCTCTTATAAAGGTCTCCAATGACCTTGACCATCCCACCCATGACCACTCCAACCCCAGTGGTCACTCTTGCGCCATCACTTTACTTGACCTCATGGCAGCCTTTTATACAGTTGGCCACTCACTCCCTTCTCCTCGAAATGCTGTCTTGTCTGGGCTTCAGAGATGCCACACACTCATGAGTTTCCTCCGACATCCCTGGATGCGTTGCAGTCTCTCCTACTCCTCTGCCTGGCCTCTACATAACGCTGAGCCCCAGGACTTGGCCATCAGTGTGTTCTCTCTGCAGGGACATGGCAATCAGCCAGTCCCATAGCTTTGAATTCCACCCCACCCCATCTCTGTCTTCAGCCCAAGTGTCTGCACCGGGCCCAGACTAATCCATGTTACTGCCTCCTTGGCCTCCCCGCACTGATGTCTAGAGGCATCAGAAACACAGGTCAAAATCGGGACTCAAGTCCCCCTCTCCCACTCACCACCACCCCCACACAGAAGTTTCTTCCCCCTCTCAGGAAATGGCACCCCCAGCTAGCCACATGCCAAAGCCACCCTTGCTCCTCTCTTTCACTGACCAACCCCATCAGCAAGTCCTGTTAGACTCAGTCCTGAAAGGTCTCCCTTGTCAGTCCCTTCTACCCACGCTACCATCATCTCCCACCTGGATGTAAACAAACACCACTATGGAAACAGTTCTGCAGCTCCTCAAAAAATTAAACACAGAACAACCAGATATATGAACCAGCAAGTCCACTCCAAGGTAGGAACCCCAAATAACTGAAAACAGGTGTTCAAACGAAAACTTGTGCACGAATGTTCACAGCAGCGCTATTCCCAACAGCCACAAGGTGAAAACCAGCCCTGCTGGCCCCATTGCCTGAAATGCGTGGTCCTAGATCTTTCCATGGCCGGCTCCCGCTGATCCAGGTCTCTGCCCAAACCTTGCAGGCTTTCCCTGACCCTTAGACCGGACCCATCACACCTTCCTGTGTGTGCCCTTCATGGAGCTGCACAACTTGTAATCGCTTGTTCACTTCTGTGTTGTCCACCTCTTGTAACTGGTGGGGCTCCCTTTCTTGTCTTGTTCATGGAACACAAAAGCAGGGTTGTTGTTGAGCCTCCAACCTCAAGGGTCCCAGCGCCTCTTCTACACAAATCCTCCCCAGTTCCTCAACCAGACTGCACCCATCTCAGGAGCATGCCTATAGCCCGATAGCCCCTTACTGCCTCCTGCTCTGAACAGAGCTCTTTTTGTGGGGACTCGCAGGGCCCCTGTTCCCGAGATCCCCACAACCCACCAGGCCTCAGTCCCTGCTTGATGAGTGACGTGGGAGGGGAGGAGGCAAGGGGAAAAGTGCAAAGCATCAGGTGCTCTGAAGAGCTCCCAGTAACTGCAACCGCCAGGCCTTGGGTACGAGCTTTACTTCACATTCTTTACACACTGGCACTTTATCATGGGGAAACTGAGGCATAGTGAAGTAAATAACTTGTCTCAGGCCACACAGCCTTCGTGTGGAGCAACAGAGAACACAGCCTCAGAGCCTGCGCTCCTAATCTCTGAGCAGTACCACGTAAAGAGAGAGACATCTCTACTAAAAATACAAAAAATTAGCCGGGCGTGGTGGCAGGTGCCTGTAGTCCCAGCTACTCGGGAGGCTGAGGCAGGAGAATGGCATGAACCTGGGAGGCGAGGCTTGTGGTGAACCGAGATCTCGCCACTGCACTCCAGCCTAGGCGACAGAGTGAGACTCCGTCTCAAAAAAAAAAAAAAAAAAAACAAGAGAGAGACGAAAGCCTCAGTGTCTGTCTGCTGCAAACATGAACACTCATCCCAACCCACTTCTAATCTATGAAGTGCTGACATTTCTCTTCAGCTGTGGCATCAATGTGAGACCATGCCAGCTAAGGCCCACCAAGCTGCGGGGTGCTCTTGGCCCAGGGTTCACTACACAGTGGCTGCCGCCCTCCTTAGCAGTTCTTAGCCATAGGGAGGCCCAGCCAGGGGTGGGGACAGGGAGTGAGGGGCCTGTTGAGTGCTCCTTTCAAAGCAGGCCAGCAACACTGCTGTCTGTCAATAAACAGAGGGCACAGTCTAGGGGAACAGCAGCAGGCTCATGGGCTTTGGTGGTGAGTGACATTCATATGGAATGCGTCTTCTCTCTTGTTCCACACTCAGGTTGCATGCCCAGGTGGACTTGGCAAAAGCTGTCGCATATTTGCTCTTCCTGACGCAGGCACTGAGGCTCTAGCCCTCCCCAGGCCAGGTGCCCCAGTGCACCCATGAGCCCAGGCTGCCAGCAGACTGGGCCTTCACAATCTTGCCCTACAGGGGCCTGCAGGCTGGGTCTTCCAGCTTGCCCTTGGTTCGATTTTCACAGTAATGAGGAATACTATTGTTCTTTTTACGTAACAATTTTCTTCATAATGAAATCCTTACTAGGTGCCAGACCCTGCCCCTTGGTGCCATGTATATTACCTCTCTCAGTCCTGCCCATGACACCGCAGGGAGATCATTATTCCCACCTCACAGATGTGGAACCTGAGGCCCAGAGAGGGCCAGTGCTTGCCCGGGATCACACAGCTACCACGTGGAGGCAAGAGTAGAATCTGAAGTTTGGTCTATCCCAGCTCTTTCTTTCACCCCCATATGCCCTGGATTTCCTGGTTAACTTGCTGGCCTGTTGTCCCCATGAGTCACTGAGATATTCCCTACCTAGCAGGGGGCTCCAACCACCATGGGTGAGCAATGATGGGGCAGAGATGGGGTGGAGCCAGATGGTGATGGGGGACACAGAAGGGCAACATGGTGATGGGGGCCTCGGCACACAGGGCATGCACACCACTAGCTACACTTACCACCTGCGAGGGCAAGAGAGCCCAGAGAGGGGTCCCGGAGCAGATAGAGGAAAGAAGAAGGAGTTATTGAGCCATGAGAAGTGCTGAGACAGCCTGGGGCCTGGACCAGACACAGCCTCACAGCCTGGGCGTCCCACACCAGTCACTTCACTGCTTGGCCTGGTAGGGGCCGGGGATTTGGGAGGGGCTGCCCCGAGCACGGTATTTCAATGCAGCTGCATTCAGACTTGCAGGACAGGGGCACAAAGGGCACATGATCTCTTAGCATGGACGAGAGGCACACATTTGTGGCTCATCTTAAACTCCCGTGGCCCAGCTGCTCTCACTGGCATACTTGGGGGTGGGGACTCAGGTGGATCACAGGTGGATGAAACTAGGGCGGGGCCAAATCTAGAAGCCAAGCTGCCCAACCCCCACCGCTTCAAAAAGAAGCCCGGCCACTGAGTAAGAGATCTCAGGAAGGGGCCGGGATCAACACAAGGTGGGTCCCTGAGAGGACATGCGACACCCCCCGTCACCTCCCCAACTCACGTGGCCGTGCAGGTCCGTGTTGAGCAGCATCAGGGCACAGGTGAGCGTGTGGATCCCATCTGAGTCAGAGATGGTGGCACTCTCAGTGCGAGGATCCAACCTCTTCCCACTCCCTGTCTCCTGACGGAACCCGTCAGGAGACCTTGGACACAGAGGGAGGCCGGCCGCCTGCCAAACTCACCTCAGGGGACAGGGCCTGTGTGACGCTCCAGGTCTGCCCCAACTGCAGGACCCAAGTCACTTGCCTGCCCCAGGAGCCTGACCACCCTGGACCCACTCTGGCCCAGACTCCTGCCTCCTGTGGCCAAACTCACCTTGAACCTCAGACCCAGAAATAGCTCTGAGCTCCCAGCCCTGCCCCTGCATTGACCTGTGTCTCTCCCAATAATGGGCCTTGTCCCCTAGTTCCTGGGACTTAGGCCCATCTATTGGGCAAGTCCTGTCCCTAAGAGGACCCCGACCTAGACCCCCACCACACCAACAGCCAGCACCATGACAGGGACCCCAGAGAAGGGAGAGCCCCAGAGCTGAATCCCGAGGCTGGAGGGACTTCCAGGCAGTGGGGAGGAGAACAGGCAAGACTGCGCCTTGCTCAGCAGGCAGACCGTGTGCCATAGCTTATTCAATTAGCATTCATTGAGCACCTACTGCATGCCAGAGAGGACAAACCATCTGGGCCTGGCAACAGGACCGAAGTGCCAGGTGGACCAGGATGGGAGGGGACCAGGGCCTGGCTGAGTGGGTGGGGAGGGTCAGGCAGAGTGGGCAAGGGGCCATACCTTCCGAAGTGCTGTCATCAGGGTTGCACTGGCAGTACCGGCGGGAGAAGTGTGTGAGGACCCGCTCACGCTCTTGTGTCTCCCCCATCAGCGGGAAGGCCTTCAAGAATGTTCTGGAAGGCAATTCAAAGCTGCTGAGGGCAGTCTGAGTCCTCACCCAGGGTAAGACCACCCCCCACACACACAGCACACACCCACTCTAGGGGGCCAGGGCTCCAGTGCCCCACTCTCTGGGTCTGGATGCTCTCTCCACGCCCAGGAGGCCCTGGCCCCCAGGATGGCCACTCTGGAGTGCTGAGGCCAGGGGACCTGGTAAGCTTTAGAGTTTCAGTCCTCATTGCCCTCCAGGGACCTTCTGAAATTAGGCAGAGGACAGATGGTGAAGAACAAAGACAGAAGAGCACCTCAGCACCTGCTCTTCTTCAGGGTGGATGCCCACTCCTTGCTCCTTCCCCTACAGCCGGACCCTGTCCCTGCCTGCCCTTCAGAATGCTCCTCCTCAGTCATCCCCTCTCTTTCATGTGCCACCAGCTGAGCCCCAGGCCCAACTCTGGCCCCTCAACTCCTCCCCTACCCCAAGTTTGAGTTGCCACCAAATCCTGATGGTTTGTTCTTCAACCTCAACCTTAATCCTCCTCTGCTGCCACCACCTTCATCATGTGCCCAGGACAACGGGGCCACCCCTGCACCCAATCCTCCTCCCTGCTGACACTAAGTTGTCTTTCTAAATACACACATAGGCAGGACTTACCACTGCTTAAAATCCATCACTGGGCCAGGCGCGGTGGCTCACGCCTATAATCCCAGCATTTTGGGAGGCCGAGTTGGGCAGATCACCCAAGGTCAGGAGTTCAAGACCAGCCTGGCCAACATGGTGAAACCCCATCTCTACTAAAAATACAAAAATTAGCCAGGTGTGGTGGCGCATGCCTGTAATCCAAGCTACTCAGGAGGTTGAGGCAAGAGAATCACTTGAACCCAGGAGGCAGAGGTTGCGGTGAGCCAAGGTCGCACCATTGCACTCCAGCCTGGGCGACAGAAGAAGATTCCATCTCAAGAAAAAAAAAAAACAACCTCTGGCCCCTTGGCACCCTCAGAATAGCACCAAGGCTCCTCATATCATGGCCATGTTCACTGCCCAGACTACCCTCCTCTGCCTCCAACCTCATACCCGCCTGCTACACCTTGGACAGAACAGGCATTTCACTATTCAGTGCCTCAGAGCAGGCCAGGCCTTCAGGACACCCGTCCTTCCTCTGCTGGGCAGCTCTGAATCTCCCTCAAGGCCCAATATAAAGGTCATTCCCTTGGGAAGGGAGATTACAGGCTGAGGCCATTGGTGTCTCCATCAGTCTTGAGTTCAGAAGATGGTTTTTTCCTAATTTTTGCTATAGTTCATTTCGTTTTGGCCCAGAATGCTGCAATGCCCACTTTGCTTTACCCTCTCTCATGCCACCTCCTAAGGCACCCTGGGACCTGCAAGCCAT
Source organism: Homo sapiens (assembly GCF_000001405.40). Taxonomy (NCBI): domain Eukaryota; kingdom Metazoa; phylum Chordata; class Mammalia; order Primates; family Hominidae; genus Homo; species Homo sapiens. Next base: position 139,820,518 of record NC_000005.10, on the reverse strand, counting down.
GACTTGGCCAGCCCTTACACTCTGAGGTGCCTCAAGGCATCCAAAACTGCAGAGTACTCTCGAAATCCAATCCCAAGCAACCAACTGCTGCATAATAGCACTGCCCTGTCTGACAGCTCGCTGTCCTCCTCTCCCTGTCTCTCTTGCTCCCGTTCTCTTCTCCCATCTGTCCCCCAGCCTGGCCCCTCCCTCTTCTCACATTCCTCCAGGACTTTCTCAAAACCTCCCCCATTCAAACCGTAGCCTGTCTTACCTATGAGCCATCCATCCCAACTCCTACTCCCCAGCCCAAACTCCCCTTCCCTGGACACTCTGCCCCAAGCCGCAACCCCGTGCCGCCACCACCAAACTCTTGGGCTGTCCCTAGGGGTAGCCTCACCACTGTCCACCCTCCCCACATCTTGGCACCAGCAGCCCTTTTACTCTTCCCTCTGTGGAGCCTCTCACACCGACCTTTCCCCTCTGCCCAACCTCATGCTTGTTCTCTCCCACCTGACCCTCTTCAGAAGGCTACATGCCTCTAGATCAAAGGCCACCAGTACATTGGGGCCAGTATTTGCTTCCAAAATGTTGCTTTGCAGCCAGTACCTTCTGCGGCTCTCCAGTGCCTGCACAGTTGAGCCTCAGCATTGGGCTGGCATACAAGGCACTCAGTCTAGCACCCACACCTCTGATCATGAGCTGACCCCGCTGAACACCTTGCCAGACCAATCTTCCTCATTCTAGCGCAATCTTTACAACTCAGCTCAGGATACAGTAGCCTGCAGCACACCAACACTTCCACTGAAAACAATAAAAACCATGGGTTTTCTTAAGATATTGGAAAATTGCTGAGGCAACAAAGACAAAAAGGGCCAAGATTCTGGAGAGGAGAGAACTGCGGGAAGGTAGTTTGACCTTCTGCAGCTGCTTTTTCCCTGGGGGCATTGCTGATTATGGGCACAGGCAAGAGGCAGGGCATTGGGTGGCTTCAAGAGGCTGGAGACTTCAGGGGCTGTAAACACATGGCCACTTTTCCCTTTGAGATAGTTGCTGAATTTCAGAGATATAAAAGATGTAAAAGGCAGGAGGCTAAAAGGCTAAGCAGAAAACCTCTGAGAAGTAGAGGGATATTTTGTTGAAGAGGGGGCAGTGTTGCTGCACTGAGAAGACAAAACTAGGCTTCTGAGCCAACAAGGGGGTTTGCCCAACTGAACACATGAGGCTCCCAGTAGAAAACTCCGAGGGCCTGGACCCTATTATCAGAGCAAACCCTGAGCCATACCAAACTTCAGTGCAACCTTAATTGGATTAGCACTGCATCCCCACAAACCTTCTAACTGCCTAGCAAAGGACAACGTAAACCCTCTCTGGAGGAACACAGAATAATCTAGAACCACTACAATTCTATACAAAGTATACAGCATCCAATTTTTTTAAGTTATTAAGCATGCAAAGAGACAGGATATATGATGGAAAACCAAGAGAAAAAAGAGACAATAGAAACAGATACAGATGATTCAGATGATAGATACTGGAGTTAGCAGCAAGGGCTTTACAACTAATATGTTCAAAAAAAGAGAGGGAAAGGTGGAGAAAATAATGGAAAAGATGGATAATTCACCCAGAGAATTAGAATCTATTTTTTAAATTTTTTAATAAAATGGAAATTCTAGAAATGGAAAATATAACATAAATTCAAAACTCAATAAATGAGTTCAAAACCCATTTATGCCTATGGTTCCATTATTGGAACGCTAAGCATGTGGGAGTTATTTATATCCTACTGCTCAAGGTGATCGCCAAGGTCTGATTTTGCAATTCAGAAAATTGCAACCTCAGGCATAAATGGGTTAATGACATATTACAAACAGAAAAGGGTAAGTGAAGTGAAGTGAAAACAGGTCAACCGAAAATATCCCAACAGAAGCAGAGAAAAAAGAATGGAAATTACTTTTTTTGTATGTGGTTTTTGTTTGTTTGTTTGTTTCTTTGAGATAGGGTTTCACTCTGTCACCCAGGCTGGAGTGCAGTGGTGCAGTCATGGCTTACTGTAGCCTCAACCTCCCAGGCTCAGGTGATCCTCCAACCTAAGCCTCCTGAGGAACTGGGACTACAGGCCTGCACCACCATACCTGGCTAATTTTTCTACTTTTTTGTAGAGACTGGGCCTCCCTATGTTGCCCAGGCTGGTCTGGAACTCCTGGCCTCAGGTAATCTTCCAGCCTCGGCCTCCCAAAGTGCTGGGATTACAGGTATGAGCCACTGTGCCTGACCAGAAATTACATTTTTTTAAAGTGTAAGAGACATGTGGAACACAGTCAAGATGTCTAACGTGCATGAGTCACCCTACCCCTTAGCTCTGAGATGCATCCATCTCTCCTAGGACCTGGCCAGTATCTGCCCAGCTGGCCCCTGCCACCAGAGCCTGCTAGATACTACAGGGCTGCACCCATCCATTCTACCCTCCTGCTCCTGGGAACCTGCAATTGGCCCTCCTGAGGTCTACTCCCTAGGTCCAAACACCAATAGAGTTGAGATAAAATCCCATTTTACCATCTCCTCCTTCGATGACTGTGGGGAAGTCTCTTTATCCCTCTGGCCCATAGTTTCTTCATGTGAAAAATAGGAATGATAGTGCCTACCTTACTGGGTACAGAGGATGCAGTAAGCAAGGTGAGTAAAGACCTAGAGCATCTGGCAGGCAGGAAGTGCTCAATACAGGCAAGTCCTGAGCCTCCCTTCCTCTCCTAGAGTCACAATTACATTTCCACCCTCACATCCTAACAGCTACTACAAAGTGGGCACTCGCCTAACTGTTGGGCCGCTGCTGCTCCTGTGGCCCCTTCCCCACAGCCTCACCAGGGGTCAAAAGACTTGCCCAAGGTTGTACAGCAAGTTTATGGTAGAGTTGACATGAGAATCCAGAAGTGCAGCCTGTACCACTTGTGGGCACTGCCTGTCCCAGCCCCACTGACCTGAGTGCTCCGTCCAGAGTCAAGCCCGAGAAGTCGAAGAAACTGAGGTACTCCCCGGCCACCAGCCTGCTAAACTCGTTGCTGCCAGGAGAGTATGGGATGTCTGTTAGAAGCAGGGTCCAGCCCAAGGATGACAGAATCACAGGCATTACTTGGGCCCAGGGTACCCGGACCCACCCACCCCCTAGACCTGCTCAACCCCTAGGCTGCTGGCTAGTTGGGCCATAACATTCAACCTTGGTCTTGGGGTGTCAGGAAGGCTTTCTGGAGGAGGTGATGTCTCAGTCAACACAGGGAATTACGAGCTAACCAGGCGAAGGGAGTAGGGGTGGGATGATGCAGTGTCCCCAGGGAGGAAACTGCATGGCATGTCCAAGAAGCTACTAGCAGGGCCATGTGGCCAGAACCTAAAGAGCAAGAATGGGGCAGCAAGTGATGAGGCCGGGACCAGGGGAAGGACCAGGACTTGATTCAGAAAGGTTAAAGCAGGGATGGTCAGTCTGTATTTTGGAATGCGCTACCTGCTGAGTGGAGACCCACAGGGGGACTGCCATAGTTGTCCAGATAGAGATAGAAGGGATGGGGAAAAGAGAAATTTAGGGGGCAGAATCCACAAGACAAGGAGATGGAATGGACGTGCGGCATGACCAAGAAGGTGGTCCCCTGCGGGAGATGTGAGACTTCAGGACGAGGCATCCGTGTGAGAGTCATCAATTCACAGCTGGTCAGTAACAGCTCAGGGTGGGGCTGAGCCCATGCAACAGGAGAGGGCACAGACAAGCTGGCCGGCCCAGAGCCCCGAATCGGGGTGGGAACCCAGGAGCGAGCCAGCGAAGGAGGCTGAGAAGCAGCAGCCAGAGGTGGGGTGTGTTGTCCTGCAGGCCAACGAAGACTGTATTTCAAGAAGACTGGCATGAGGAATTCTTGTCAAAAACTAGAACAAATTTCCACCTGATTCTAATTAAGCCTGGAGCTCGCTGCCCATTTGCAGGACTCATGGGAAATAGAGAAACATGTTAAATAACACCATCAGGATACCATATCCAAACCGTGGAACATTCTTTAGGACAAATGGCTTGGTTTCTTCAACAAATACACGGCACTTAAGAAGGGAGGAGGACCGCCAAACTGCAGAACTGTTGTTGGTTAAAAGAGACTTAACAGACCAATCGGCCAAGTGCAATGTGTGGACCCTGTTTGAATCTTGATTTCAATAAACCAACATTTTTTAGACAATCAGAGAAAATTAAACACAGACTGAATGTTGGAGAGATTAAGAACTTTTTGTTCATTTTGTTAGAAATTATAATAGAATCATGATTATGTAAAAAAAGATCCTTATCAGTTGGAGATACATACTAAAGTATTTATAAATCAAATGATAGAGTGTCTGAAATATGCGTTACAATCTTCCAGCACATGAAAAAAAGGCTGTGGGTCATAGATGAAATGAGAATGAAGCAAATAGTAACTTTGAAACTCAGTAATGGGCATATAGAGGTTTGATATTTTTTTCCTCTGCTTTCGTGTTTGTTTGAAATTTTCTTTTTTTTTTTTTTTTTTTTTAATATATGGAGTGTTGCTCTGTTGCCCAGGCTGGAGTGCAGTGGCACGGTCTTGGCTCACTGCAACCTCCGCCTCCCAGGATCAAGCGATTCTCCTGCCTCAGCCTCCCGAGTAGCTGGGATTACAGGCAACCACCACAGCGCCCAGCTAATTTTTGTATTTTTGTTAGAGACAGGGTTTCCCCATATTGGCCAGGCTGGTCTCAAACTCCTGACCTCAGGTGATCCGCCCACCTCGGCCTCCCAAAGTGCTGGGATTACAGGCATGAGCCACTATGCCCGGCCTGAAATTTTCATAATAAAAAGTTTAATTAAAGAAAAAGAAAGAAATGGCCAGTCTCGTGGAAGCTGCTGAAGGGGCTAAGGTGAGGCCTGGGGAGCAACCACCAGATTCAAAGACACAAGGCCACCAATGACCTTGACACAAGAGGTTTCTGAAGTTGGTGTGGGGAGAGGAAACCAGTGTGGAGGGGCTGAGTGTGGAGAAAGAAAGGGGATAGAGGCCACCCTGGGCAGAAAATCCAAGAATTTTGGCTAGAGGAGGAAGTGGGGTTGAGAAACACTTTTTGTTTTTCAGATGGGAGAGACTTGAGGACAATTAGCTGCTGGAGGGAGTGGTTGAAAAGATGGGAGAGGGCAGGGGCAGGCCACAAAGAAGGCTCCTGAAAGGATGGCGTTAGGTTTGGGGGTCCAGCCTAGCAGAACAGGTGAGGGCATCCGAGTTGTGATTTCTGGGCTGGCGCAGTTGTTGGGGACCTGGTGCAGGAGCAGCGTGGAGACTGAGGAGGGTGGAGGGAGAAGTGGAGGGAGGGAGAAGAAGTGAGAGAAGAGGAGGATCCAGGACCTGAGCCGCCCTCAGGGCATCCTGAGGCCTAGCCTGCATGTCATCTCCCACTCATGGACAAGGGTCTGGACTGTCTCCCAGCCCTGTGAGCAGTGCTGCAGGGCCAGGCCTGCTCCTGCACAGCTCAGAGCCTTAATGCGGACGTTGGGAGGCAATCTGGATGAAAGGGCCAGGGGCAGGTGGTGGGTGGTCACACTGGTGGTCAGATGTGAGCAGAATGTGCCGGCAGACTTCCTCGGTCCTGCAATCCCGCCTGTCCCCTGGTCCCCTTTGGGGCCCTCATCTAGCCAGTTCCCTTTGCACCTGGTCTGAAGGCCAGGGTGTGTGCTTTGGGGGCTTCAGCCCCTTCAGCTTGTCCCAATAGATAGTAGGGCTTAATGAAGGCCAGGAGCCCTTTCCTGAGCTCTGGGTCCCAGAGGTGTCCCCCGAGGCCCGGGTTCTCCTTTCTCCCTGGCCCCATTAGCTGGGCCCAGCTCCTGCTGGCTTCTCTGTCCTCACATCCATCGTGGCCCCATAACCACATCCCACATCCCGCACCCCCAGCCCTGAGGGGCTGCCCGCCACCACCCCTCCCCGAGAGCATCAGCTTCGCCCAAGCAGCCCAGAAAGGAAACAGATTTAGGGCGAGGCCAGGAATGAGGACAGTGGCGGGAGGAGGTGTCCTTGGGGAACTGTTGGGAGTGCCCCCCCAGCACCTGGCACCCCTGAAGAAGGTCACCCACACCCTCTTCAGGTTGAGGAAGACACGAGGTTTGCCCAGGGTTGGGGGCAGGGGAGCTCACACTCACTTCTTGCCCAGCTGCCGGGCCACATCACAGCGCTGGAAGCCCTCGAGGTGGTAGAGACGGCGTGCCAGCCGATGAGCAGCTTCACTGACCCCCTGGCACCCGTTGGCCAGAGGGTCTGCACTACCAGGCTCCAACCCCTCCGAGCTGCTGAGCTCAGAGTCTGAGTCTGACAGGCCATCCTTCAGGCTGGGGTCACTGCAGATGGAAGGTGGGTGGAAGAGTAGCGTCAGAGGCCCAGGGTCAAAGGCCCCAGAGGAGGCTGGGAGGTTTCCCCAGGCCACTGCAAACCATGTAGGGGCCAGAACAGGGAAAGAAGCTCCACTGCAGCCGGAGGGAATGAAATCAGACTTTCAGAAGAACCTCTCAAGTGAACTCACAGCATAGTTCCCTGACTCCCCCGACTTCTACCGGGGCTGAGAAGGCCTGGAAGAGCAGAATGAAACCTCAGGACACAGGGTGGGAAGCCTGGATGCAGAGGGTAGACCAGGTGACCTTGAAGAGGGCATGCTGACTCTGGACACTGAGTCACCCTAACCTGCTTTGCCCCCTCTGGGTCTCAGTTTCCCCATCTGCTCGGTGGTTCTCCCAGCCTGGGCCCTGCCTCACCTGGCTGAGTTCAGCAACTTGTCCGTGTCCTCCTCATCATCATCCTCATCCCCCCCTGGGCCCTGAGGGCCATCTTCATGGAATCCATTGGGCATGGCCATGAGAGACAGGCGGCTCAGGACATTCTCAGAGCGGCTGCTGGAGATGGAGCGCCGCAGGGGGCTGCCCAGCTCCCCATCACCACCAGCTGCCCCCATGTCCCCCTCAAACGCCATGTCCCCAATGCCCAACCCAGCCCCTGGCTCAGGGCTGTCACGGGCCCGCTGCTGGATGAGGGGTGTGAGGGGGGCCTCGAAGCTGACGCAGCTGTCGCTCTCATCCGTGAGGCTCAGCCCGTCTAGGGAGTCGAGGCTGCTGTACTGGGTGCCCCGCAGCAGCTCTGACTCCAGAATCTTCTCAAACGTGGCGCTGAAGCCATCCCGCACATCTGGCTCCCCGGGACCATCCAACCTGTGGGATGCAAGGAGCCAGTCACCATCCTGCCAAGCTGTCCCCCATACAGGTGCTGGTGACTACACTCATCTGTGTCTGGGAGCCCCCTGGGGGCACACCACTCCCCCATCCTATTCACTTATCCCTTCAGCCAATACTAACTGAGCACAAGGTGCCAGACACCAGGCTGGGTACTGGGAATACTGCAGGGAAAAGAGCAGACCTGGGGCCGGGGCCCCCAGCCTCGCCATCTCAAGTAAAGATGCCACCTCAATATGGTGTGCTCTAAGAAGCCCCAGTCCCCTGCCCCTGCCCCGCTGCCAGCTATGGGGCTGCCCTAGGCCCTGCTTGGATGGAAACACTCTTATGGCCATGGAACACCCAGTGCCACAGACACCTAACCCCACATACTCACACTCCTGCCCACGGAGAACTAGTGGGCATCAGATATGTGTCTAAATGAATGAATGTAAGGCCTCGTCCCCCAGCCCGGCCTAGAGGGCTGCTTCCTCCAGGCTCCCAAAGCAGTGTGAACATCTTATCACAACCAGTGTCACACTGGGTCATAATTTTGCTCTTCCCACAACCTGGGAGGTTCTTAGCTCGGCCAAACGCACCTCAGCTGTCAGGTCTGGCCTCATTGCCACCTCCTCAGAGAGAGCAGGGGAGGCAGGCCCACAGCACACTGGCCTCCTGCTCCGGGATCTGTTCATTTACTCCTCAGACCTTCCAGGCATGTAAGATTCTGTCTGTTCCCCTGTTTACTGTATGATCCCCAGCCCCAGAACAAAAGCTTTGCAAAGCCAGGGAGCACCCCGCACATAGTAGGTGCTTGGAACATCTGGCTGAATGATGTGCTGGGTGAATGAACATATGCTTGTCAGCCCCATGGCCCCAACCACGCTTCCCAAGCCCTTGCAGGACCCTGTGCTGTCCCCCAAAAGAGGCCTTTGCACTGGCTGTTCCCTCTGCCCAAAGTGTTCTTCCCCAGCTAAAGCCCTCCTTCCACATCCCCTTCTCAGTGAGGACTGCCCCGACCTCCCGATCTAAACCATGACCTGCCTCCAAACACCCCAGCCCCTTTTTTCCTACTTTTTCTTCCCCAAAGCACTTATCTCCTTCCAACACACTATATAAGTATTTATTGTTTTAATATTTATCGTCGGTCTCCCCACTAGACCGTAAGCTCCATGAGAGCAAGGGGTTTGTATGTTTTGTTCATCTCCAGCACCTGGAAGAGAGCATCGCACATAGATGACCTGAGGAGCCTGGGAAGATTCTTATCCACCAGGGACATGAGCAGGTACACAGGGAAGGAAGGAGAGAGAGACTGAGAGAGTAAGACCACTAGAAGGGGACAAGAAAGAGACAGAGGAAAGGGATACGAGAGGACAACAGAGACAGAAAGTGAGAGAAAGAAAGAGCTAGACAGACGGCCAGGCGCGGTGGCTCACGGCTGTAATCCCAGCACTTTGGGAGGCCGAGACAGGTGGATCACGAGGTCAGGAGATCTAGACCATCCTGGCTAACACGATGAAACCCCATCTCTACTAAAAATACAAAAATTAGCCGGGCGTAGTGGCGGGCACCTGTAGTCCCAGCTACTTGGGAGGCTGAGGCAGAAGAATAGCGTGAACCCGGGAGGTGGAGCTTGCAGTGAGTTGAGATTGTGCCACAGCACTCCAGCCTGGGTAACAGAGTAAGACTCCGTCTCAAATAAAAAAAAAGAGCTAGACAGACAAGGATAGAGATGGAAGATAGAGCCAGCAACAGGAAGAGACACAAGGAAAGAACACAGCAGGCTGAGCCCAGCCCATTTCAGATCAGCTGAGGCCCATGATGTGCAAAGAAGCACTCCCCTCCCTCTGCATCAGCCTCCCCTGAGGCTCTGGCCCCACCCTACGTTCCCCCAGCCCCTGCTGCCTAGCAGAGACTGAGTTGTATTTGGAGGACTGGGAAGTGCCCCTTCCCCTCGAACATCTCCTTGGCCCCCCAGTGCCTAAGATTCTGTCCCAGTGTGCTTCCTGGAGAAGGCACTCCCACTCCAGCCCCAGCAGGACCTGAGACTGCAGCCTCATTAGGCTCTCTCTTGCCAAGGAACAAAGTGGGGAGGGGGACAGAAATCTAAAAGGCACAGAATGCCTGGCAGGGGCTGGGGTGGAAGTTTCCTCTACTGACCTCTGGAAGGAAAGGAGAGGAAAGAAGGTTCGTTGCCCTGGCCACCAGGGCAAATACCCAAAGTCAGCCCAGTAAAGACACCTCTGCCAGGCCTGTGCTGGGCACTAGAGACATCCAAACAAGACAGAGCCCTGCTTGTGGGGAGCTCTCAGCCCAGGGTCAGAGCCACCAATGGACCCCCCATCTCCCACCCCCTCATGCAACTGAGCAAGGCTGAGGGGTGGCCCTGATGGGAGCTTGAAGACCATCAGTCCAATCTGCAAGCCTCCAACTGCCCCCAGCCTCGCCATCCCAAGTAAAGATGCCACCTCAATACGGTGTGCTCTAAGAAGCCCCAGTCCCCTGCCCCTTCCCCACTGCCAGCTATGGGGCTGCCCTAGGCCCTGCCTGGATGGAAACACTCTTAGGGCCATGGCACACCCAGTGCCACAGACACATACTCACATACTCCTGCCCATGGAGACTTAGAGACACTTATCCCTACATAACACGAACATGTGCCCAAATGTGCAGCCACAAATGCCCAGGCCAGGGGCACCAACACCCCCCACCCACAGCCACCAACCCCATGCATACCAACACGTTCACACATCCGTGTGTACACATGACATGCAGGGCAGGCACACACTCATGCCCCCACGCACACTCACACACTACCCGTACACTGCCCTTTCAGGCCAGAGCCTGCAGCTATGCACACTAAGACTTCTAAATGCTTTCTTTTCTCAGTCCACCCTGGTGCCTTCTAGACATTTCTCTGTCCCTTCCCTGCCCTGCTTGTCCAACACACCCCCAAAACTCCAGGTCTCTCCATTGCCTGCTGAGGACAACAGAAATTGGGCTGTAACTCCAGTAAGCAGGACTGAAGTGAGATCCCTGGTAGAACTTCCTGACGATTACTGCAGGTGAGAGTAGCTAGGAGGGATTAAAGCCTAAAGCCGGCTTTCCTGGAGTCAGTTGAAGGATTTGGGAGAGTCTCATTTCCAGGAAGCAGAGAAATGAACCACATGAATTTTCACATTGGGCATTTTAAAAGGACTTGGAAATCGAATGCCCAGCTTGGGATGGAGGGAGGGCAGCACCCCCCACCCCCTGCAATCCACATAGAAGCAGCTCACGATGGCACAACTTTCAGCCCCCCAATCTGCTGGCCTTTGAATTCTCCGTCAAGGCTCTGTCCTTTCAAAACACCCAGAATCTGGGCAAAAGAGGGATATGAAATCCCCATTTTATGTGTGAGAAAAACAAGAACCGGAGAAACTAAGTGGCTAAGCCCAGGCCACACAACAACAGAACAGCCAAATGTGGTGAGCTCCCATCCCAAGACATCCACTCACCCCAGCTGAGGGTCCTCAGCATCTGGGTAGAGGCTCCTGGAAGCATTGTCCCCCTCTGCCAGCACGCCAGCCCTCCAGGGCCTGGACTCCGCTGAATCTTCCAGAATGTTCAAGTCTGGCCCCAGGGCTAGGCCATTGGTGAGAGAGAGGCCAAGGCTGAGGCCATGGAAGGCCACATCTGGGTCCTTCGTGGGTTCCTCAGTGTCCGCTGGGGTGCCCCTTCGCTCGTGCCCTGGGCTGCAGAGGCTGCTGTTCAGGCCCTCACTGGCCATCCCATTCCGGACCCCTGGCTCCTCTTCAGGCTCTGGACCGGGGTCACGGGTGGCATCGCCTTCCTCAGGCACTGCAGATAAGAGCTTGTCCTCCTCCATGGCAGCCACTGCTTCCGCCTGTCCTGGCTGCTCCTGGGACTCCTCTAGACCTGGCAGTGGGTGGAGAGAGGAAGAACTGGTCAGACAGGACTGGGGCTGGGGGGCACCTAAAGTCCAGCAGAACCAGTGGCAGAGCAGCCTGCCTGAGAGTGGGAGATGGCCAAGATGACCTCCTCGGGGCCCTTCCAGCTGGAGTGTGGGTTCGGGCCATGCTGCCCTCACTGCCTGCCCAAGCAGCCACCTCACCTCACCCTTGACCCTGGCCAGCCCACTATGCCCCAGTCCCTGCCCTTCGTGTTACCTCTTGTGTCTCTGCTGTGCCCGCCAGAGTTCACCAAAGCCCTCTGAGGAAGATCCAGGTGGGGAGGAAGTGGAGAAGGGTCCAGTAGGGCCCCCTCCCATTCCCGCTGGTGAGTGATGGTGACAAACCACAGGCTGTCAGCAGCCGGTCCCCTAGCCTCTTCCCGTGTTCTTACCCTGGCTCCAGGAGCCAAAGATGAGCGAAACTTACCTTTGTGATTAATGGAGATAACTAGGCTGGGAGGCTATCTTCAAGGAGGAGTTAAGAGAGGAGGCAAGGAAGTCAACAGACGCAGCCTAATTGGAGCAGGGCCCACCCCAGAAGCCAAAGTGAAGCCTGGAGACAGACAGGGATAGCCCAGCGTGGGGCGCTGTCCAGGGTGCTGGGTGGGCGGTGCCACCCGGGAGCCTCTCAGAGAGCCCGGGCTGCCTCCACCACACACAGCGCCCAGAGCCCCAGCTGTCTGGGAGGAAGGAGGAGGCCTGGGGTTCCCCTCCACTCCCGGGCCCCCATCAGAGCTCACCCAGCTGCGAGGAGGGACTCATGAGGAGGCCGCCAAGGGGCACTCTGGGGAGAGCACTGGAAGGGGAGTCAGGCCCTGCTCTGCCCAACTCCCTGCATGACCTCGTGTGAGTCCAGGTCAGGCCTCCTCACTGGCCTGCCCAGGCCAGCCCCACTCCCCTCTGGGTCTGTTTCTCTTCTGTAAAATGAGGAGACCCATTTACCCATCATCTTCACCGCCACTGTTTCAAATGGGTTGGGACCAGCCCACATTTCCCAGAGGCTTCCTGCCCAACCTAATCCCAGATGTAGAGGGCAGATGTAATGTGTAACAGGCTGTGTTCTGGCTCTCCCCTCCTCCCCTGTCTGCCCCTGGCCCCACCTAGGCTAGGCTAACCCCCTCCGCAAGTGGCCTCTGCCAGTGGGGACACAGATCAGCCCCTCCAAATGCCCTGGACAGAAACAGGAATCTGGGCCATTTCTCCCAGTTCTGGCTGGGCCACTTCCTTCCTCCCCTTGTTGGGCCTTGGCTACCACTCTGCTCTGGAGAGGGATGCTGGGGGTTCAAGAGAGGCACTGGCTGCCCTTCTAGGCTACAGCAGAATGAGCTGCAGGGGCAACAACAGGGATATAAGTGAGGCTCAAACTTCCTATACTTGCCTGGTCATAAACACCACCTGAGGGACTTGGTACAATGCAGATTACCAGGCCCTACCCCAGACCTCCCGAACCAGAAGCTACAGGGAAGGGGTATGCTCCTCTGTGATTCTTATAACGAGGCAAGTGTGGGAACACTGGGGTAGGCTCCAGAAGAAAAGTCTCACTTAGAGAACAAGAGCCTGGGGAGGGAGGCGGGTCCACTTCTCAGGAATTCTGGGCCCTTGAGGGAAGCTCAACCACCACTGTCCAGTTAAGATTATTTAACCTGGGTTTTCAAACATGGAGTGGAAAAGAGGAGAGTAGAACAGCAGACCTGGGACGCCGCCCGTTTACACTGACCCTCACCTCCTAGAATTTTGATAACTTCATAAGGGAGACTTTTACTTTAAAAAAAAAGCCCACAGACTTAAACATCTCAAAAGCCAGGCTCTAAAATATCTGGGCCCTGATCCTAGGACATCGGAGACCTCTAGAGGTTGAGCACTGAGTGAGGAATTCTTTCTGGTCTGCCCTAAATCCCTGCTGCTGTAGTTGCTATTTCAATCGGTTCCCTCTGGTTGTATACTCAGAGGAGGAGAAACAAGAAGTCACTTTCTCAACTGAGACTCCTGAGCGGGGGGAGGGGGGGCATTTAGAAAGGAAAAAGAAGTGGGGGCTTTTGGCCTGCTGCCTGAGTTCCAGTCCTCTGACCTGCTTTCTAGCCCAGGGGCCTGGATGAGCATTGGCTCTGGGGCACAGGGTTTCAACCCGATTTCACCAGGATGACTCAAGCTCCCCTACACATACCTAGGGGCTGAGCCCACCATTTTGAGTCAGGGCTCTGCCTAAGCCTTCATGAAACCTGAGGTTTAAGAGTATCAGCAGCTTCACTTGATGCTCAGCCTACACCAGCACCAAAGCTAGAATTGTGGACAGATTGAGGACCTCTTGGGAGCCCCTCCGCCCTACCCCCAAGTTCCAGCAGCTGCCTCAGGCTAGCTCCAGCCCTACCTGCCCTGCTATGTCCTCCTTTAGCTGGGAGCGGGAGCCTGCCAACACCAGGCACTGGGCCACATCCTTTGTTTCTGGGGGTGGGCAGACAAGGGGCAGCATTGAGTTCTACTCTGGGCGGGGGGCCCAGAGTCCCTGCCTGGGCTGCAGACCAGCTGAGCCCAGAAGTAGCTGAGCCAGAACCCCCTCTCTTGCTGAGCCCAAGCAAGGGCTGCATAAAGGGGAGGCTTTAGGGTAGAGGTGTAAAACGATGCCCCACATGCTCACTCTGAACTGCTATGTGTCCTGGGACTCATCATTGCTCCCTCTTGCCTTTGTGAGCCCATCTACAGAGTGGGAGCATCACCTCTGTTCTCCCCCAGGGCCAGTGGGAAACTAAACGTCATGAAAGCTGAGAGAGCTAAGGTCCAAGGAAGGGCAAACTCCCTGCAAGGTTAAGGATGAAAGGCAGCTGTGCTCCACCCTTTCTACCGCCATATTTGACAAATGAGGAAGGCTGAGGCACAGAACCCAGAAAGGCTTTGCCTGAGGCCCCACAGCGTAGCTGTCTCTAGAACCCAGGAGTAGCCTCCCTCTGCAGCTAGATGGGCTGGAGACGCAGAATGAGCCCCCAGTTTCCCAGGACCCCTGCCAAACTCTCCCAGGAGATCAAGGGCCCAAACCCTCAACCAAGAGAGTTGGCCCAAAGCAGTGGCCCTTCCCACCTCCAGCCCTGCTGGCAAGAGCAGGGGAGCGGGTGCAGCTGGGCCACTGGGCACCCATCCCAAGGAGACGCCTGCAAATGACAGGCTGGCATTGGCCAAGATCCCCTGCAGCCTCTCTTGGCCTGATCCAAGCCCCTCTCCAGGCAGGGTCTCCCACTAGCCTCAGCCCTTGGAATGACCTTGGGCTCGGCAGCCTCTTTTCAACACCAGCTAAGGTAGGTCCTATAATGATAGTGGAACCCTGGCTCAGCCAACTGCCAGGGCTGAGTGCAGAGTCAAGCACTTCCTGGGTCTCAGCTCTCCTGAGCAACTCTGTCCCCCTCCTCACTCTCCCTGTGGCAGCTGGAGGGAGTTGCAAAAGCACAATCCTTCCTCCCTCCTCATAATCCTCTAACCATCTCCCCTAGATTAGAATCCAGTCTCCCCAGCATGGCCTGAAAAGGTCCTGCAGGAGCTGGTTCTGCTGCCCTCTACCCCATGTCCCCATGCTCTCCCACATCAGCCACAGTGGCCTTCTTTCCGCTCCCTGAGTTCATTCCCACCTCAGGGCCTTTGCACCAGCTATACCCGTGGCCTAGAATGCTCTTTCCCTAGATCTTTAAAAGAGCTTCTTCTGCCACTCAGGGCTCAACTCCAACACTGCCTCCTGAGAAAGGCCCTCTCTGACCCCTGGCACTGCATCATGGAGTGATGGAGCACCATAGCACTCAGTAGAACTGAAGCTCCCTTTTCTATGTGTTTACTGATTCCCTGCCTATCTCTGTACTAGGATGTAAGTTCAGTGAGGGTGGGGACTATGTCATGTTCACGGCTGTGTCCCCAGAGTCCAGTGCAATGCTTGGCACACAGCAGGCCTTTAGAAGTATTTGTTAGATGAATAACAGGGATTATCATCATGCCTATTTGTGGCAGAGGCTAAGAGAGATTGAGGAACTGCTCGGAGTCACAAAGCTGGAAAGCAGCAAGGCTGAGATTCTGATGGAATGCTAGATTGTCAAAGAAATAATCTTACGGTCCCTTTTATGGTGGGATCCAAGCCAGGGACTGTGGGAAACCCAAGGGCAGGGCTGGAGGTGGGGCCCACCAGGGAGGGCTCCAGAGGCCAGCATGCTCTATAAGACACAGGGGCAAGTGCATGGGTGCAGGACCTGACAGCAGACATACAATACAGGTATGGGTAGGCACATGCACACATGTACACATGCCCAGACACACGCGCACGTGCACACACACATGCGCACACACATGCACAATACACACACACGCACACACTCACACACACACAGAGACACACACATGCACACACGCACGCACACACGCACACATACACACGCACACGTGCAGACACATGCACACACACGTTCACAGACATGCACACACGCACGCACACACACATGCACACAGACACACACACACGCACACACACAGAGGGAACTGGGCAGCCGCTCATGAGGCAATCCCCCTAATTTGCCTGGTAAGGTGGACAAGGCACTGGCAGGCCTATGGGCAAGGTTAAGGGCAGCGAGATCTACATCATCGGGCATCCAGGGTCAAAACCATCCTGGGTATGCAGAAGGGACTGGGATCAGAGAAAATTGTTCTGGAATGTCAGTGTGGTGGCAAGGCTGAGACCACAGCTGACCCAGGGAAGCAAATCTAGGAGCACCAGGACCCTCACGTTTTGCTTCCAGTGGGCTAGGGGAAGTTGGGCACAAAAAAACCCCTCTCTGACCTCATGTCCCCACGTGCACCATTGATACCTAACCAGTTCCAAGTCCTGGACCTCTTTGTGCACTTGATGGAAGATCCTGCCCTGGAAATCTCACAAATGTGTGCAACATTTAGAGTATATCTGGAAAGGCTCAAAGCCCTCTATCCATCCTTGATTCCATACCCTAATCTGGACAGTCTCCAAGGACCTGCCAACCAACATTGGATACTTGGAGAGAGCTCCATGAGGGTTACTTGGCAAAGAAATCTTTCTTGGACCTATTCTCTGCCCCCTGGAAACCCACCCTGAACACCCCCACTGGTTCACTACTCTTCCCCAAAATCCCAACCCAAGATTCCCTAGATCACCCAGATTTTAGCACATGGGCTAGGATCTTCAGACACACAAACACATGTGAACACACATGAACACACAAGACACACACAGACACTTAAAAGAGATGATCAATGCAAACATGTGGCATGTAGGGAGTGTCAAAACAGACCCTGAACAGCGATGCCCACACCGCAATGGGGCCTAGGATGGCCAGGCCTGGAGTGCTCCAGGGCTCCACAGGACCTGCTAGGCCACTGGCAGCATGGGCAGTAGGGTGCTGCCAGGAAGCCCTCAGTTGGGCCCCCCTAACCATGCTCCCTTGTAGCCTCTGCCAACCAAGGGGCCTGGAGTTAAGGATCTTCCCACCTCCAAGAGCTCCAGGCCCCCTCCCTAAGCCCAGGCCAGCCTCCTCCACATCCCAACTGCCCAGGGAGATGCCCAGGATAATTTGGAAGGGACGCCCACCCAGGAGCCTAGGGAACTTCCCGGATTCCACATCCCAAAGTGACCCTAAACCCTCTTAACCCACTTGGTCTTCCCAGCTTGGACCGCCTTGTGCTGCAAGGGCCTCAGACTGGGACAGTCCGGGAGAGTGGGTCAGTGCCCTTTCCTGTGTGCTCAGAAAGACCTGGCTCCAAATCCAAGCTCTGCTAGCCACAAGCTGTGTGACTTCAGGAAAACTGCCTGTCTATCTGAGCTCGGTGTCCTCCTCCATAAATGGGGGGTGCCAAGAGCATTTGTCTTCTCAAGGCACCTGTGAGGACTAAAGGAGATGGCATGTGTTCAGTGCTCAAGGGAGGGCTGCTGCCTCCCAAAACCTTCTGGGGGCTGCAAGGAACCAAGCTGGCTACCCCCAGGGGTGCCATGCCCAGGACAGCAGCACACAGCACAGGCCACTCAGCCAGCACCCATTGGATATGCGTCCTTGGCAGCTGTCAGAGCAAGTTCTGAGGCAGGGGCTTCAGAAGCCCAGCTAGAGGGTAGAGGCAAATCAAAGACTCCCGTGGGGCCAGGAGGGGGGCCAGAGAGGGCATCCCCTCCCTTTCCCAAGGCAGCTGAGGTCCCTACTGTCCTGCCCTCCCAACACCCTCACCCAAGGCCAGGCTCACTCCTATCTTTCCATCTCAGGGCACACAAGTGTAGGGCAAGGGCCAAGAACCTACGCCCTCTTTAAAGATGCCCATCCCTTTCAGGTAATGCCTGTTTGGAGTGATAACCAGCCCCCACCTGCTTTCCTTCTCTCAGTGTGGCCATCAGGGAACCAGCCCTTGCCTTGGGCTCATGTTCTCATGGTCAGGCAGGCAGAAGTCCCCGGGGCTGCATGCACATTTGCATCTTATCCTGCATGTGCTCTGCTGGGATTCTCAGGGGCCCTTGGAGCTTGCTCCACAAAGGTCATTCCTAGACATCTCCCAGCTTGCTTCTCTCCCCAACCCCCCAGCCAATTGGCACCCTCATTTGCTTAGCATTTGCGTACATCTGCATGCTGGTTGAAGAGCCCTTAACACTAATGAAATCCACAAAGTCTGCTGTCAAATTTCAAATCATGTTTACAGCTGGTGACTCTATGCCCAACTGACTTCCCTACGGGGTGAACCCTCAGTTATCAGGAACCACAAAGGACTAAGCTGTCTTGGTCAAGAGAGTTCACAGCCAGACTGACCACTGGGCCACCTTCCTCCAACTTCGGAGGGCACTGGACTCACACTGCTTCAACCCACAGGCTCATGGAGCCCACAGGCTAACATGAGCCTGTGGGTTGAGAGTTGAATCCTGAGAGCTACAATGGACTGACCAAGTGCAAATCCTCCCAACCAGCCCAGCCTCGGATACAACACCTGGGCAGAGGCAGACCTGAGAGAGCTCCACCTCTGAGTAGCTCCCCACAGTCTGCTTCAACAGCCAAGAGACAGAAACCAAGAAGCTTCCTCCTCCCTTCTGTCTGCCCAGTTTTCACACACCCCAAACCCTCTAAGTCCTCACATTCTCTGTCCAGGCCCCCCAACTCCTCTCCTTCTCTGCCTCCCCAACTGTGGCCTTCCTCCCCACCCCCTCCCCAATCTCTGTGTTATGTAGCGTCTCTTCATCTCTCCCCAGGCGAGTCCTCCCTTCCTCTCCCTCCTCTTCCCTGTCCAGTCTTGTCTCCTCTTTAGGACTTCGGCTCAGGGTCTGCAGGTTGTGGCCTCCTTGATGAAAATACAACAGCATGTGGTACGAAGTAAGCAGGTGTGAAAGGGGCTGTGCTGGGCCATTTCACTGTCACCTCCTCTCTTGCCCATGGCCCGCTGAAGGGAAGTCAGGCACTCTAAAGCCTCACCCACCCATCCATGTGCTGTACATGGGGCAGGAGAGAGAGAGGGGACCCAAGAGTGACGCCAACATTTGTGCCCTGAACAACTAGAAGGATGGAGTTGCCGCTCAAGAAGAGAAACTGGGTGGAGCAGGTTTGGGGAGGAAGATCAGGGCAAGTTGAGGGGGGTTGTCTGACAGACAGGAAAGTTGAGATGAAAGTTGAGATGCTGTGTAGGCTACTGGAGTCGGGTGAGAGGTTGAGACTTGGGATTTAAATTTGGGGGCTGGCAGTACATAGGTGATACTTAAAGCCACAAGACTGGATGGGATCTGTATGGAGGAGTGGAGATGGGGGAGAGAGCCTGTGCAGGGCAAGTGCTGGGGCACCCTGATATCAAGAGGTGGGAGGGGGAGAAGAGGAACCAGCAAAGGAGGCTGAGAAGGAGCAACCCACAAGGTAGGAGGAAAACAGAAGAATGGGTGTCCTGGAAGCCAAGGAAGGTATTTCAAGGAAGAGGAAGACTGGATGTGTCAAATGCTGCCAATAAGACTGAGAATTGACCACTGGGTGCAGCGACAGGAACATTACTGATGACCTTGAGAGGAGAGGTCAGCGGAGTGGAGCCCCATAAGAGTAGAGTCAAGAGAGAGCAGGAGGAGAGGATGTGGAGACAATGAGTCTAGACAACCCTTCCAGAAGTTTCTCTGCTAAGGGAAGGAGAGATCTTTTTTTTTTTTTTTGAGATGGAGTCTCTCTCTGTCATCCAGGCTGGAGTGCAGTGGCGCAATCTCAGCTCACTGCAACCTCTGCCTCCTAGGTTCAAGCAATTCTCCTGCCTCAGCCTCCCGAGTACCTGGGAGTACAAGTGCCCACCACCATGCCTGGTTAATTTTTGTATTTTTAGTAGAGACGGAATTTCGTCATGTTGGCCAGGCTGGTCTTGAACTCCTGACCTCAGGTGATCCACCTATCTCAGCCTCCCAAAGTGATGGGATTTCAGGTGTGAGCCGCCGTGCCCAGCCAGAACCATTTTTAAGATAAAAGAAATAACAGCAAGATATCTGTTCATGGGATGCTCTAGCAGAGAGGGGGACCCAATGATGCAGGCGGGGGCCCTGCTGGAGTGATGTTCTCAAGCAGACACAAGAGGCCAGGATCTCTGCAAAAGTGGAGGGGTGGCCTTAACCAGGAGCAGGAACACTTCACCCACAGATACAGAAGAAAGCAGAGCAGTGAGTGCAGACGCTGGCAGACAGTGAGTGTGGCACTGGGAGCCTCAGGACGCTCTGACTGCTTATATTTTCTCAAAGATTATCCGCTGAAAGGAAGGGTGGGAGAGGCCGGAGGGTGAGGGTAGAAGAGCAAGTGAGGGCCGGGCACAGGGGCTTATGCCCATAATCCCAGCACTTTGGGAAGCCAAGGAGGGCAGCCGAGGAGGGCGGATCACTTGAGGTCAGGAGTTCAAGACCAGCTCTGGCAACATAGTGAGACCCCATCTCTACACACACACACAAAGAGCAAGTGTGAAAGAATCATCTAGCATGTGGGAGAGGCGACAACTTCAGAACCTGTGCTGTGCCTGGTGGACTGCACTAAGGACCCACCTGAAGTTCAGAGTTCATGGGCTTGGACTGAAAGTGAGAACAGTCAGGGCAGTTGTTTTGCTCAGCCCCATTCAGCTGCATGTGCAGGAGTGGGGTAGGCCAGGCATTGGATTTAACCAGGGTTGGGGTTTTGCCAAGAAAGTGTGAAGAAGCAAAATGAGGTAAGGGAATTGGGGTCTGCAAGTTAGTGGCAGGATTATCCTGGCTTCCACAGGGGCAGCTGCCATCTGAGCTGGCCTAGCCCTGCTCAGGGCCCTCCCCTGCTGGTGCCTGAAGCCCACCATCCATCCCCTGCAGTGGGCTATGTGTGGCTCTTCTTTCTGCCTGCATCTCAAAATGAGCTTCTGCAAGGGGGCCACAGTTGGGGCCACCAAATGAGCTTCCCACACACCATTCCTCTGGCCTGGAAAACACCTCAGACCTCATACACTCAAAACCTCCATCTCCCTTCCCAAGCCATTGCACAAGCTCATCCTTCCCACTCTCCCTATCTCTAGTCAGACACAAGGGCCTGTCCGTTCTGCTTCCTAAATCTCTCCCAGCTCCATCCCCTTCTCCGATACCCCCCAGCAACACCCTCCCAGCAGGGCCCCCAAACCACACAACTCCACTCTCTCTATATGCCACAAGCAGCAGCCCCAATGCTGTCCCCCCTGTCTTGTGCTGGGTGCTGCCACAGCCTCCTGGCTGGTCTCTTTCCCATGTGCTGGCCCAGTCAGCCCCACTCCATCCTCCTCAGAGTGCCTTTCCAACACTCCAAACTGCCTCATCATCCCCTCTTCAAAACCCTTCAGTGGTTTTGAAGTGCCCTTGGGGAAAAGGCCAACCCCTCAGCCCACATTCCAGGCTAGCTGTGGCCTGGGCCTCCCTTCCTGTCTGGCCCCCATGCCCTCTCCCCTTGCTGTGCCTCTCACTACTTTCTCTGGGCTTCCCCTCTCCCCCACCAACAGCACCTGTCTGAGTTGTGGCTCCCCCACTCCCAACCCTGAAGTTTTGAGCTCCCTGAAAGTTTCTGTCTGCTTCTCTATTCTCCAGCATCTGGTCTGATGTAGGGGTTCAGTCAGATTTGCTGACCTGGTGCGCAGATTACCAGGTAGATGAAGCTTCTGGAGGTAGGGAAGGGGGAGGAACAGAATTGAAATACAGGGACCCCTGAGCCAAGTGACCTAACTTACCACCACCTACTACAGGACAAACTAATAACAGGTGCCTGCCAATATCATGCACTGAGAAGGACATGACATCATCTATGAGATATTCTTGCCCCAAAATGGTTAACTTGACTCTAATCACAAGCAAGCAAGAAGACAAATCCAGGATGTGAGACGTATCACAAGCCTTCCAAATTGACAATGTCATTAAAAAAAATCTCAAAAAAGCCAGGGATTCATCCAGATTGAAACACTAAAGAGCCATAATAACTAAATGCAATGTATGTTCCATGATCAAATTAAAAAAAACAGCTATAAAGGACTTTACTGAGACAACTAGAGAAATTTAAATATGGACTACATGTTAGGTTAAACTGGATGATTACTAAACTTCTTGGGTATGATAACAATGCATTATTTTTGTAGAAAAATGTCCCTGTCTCAGGAAATTCATGCTGAAGTATTTAGAGGTGAAGTGTTATAATGTTGGCAACTTACTTTCAAAAGATTGAGAGAGAGAGAGAAAGAGAGAGAGAGAGAAACAAATGTGGCAAAATGTTAACAACTGGCAAATCTAGGTCTCTAGGTGAAGGGTATGTAGGTGGGTGTTCACTATACTATCAGCTTTGACAAGATAAAAAGTAAGGTGGGAGAAGGAAGGGAGTGGAGGGAGACGTTCCAAAGAGGGGAGCTCAGGGGTTGGAATTTTGGGGCAGGAGTCAGAGGAGAGGACATTCCTTCCCCAGGGCAGTCCACAAACCTGAGCATGCAGAGCTGTGGGCCAGCCCACAGGCCAGCCCAGGCCAGGCAGGCACAGCGCTGGAGTGGCTTACCACCTGAAAAGGGGGCCAGACCCTGAGGAAACGGACTCACCTGTGGGCAAGCCGGCTTAGAGGGACAAGGAAAACAAGCTGGTCCCAGGGAGACCAGGGCAGGAACATGGGCCCCTCCCCCTCCATTGAGCTGTGGCAAGGAGCCAGGTCTGGCCCCAAGCCCACCCAACTCCCCCAAACACCCCTCAAGGGGCGACAGCCTAAGTGTATCCTCCTGTTTGGAGAGCCAGTCTAAATACGGAGCCTCAGACATAAGATGCCGCTCAAAACAGATTTTCCTGGAAAAGACCATCTGGCAAAGGAGGTCTAGAGCATCGTCTGTTGTGAGAGGCAGTGTTGATCTCCTGCAAGCCAACGTCCGGAATGGGAATGCCTTGATCCCACCTCCCTAGGAAACTACAGCTTAGTGCTTGTTTTTCCCAAGGTCACCCTCTTGCCCAGATGGAGAGACACTCTATCCCACCTCCCACCTCTCTCCTAAATTGTGTCTCCAGGGAAGAAGAGGAGAGGATGGGGACACAGGTCTGAGTATCAGACAGTTCTGGCCAAGTGCAAATCCTCACTCTGCCACTTACTAACCAGGAGACTTTGAACAAACAGCTCTACCACAAAATGGGAATAAGGGTAGTGCCTCCCTCTAAAGACTGTTATGAGGGTACTTAGCACATATGCTCCATATGTGGAAGCTAGGTGAGGTAATACCCCCCAGCCACACTCTCTCTCTCAGTCCTGTCTAGAGCAGGAAGTCATTCCTTCCAGCTATCTTTGCTCTCTCCCTTCAGGGAAGACCCTGGGAGGCACTATTTGTCAGGTCTGCTTGTGGAGCGTGCACCCCATAGTTGTCAGACCAGGACAAGCTGCAGCGGGGAGGCCTCTGGGGGCATCCCTGGGCTGCAGGGTGCAATTCACCCAAGCATTGAGACTTCAACCTTGCAAGAGGCACCAGTGAGGGAGGCCTTCCAAGGACAACCCAGTCATCCTCCTTTAGCTGGGCCACACCCACCTACTCACCCCACTGCGTGGGAATCTTTTGGGGGCTCTGGCCAAACCCTAGGGACCTGCTATGTTTCCACCAGGACCAAACTTTGCAGTAGCCCCACTCAAAAGCCCCTGTTCCCTGCTTCCCGCATATATTGGGGAAAGGGGCTGCTGGGAGGACAGCAGGCACATTTTACTGATTCGGAGATCCCAGGCCCCAGAACTTGTAGCTTCCCTGGGAGACAGGTTCCTAAAGTCCTGGGGAGAGGGTGGAAGAATGAAAGAACGACTGCAACTGCCCTGGGCCACGGGTTGGGTTTGGAGGCAGTCCCAGCCCAGTGAA
Source organism: Homo sapiens (assembly GCF_000001405.40). NCBI lineage: Eukaryota > Metazoa > Chordata > Mammalia > Primates > Hominidae > Homo > Homo sapiens. Next base: position 139,797,035 of record NC_000005.10, on the reverse strand, counting down.
CCCCCCCACCCCCAACCACTATTAAGCAGCTCTTGTTTGTAGGATCTAGAAAAAGGAACTGGGGAACCCAGGAAAGTCCAAACCCAGGCTGCCCACCTGCCCTGGCCAAATCCTGAGCCCTCTCGCTGATCCCCATCAAATTCAGCCTGGCTTATCCCCAGGCTGCCAGGAGTCTTAGGCCCTCTTCCATTGTGACTGCTGCTTCTGCTCCCTGTTCTCTTCCTGGCCCCCCCAAGATGGCCCCAAGACAAAGGGGTGGGCTTGAGACAGTGGCCCCCTGGGCCTATGCAAAAACAATGCCCCCAGTGATCATTCCGGGGAGTCCCTGCATCCTCTAGGAACAGCTGAATACCTCCTCCTCCGAGGGGGCCCGCTGGGCAGGGTTGTCCCCAGTCTGGACTCCCTCTGCACCCAGCCCCAGCAGCCCGCTCCTGGGACCCCTCCCTCCCGCTGCCGCCTCGGCCATTATGTGCCTCCTCAGCCCTGACTGCCACGCCCCCGTGCGAGCCCCCGCTCTAGCTGCAGAGCCGGGGAGGCCTGGCCGCCAAGCAGGGCTGTCAAAGTTGGGAAACTGGAAACAGAAATAAATCCTCAAAGCTGCAGCCTCGTGAAGGTGGCTGCCGGCAGGCCCCGGTACCCAATGCCCCGATCCCCGACCACCAGGCTGCCACTGGCACCCCCCACGCACACGCGTACCCCCAGATTATACAAAAGCGGGGAGAGGGTAGTGGGTGGCGGAGCCGGGAGACAATCGGCCCGGCAGCCCCCACCGTCCCTCAGGCTGGGCTCGGGCTTTCCCGCGGCGCCCCCTCTCCCCGGCCCAGACCCGGCCAGCCCGGGCTTCCTCTCTCGGCCCCATCTCCATGACAACCGTATCCTTCGGATGCTCCAGACGCCGCGGAATTGATCTGGAAATGTAGCTTTGTTAGCGGACCCGGGTGGGCACCGAGGGCGAGGGCGACGCCCCCCACCCGCACGCGGCCCTCTCCCCGGCCCGTCCCGCCCCGGCCTGGCCGCCAGCGGGGAGGGGCGGGTCCCGGAGCCCCGCGGCCCCACTCACCGCTGCTGGTCCCCGCCGCGGGTCCGGCCTCTCACGGCGGGGCCATCGGAGGCCGCCGGGCTGCCTGTCCCGCCCCGCCGCCGCCGGTCGGAGCTGCCCGCGCCCGCCCGCGTCCCTTCAGGTGCCGGAGCCGCGATGTGGAGAGGCTGAGCGAGGGGGACGGACGGCAGGAGGGAGGGAGCGGAGCCGTGAGCTGGAGGAGGAGGAGGAGGGAGGAGCGGGAAGGGCGGGGAAGGGCGGGGGCACTGCGGGCGCGCGAGCGGCGGGCGCGGAGCCCGGAGGGAAGCGCGGCCCCCAGCCCTGTCCGCTTGCAGCGCAGCGCTCGCCCCGGGACCCCGAGCGTGCCGGGGAGAGCGCGGCCCACCTTGTCCCCCTCTGCCCCGCGCGGGCCCTTTAAGAAAGGGGGGGAGGGGAGCGCCCGGGGTTCTGCCCCCTCCTAGCCACGCTGGGCCCCTGCCGTCCTCGAACCCTCGGGCAGACCCAACCACCTCCGCCCTCCAGGCAGGACCCACCGGTCTAGAACCTGAGCTCTCGGGACCCGCCAGGCCCTGGAGGTGAAGGAGGGGGCGGGTCCTGGCCCTCCTCCCGCGGTCTGTTCAGGGAGTGACCCCTGCCCCCAGCCCCCCGACACACACGCCAGCCCCCGGGAGACGCCGCCAAGGGAGGAGCAGGGAGTGCGGGGGGCCAAGGTGAAGAATCTCAGAGAGGGAGACTGAGCCCCTGAGACCTAGAGTCACACGGGACGGGACGGAGACCTGGGCTGTGGGGTGAGAAGGAGCCTCGGGACAGAGTGGGATGGGAGGAGGCAGGAGAGAGGAGAAAGAGACAAAGGAGAAAGAACCTGAGGGAGGCGGGAGGTGAGGGGTGGGTCCAACCAAGAATCCACATCCCTGTGCCAGGTCAAGGGGAAGCCTCCCTGGGCAGATATAAGGAGACAGAGAGAGACAGAGGGTGCCCTGGGCAGAGGAAACCATCTCCCAAGGCACCTGTCCCACGGTGTCTCCCCAAGGGCAAGTCAAGGCCCTGAAGCCGCCCCCCTCAGCCCAGGACTCTAACTGAAGAAGAGGGTTGACTGGCTGTACCTGGGCTAGACATTAAGAACTTCCTGGCTGTGAGGCACCTGCAGAGTAAGAGTCCGCCTCTCAGAGAGGCATTAAAGGGCCCCCACCCACAGGGATCTAAGGAGGGCGTGGGGAGCAGGCCCAGTGCCTGGGAGAAGGGAAATCAGGATAGAGTCAGGCCCTGCCACTGGAGGCCACTTTCTACCCCTCTCCCCTACTCCAGCCCCTGGGGGGTTCACCACACCCAGTTGCTTCCATCTCCAGACCTCAGCAGATGATCCACACTCTGCCCGGTGGGGCCTTGATCCTGCTGTGCTCAGTGAACTCCTACTGAACCCTCAAATTCCTCCTTAAATGCCCCTTCCTTCATGAAGTCTTCTCTGACCTTCTTTCCACCCATGAACACACAAACATGGACTCTTCTTAGGGAGCAGGAAGAGGATTTGCTGACCTCTTAGGGTGGCAGTAATTGGAGGTGTGGAATCTGAGCTGTGCGTAGTCTCCCTCCCTTCAAGCTGGGCAACAGCAGGAGCTGGGACTTCATCAACCATGGTGACACCTCTGACAACCAAGCATCTACCAAGTGCTCTTCATGTGTCATATTTAATTCTCAAAACAATCCTACAACCCGTTTTACAGATGAGAAAACTGAGACTTGGAGAGCATAAGTCACTTGCTCATGATCCCAGGAGATCTGAATCTGTGAGCACAGCTGGTCAATTAAGAGGGCACTCAGACCACATCCTTCACTGCCCATCAAACCCTAGGACATTACCGCAGAGCCCAGAAACAAGGGAGCCACTCTCTGTGCAGGTGCCCAGGATCTTAAAGGGCACAGAGGGAGCTTGGCTTCCCTGCTGTCCTGCATTCTACCCCCCTGCCCTCTGCTACCTGTAGGCAGAGAAGGGTGGCGACCAGCAGGGGCTGTGGAGGGAAGTGCTCATGGCAGGGCTTAGATACCACATTCCCCACCCTTGGCACCCATGCCCTCAAGTCACAGCTGGACCACCTTTCTGGGCTCCTACTTCCTCATCTGCCCAATGAGGATGGTAGCAGTCCCCCTCTTTGTGAGGCTAGGATGGGGACCGAAAGAGCTGATGTGCTCAAGACCTGGCACACAGATGCACTCAATGGGCCATGGCTGTTCCAGCTGTAATGATTACTTACTCATGGAATGCACTATTTAATTGTTGTCCACTGGATGGACTCTGAGCCCCTTGAAAGGGTTCACAGTGTATCCTCAGCACCTAACACTCAGCATGGCTTAATAAATTATGTGGAAGGAAAGAACAGGGAAAGGGGAAAGGTAGACATAGCTGTCTCTCCAGCTAACTTGCGCTGGGCTGGCACACAGAACCTAGTCTCTGCCCCCTGGATCTGCCCCCTGTCCTTTGTAGCTCTGGGAGCCTGTGGCAGGGGCAAGGAGACCCGGGTTCTAGTCCAGTCCCCCCAACCCACACTTCCTAGCTGTGTGGCTATGGGCAGCTGTACCCTTTCCTGAACCTTCCTTTCCCCTCCGTCAAGTGGAACTAGCTCCCTAGGGCTCAGAGGGCTGCCTGGAGGCCACAGGTGAGCTCTGTGTGAGTGTTCTGGGTGCCATGGACACTGGAGAGGGGAGTATTGTTACTGTTCCTTGTGGCTACCTTCGCCTCCTGAAAGACAGCAGGGTCAGGCTGGGAATGGTGGCTCACGCCTGTAATCCCAACACTTTGGGAGGCCAAAGTGGGTTGGATCACTTGAGGTCAAGAGCTCGAGACCAGCCTGGCCAACACAGTGAAACCCCCCTCTCTACTAAAAATACAAAAATTAGCCGGGTGTGGTGATGCACACCTGTAATCCCAGCTACTCCGGAGGCAAGAGAATCACTGGAACCCAGGATGCAGAGGTTGCAGTGAGCCAAGATCGTGCCACTACATTCCAGCCTGGGCAACAGAGCAAGACTCAGTCAAAAGAAGAAGGAAAGAAGAAAGAAAGACAGAAAGAAAGAAAGAAAAAAGAAAGAAAGAAGGAAGGAAGGAAGGAAGGAAGGAAGGAAGGAAGGAAGGAAGGAAGGAAAGACAGAAAGAAAAAAAGAAAGAAAGGAAGGAAGGAAGGGAAGGAAGGAAAAGAGAGAGAGAAAGAGAGGGAGGGAGGGAGGAAGGAAGGAAGGGAGAAAGAGAAAGAAAGAAAGAAAAAAGAAAGAGAGAAAGAAAAGAAAAGAAAGAAAGAGAAAGAAAGACAGCAGGGTCAACATCCCCCTACCCAGGAGCCAGAATAGACGATATTTCCCCCATTCCTCAAGGGAAAGAAGAATGCGCAGCTTCTCCCTGTTCCTCCAAGTGACCTCCCTTTCCTCCCCCACCCCGCCTCCTCACCTGAGGGGGTCTCATAAGAAGCAGGTGCCAAGGCTGAACCAAAGACCCTTGCACATGGAGGGGCCTTTTCCCATGGTTTACCGCCTGGCCCTTGACTGGTCCCCAGGAGAGCATGAAAGTTATGGGGGGAGGGGGGGCCAGCTGCATTGGGCATGGTCAGCACCTTGGGCAGGGACAGAGGGACCCACCAATTGGGAGGACTCATTTGGGTCCAACCCAGAAGAGGCTTGACTCAGAGGACCCCTAAAACACCCAATTCTCCCATCTTCCAGCTGGAAGCCTGAGGCCCAGGTGGGGTGCCTGGGTAGGGATTCCCCAGGCCAATCCCAGAGAGCTCAATAAGCACCTACTGTGTTCACAGCTTTGTTGTAACCTGCCCCTGTCCCCAGCACCCCCACGACCCCAAGATGAAGGCCCCAATTCACCTATTCTATGTCCCCTCTCCTGACACTTCCCACCTCAAATTTGATGTCCTAGGACCCCTCCCACACTCATTCCCCCTCAACCATTTCTAGTGACCTCCCTTTGCTTAGGCAGGCTCTCTGCCTGGGATGCCTTCCCCTTCACGCACTCTCATTTGGCTAATTCCTCTCCACTCCCCAGCTACCATCCCATTTCTCTTTACCTATTACAGCAAAGCTCCTTGAAAAAGTTGTCCATGCTGGCTGTCTCTAATTCCTGTCTCTCAAAGGAACTCCAGTCTAGCTCTTATCTCCCTGTACAGTCCACTGACACCACTCATCAAAGTCACCAACACAGTTGCTGAGTACAGATGTGCAGGCTGGGCACTGCACAAGGGTGCTGGGTTACATGAAGGATGGAGAGGTAGCTAAAACCCAACCTGTTCTCCTTTCACCATGCTGTGTGTCCTGATGCAAGGTTGTATCTGTCAGGGGAAGAGATGCCTTTTTCTTTCTCTTTTTTTTTTGTTTTTTGTTTTTTGTTTTCTGAGAGAGGGTCTCAGGCCAGCATAGTGCAGTGGCACAATCATGGCTCGCTGCAACCTGAGTACAGTGTTAGCTGTGGGTTTTTCATAAATGCCCTTTATCATGTTGAGTTCATTCCCTTCTATTCCTAGTTTGTTGAGTGGGTTTCTTTTTGTTTTTGGTTTTGTTTTGTTTTGTTTTTTGTTTTTCTTTTAGAGACAGGAATACCCAGGCTGGAGTGCAGTGGCATGATCTCAGATCAGTGCAGCCTTGACTTCCCAGGCTCAAGCGATCCTCCCATCTCAGCCTCCCCAGTAGCTAGGACTACAGGCATGCACCACTATACCCAGCTAATTTTTATATTTTTTGTAGAGATGGAGTTTCGCCATGTTGCCCAGGCTGGTCTTGACTTCCTGGGCTCAAGTGATCCTCCTGCCTTGGCTTCCCAAAGTGCTAGGATTACAGGTGTGAGCCACTGTGCAGAGTGCCTTTTTCTTTACAGCAAGGTATCCACCTTCTGTTTGCCTGTGTAGCCAGGTCCACCTGGAATGGCCACCATTTTCTTTTCTTTTTTTATTTTTTTGAGATGAAGTTTCACTTTTGTTGCCCAGGCTGTAGTGCAATGGTGCAATCTCGGTTCACTGCACCCCCCACCTCCTGGGTTCAAGCGATTTTCCTGCTTCGGTCTCCCGAGTAGCTGGGATTATAGGCGCTCCCCCCCACCCAACCACCACACCCAGCTAATTTTTTGTATTTTTAGTAGAGACAGGGTTTCATCATGTTGGCCAGGCTGGTCTTGAACAACTGACCTCAGGACACCCACCTCAGCCTCCCAAAGAGCTGGGATTACAAGCATGAACCACAGCACCCGGCCATGGCCACCATTTTCTAAAGTTTGTACATGGTGCTAGACTGTGGCCTAGTCCTCAGTGACTGCCACAATGCTAAATCCAAAAGTCCATTCACAGGCCTGGTCTTAGCTTCCTGACAGCATCTGACACCGTTCATCCCCGCTTCCTCCTTGACATACTTTCTTCCCTTGACTTCCAGGACTCCTCACTGTCATGTTTTTCCTCCTGCCTCTCTGGCTGCACCTTCTCATCTTCCTTTGCTAGTTTCTCCGCCCCTCTCTGACCTCCAATGCCAGAGCTCCCAGGGCTCAGTCCTCGGTCTTCTCCATCTCACTCTTTCCCATGATGACCCCAGCCCAGCTTCAAAGCCCAGCTAAACCCTGAAGCTTCTCGGTGTGTGATTCTCCAACCTGGACCTTTCCACCTGAGGTCAGACCCCAACACCCAAGTGCTGACCTGAAGTTGCCACTAGGATATCCAAAGAGCAGTTCCATCTTAACCCAACCCACACTGACCTCCTCTTCCTCTTTGCCGTAAACATCACGACCACAAGGCCAGCCTGGTCTCGAATTCCTGGGCTCAAGTGATCCTCCTGCCACAGCCTCCCAAAGTGCTGGGATTACAGGCGCGAGCTCCCGTGCCCAGACTCAAACCAAGTCTTTACGCAGGCCACAAAATCCCATAAGATCTGGCCCCCACCACTCCTCTGACCTCATTCTCCTGCAGACACACCGGTCCCCTCCCTGTTCCTCCAAAGCACCAGGGACACTCCCACCTCAGCGCCCGCCCGGCCCCGTGCTGCTCTCTGCCTAAAACACTCCTCCCCCAGGTATCCGCACCGCCCACCCCTCACTTCCTTCAGCGCTCTCTTCCAATGTCACCTTTTCTGACCACTCTACTAAAATTCTACCCCCTCCTTCATCCACATCTCCCATTTCCCCGCCTTCTTTTCCTCCATAACACATATGTATATACCATATGCTTGTCCTTTCTGGGAATGGTCTGTGTCCCCACCACCGCTGCCATCACTAGGCCATAGGCTCCATGAGGGTAAGAATTTTCCTCTCTCCCTTGTAGATTCCCAGGGGGCTGGAACAGTGCCTGGCACCCAGTGGGCATTTACTGAAGCACTCATATAATGAGTGCCCACTATTCCTAGTTTGTTGAGTGAGTTTCTTTTTGTTTTTGTTTTGTTTTGTTTTTTGTTTTTCTTTTAGAGACAGGAATACCCAGGCTGGAATGCAGGGGCATGATCTCGGCTCACTACAGCCTTGACCTCCCAGGCTCTAGCGATCCTTCCTTAATAAAGGAAGAAGTCAGCTGTAAATATTAGAAGGGCTTCGAAACACACAAACAAACAAAACCTGGTGTGTGACTGCAGCTGGCTGGTGGGTAGGGCTACTTCAGTCAGGTGTTCAGCGAAGGCCTCTCTGAGGAGGTGCCCCCAGGCCGGGCAGGTCTGCCTCTATCACAGCACATGTCATACTGTGTCGTGACTGTCTGGACTGGACACTCCATGAGCGCAAGGACCCTGCACACTCCCTCTCAGTCCCCAGCTCCTCCCTGAGCCCAGGGCCTGGATGAAGTTGGTATCCAAAGAGTGATGAACCGAAGAATGAATGAAAGAGTGAGTGGCCAGGGACAAACGCATGCCTGGGCCGCAACCCTGACAGGCCCACAGTAGGGAAACCGTGCAGTCAGGAGCCGGGGCAGGGAGCCACGGAGGCCTGGGGAAGATCCCTGGAGCCCCCGGTCTGGTCTGCAAACGAGGACAACGTGACCCACCACTCCCATGTTAGCCAGGAGGGAGCGTGGGGAGGACTCACACTCTTTGCTCACTGGACAGCCCTGGCTGTGGGGGCCAGCAAGGCTGAGGTAAGGGGCCAGTCACCTGGAGGAGAGCAAGGCCACGGGCTGGAGAAAGGGAGACTGCCCAAGCTCTACGACCTGCCTGTGCAATCCCTCCCCCAGCGACGAGGCCCGGCCAGCATGGGGCCAGGGCTGGTGGACAAAGCCCCACAGGAGTGCCAGGGACTTGCAGTGCCGAGAGCCAGCCGGCAGCCGGCCGCCGGCCCAGGGCCCCGGCAGAGCCTGGCCCAGAACGGCATCTAAGGGCCTTTGTGGGCCTCCGGGAGCCTGTCCAGGAGAGTCCCGGGAACTGGCCGGGGTGGTATGGGGTGGGCAGCCCGCGCTTCCGGAGGTCCAGCTGGCCGTCCAGGCCTGGGTTGATGGGGGTTAGGGGGAGAAGCCCCTTGTGCCCCCCCCAGTCTCTACCCTAGTGGAGGTCACCCCACCCTGTCCCAGGAATTCGCAGCTGCTAGAATTAGAGTGGCCAGTCCGTGCCATCACCCGCACTGAGGCCCAGGGAGCGGGGCGCGCGGCGCGGTTAGGGTTGAGTTCGGGTTGAAACTGACCCTCCCCTTAACCCACGCGCTCCTCCAAGAAGCTGGGCGGGGAGAGGAGGGCAAGACTTTTTCCAAAATGAAGGGACACGGGACATGTCGAGTCCTGCCCAGGGAGGAGCGGCCAAGCCGGGAAGGTTCCCGCAGGGGGAGCTCGGGCTGGGGGAGCCGGGCCAGGCCTGGGCACGGGTTCGGGGGGGGGCGCGGGGGGGGCGGGCTCTCCGCCTCCCTCTGCTGGCCAGACGCAGAATTTCCAGACTCCCCGCGTCCCAGTGCCCAGCACTGCGCGGAGTCTTCCGCGAAGCGCAGCCCCGCTCGCCCGCACTCTGAAAGGAAGCGAATACAGGTCATATGGGTCATCCTCCTACCGCAGCACCAGGCCCAGCGGCGCCCCGAGTTCAGCCGCAGGCACTCAAAAATCAGCCTGCGCGTCGGGATCCCGCCCGTTCTCAAAGTCTCCTATCCGCTCCAACCCGGGTATTTCCTCAACTTTGCCCAGGCTGTCTCCGAAGGCCGTGCCGTTACACAACACGGATGGAAAACAGGCTCCCCAACTATCCCATGGTGACCCAGACCCCCTCTTCCTTGTGCCAGAGACCACAGAGAATTGAGAGGAGTTCACGCACGGGTCCCCGTGCAGCGGGAAAGATCGCGGGTCTAACTGGCCGAGATTCAACAGGCCGCCCAGCCCAGCCCCTCCCGGCCCTGGGAAGGCCAGCGACGGGGGCTCTTTTGGGGTCGGGGCGCCACCTGCTGGTGTTTTTGGAAACTGCACCCGCGGCACCAGGCGGACTCCTTAGCTGGGAGAGAACACCAACAAACGCTGGTTGTGGCAGCTGACTGCTGCTGAGAGTGTTCTGTGAGCCAGGCTCATGCTGAGTTCTTGCCACGCATGACCTCATTTCACCCTTACAGCACTCCTATGAAGTGGACATGATTGCCATTTTACCTATGAGGACACGAGCTCAGAAAGTTCAGTGACTTACCCCAGAGCACCCCTAGTAAGTGGCAGAGCCCAGGCCCCCCTTCGTCTGTGCTGGAACTGGGCTTTCTGTTGCACTGGGGCGTGGGGGTGGAGTGGAGGGGCAGAATCCATCTCAGCTTAGCCTGCAGCTCAGGCATGGTAGGAGCCCTTGGTCTTGTTTGCCCCGTTCATGCCCATGACCTTCTCCGCTGACAGCTTGAGAGCGCTTCTAGGACAAGGCCAAGGCAATCTGTTTTCATGCCACCTCCATCTAGCACTGCTAAGTGAGTGCCCTCCATGTGCTCAGCCTCTCTCACTTGGGAAGACCACTGGGGCCACACATCCCACACACCCCCCAGGCCCCAACCCGTCCCTCCTCACTCCCCGGTTCGGATGCTCGTGGAGGTGTACTGTAAGTGGTTGTGCGAGTGACAGAATCCCAACTCAAACTGATCAGTGAAAAGGGGTTTCTCTAAATGGAAAGTCAAGTTTAGGAGTAGGTCAGGCAGTACAGAAGAGGCTTTCAAATGTGATCTTTCTCCACATCTGTAGCCCAGTGCTCTTCTGCACTGCCTTCATTTCCAGGCAGGCTCTTCCAAAAACGCGTCAAGTTGGCTAAGGCAGGTCTGAGCTTACGTCCAGCTTTGAGGGAAGAAGCCGTCCCCATTCCAACAGTGCAGTACAAGCAGAAGTCTCAGGACTCAGTCTCATCGGCCCAGCCTGGGCAACATGGTGAAATGTGAAATGCTCCCAGCCCTGAACCAATCACTGAGTCACCAAGAGTCACTGCCCCTTTGAAGTGAAGCCTGGAGTCAGCCGCAGGTGATCCACCACATGGACTGACTGATGGTGGGTGGGGATTTGTCCCAAAGGAAAATGGGGGAATGTTTCAGGAGAATGGGGACAGCTGCTGCACAGCAAACAGCTCTAATGTCCATGACACCTGGGCATACCAGAAAGCCACCTTTTCTTGACCCTAACTCATTTTAAAAATGTATTTATTTATCTATTTATTTATTTTTAATAAAGCGAAGCAGGGTCTTGCTCTGTCCCCCAGGCTGGAGTGCAGTGGCAGCGATCTTTGTTCGCTCCGGTCTCAACCTCCTGGGCTCAGGTGATCCCCCCACCTCTCTGCCTCCTGTGTAGCTGGAACTACAGGCACCCGCCACCACACCTGGCTAATTTTTGAATTTTTTGTAGAGACAGGGTTTCACTATGTTGCTCAGGCCGATCTCAAACTCCTGGGCTCAAGAGATCCTCCTGCCTCAGCCTCCAAAAGAGCTGGGACGACAGGTGTGAGCCACAGCGCCCAGGCTATTTATTTATTTTGAGACAGGGTCTCACTCTGTCACCCAGGCTACAGTGCAGTGGTGTGATCACAGCTCACTGTAACCTCAAACTCCTGGGTTCAAGGGATCCTCCTGCCTCAGCCTCTCAAGTAGCTGGGACCGCGGGTGTATGCCACCACTCCTGGCTAATTTTTAAATTTTTTGTAGAGACAAGGTCTCCCTGCATTGCCCAGGCTGGTCTCAAACTTCTGACCTCAAGCGATCTTCCCACCTCAGCCTTCCAGAGTGCTGGGATTATAGGCGCGAGCCACTGCACCCAGCATCTAACCCATTTTTAGATTGGAGACCCCTTCCCACATTATCATACTTCCTTCCTTCACTGATTCATTCAACAAATATATATTGAGTCCCTACATGTACCAAGCACTATTCTAGGTGAGCCATATCAGTAAACAAAAAAACACAAAAATCCTTGCCCTCCTGAATCATGCTTCCAATGGAGGTGGGAGGAGAGAAGAAACAAACATAATAAGTAAGTGAAGTATATAATATTATAGACAGTGACGAGCATCACAGGGAAAACAGGCCATCAGGAAGGCAATGAGGGCCGGGCACGGTGGCCCACACCTGTAATCCCAGCACTTTGGGATGCCAAGGCAGGCAGATTGCCTGAGGTCAGAAGTTCAAGACCAGCCTGGCCAACATAGTGACACCCCATCTCTATTAAAAATACAAAAATTAGCCAGGCATGGTGGTGCATGCCTATAGTCCCAGCTCCTAGGGAGGCTGAGGCAGGAGGATTGCTTAAACCCAGGAGGCAGAGGTTGCAGTAAGCCGAGATAGCACCACTGCACTCCAGCCTGGGCAACAGAGCAGACCCTGAAAAAAAAAAAAGGAAGGAAGGGAGGGAAGAAGGGAGAAGAGGAAAGGAGAGGAGAGGAGAGGAGAAGAGAAGACAAAGAAAGGGGATGAGAAGGGTAGACAGAGTGAGAGGTGTTCCAACTTTAAATAGAGTATTATCAGTGGGCACTTTGAAAGGATGAAGTTGAACAAAAGACAAGAAAGAGGTAGGCTGGGCGAGGTGGCTCACGCCTGTAATCCCAGCACTTTGGGAGACTGAAGTGAGCAGATCACCTGAGGTCAGGAGTTTGAGACCAGCCTGGCCAACATGCTAAAACCCTGTCTCTACTAAAAATACAAAAAAAAATTAGCCAGGCGTGGTGGTGCACACCTGTTATCCCAGCTACTCAGGAGGCTGAGACAGGAAAATCATTTGAACCCAGGAGGCGGAGGTTGCAGTGAGCCAGATCATGCCATTGCACTGCAGCCTGGGCAACAGAGCAAGACTCCGTCTCAAAAAAAAAAGGGGGGGAATTTGTCATGTAGACATATGGCAGGAGAGATTTCCAGGAAGGAAGAAAAGCCAGTGCAAAGGCCCTGGGGTGGGAATATGCTGGGCATGTTCATGGACCAGCAAGGAGCAAAGGGAACAGGGAAGGATGTGGGAGGTGAGAGCAGGGAGGCAGCAGGGGCCAGATGATGGAGGGCGTTGTAGGCCATGATGAGGACTTTGGCTTTGACTCTAAGTGACATCAGGAGCCACCAAAGTTTTGGGCCAGAGAATTGATTTGATCTGACTTATATTTTTAAAGGCTCCCTCTGGCTGCTGTGTTAGAGATAGATTGGAGACATCAGAGCCAAACCCAGTTAGGAGGCCATCGAGATGTCAATTAGTGATCTAAGCAGAGATGTCAGAGTGGCAGACAGAAAAGTCTGGGTGGAGATACACATTGGGGATGAGTGGGTGAGGTCACCACAGGAGTCGGGGAGGGCCGTGTCACAGGACCAAGAATGGACCCCTGAGGCCCTCCCACATTAAGAGCTGGGGGAGGCCAGCGCAATGGCTCACACCTGTAATCCCACCACTTTGGGAGGCAGAGGCGGGTGGATCGCTTGAGGTCAGGAGTTCAAGACCAGCCTGGGCAACATGGCAAAACCCCTCTCTGCAAAAAATACAAAAATTAGCCAGTGTGGTGGTGCGTGCCTGTAGTTCCAGCTACTTGGGAGGCTAGGGTGGGAGGATCACTTGAACCCAGGAGGTTGCTGCAGTGAGCCGAGATCATGCCACTGCACTCCAGCATGGGCGACAGAACAAGACCCTGTCTAAAAAAAAAAAAAAAAAAAAGAGCTAGCAGAAGGAGAAAGGGGAAAGGGGAGAAACAAGAAGAGGGACTGAGAAAAAGCATCTGTGCAGAGAGGCAGAGGAAAAGAAAGAAATCCTGTAAGCCAAACAAAGAGACAATATCGAGGAGAAATGAGACTGAGTGAGTCAGAAGCTGCCGATGAAATCAAGTGAAACAAGAGCTGAAAATCTCCCTTGGCTTTAGCAGCATGGAGGCCACTGGGGACCTTGACAAGAGCCGTTTTCGTGGAAAAGACTGGGGAGAACCCAACAGCAGGGTTATGAAATAACAGTTAACAAGCAGCCTGGGCAACACAGCAAGACCCTGTCTACAATTCATAAACTTCAGAGCAGCACTACTCATGACGGCCAAGAGGTGGAAACAACCTGGTGTCCATCGACAGGTGAATGGATTAACAATATGTGCTACATCCATACAATGGAACATCAGCCTTAAAAAGACAGGAAGCACTGACACCTGCTACAATATGGACGCATCTGTTGTGAGACAGGGTCTTGTTCTGTCATCCAGGCTGGAGTCCAGTGGTGCAATCATAGCTCATTGTAGCCTTCAACTTCTGGGCTCAAGCGATCCTTCTGCCTCAGCCTCGCAAGTGGCTGAGACCACAGGTACGCACCACCCTGCCCAGCTAATTTTTTTTATTTTTATTTTTGTAGAGACGAGGGTCTTACTATGTTGACCAAGCTGACCTTGAACTCCTGGGCTCAAGCGATCCTCCCACCTCCGCCTCCCAAAGTGCTGGGATTACAGGTGTGACCGTGCCCAGCCAGATTAATCTTGAAAATGTTAGGCTAAGTGAAATAACTCAGACACAAAAGGACAAATGCTGTGTGATTCCAATTTATATGAAATATCTAGACAAGGCAAATCATAAAGACAGAAAGTAGGATAGACATGACCAGAGGCTGGAGGGAGAGCAGTGGTGAGTTCTCATCTAATGGATGGAGTTTTTGTTTGTGACGATGAAAAAGTTCTGGAAATATACTACATACTAGTGATGATTATATGACATTTTGAGGGTACCTAATATCACTGAATTGCACACTTAAAAATGGTTAAAGTGGTAAATCTTATGCTATTCTACCACAGTAAAAAATAAAATAAAGCCAAGTGACCTTCAAAAACTAGTCAGGGCTGGGCACAGTGGCTCATGCCTGTAATCCCAGCACTTTGGGAGGCCGAGGTGGGAGGATTGCCTGAGCTCAGGAGTTCGAGACCAGCCTGGGCAACACGGTGAAACCCTGTCTATACTAAAATACAAAAAATGAGCCGGGCGTAGTGGCATGCGCCTGTAGTCCCAGCTACTTGGGAGGCTGAGGCAGGAGAATTGCTTGAACCCGGGAGGCAGAGGTTGCAGTGAGCGCAGATCACGCCACTGCACTCCAGCCTGGGCTATGGAGTGAGACTGTGTCTCAAAAAAAAAAAAAAAAAAAACTAGTCAGGCCCAGCACAGTGGCTCACATCTGTAATCCCAGCACTCTGGGAGGCCAAAATGGGCGGATCACCTGAGGTCAGGAGTTTGAGACCAGCCTGGCCAACATGGCAAAACGTCATCTCTACTAAAAATACAAAAATTAGCTGGGCATGGTAGTGGGCACCTGTAATTCCAGCTACTTGGGAGGCTGAGGCAGGAGAATCACTTGAACCCAGGAGGCGGAGGTTATAGTGAGCCGAGATTGTGCCACTGCACTCCAGCCTGGGCAACAAGAGTGAAACTCCGTCTCACAGACAAACAAATAAACAAACAAAAAAAACTAGATAACAAGCATTTATTGAGCACCTAATACAGGCCAGATACTGGGCTGAAACCTAGGGCCTATGAAAGGCCCTGTGAAGGGCCACTGGGAGCCCACATGGGCTCAAATAAGTACTGCCCCCGCCCCACCTTCTGATCCCTTTGTTTTCTCGGGCCCCTGGGCAGGTAAATCCAGGCAGGCAATTATGATATGAAATGCTGTGTGTGTGTGCGATTTCAGAGAGATATGTGATGAGGCCAGGCACAATGGCTCACACTTGTAATCCCAGCATTTTGGGAGGCCGAGGTGGGCGGATCACCTGAGGTCAGGAGTTCGAGACCAGCCTGCCCAACATGGTGAAACCCCATCTCTGCTAAAAATACAAAAATTAGCCAGGTGTCGTGGCATGTGCCTGTAATCCCAGTTACTCAGGAGGCTGACGCAGGAGAATCGCTTGAACCCAGGAGGCGGAGGTTGCAGTGAGCCGAGATTGCGCCATTGCACTCCAGCCTGGGCAACAGAGTGAGAGTCCATCTCAAAATAAAAAAAAAAAAGGCCAGGCGCCGTGGCTCACACCTGTAATCCCAGCACTTTGGGAAGCCAAGACAGGTGGATCACGAGGTCAGAAGATCAAGACCACTCTGGCTAACACAGTGAAACCCCATCTCTACTAAAAATACAAAAAATTAGCCGGGCGTGGTGGCGGACACCTGTAGTCCCAGCTACTCGGGAGGCTGAGGCAGGAGAATGGCGTGAACCCAGGAGGTGGAGCTTGCAGTGGGCCAAGATTGCACCACTGCACTCCAGCCTGGGCAACAGAGCAAGACTCCGTCTCAGAAAAAAAAAAAAAGAGAGAGATATGTGATGAATGCTGTCCTGAGACTATGGTGAACAGCCACAGCTGGATCCCAGTTTTATAACCTTGCAGCTGGTCAAGTAATCACTGTCAAGAATTCTGGACAAATAGAATAAGGCCCGTGCAAAAGGAGATCTCTAGAGGCTCCACCCTTGGCCCTGGACTTCTCTGGTCCATAGGGTTTTTGTTTTGTTTTGTTTTTTTAAACAATAATTTGAATGAAGAATTAGAGGCATGCTCAATGTGTTTTTGGAGACTGGAAGATGAAAGGGGATGGCATCAGAAGCTGAAAAGAGGCAACAGAGTGAATAGTTAAGACCACAACATCTGAATCTGAACTACCTGGGTTCTAATCTCACCATTTATGACTGAGTCAACTTGGGCAAGTTACTTAACCTCTTCTTTGTGCCTCAATTTCCTCATCTCTAAAATGGGGATAATGGTAGCTCCCTCACAGGATTCTCCCAAAGTCTGAATGAGTTAACCAAGGGTCTGGACATGGCGCATGTATGAGAGTTTGCTACTCTCATCATTAACAGGACTGGCTGGAGGCCGAATTCAAAACCAACAAGATGGAATTTAATGAGGACAGCAGGCATGGTGGCTCACACCTGTAATCCCAGCGCTTTGGGAGGCCGAGGCTGGTGGATCATTTGAGACCAGGAGTTCAAGACCAGTCTGGCCAACATGGTGAAACCCCGTCTTTACTAAAAATACAAAAATTAGTCGGGCATGGTGCTGCGTGCCTGTAATCCAAGCTACTTGGGAGGCTGAGGCAGGAGAATCACTTGAACCCAGGAGGCAGTGGTTGCAGTGAGCCAAGATCACGCCACTGCACTCCAGCCTGGGCAATAGAGCGAGACAATGTCTCAAAAAAAGAACAACAACAACAAAAAAAAGAAATTTAATGAGGACAAATGAAAAAAGACAACATTCAGGTTCCAACAAAGCAATTATACAAGTTCAGGGTCACGGAGAGCTGGTTGAGCATCCATCCATTCATCTGTCCATGAGAAACAGCCTGGGGTGTACAGCTGATTGCCAGGTCAACTGCAGCCAACCCTGTCATTGTAACCTTCACTGGTATCCACCAAGGTGCAGCATCTGACACTGAGGAGGTGACAACCCCATTGTGTTCTGAGCTGAGAACCCATTGTGTTCTGAGCTGAGAACTCAAGGGTAGAGTGTAAAATGTTGGTGGGAGTATAAAATGGTAGAACTGCTTTGTAAATAGGTCAAGCAGTTTCTTAGACAACTAAACATATGCCCACCCTATGATGCAGCATTTCCACTCGAGTCCCCAAGAAAAAATGAAAACATATATTCACACAAAGATTGTACAACAATTTCATAGCAGTTTTGTTTACAATGGTTCCAAACTAGAAACAGCCCAGGTGTCTGTCAAGAAGCAAATGGATTAACAAACTATTACACATCCATACAATGGATTCCTACTCAACAATAAAAAGGAACAAACTACTGATACATGCAACAACAGGACGAAGCTCCAGAACATTATGCTGAATGAAACCAGCCAGGTAAAAAGAGTAGATACTGCATGATTCGATGATTATGACATTCTAGAATGAGCAAAACTAAGCTATGGTGGAAAGAAATCAGAACAATGGGGGCAACCGGGAAACTAGGAAACTTTTTGGAGTGATGGAAATATTCCATATCTTGATAGAGTTGGGCTTATACAAATATATGCATTTGTTAAAACTCAATAAATGGTATACTTAAGATTTGTGCATTTCATTGTATAAAAAATTTTGCCTTCATAGAACAAAGAACCATACACAAGCATTGACCTCTAGTTCATGATAAACATGTTGAAGTGTTTGGGGGTCAAAGTGTACTGATAGCTGTAATTTGCTCTAATATACACTCAAAAAAGATGACTTGATGGGTAAAGGAGGGATGCATAGATAATGACAAGACAAAGATGGCACTAAAATAAATTAGAAAACCCGGGGGGTGGCTACGTAGGTGTTCACTGTAAAATTTGTTCAACTTTTTTGTATGTCTGAAATTTTAACAATAAAATGTGGAGAAGAAGACAGCCAAAAGACCACAAATTGGGTGCAGTGTATACTGCTTAGGTGATGGCTGCACCAAAATCTCACAATCACCACTAAAGAACTGACTCATGTAACCAAACACCACTTGTTCCCCAATAACCTATGGAAATAAAAAAAATTAATAAATAAATTAAAAAACAACTGATGGCTAAGTCCTGGGGAAATCAGCACAGGCCCACAGCTGTCAGCATTTAGGAGGCAAATGCAGCGCACCTTTTGGGAAGCAATTTGTCAACATGCACCAAAAGCCTTAAAAAAGTTTCTGTCCTTTAACCAAATTTTTTCTTTCTTTTTTTTTTTTTTTTTGTTTTTTTTCTTTTTTTGAGACATTGGCTCGCTCTGTCACCCAGGCTGGAGTGCAAGGGCACTATCATGGCTCACTGCAGCCTCGACATCCTGGGTTCAAGCAACCCTCCCACCTCAGCCCCCTGAGTAGCTGCGACTATAGGCACGTGCCACCACACCCAGCTAATTTTTTGCACTTTTTTTTTTGGAGAGATGGGTTTCTGTCAAGTTGCCAGGCTGATCTCAACCTCCTGGGCTCAAGCGATCCTTGGCCTCCCAAAGTGCTAGTATTACAGGCGTAAGCCACCACGCCTGACCCTCATTGCTAGGGATTTATCCTAAGAAAATAAAGATGGATGTGGGCAAAGATATAGCTACAAGGATGTTCATTACAATATTGATTATAATGGCAAAAAGTTGTAAATAACTTAAATGTCCTAAAATAGGGTATTGGTTAAAGAAATTGTGGTGTCTTTATGCACTGGAGTATTATGTCATTAAAATGATGCATCACAAATATTTGCTGAAATGGAAAGATATTCTTTATCTATACAGTTAAGGAGGAAGCAGAGCCTCTGGAGTCACTCTTCTCTTGACTAGAGACCCCATCCCATGACATGGGCTACTCAGTGTACCACTGCCTGTCCCAAGGCTTACAGTTCTTGGGGGGCCTTAATGTCTCCTTATTGTGACTAGCTGTCTTCCTATTTTCATGACATTCTCCACTTCCCACCTGCCTTGTACATCTTGTGTGCACTGTCCCATTTCCCCCTGCACTGTCCCTTGGGAACCACACTTATTCCTTCACACCTCGAGTGCCACTAATTGGGCATACAACTTTGACTGACATTTGCAGTGAAGGCATAACTGGACCTTGTGTAGGACTTTCCTAGGGGGCCAGCACTGAAGCCCTCGCTTCTTCATTCTGAAAGAGGCCCTGCCCATGGGGGCCTGGGTTTGCCTTGTTCCCAGGCTCTAGGAGGAAGGTGGTGGAGACTGAGAGGGAATGGTTGTTGGGAGCCTGTCTGGAGGGCAATGCTTCAGCAAAATGCTCCTACATTTCTTTTTTTATTTGTCTGTTTTTGAGACAGGATCTCCCTCTGTCACCCAGGCTGGAATACAGTGGGGCTATCATGGCTCACTGTAGCCTCAACCTCCTGAGCTCAAGCAATCCTCCCACCTCAGCCTCCCAGGTAGCTGGGAACACAGGTGTGTGCCACCACACGCAGCTAATTTTTGTATTTTTGTAGAGATGAGGTCTGGCCATGTTGCACAGGCTCATCTCGAACTCCAGAGCTCAAGCACTCCACCCACGTCGGCCTCCCAAAGTGCTGGGATTAAGGGCATGAGCCACAGCACCCAGGCTGCTCCCCACATTTCTAGCATGGCCTTTGGAAACTAAATTTTTCTTTATCATCAAAATTATTTTATTCTCTTTGCCCCAATCCTCAGTCTTCCTGAGCAAACCTGTCTTACAACCAAATGACCTTCAAGCTACTAAGTTAGACAGACGTTGCCTTTCTCCCCTACAAGGCCTCCCTCCCACCAGCTTTGAAATAGTCTTGCTTTTGCCTCTCACTTTAATGCACACATTGGCATCTGTTTGCAACAAGAGGCCCCAAGGAGCTAAAAGAGGTCATCTCTGGGTGGTAGGATTGGGGATATTTTTCCCTTGTGCATATTTTTTACTTTCCCTATAACAAACACATATTTTTTTGTGTATTGAGAAAAAGCCACTACAGAAGGGGCCATTGCCAATTAGGGTATACCCAGTGGAGGGTTGCCCAGGAGATGAAGGGCTGAAAAGGTTGTTTATAGGGAACTGGCACCACTTAAGCTGGAGAAAAGGCTGGAATGGGGATGGGAGGACACAGACCTCTCTGCAGCCATCTGGGGCCTGTGTGCAGCAGATGGAGTCACTTGTTCTGTGCTCCACAGAGTGAGCTAGTTCCAACAGCTGGACAGCACAAGAAGGCCAGCTTGGTCTCACTAGAAGAAACTGTCCTACAGTGGAAACTACATGCCTTTTAAGGCAGCTATCTCCCCATCACATAAGGTGTGCAAGCAAGATGGGCAGCCCATTGTCGGGAGGGTTAGAGAGGGGATTTATAGGCTGGCCAGGAGAATGGACTGTGGTTCTTTGAGGTGCCTTAATGAAGCTCACCAGCTACTCAGGAGGCTGAGGAAGGAGGATCACTTGAGCCCAGGAAGTTGAGGCTACAGTGAGCCTTGATCATGCCACTGCACTCCAGCCTGGGTGACAGAACAAGACCCTATCTGGAAAAAAAAAAAAAAAGCAGCTCAGAATGACCTGAGCAAAGTGTCAAGGGAGCTCTGCGACCATGTCTAACATTGGTGAATAGAGGGGATGGTCAGGGAGGACTTCCTGGAGGAGTTCAGAAAACTGACTTTATGGCCCCTCAATCTCCAGCCTCTGGGTACATATCTTATTGACCTCTTTTTCTGGGGTCATCCAGCCGTTTCTGGACAAAAACAAACAAAGCCTCAGCCCCTGCCTTGCTGCAGGATCCTAGATAATTCCCTGCTCCTCTCTGGGCCTCAGGATGCCCTTCTGCTCAATGTTCTCAGCTGAAATTACCCATGATTTTTCCTCCAGGGCAGGCCAAACTGCCAGTCATGCACTTGGGGGAGGGAGGCTGCTGGGTTTTTTAGGGGGACCCTGGTTGTATCCCAGCTTACAGCCCTTGGGACTTGGGCCCGATGCCCAGAGGAGATTCAGCAGAGGTGGCAGGGGTCCCAGAAGCAGGCCAGGGGCTCAGCCAGGCTCCCTGGATACCCCTCCCCAGCCCTCAGCGGCAGGAGGTCAGGAAGGAGACTGGATGTTATCCTGCCGGTGTCGTTACCATGGTGATGGGGTATATATCTGAGCTCTCCCCAGGGCCCCTGAACCCCTCCTCAGGGACCTTGGGGAGGCGTCTTGGAGGGGGATGAGGCAGAGTGTGGTGGGGGCAAACTGAGGTCAGAAGACAGGTGAAGAGGCTGGACTCAGTGGCTCACGCCTGTAATCCCAGCATTTTGGGAGATCGAGGCAGGTGGATCACCTGAAGTCAGGAGTTTGAGACCAGCCTGACCAACATAGCGAAACTCCGTCTCTACTAAAAATACAAAAATTAGCAGGGCGTGGTGGCGCATGCCTATAATTCCAGCGACTTGGGAGGCTGAGGCAGGAGAATCGCTTGAACCTCGGAGACGGAGGTTGCAGTGAGCTGAGATCGTGCCATTGCACTCCAGCCTGGGCGATAAGAGCTCTCTCTCACAAAAAAAGGAAGAAGAAAGGAGAAGGAGAAGACAGGCGAAGAAACTCCCTCCCCTGCAGATGAGTTCATTTAGGGTGGGGCACTGGGTAGCGCACAGGCTGGGGGGTCAGGCGGGCCTGGTCTGAATTCCCCTGCTGAGTGATCTTGGGTAAGTGGCTCTACGTCTCTGGGCCTGTGAGGATGTTGGTATGACGATTAAATGAGACGCCACTGGGATGGTGATGAGCTCATGACTTTATTTTCTCCTCACACGCACAGACACTTGTAGGCAGAAACTGAGCCAAACCGAGAGTGCCGCAGATGGGCGCCCCTGACCTTCCCGCTGCTCCAAGCTCCCCACTCGGCCTCGCGCGCCCTCCCTCCTCTCATAGCTCGGCGTCCTCGCCCGCCCCCGCGCGGCCCTCCCAGGTACTGCAGCAGCCCCCGCCACTCCCGGAGACAGTGCCCCAACACTCCTGCGTCCCCTGCTGCCTTGCAAAGATAGGGTGTGGAGTAATCTGACCTCAGTGCCTCAAGGCCTTGTCTCCAAACCTTCGAAGTGTTGGCTGTTCTTCTTGGAGTCTAGCCTCACCTCCTGGGTATGGGTTCCAGATCCATCTTGCTGATCCCAGACTGGTGGTGGGCGCCAGAAGCAACCTTGGCTGGGGCGGCCAATGGCACTGCAGGCAGGAGGGCGGCGGCACAGTACGGTCTCGATAGAGGTCAAATCATGATCTGGGCTCCTGGTGATGTCCAGGAACACACTCCACGCCTCCATGTGCACACATCCACAAGCACCACACTCCCATGGTGGACACAGCAACATCACTACCCAATCAGGCCCCGTCCCTCCCCTGTGCCCTGCGGACCCCGAGGAAAGCGGTGCTTACTCTAAATTGCAAATAGAAAGCCTTTCCCGGGGCCGGGCGCAGTGGCTCACGCCTGTAATCCTGGCACTTTGGGAGGCCGAGGTGGGCGGATCACGAGGTCAGGAGTTCCAGACCAGCCTGACCAACATGGTGAAACCCCGTCTCTACTAAAAAATACAAAAATTAGCCGGGCGTGGTGGTGGGCTCCTGTAATCCCAGCTACTCAGGAGGTTAAGGCAGGAGAATCGCTTGAACTCAGGAGGCAGACGTTGCAGTGAGCCGAGATCGTGCCACTGCACTCCAGCCTGGGTGACAGAGCAAGACTCCATCTCCAGAAAAGAAAAGAAAAGCAAGAAAGCCTTTCCAGGGCCCACAGCCCTGCATCGGCCAGCCCTGCCCACCTCTTAAACCACCTCTTCCCCCATTCCCCCTGCCCATTATTCACTATTTTCCAGCAAAAATACGCAGTGCTCACTCCACACTTCAGGTCCTGTGCACTTACTGTTCCCTCTCCCTGAACCTCCACTCCTTATCCCAGATCCACCACTGGCTGCTTTCTTCCCTTCTTTTAGGCTTCAGTTCAAATACCACCTCCCCAAAGAGTCCTTTGAGACCACTGAAGCTAAGAGGCTCCCCACCCTCCATTCCTGAAAAACATGCTTCCTGCCTAATGTGTAATCTAATCATTAGGACAATGCACATCAAAAAAAAAACGAGACCGAGTGCTGCGGCTCACGCCTCTAATCCCACACTTTAGGAGGCTGAGGTGGGAGGATCACCTGAGTCTAGAAGTTCAAGGCTGCAGTGAGCTATGATGTAAACCCTTGGGACATTGAGGGACAATGTCCCTCAATGTCATTGGGACATTACATCAAGGGACATTGAAACCCTTGTCCCTTGTGCACTGTTGGTAGGAATATAAAAGGGTTCAGCCAGTATGCAAAATAGTATGGTGGTTCCTCAAACAATTAAAAATAAAATTATATGATCCACCAATTCCCCCATCTGGATATATTCCCAAAAGCATTGAAACAAGAACTCGAAGATATGCTTATACCCCTACATTCATAACAGCATCATTCACAACAGCCAAGCGGTGGCAGCCACCCAAGAACCCATCAGCAGGTGAATGGTGGTCTATCCACACAGTGGAGTACTACTCAGCCTTAAAAAGGAAAGAATTATGACATAGACAATATGAGTGAGCCTCAAAGGCACTATGCTGATGAAATAAGCCAGTCACAGAAGGACAAATATGGTATGATTCCATTTATATGATGTACCTAGGGTAGTCAAATTCATAGAGACAGAAAGTAAAATGGGAGGCCAAGATGGGAGAACTGCTTGAGGTCAGGAGTTCAAGACCAGCCTGGGCAACATAGCAAGACTCTGTCTCTAGAAAAAAATGAAAAAAAGCAGGGTGTGGTGGTGTGTGCCTGTAGTCCCAGCTATCAAGAGGCTGAGGCAGGAGGATTCCTTGAGCCCAGGAATTCAAGGCTGCAGTGAGCTATGATTGTGCCACTGCACTCCAGCCCGGGTGACAAAAGCGAGACCCAATCTAAAAAAAGGAAGAAAGGAAGGAAGGTAGGAAGAAAGGAAGGTAGGTGGTTGCAGGGGTGGAGGGTGCTGGGAAAGGAGGTGGGGGAGTTACTGTTTTAATGAGTTCAGAGTTTCAGTTTTGCGAGATGAATGACTTCCAAAGATGGATGGTGGTGACGGTTGCACAATAATGTGAATGTATTTAATGTCACTGAACTGTATACTTAAAAAAGGTTAAGATGATAAATTTTGTTATGTATATTTTACCGTAAATAAAAAAATATGTATCAAAACATTTCTTTGCTTTTTCAATCCTGCCTCATTCATTAAACTGTGACCTCCATAAGAACAGTACCTGTATCTGCCTGGTGCACCTACTGTGTGTTGCTAGTCACTGAAGACTTGGGGACCAAGACAGACAAGGTGCCCACTCACCTGGAGCTCACAGCCTGCGGGGAGGGGAAAAAGATACTGAACAAACAAATAAACAAGAATATTATCACCTATTACCTGCTGTGCAGAAAATTAAAAAGTGAAATGTAACAGAGTGGCTGCATGAGGAGGAGTTTCAACTGGAGCAGTCAGGCATACCATCCCAGAGGAGGTGACATTTGTGCAAAGACCCAAGGAATGATCAAGAGTCAGTCATCAAGCATCCAGGAGACCTGAGCTGCAGACAGAAGAAACAGCAAGTGCAAAGGCCCTGTGCTGGGCATGAGTGTGGCATGCTAGAGGAACAGCAGAGAGAAAAGGAGGGGACGAGGAGGAGAGATGAAAGAAGGAGGCCCTGGGACAGGGAGAAGGAGAGGGGACAGAAGGTGTTCCTGGTCGCAGAGCAGGGAGGCCTCACTGGATCACCAACCTCCTCTTCACAGCAGGGGAGGAGGGGCTCCATGAACCGAGACCTCTAAGTGCCCAGCTCTGCACCAAATGCTTTTTACAGATCGGCTCGGAGAATGCTCTCAACAGTCCTTGGGGCAGGTATAGTCATTAGCCACAATATAAAGAAGGAAACAGGCTCAGAGAACTTGGCTGAGCTGCTGGGTCTGGGACTAGAGTCAAAGTCATAGAGCGGGAGGAGGGATCTAATGCCCCCTGTGCTGCCTTCAAGGACCCAGTCTGGGGACGCTTTTTCCTCCCACCCAGCTGCCCTTCCACTCCCACTCCCACTCCCTCTGCCTCTAGGGAGAGGGCCTCGCACAGGAGGCCTGGCTGCTAACTGATCCCTGCCAAGGGCTTTCCGTTCCTCCTCTCATTGTCCCCTAAGAGCAAGCCAAGGAGAGAACCCACTACCTCTCCCTCACCTGGCTGGGGAAGGGTGCTGGGAGCGAGGAGACAGAAGCCCATCTCCAGTCCCGCAACACCGTTTCTGAGGCCCCTCTGCAGGCCCTGCCCTTGGAAGGGGTTGGACCGTGGTCCTTGGATGGCAGCCCAGTGGTCAGTGAAGATGCCCCCCAAGGCCAGGGGCAACAGCATCTTGAAGTCTGAGAGAACTTACTTCCCCATATGCGCTACACTGCCCCAGACCCTAAATAGCCTGTGGCACACCAGGGAGAGAGCCAGACTCCAGGGACAGCCAGACCTTGCACCAGCTGGGAAGAATGTTATAGAAAGGAAAGCAGGCTGCGGGGCGCGGTGGCTCAAGACTGTAATCCCAGCACTTTGGGAGGCCGAGGTGGGCGGATCACGAGGTCAGGAAATCGAGACCATCCTAGTTAACACGGTGAAACCCCATCTCTACTAAAAATACAAAAAATTAGCCGGGCGTGGTGGCGGGCGCCTGTAGTCCCAGCTACTCGGGAGGCTGAGGCAGGAGAATGGCGTGAACCCAGGAGGCGGAGCTTGCAGTGAGCCGAGATTGTGCCACTGCACTCCAGCCTGGGCGACAGAGTGAGACTCCATCTCAAAAAAAAAGAAAAGAAAAGAAAAGAAAGCAGGCCTGCTTCCTGCCTGCACTCCTGCGCTCAGGCTATTCAGGGCCTTACCCACCACGGCGGCTCCACCACAGAGGGAGTGCCCAGGGGTGGGGCAGCCCCGGGTCCCCAGGCCCGCAATTCCTCACCCTAAAATAGAGACTCCGCCACCCGGGCCAGTCACAACATGGGACCCAGCACAAAATGAAAATGTGGAGCTTCTTGTTCAAAAAGCAGGAGGGAAATGCCTAATAATAAAGGCGCTAAAATATAAAAGTATCTATGTATCTGTACCTAGAGATATATAAAGCTTCGCTTCTTTTCTGTTGGTCTGCCTCTAGATTTGTCATGAGTTTGTATTTGTTAAATATCATTTTAAGTAAAGAAAAATGAAAAATCTAAATGACTAGCATGAATTTTACTATTCATCTTTCTATTGTGCAATGTCAGTTTTAAATGCAAATATAAGGGTGTTTAACTCATATGCAGAATCATCAAAATCGTATAATTTGTATTCAGTACCTTGTGCACACATGTGTATTTCATCTTACCTGAAATGGTGGGAAAGGGCACAAAACTTACTCAACTGTTTTCATTTCTTTTCTTGACTTATGCACATTCTCTCAACATGCTCTGCTTTTAGCTTATGATGTGTGAGGAGGGGCTGAAAGGAAAGGAACTACAGGTTGCCTGATCTGTCCCTGTCCTAGCTCATCATGATTAGTGTCAGCGGTTGGCTTATCCAGCGAAATAACATGAGGAAGAAGGCTATAGCAGGGTTCCTGGGCCATTCATGTTTTTTTGTTTGTTTGTTTGTTTTTTTGACACGGAGTCTCGCTCTGTTGCCCAGGCTGGAGTGTAGTGCCGCGATCTCAGCTCTCTGCAACCTCCGACTCCCCAGTTCAAGCAATTCTCCTAATTCTCCTGCCTCAGCCTCCTGAGCAGCTGGGATTATAGTCCGCCTGCCACCACGACCAGCTAATTTTTGTATTTTAGTAGAGATGGGGTTTCACCATGTTGGCCAGGCTGGTCTCGAGCTCCTGACCTCAGGAGATCCACCTGCCTCAGCTCCCCAAAGTGCTGGGATTACAGGCGTGAGTCACCAAGACAGGCCCTGTTCATGTTTCTTAGCACACAATTGCCTTCTTCTTGCATCTGGCAAGTTCTGGTTGAAATGGATGGTGAGGTCCCTCAGGGCTGTCAGCGTTCCTCTTACTCAGTTGTAGACATAACAAGCTTACCTTACACTCACTTTGAGTCTTGCTGAGCCCCCACATGTGGTGGGGTCATCAGAATCCTGTGCTCACGGGCATCACCAGCACTGCATGCACACAGGAGCCCCAGCCGGCCCGCATGACACCCAGGTTCTACCTCTCTGTGTACCGCATGCTCCACTGTCCCACTGGACCCCACTTACAAAACACAAGTTCAAAGATGAAATTATGAGACATTTCAAGACAGCTACAGCAGAGCATTAAGGTAAGCAGGCCCTGGTGAGCATGGGGCCCTGTGTGACCCCACGTCAATGAAGCTGCCCCACCTCCACCCTCACCGCAAGCCAGATGGAAACTTCCAAGGAGGACTGTGGCTGGCCCAACTCAGGGCACTGCCCCCCACTGCCACCATCAGTGTCTTGAGTCCGAAGTGCAATGACTGACCCAGCCTGGGTCACAAGGCCACCCATGGCCAGGTAGGAGGTGAAGGTGGGGCATCTATGACTCACTTCACCTTTAGGGAACAAAGGTGTGTCCCTGAAGGGCTGGGCAAGTGCTGGACAGATGAGAACTCAAGCCACCACAGTCCCCTGCCCATAGGTGAGGTTCAGTACAGGAGGGCAGTTCAGGCAGGGGAGAAGTCTTTATAATGAAGGAAGGTGGGAAGCCTGAGGAGCCACAAGTGCTACAGCCTGGCTGCCCCCCACAGAGGAGCTGGGAGAGATGAGGGCATAGAGGTAGCAGGTCACATGGAGGCCCTGAGTGCCCTCCATTGGGACTTATCGCACTCTGACCATGCCACCCCTGTCTAGAAGCTTCTCTGGATTTTTGCTGTCAGGAAAATACCCACAGCCCTATCCCTGAGGCCTGAGGCCCGTCCTCCTCTCCCCCAACCCCCGCCGCCACCTGCTCTGCTGCAGCCGTAGCCCTGCTTGCCCTGGGTCTTAGGCTCTGTGCCTGTTCTTCCCTTTGCCTGGAGCCCTCTTCCCACCATGCTCCTTCTTCAGACTATGCACACTCCCTCTGGGTCCTGGCATGAATATCACCTCCTTCAGGAAGTCTTCCCCAACCCACCAGGCTGGGTCACAGGCCCTGTGCTTCTCCAACATCACTGCCTGGTGACTCATCTTCCCCTACCCTCCACCAATGACAGAATTCCATGAGGGCAGGGACTGGCTCCTGTTCAGGGCAATAGCCCCAGACCCCAACACGTAGTAGGTGCTCAATAATGTTGTTGACTGAACGCATGAGTTCACAGGCTGTGGGAGTCTGGACTCTGCATGAGCTACTGTCTTGTCTTACAGATCAGACAGTTAGTCCAGGGTGGAGGGACTGAGAGGCATGATGCACCCACCATGT
This sequence comes from Homo sapiens, assembly GCF_000001405.40. Taxonomy (NCBI): domain Eukaryota; kingdom Metazoa; phylum Chordata; class Mammalia; order Primates; family Hominidae; genus Homo; species Homo sapiens. Next base: position 139,768,815 of record NC_000005.10, on the reverse strand, counting down.
TGCAGGCCCGATTGGCTCTTTACATTCCTGACCTCACTTTTTTACTCCCATCCAGCCCAGGAGGGAGGGAGGTGTTGTTTTTTTTTTTTTTTTAGATGGAGTTTTGCTCTTGTTGCCCAGGCTGGAGTGCAATGGCTTGATCTCGGCTCACAGCAACCTCTGCCTCCCAGGTTCAAGCAATTCTCCTGCCTCAGCCTCCCAAATAGCTGGGATTACAGGCATGCGCCACCAAGCCCAGCTAATTTTGTATTTTTAGTAGAGACGGGGGTTTCTCCATGTTGGTCAGGCTAGTCTCGAACTCCCTTCCTCAGGCGATCCACCCACCTCGGCCTCCCAAAGTGCTGGGATTACAGACTTGAGCCACCATGCCTGGCCAAGGAAGGTGTTTTTATACCTGTTACACAAATGAGGAAACAGAGGGCAGTGAGTGGGTCACATTCTCTTTTTATGCCCTCCTCTCCCCCACTACACACATCTAAACCGCAGCCAGGGTGACCAGCCCACTGGCCTCTCAGCCTGGAGTCCAGAGGTCCTCTTTTCTTGGCCTGTCTGGGAGAGAACTCTCTCCCAGCTGGGGCCTGTCCTATCCTTTCTCCCTCCTCTTCCTCCCCCTCCCCACTTCCTTCCTTCCTGCTGTAGGATATTCCCTTTGCAGGAAAGGTTCCAGGTTCCGGGGCAAGGCCCCCAGGTTCAGCTGCCCAGGCTGGGACACGTGCTACCTCCATCAACCAGCCCCTTTGCCCTCCCTGGCGGGGGGCCAGATATCTGAGCCAGGCCCAGGGGACAGGGGAGCACTGCACAGGGGACAGCTCAAGGTCTTCTTGTCCCTCTCTCTGCCTCCAGCCCTAGCTGAGGCAGAGGACTCTGGAACTCATCCTGGTGCCCTGGGGTCAGGCACTAGACCTGGTAGGGGCTTTGTCACTCTGCCTGTGAGCTGGTCATCACTGAGAGCCTCTGAGCAAGAGCCTTACCTCTGTCAAGCTGGTATATAACCTCTTGGATTGCATGTGCTGAATCACTTTGCACAGCACCTGGCACAAAGTGAGTGCTCAGTTAACATTATTAACAGCTCCAATCATTGTTATTATTCTCTCCAATATCATCCTCATCTGACTGAATCTTTACAGCTCTCCTGGGAAGTAGGTAGAGTTTTGATCCTCATTTTATAAATAAGAAAACTGATGCTTACAAAGACAGGAGGGGCCAGATGCCGTGTCTCACATCTGTAATCCCAGCACTCTGGGAGGCCGAGGTGGGCAGATCACTTGAGATCAGGAGTTCGAGACCAGCCTGGCCAACATGGGGAAACCCCGTCTCTACTAAAAATACAAAAATTAGCTGGGCATGGTGGTGCATGCCTGTAATCCCAGCTACTTGGGAGACTGAGGCATAAGAATCCCTTGAATCCGGGAGGTGGAGGTTGCAGTGATCTGAGATCGTGACATTGCACTCCAGCCTGGGCAATAGAGTGGGATTCTGTCTTTAAAAAATAAAAATAAAAGGAAGAAAGAAAGAAAGATGGTGGCTGGGTGCGGTGGCTCACGCCTGTAATCCCAGCACTTTGGGAGGCCGAGGCAGGCGGATCACGAGGTCAGGAGATCGAGACCATCCTGGCTAACACGGTGAAATCTGTCTCTACTAAAAATACAAAAAAAATTAGCTGGGCAAGGTGGCGGGTGCCTGTAGTCCCAGCTACTCGGGAGGCTGAGGCAGTAGAATGGTGTGAACCTGGGAGGCAGAGCTTGCAGTGAGCCGAGATTGTGCCACTGCACTCCAGCCTGGGTGACAGAGCGAGACTCTGAGAAAGAAAGAAAGAAGGAAAGAAAGAAAGAAAGAAAGAAAGAAAGAAAGAAAGAAAGAAAGAAAGAAAGAAAGAAAGAAAGAAGGGAAGGAAGGAAGGAAGGAAGGGAGGGAAAGAGGGAAAGAAGGAAAGAAAGAAAGAAAGAAAGAAAGAAAGAAAGAAAGAAAGAAAGAAAGAAAGAAAGAAGGAAGGGACTTGCCCAGACTCAAACCCAGGCCAGTCAGTGCTCTTTATCACCTTACTATCCTGATGCCTACCCCTCTATTCGCCCTAGAGCAATTCTTAACCTGCTGGGTGTCTCAGTTTCCCCAGCCAGGCAATGGCGAGGATGGAGGAGGCATCTCTAAGGACCTTTAAGTCTAAGGGAACTTATTAATCCATCGAGGTGGGGCTGCTGGAATGGGCACAAAATCACAGATCTAACCATGGAGGGTCCTACAGGCCAAGGTCACCTAAACTCAGGACAGACTGCAAGAGTCTAACCTGGGTCCCTTCTGCTCTAGCTCCATCCATTTCCCCCATACACAGAGGAGAGAAAACCCCATATTGTGGGACAGGGAGAGGGTGCCCCCCACCATTCCAGGACTGCTGAAGACTGAGAAACAGGCCCAGGCAGGTGAAAAGAAGGCTAGGCGCTGGTAGACGGGCAGAGGCAGAAACAGAGTCATCGAAGGGTAGGTCCATCAACAAGTATCCCATGAAAGGCTTAGGGCCAGATAGAACTGCCAGGCCTGGAAGGGAGGCCTCACCCTACTGCCACCAATCCTGTATCGCCCCCTTCTACAAACAGCACATCGAATCACAGCTCAGATTGTAGACTTCCTGAGTTCAGATCCATCTGTTAGTCCTTCATCTGTGGACTCAGCGATCCACCCCCACCACCATTCTGCTCCGCGGTCCCTCTCCCCAGGCCCTGGTTCCACACCTCCCTACCCAATGTTCTCCCTTCATCCAGACCCCAGGCTCTCTACCCAGCCACCACAGAGGGGCCTGGCTTGCCGTCACCCCATCGCCGCCAGCTTGAGGACAGGCCCAAAAAAGGAGGACAGGGAAAGAGAGAGGGAACGAACGCACCACCCCGGGCCAGAGCGGCGTCCTCTCATCGGCCTAGGAAGCTGTACTGCTCAGCAGCCACCAGAGGGCGCGCGCCCCTTCTCAGAGCCAAAGCCACGACGGCGGCGGTGGCGGCGGACCCGGAGGGGTTTGCAGAAGATGCGGGGCAGGGGTGCGGTCACTCCGGGAGGAACCCCCCCGGAACGCAGCCGCACCCTGGGCTCGGATTCAGCCCTTGTAAGAAGACGGCCTTGGATGCTGCCCCTCGACCCTCTCCCCAGCCGCGCCCCGCGCTTCGGTCTCCTGCTGACTACTCGCTCTCTCCCCCTCCTGGCCGCTGCGAGCACTGCGGCCCGGCGGAGCTTGGGCTTGGAGGGTGGGAGGTGGGCAAGGGGGCGAATGGGGATTTATCTGGAAATAATGTGGCAAGGGGCTGCATGGTGGGAATATACTGGGCAGAACGAGATTGTAGTGGTTAGCACTAGGTGAACAGAAGTACGAAGAGGTGGGGAACTACAGTGGATGTGCAGGGTACTGGGCCGATTAATAGGAGGGCACTGGGGGCCACCGGGCAGGTACTGGGGGCAGTGGGTGGTCCCTGGGGGCTATTTAAGTGGTACCAAGCCTAAACTGGAAAGAGGGCGCTGGGTGGTTTCCTGGTGGTAACGGGGGCCCTGAGTGCATGTTGGAAGTACCACTGCGTAGGCACTGGGGGTACTGAATAACAACTGGAGACATTGTGTGCTGGGAAGAACTGGAAGGCAGTGTGAAGATAGCGAGCAGAAGGGGCACTGAGTGGGAACCAGGGGTGGGAGGGTCACGGAACCCGCAGTGGGAAGTACTGAGTGGGTCTGGGGATATGGCACAACTGAGAGGGTGAGGGGGCGTTGGAAGGGTTCGTGGCAGGTACTGGGCATTATCTATGAGAAGTGGGGACATGGGTGGACATCGGGTGGGTCATGGAAGTCACTGGGGTCACACTGAAGCCCTGGAACAGTATGGCACTTCCCTGGCTGTGCCTCAGTGCCCCTCACAACAGCGCCACTTTCACAGCCAGGACTTAGATCAGAAATGTCCCTTCGCCAGTGAGGGTATCCTGCCCTGACCAGAACCTATTCCTGCTTTCCTGGCGGGTGTGGAGGGTGCTGCTCATAGACAGAGGACAGGCTCTATTATCTACCTCCCCCAGATGAGGTGGGAAGTAAAGGCAGGTCAGCCCCTTATCCCTAGAAAATAAGGAGCCCCCTGCTCAGCCCCTCCCATCAGGTTTCGGCCTCCTGGCCCAGCTTGCTGGCTGCTGGGCCGGGAGGGGCTGCCAGGCTCGGCCTCCTGCCCACTGCGGGGCGCCGGGGGAGGGCGGCGCGCGGCTCGAGATGCCGCGTTGCCATGGAGACGCTGCCGCATCCTGACTGCTCCTGGCAACGGGGTCCCGCAGCCAGGCAGGCGCTCGGCGGGGACCCCAGGGAGCGGGCGCGCCAGGCTGCCCACGGCGCCGCCAGACCCCCGGGACACGGATATGGCTCCCCCACCCACAGGCGCCCCTCACTCACACTCCCAGGGGCACACGGATGTACGTACGCGCCCCAGCTGCAGCAGCCCAGGCGGAACTGCAGCCCAAGCCCTCCCTGCAGCCCCCACTCATTAATTCAGCAAACATTTGCTTACGGTCTCAGTGCCAGGCGCGAGCTGGCCACTGCGGTTGTGGCGGCGACAAGTCACACGGGGACGCTGCACTGCCCCCCTCCCTCCCCATCTCGCAGCCCGCAGGGGAGGCAGACACAGAAACAGTGTGATCAATACTGTGACCCCAACAACAGCCACCCGCTGACTGTGTGCTCAGCCCTCCTCATGCAGGATCTTGCCTAAACTGTAAAACCCTTGGGAAGCACTGTGAGAACTCCTTTTCACAGATGGGGAAACTGAGGCACAGGAGAGCTCATCTATTCACCAGAGGCCATGTAGTCAGGGTGAGGCAGAGCTGGACTTCCCAATTGGATCTTGGTGACTTCCCCAGACTACCTTTGCTGGAGAATTTCCGAAGCACAGATGAGGGAGGACCCAACTCAGCTGGGGAGGCAGCAGAGAGAATTTCAGACTCAAGCTCGGGTCTTGGGAGAAAACGCAAGTCGACCAGGCATAGCAAGAGGCAGGAACACTAGGCTGAAAGAACAGCTGGTGCAAAGACCTGGAGAATGTAGACTGGCAGGCTGGGTGTGAGAGCAAAGGCAGAAGATGTGGTTAGGAAGCTGCTTGGAGGCCAATCCTGGAGGCTCGCTGTGCCAGGCCGAGGGGACTGGCCTCCATTCCGAGAGGAGCAGGGAAGGTGTGAGCAAGGGAGGGCATGCCTGACTATTGCTCTGGCAACCCTGGGGGTGAGGGGCTGGCCCAGGGCAGGTGAAGCTGGAGCTAGGAGACTAGAGCACAGGCCATGGTCATCATCCCAGCAAGGGACAAGTGGGCCCACTCGGCTTGAGTCCAGAGTGGAAGTAGGACACGGCCTTCTTGCCTTCCCCGGCAAAGATCCTTCTGCCTGATTGGGAACCCAGGGAATGACCCCAGAGCTAGATGCCTGACAAGGTGGGCACCCCAGGGGGAGCCAGGGCTTAAAGACAGTGAGCGCAGTGAATGAAAACATGCTTCAGAGTGACGTGAAGAACAACTGGGCTAGACTCCTGGAAGGACTTCCCAGGAGGAATGGGTGTGAGGTTCAGAGAGAGGCCAGGAGATCCTTGAGAAGAAAAGGAAGAGTCCCACACACCTCACACATCTGGAGGGAATAGACAAGATGTTTCTTCCAGACCCCTCCTGCCAGGGTTATTCCTCCCTGGGCCCGCCCAGCAGAGCCTGTTCAGGCACCCCACTGAGGAGGCACAGCATCCGGCCCCTAACCTCCCCCTCACCCAACAAGGTTAGCCTAATTTTTTTCCTTCCGTGGATTCAGGTCATTGCTCCCTGTCCTCTCTCTGAGGCGCTGCAGAATGTGACTAATTCCCTCCCTTCATTTATGGGTCCTGTTACCTGGAAGGTATTTATAGCGCAACAGCCTCCCTCTCTCCCCAGCGACTCCGCTGCTCTCCCCCCAGGCCATCTCTCCCCACTCTGCCAACCTTTGCCTCCCCTCTCTGCTGCCACAGCCCCACCACCTCCCCAGCCAGGCCTCCTGTCCTGCCATCCCCCTGGCAGGAAAGGGGGCTGGCTCTGCCGGGAGGGGTCTGCCGGGAGGGGTCTGTAGCCTTTCTGAGTGGAGTACTGTCTGCAGGGTAGATGACCCTCCTCTCTTGGACACGCTAAAAAAGGCCATCTAGGGCCAAGCTAGAAGAGGGTGACAATTGGTTGACCCCTCTGTGACCTCAACAAGCAACCTGGTACTTCAACTAACAATAGGCAACAATTATTGAGCGCTCAGCATGGGCAATACAGGGGATACCTGGGTCTATACATAACATTTCTTTACTTAGATAGGCATTGTGGTGCACACCTGTAGTCCTAGCTAGTCAAGAGGCTGAGGTGGGAGGATCGTTTGAGCCCCAGTTTGAGGCTGCAGTGAGCTATGATTGCGCCACTGCACTCCAGCCTGGGCAACAGAGCAAGACCCTGTCTTAAGAAAAAACGAATGAAGGACTGGGCGTGGTGGTTCATGCCTGTAATCCCAACACTTCGGGAGGCCAAGGCAGGTGGATCACCTGAGGTTAGGAGTTCAAGACCAGCCTGACCAACATGGTGAAACCCTGTCTTTACTAAAAATACAAAAATTAGCCAGGCATGGTGGTGCACACCTATAGTCCTAGCTACTTGGGAGGTTGAGGCAGGAGACTTGCTTGAACCCAGGAGGCGGAGGTTACAGTGAGCCGAGATTACGCCACTGCACTCCAGCCTGGCAACAGAGCAAGACTCCGTCTCAAAAAAAAGATAAATAAATAAAAATAAAAATTATTGAATGCTTACTATCTGTCAGGCATTATTATTATCCTTGATTTACAGCTATGGAAACGGAGGCTCAGAAAGGCTAAATGACCCTCCTCAGGTCCTCATGGTTGGGATGAGGTACTCCTGGACAGCTGCCTTCCAGAGCCCTGCCTGGTATTGGGAACTCACCTTAAAAGGCAGGCAGGGTGAGGGCTGCAGACAGCCAGGGGTTCCTGACCAAAACATATATCACAAAGTCAACAGTGTCCCCACTGGTCCTAAGCCATGGATGATCTCCCTGAGCAGTCAGGAAACAGCACCAGATGGAGGCCGGTGGGCTATTTAACACTGCCTGTCGCACACACATCTCCTCCTCCAAGCAAGGGTCATGGAAAGCAGAGGTTAGGGGGTGCTGATCTAAGCCAAGGAATAAGGGAAACAGGAAATAAGGGAAACTGGTGTCCACGGAGGAGGAGTGAAGGGGAACTACAGCAGAAAGGACGGAAAGAAGACCCTGTGAGGGACTTACAGGCTTATAGGGCTGAGGCAGGGACTGGCTGCTCTTTCACATCCCCACTTCACAACTGTGCGAAGCCCCTTTTACAGCCAGAAGCATGGAGACCCTGACAGGTGAACAGACTGACTCAGCTTTGCCCAGATCCTCTGGCCAGAAATTCTACAACACTGATGAAATGATTTCTGGGAGACAGGAAAGAATGGAGGAGAAGGCTGAGTTCAAATCCCAACCTTGTGCTCACAAGCATAGTGACATTGAGCAAGTGACTTCGCCTCTCTGTGACTTGATTTTCCCATCTGTAAAATGGGCTGACATCACATCTTACTCACAAGTGGTCATGAGGACTCAGTGAAGTGGATCAGGCAAAAAACTGAGCACCAGGCCTGGCACGCAGCAGGGACTCCGAGATGTTGATGGGCAATGCTGTGGTTTGTATTTGCCCCTGAGTCTTTCTTCTCTCACACATCTTCCCTGAGACTATGGCATCTTGGGGATAAGGACTGTATTTCCCTTTTATTTATTTGTGTATTTATTTTTATTATCCTAACCACTAGACCACCAGGGAAGGGCTACGTTTCCTCTATCAGCCTAACATTGACCTTGGGACCAGGAGATCCCCGGGGCAGGCTGCTGTTGGGAAAGAGCATTCATTGTTGTTATCATTATTTTCATTATCATCAGTACATCATTCTCTATTGGCTGTAGCACCATCAGCACACACCCAGCAGGCTTGTGGCTCTTGTTTGGGAGAGCCATTCCCCCTCACATTGCCACAAAGGCAGACCACAAGCCCTATGTGGGGTGCACCCTGGATCTAGCAGCTCTCATTATACCCCATTTGCCACTACCCTCCTCCATAGGGTGCCAGGAGCCTGCCTGGAAGAAGAAAGCCACTGAGTCATTCTGATTCCTGCTCAGTGAGCCAGAATCAGCAGCAGAGCCAGCCAGCGCATCCAAGGGAGGATCAGGGGCAGAGCTGGAATCCTGGGACTCTCCTGGCGGCACAACCCAGGGGCTGAGCATGGTGGCACCAGGAGCCAGGTTTGGGAGGGGAAGTGGAGACAGGAAATGCAGGGCTCCAGTGGCTGGACCCTGACAGAACAGGAAGGGGCAATGGCAGGCATCTGTGAGCACACCTGTGGGTCCCCCGTGAGCACACCTGTGGATCTGGCACCAGGTCAAGTTTCCACCACCCTGGAAGACAGAGAGCTCAATCCAATTATAGGTAAAGGCTACAGACTCAGAGAGGTTCCATCAACTACCAGAGGTCACACAGCACCTGGTAAGAAGCTTCAGGCAATGCTTGCTCAGATGCCTGCAATCCCTGATCCTCATGTCCTGAGTGCACAGCCAGGCCCAGGACTGGGGTAGGGGGAATGGAAGCAGTCAGCAACCCTGTCCATACTGGCAGATGGAGGGTGGGACCAGGCATCACAGGAGATTGAGGACCGAAGGTCAGGGAGTAGAGCAGAAGTGAGGCATTCTGGACAGTGGGCTACAACCTGGGCCTGAACAGCGAAGGCCTTTGTCCTCAGCCTGGCTCACCCCAAACTTGCCATGTGACCTTGGGCAAGGCCTGGCCTTTCTCTGAGCCTCAGTTTCCTCAGTTACCCTATCAAAACTCTGAGCTCCAACACTCTCCCTATCAGTTCTGAGTCAGGCCTCCCCAGGCATGCCAGCAGGGCTGACAGGCTTGAGGGGCCAGAGAGGGGTCTGTGCCCAGGCGGCCATCCTCTCCCCACCCATGGGCACACAGGGTCTTCGTGGAAGAAACACAGTGTATACAAATAATTAAACGGAAGAATTGGAGTGATTAGGGCAGATGATTATTGTCAAATTATGATTTATCTTGTAGTGGAATTAGTATTCCCCCAAAGGGCCCGGCGTGGCGCGGCGCCCGCCACGGCCCGTGATTAATCGCCGTCTCCAGAAGGTCACCTCCAGCCACTGCAGATTAACTCAGTGGGGAAACTTCTTTCCGTAATTCAAGCTGTTGTTCCCACAACCTGTCATCCGCCGCAGAAAAGGACGATTTCGTCAGGGAGCCCAGGGCGGGGGACAGCCAGCTCCCAGGCCCCTCCCGGCTGCAGACATGATATACGGTGCGTCCCGACACGGGTGACCGCGATCGGGGGCAGCATCCGCCCATGGGGTGGGCAGCAGGAGGCAGGAGCAGGGAGAATGTGGGGGAAACGAGGCGCCGCCAAGCAGAAGTAGGCTGTGAGTGGAGAGAGAGCGCGCGCGGGCGGTGGCAATTAGGAAGAAAATTGGATTTTTCAGCGTCCAGAGGCAGCTGGGATCTGCGGTGTGCGGTGCAGCCTTTCCAACACACACAGGCACCCAGCTCCAGACAGGCAGGAACTCCCCAGGAGAGACGGAGAATGGGGGAGGCCATGGGCCTCCTTCAGGAAGATAGGAAATGTAGAACCAGACCAGGGCAGAGATTTCAGCCCCCAGCTCTGTGGCCTGCACCACCCCTAGATCTCCCCTTCAGTACTACCTGGAGCATGGAATGTGAGCTGGAGGAGAATCCATTAAGAAGGCCCCTGCCAATCCAGCAAGAAGAACATGGTGAGGACTGAGGCTGGGCCCAGCAGAACCTCCCAGCGGCAAGAAGGGGACCCTGGGCGAAGGCAGCTTTCCTGACCGTGGAGCCAGAACCAAGATCCCATTTCCCCAATGGGAGACACTGCCCAAGTCACATGCCCAGGTCAACTGGAGCTGCTAATCATGGCCACCTCTGTCTAGCAGCCCAGGCCAGGTCTTGGAGGAAGCATGGAATCCCTGGCCTGTCTCCCTGTGCGTGGAGAACAGTGGATACAAAGCCCCCAAACCCTGCCTCCTCACTCTGGCCTCACTCCCCAACCTCTAGTTCCCGGACGCAGGGAGCAGGGTAGTAAAAGGCATAAGTGCGTCCCCTTCCAGTCTCTCATTTACCTTCCAGTCAGCCCTGCAGGGAGGATGGTTTGTGCCCACACTGCACAGGGGAGGAGGCTGAAGCAAGGTGACTTCCTGCCCTGAAGCTGCCCTGGCTCTCCAGCACCCTCAGGATTACTTTCAAGATCCTTCGAGGCCCTGCCCTTTCTGCCCGCACGGTCCGCAGCACTTTACAGCCTAACCCCCTGCCCTTCTCCCCACCTCCAGAAACACTCACTGTGCACTATTCTTTCAGGCCTCTGGGCTTCAAACATTCCTGAAATGTACTTCCTGTCCCCAGCCCTCAACAAGCAAACTTCTATTTATCCTGCTGTATCCAGCTCACTTGTCTCTCCAGAAAGAAAGGGTGCTCCCAGGCCCACTAGAAACCCCACCCTTGTGAGCACAGATCACCACCCCATGCAGAAAGCACGCTCCACCGGCCTCTCCCACCAGACAAGGCACCCCTACATCTATCTGTGGCCTCCTACACCTGTCTCCCCAGTGCAGGGCAGACTAACCCAACCCAAGTTGGTACTAAGAAACCATTTGGTTTTTTTGTTTCGTTTCGTTTTGTTTTTGAAATAGGGTCCTCACTCACTTGCCCTGGCTCAAGTGCAGTGGCACAATCCTAGCTCACTGCAACCTCTACCTCCTGGGCTTAATCTATCCTCCCACCTTGGCCTCCCAAAGCGCTGGGACTACAGGCATGAGTCACCGTGCCCAGCCTCAAGAAACCATTTGTAAGACACCAGGGGCTGCTGAGGGACCTGTACTCCTCCATTCTCCTCAGTCCACAACCCCAACTTGACAGGCCCCAGAACTAGGGTATGCTGGGGAGAGGACAGAGGTGAAAGTCCTTGCCGGCTGGTGTCCTCAAGGTCTGGAGGCCTGCTTTTAGTTAAGAACAGAAGCATATATTATGTATACGTTGGTTTGCTCAGAACATTCTAGGGTTGGAGATATTTAGAGTTGTGAAGACCCAGCACTATTTGGAAGAAAAAATCTCTTTCTCTCCCTCTCAAGGGTGGGGACGGGGGAACAACTCTTTCCCAAATCATTGGGACTAACACCAGCATTTTCTTTGGGGGAAGAAGGGGGTTTTCCATTCCCTTCAGGGACTGCCTGGCAGACACTACCCCCCTTGAGTCTTTGGTTGATGGTGATAAAAACACCCATCCACACTACATCTGATGCTCAAAACACCCTTTGCTACGTTCACTTACTGACTCTTAAGGGAAAAGCTGAAGAAGCTTGTGAACCCCCTTTCACAGATGCAGGCGAAGGACAGGGTTGGGGTGGTGGTGGCAGGTGATTTGCCCAAGGGCTGTAAGCAGTGGAGATGGCTGTGAGTGTGAGGAGGATGATTCTCATCCCACTGCCCACCCAGCCCACTCTGTGACTCCACTGGCTTCTCACACAGGCAGCTCCAAACCCTTTGCCCCCATCCCAGAGCCCAGGAGGGGTGGGAGAACAGCAGATGGCTTGGCTAGGGGACCTCCCAGGAGAGAATCCGCTTCATGCAATCTATGGGCCTGATTCCAATCCCAGCCATGCCCCTCACTACCCTGGACCTTGAGCAGGTCACTTTCCCTCTCTGTGCCTCTGTTTCCTCATCTGTAAAAACATGAGTTCCAACCTTGTAGAGCTGTTGTGTGGATGAATGGAGACTCGGGCCTGACCTGCAATTAGGAAGTGCTCAAGAAATTTGAGTTGTGCTTGTTTTGGGTTGTTTTATCACCTTCATCACCTCACTATCCCTTGTGGAAGAGTGCGGGAAGCTAATAGCTTCCCTATTTCCCAGCGGAGGAAACTGAGTCAGGGCATAGCCTCTAGCAGACAGAGGACATCGCCAGATAAAGGATCCTGAAGGCCAACTTTGATTTTGCCCGCCCCCTCTCAAGCCCCTCCATTGCTCCTAACCCTTGTAAGACAACACAGTCGCCCAGCCAGAAGAATCCCACCAGCTGGGTTCTTCCCTATTCCTAGGGCGCTCTGCTGAGTCCTGCCTCCTCGCCTGTGCCCAAGCTGGTCCCTCCGCCTAGAATCTCCACCTAAAGTCCGCTCCCTCCACGAAACTACCCCCAAGGGACCCTGGTGCCTGGCTGAACCGCGCAGCCCAGCCACTGACCACCTGGTCACCCCAAGCAACCTTCTGAACCCTGCACGGGTTGGGCAAGGACTTCCCAGTCTGACCCTAGATGCTTGAGCGGGAACCCTGGTGGGTGCCCCGACCCCGGGGGAGCGCAGCCTGCTCCCCAACCCCACTCCCTCCAGCGCCGCGGCCCCGGCTTTGATCCGGCTGCCTCTGCGCCCCAACCTGATTGGCATCGAATTACGCCGCGCGGCGGAGGCAGATAATGGCGGGAGGCGCGGCAGACATGAAAGGGGGGGCGCAGCGGCAGTCCGAGCCGTTGTTAATGACCCAATAAAAAGGAAGAGGGGGGAGAAATAACCCTCCCTTCCCTCCCCGCCCCCAGACCGCGGCCGGTGCACACAAAGCCGCCGCCGACTCGGAAATTACCGAGGCTCAGCCCAGAGCAGCGTGACTGGGGGTGGGGGCTGCGCTCACCTGGCGGGGCGCGGGAGGGCGGACGGCAGCCGCGGGGACACTAGCGGAGGCACAGACAGAGCCACACGGATAGGCACATACACTGAACCTGTCTTTAATAGTCTATTTTCATCATTTTTTGCATTGTGCTTTTTTTAAGTATACGAAAATATTTTTCCTAATTACTGAGATTTGTTGGAGCCCCCTTAAATTTTGTGCCGACGCTAGTCCAGGTCCTGAAACAGTCACACAGACAGCACCATTTAGTCACGCACACGGTGTGTCGCATACACACAGAACAGTTACAGTCTCACACACAGTCACACACAGAGACACAGTCACAGCATCACACACTGTGGCACCTAGAGTCACTTCGGAAACAGGCACGGAGCCTCATGCGCGCGCACACACACACACACACACACACACACACACAGCAGGGCCGCAGAGATGCTCACACGGAAACACACCCAGAAGCAGGACAGACACAGACATATCAAAGATACACACACACAGAGACAAATAGGGAGGAGGCTCCCAGGGACATACACACATCACACAAGCTGTGCAGAGAGGGACACAGAATGACGCAGGCAGAGCTACAAACACAAACATGCAACAATATAGAGACCAGCACCCCATAACATGTCCCAAAGATACCCACGCACACAAACACCCAGGCATGCTGGGACACGCACACATCAAAGCACAAATCCCCTCCCCACTAGCGTCTCTGGAACACACCCTATATACCCTCTCAGCCACCCATTTCACACCCACACTCACACATGTTCAAGTGTATTCGAGCGAGAGCCCAAGACTGGGTTGACCCACAGCAGAGATGAGGTGGCGTCGCTGGAACACAGACCCCAGAGGATCCATCTACCTACCCAGGACCTGACAGTGGGAAGGGGCGTGGGTGGCGCTGCCTCAAATCCATGAGGCTGGGGCAGATGGCTTAAACTGTCAGAATTTCAGTTTTGTTCGTCTATAAAATGGGGTTCAACTCCTCCCCTACGGGACTGTCTGCGACTCAATAAGCAAGCACTAAATGTTGGCTGCCATTATCATGTGGATTCCCTTGGGGGCAGCCCGGACCCTCTCCACTGCACACACACACAAAAACACATACACACCTTGGCTCCCAATCAAACTCTACTGCTAAGGAGGTCCCTCTGTTTTTGTTTTTGTTTTTGTTTTTTTTTGAGACAGGGTCACTCAAGCTGGAATGCAGTGATGCAATCACAGCTCACTGCAGCTTCAACTTCCCAGGTTCAAGTGATCCTCCCACCTCAGCCTCCCAAGTAGCTGGGATTACAGGTGGGTGCCACCATACTGGCTAATTTTTTTTAACTTATTTTATTTTTTTTAATTTGAGGCAGGGTGTCACTCTATCACCCATGCTGGAGTGCAGTGGTGTGATCTCAGCTCACTGCAGCCTCCACCTCCTGGGATCAAGCAATCCTCCCACCTCAGCCTCCTAAGTAGCTAGGACCACAGACACGCACCACCACGCCCCAGCTATTTTTTTTGTATTTTTAGTAGAGACAAGGTCTCACCATGTTGCCCAGGCTGGAGCTCGAACTCCTGAGCTCAAGCGATCTGTCCAGCCTCCCAAAGTGCTGAGATTACAGGTGTGAGCCACCACACCCAGCTAATTTTTTAATTTTAGAGGTAGGGTTTCACCATGTTGCCCAGGCTGGTCTTGAACTCCTGGGCTCAAGTGATCCTACCATCTAAGCCTCCCAAGTAGCTGGGAGTACAGACATGCAACACCACACCCAGCTAAATTTTTAAAATTTTTTGTAGAGATGGGGTTTCCCCATGTTGCCCAGGCTGGCCTCCCAAAGTATTGGGATTATAGGCATGAGCCATCATGCCCAACCCCTCTTAAATCTAATCTGAATTCCTCATTCTGTAATCTAAACCCAACTCTGGTCCGGCGCAGTGGCTCATGCCTGTAATCCCAGCACTTTGGGAGGCCAAGACGGGTGGATCACCTGAGGTCAGGAGTTCGAGACTAGACTGGCCAACATGGTGAAACCCCATCTCTACTAAAAATACAAAATTAGCACGGTGTGGTGGCGCATGCCTGTCATCCCAGCTATTTGGGAGGCTGAGGCAGGAGAATCGCTTGAACCTGGGAGGCGGAGTTTGCGGTGAGCCAAGATTGCACCATTGCACTCCAGCCTGGGCAACAAGAGCGAAACTCCATCTCAAAAACAAAACAAAACAAACAAACAAAAAAAAAAACAACTCTGGGAACAGGGAGGTATAGCCTTTCCAAGGAGCCTTTCCTGCTCCAAAAAGCAGCTCCACATGCAGCAGGCGTCCTGAGAGCAGGATGGGACTCCTGTGGGATCAGTCTCTAGGGCTTGGCCTCTCTGGGCCTTGGTTGCCTTCACTGTCAAATGGGTTAACAGCATCAGCATCCAACACAAGATGCTTCTGGGAGGATGAAATAGCTCTTAGGCTGAGTTCATGGGCCATGGCTAGAGCTGATGGTCCATGTTAGGGTCAAAAGTGAGGGGTCAGGATGCATACACCCCTCCCACTAGGACAAAAGTCCTCACTGTCATTCCTTCTTAGGTGGATAAGGGGACTTTATGAGCCAAACCTCAGAGCCTAATTAATGCAGTTAATCACAGGCCCAGCCACACTGGCCATGGGGACAGCTGGGAGGGAGGGTCACAGCTCAGTTACCCAAAAGCATGGAGGGGCATGAAACAAGGTTATTGGTGGCCTTCTCCTCCCCCATGGCCCTGAATGGAGGCTTTCCTATACCCTGCTAATCAGCACCCATCCTGCAGCCCCAGCTCACTGGGCAAGTCCCTTCTCGTGTCCAAATCCCGTTTCTCGCGCTGCAGCTCAGGAAGCACGTGGGATCTGCAGTCAGGGTCCTGGCTGTCTCTAATCAGGCAGGTTAGTTAGATTGGTCTCCCAATGGCTGGGCTGAGTAACACTGAGTTTGCTGATGGTGGTGGGATGGGTGGGTTGAGTCATAACTTCTTGGAATCCAGTGTCTAGCCCAGGAGAAAGGCAAGAATGAAGACAGGAGCTGGTGGCAAGGAAGAAAATGCCCCTTTCTCCCTCAAAGGGGCCTGTGCATGTGATGCTTTATGGGGGGTAGGGGGCGGAGGGGTTGGTCAAAGACTGGCCAGGGTTGTAGCAGGAGGGGCAGCCCACGCGGGCAGGGGCGCTGCCGTGTTATAAATCACCCTCGACTCAATTAGAGCCTGTGAAAGGTTGTGCACACCCAGCAGAAAGCTCCGCGCTTGGCGGGCAGCCAGCTCTCTGAGGGGGGCTGGGGGCGAGAGCTTGTGTGTGCCTACGTGTGTGTATGTGTGTGCCTGTGTCTTACTGTGCAGATGTGCTTGTGTGCCCTTGTGTGTGTTTCTGTGCCTGTGTGTACCTGTCTGTGCCTGACCTATGTGTGCCTGTGGTGGGGGGAGAGTATACATGCCTGTGGACTCTTGCATATGCAATATGCTCCAATGTCCTTGTGTGTTTGTCACCAGGTGCATCTGTATGCACCTGTTCATGCCTATTTGTGCTGTGTGTGCACTTGTGTGTGTGTTGGATGGGTGGCTGTCCTCGTGCCCATGTGCACTTGAGTGTGAGTGTGTGCGTGATTGTGTCTCTCCATCGCTTTGCCTCTGTATGTCTCCTTGCCTGTGTGCACCCAGGTGACAGTGCATGCTGGTGATGAGTTGAGCTGGGCTGGATGTGTGGGTGGGAGTGGAAGGGTGTTCTTATGGTAGGGGGAGAGTTATATGTTTTTAGGGAGAGGCAGAAACAGAAAAAGAGACATGGATGGATGGAATTATGGGCCGGCAGAGAGAGAGTGAGAGCCAGAGGAACCTAGTAGAGAGAGACGTGACCAGTAGGAGAACTAAGCTTTGAGGAGTGTGAGGGGCTTGGCAGTGTCGAGGATCTGCCAAGGACAACCACCTCCACCACTGAGTCAAGAGGCTGGACTGGCTGGGTGCAGTGGCTCACACCTGTAATCCCAGCACTTTTGGAGGCTAAGGTGAGAAGATTACCTGAGGTCGGGAGTTCCAGACCTGCCTGGACAACATAGGAAGACCCAGTCTCTACAAAAAAATTTAACATTAGCCGGGCATGGTGACACATGCCTATAGTCCCAGCTACTTGGGAAGCTGAGGTGGGAGGATTGCTGAGTCTAGAAGGTTGAGGCTGCAGTGAGCAGAGATCATGCTACAGCACTCCAGCCTGGGTGACAGAACGAGACCCTGTCTCAAAAAAAAAAAAAAAAAAAAAGGCTGGACCCTAGCCATGCCATGGAAACACTGTCCTAGAGTGGCCAAAGAGCAACCTTGGAGGTCATCTCTCCTTCCCTGATGATGGGCGGTGATGAGCATCGACATCTCAATTATCTCACAGAACGCTCACAGGCACACTGTGAAACACGCACTATTACAATTTCCACTTTGTAGATACCAAAACTGAGGCTCATTGACTTGCTCTCAACAAGTAAAGTAGAGCCAGGGTCTGAACCTGGGTTTGTCTAATTGCAAAGGTCTTGCCACATTCATTACTGTTTCCCCAGGGTTCCCAGTTGGTCACACTTGAAGGGGGTGGGAGGAGAGTCTGTGTGAGTATGTGTAGGTGGGTGGGTATGCCTCCCCATCTGCCTGGGCACTCTCTGAACCCCAGGCTGCTGTGCCCCTAGGGCCAGCACACAGTAGATGCCAAAGAAATATCTAAGTAGGGAACCAAGAGTAGCTGGCAGAAGGGAGCTTGGGGTGGGGAGAGGAGTTTGTGAACCATCCCAAGGATACTGGCCACCTCCGCCCCCCTCTCAGGCAGGAGGTGCTGTCTTGAGTCCCAGAAGACTGTGGAGTAGGAGCTGAGATTTTCCCAGAGCTAGGCTGGGCTCTGCCTCATCTTCATTCATACCCAGAGCTGAACCACCTGGATGTATCTCTAGACCAGCATCATGTCTCACCTGTCCCTCCTCTACCCAAGCCACAGTGATATCCAGACCCTGCCATGCCCCCAGGAACATTTGGGGCCCTGAATAAGGATCCCCATGGGAGAGGCCTGCACAGGAACCATTAGTCAGGAGCCAATTTGGAGCCCTGGGCTTAGTTTCCCCCATCTATAATGGCATTTCTTTGAGGAGTAGTAGGAGGGATCTAAATCGCTCAGTCCTGGGCCTCCTTGCTCAGCCTGGAGAACCCCACCCTGGAAGTTGCCCCAGGCCTCAGATCCAGCAAGGCTGGATAGAGTGAGGAATGCAAACCCAGAATGGGCTTCAGCCTCCCTCTTGCCCCAGACACCCAGGCCCCACAAGGGTTCCTCTTCCCCAGGCTCTTGACAGACTCTTTCCCTGAACCATCATCCCATCAGTGGCCTTGTTCTGCTCTCATTTACTGACCAGGTGCCAGGGGTGGGAGGGGCTTGGGCCTCCCCTAGGGCAACCTCCAGGAGGAAACCTAGCTTTGTGCTGAACCTTCACCCTGCCTTTTCTGCAGGCCCCACATCTGGAACCATTTCAGGCAGAAGCATAAGGCTGAGCTGCCCCTCCTTTGATGATGTGGCTATGGGGAAGGGTCATGCCCTTTGGAAGGTTGGGGGTTACAATGCATGGAGGGCAGCCCTCCTGAGGCTAGGAAAAGGGAGGAGAGGGAGCAACAGGAATGGGCAGGGCTGGTGGAGGCTGGGCAGTTTGGAGTTGAGATATTCATATTTTGGGTTTTTTTTTGTTTTGTTTTTTTGTTTTTGAGATGGAGTCTTGCTCTGTCGCCCAGGCTGGAGTGCAGTGGCATGATCTCAGCTCACTGCAAGCTCAGCCTCCTGGGTTCACCCCATTCTCCTGCCTCAGCCTCTGAGTAGCTGGGACTACAGGCGCCTGCCACTACACCTGGCTAATTTTTTTGTATTTTTAGTAGAGACGGGGTTTCACCGTGTTAGCCAGGATGGTCTCTATTTCCTGACCTCGTGATCCACCCACCTCGGCCTCCCAAAGTGCTGGGATTACAGGCATGAGCCACCACACCCAGCCTGGTTTTTTTTTTTTTTTAAGACGGTCTCGATCTGTTGCCCAGGCTTGAGTATAGTGGCACAATCACGGCTCACTGCCTCAACCTCCTGGGTTCAAACCATCCTTCTTCTTCAGCCTCCCAAGTTGCTGGAACTATATGCTCACACCACCATACCAGCTAATTTTTGGTGTTTTTCATTTGTTTGTTTGTTTTTGTTTGTTTGTTTGTTTTGTAGAGATGGTGTTCTGTCATGTTGCCCAAGCTGGTCTCAAACTCCTAGGCTCAAGCAATCTGCCCACCTCGGCCTCCCAAAGTGTTAGGATTACAGGCATGAGCCACTGTGCCCAGCCAGTTGAGGTAATTGTGTCTTGGTGCCCAGCACTGGAAGAGAAGCAACTCCTCCAATATGTGGGATCAGGGGACAACTGCAGAAAGGATACCGTAGATGACCAGCATCTTCATCCCTGAGGAAAGGAATCCAAGCTTCACTCTTGGTACGCCTCAGTTTCCCCATTATTTAAATGGAGACATTACTTTCCACACAGGATTCTGGGGAGGATCCATGGTGAGATGATGTTTTGGCACAGGGCCAGCACATCCTAGCTGCTCAGAATGGGGCAGTGGCTGCTGCTGTTGCTACTATTACTGCTTTGTTTAAAACATAGCTGCTTCCACCAAAGCTGCCATCCAGCTGAGAAGATCAGGACAACACACCCAAATCAGTCAGAGAAAATGCAATCAGACACTGGAACTCTGGGAGAGAAGGATCCTGGAGGGCTGGGCAGTCAGGAAGAAGTTCTCAGAGGAAGTAACCTGGGGCTGAACTTCAGAGATGGGAGAGTGAAGCCAGCCAGAGTGGTGGGTAGAGGGCATGCTAGGGGGGAACCGACTGAGCAAAGCCCTGGAACAGGAGGGTGCCCTACAGGTCAGGTGGGCCTGAGTGTGTAAGAAGCAGAGAAGCCAGCTGGGGTCGGTTGGGTGCTCCAGGGGGCCTGACTTACCCTGGGGAGACGAAGGGGGAGACTGGATGCTAACTGCCACCTTTAAGGAAGGACTGTCTGCCCTGAGGCCCATCCCACCTGCACTCCATCCCAACAGAAGTCCCGAGGATCCGCAGGGGGCCACTGACACCCACCCCTATGTATTCACCCCCCCCAACATACCCCAGGGCTCCTAGAAATCAGGTGACTGCTCCCTTCTCTCTTTATTTATTCTCTGTTTTTTCCCTTTTCAGGAGACGATAATTATTCAGATCATCGCGGTGATTTACTCGGCAATCAGAGCCGCTCGATGCGGTGGCCGCGGAGCCGAGACAGACGAGCATTGCCTAGGAGGACGGGCCGGGGGCTCAGCGCCCCTCCCTCCCACCTGCCCGGCCTTTGTTCTCTTCGAGGTCTGCACCCGCGCTGCCTGGCGGGCAGTGGAGGCGCCCACCCGCGCGGACATGGCAGCAAGCTCGGGGTCTTGGGAATGAGTGTGCACATGAGTTCGCCCGGGGGAGGGGAGTTTGGGGGCTCGTGTGTTGCTGGGTGCTGGCTTGAAAATGATGGAGTACCTGTGTGCATGTTTGGGGGTGGTAGTGGTGGTGGTTGGGAGTGTACTAATGCACGAGCATTGCGGTCAGGTGTGTAATTGGAATGTGTGCACCTGTGTGATTACCGGGGGCCTAGGGTACATCTGTCTCCACAGGCTTGTTCAGAAGTGCAATGGGCAGGTGCCCAAATATGTGTATTTTAGGCACATAGCGGGGAGGAGAAGAGAGTTGGGGCTCTTGTGCTGAAGCTGTCTGAGGTGATCATGGAATCATGGATGTGGCAGGGCTGGGTTCTAGCTCAGCCTCTCGAACCGTGTCTGGCTGGGTAGGTGGGGTGGGGGCGGGGGAGTGTGAATCAGCTCAGATCCAAATGCCGAGTTTTCCTGGGTCAGTGCTGGGGCCCCGGGGGTCACGTGAATACAGATGTGGCTCGGTTCACAGGCTGTGTTCACACGTGTCCGCAGACCTTCGCCCCCTCCCGCCCGCGGGCTGGCGCAGTGACGGTGACCTCATTACCGCCTCCGCAAAGGCCCCTTGAAATCCCTGCGCCGTCGCATTTGGCTGCTCAAAGTGATGGGAACGGCCTGAGCTTCCTGATCAATCGCTTAAAATTCAGGGTCGGCTCGCTCGCGGGAGAGGGCTGCCTGCCAGCCCCGCGCACCGCGCTCTGCCGCCTCCCCCTACACCCCCTCCTTGCTTTGGCGGGGCGATGCTGTCGTATTGGAAAACATCCCCGCGCTGGCTGGGGGGCCCGGTGGGGCCAGCGCTGGAAGCCGTTCCACTCGAGCAGATGGCTGTGAAACTTTGGCGGCGAGATAAATTGGGTCTGACGGCGTGAGGCCGGCTCACAGATGGGCGGGATTCTCACGCCGGCCCCCACGTCCGGCCGGGCTGCGGGCAGGGCCGACACCGCTCAGAGCCCCCTTTGGGCACCCGCCTCGCCAGCACAAGCCTTCAGGAGGCCACCCATCCGGCAACAGCCTTCCTCAGCCGAAGGCGCCCTCCACCACATTCCTTCCGGCCCCAGATCTCCCCAGAGACGAGCCCAGAGGGAGGGACAGCCCCCAGCCCCCGCCCGGTCACCTCCGCCAAGCTGGCAGCTGGGCTTTCCCCCTCCTCTGCCATCCGCAGAGGCCTGAAGCGTGAAGGTTAACAGCTGGGGGGGAGGCTGCGTCTCCCTCTCTCACCCCCGCTCTGCTGCAGCCCCGCCCACCTGCCAGCCCAGGGGATGTCGTAAACAGGGCTGTGAGGTGTGTGTGTGTGCGGGGGGTTGGGGGTAACTGAAGGGGGGGAGACAAGAGAGAGTCAGACAGACAAAGAGAGGAACGAAAATGAGCAAGAGGCGAGCGGAGACCTGAGCAGAGACTGAGGGACAGAGACAGCTAGAGACAGAGACAGGCAGAGAAAGAAATGGAGATGGAGATGTGGAGATAGACACGGAGACACCCAGAGAGAGAAGGGAGGGAGGAGGAACCTCAGAGCCAGAGAGGAGACACACAATGAAAGTGGGAGGAGGGCGAAGGACCGGGCGAGGGGACAGGATACTGGCAGAAATGCAGGCTGCCTCGAGCTGCGGACGACCGTGGAGGGTGGGGACGAGCCGAGGTTGGGAGCAGGGTGCGACCCTGGGCTACCCTCACTCCTGCACCCACCACCAGGGCTGGGAGCCAGAGCGAGGGAGCGTCGCTGCCCCTGGGTGCGCCCTCCATCGCTACGCCACTTGCCCGCCTCGGCTTCCCCGGGAGCGCTAGATGAAGGGAATGGCGGGGTTGGGGAGCCGTGGGGGTCAGGGGGTGCTGCGCGGCCATCACACTGCCGCAAAGCCAGCCTGTCTAGCAGCCTCCCTCGCGCATCAGTCCAGCGGGCAGATATCGATCCCGCCCAGCCAAGCTCTATACTCGCGGCCTGCAGCCCGTTCTGTGGCGGTCCTACAAAGAAGCGGGGGTGCCTCACTTCTCGGGCCTCCCCCGCGGGGGATTCTGTACCAGAATAACACCCCCGGGGCCAGGGTCAGGGCGGCACACTCGCCCCCGCCTGTCCCAGCGCGATCCCATTCGGCGGGCCCAGGTAGCCTGCGGCAGGGAGAAGGCTCGGGTGACCCCCCAGCCCCGCCTTCTGCAGGGCGCGCGAGGCCAGAGGAAAAAATCTTCGCTGAGTTGATGAAGTTGAAGTTTCGTTCAGGGCGTGAAGGAGACAGCCAATCAGCGGGCCGTTATTTACATGGGCTCTCTGATTGGCTCTCACGGTGCCTCTTTAGAATGTTACTTTGAGACCTTCACAGAACGAAAAGCCCCCCGCTGGGGGTGGGGGAAGGCTCAGAAGCTCCAAGGTTTCATGTAGGGCTCCCCAGGCCAAGCTTTGAGGGAAGATGGGGAGCTTAGATATAGTTTTGTCCAGCTTTCACGATACAAATGACCAACTTGAGTCTGGAGAGACAGAGAGGTGGAGCTTGGCCTGGATCCAGGAGATGAGTTCGGCCTAGCGCTCTGCAGTGGGCCCACCACCCCTGATACCTAGACGTGTGGTCACCTTGGCGGTGGGGAGGAGGGGCTTGGTCCTGGCAACCCCTCTCATCCAATAGCAAGAGAGGGGCTGATTCAATGGTTTGAGGGGGCAGGAGCAGGTAAACCTGGCGGTGTCGGTCTTGTTTGTGACCGGACAGTGTGGGTGGTACCATCATGTTGGAAACCCCGCAAATAATGCAGCCCCAGAGGCAGGCCAGGCTGACCCTGAGGTCATGTTTCACTTGACAGCCTGGGCAGGCACACGTGAACACAGGAGACCCCCAGGCGGGGGCCTCGGGGCCTCAAGAAGTGGGTTTGCTCTGAAGGGAGTGGCACTGGGCAACCCGCAGCAGCTCCGCACTGCCCCGCACCCGCACTACCGCATCCAGCAGACACTGAGTCACTCTTGGGGACGGGGGCGAAGTCAGGACATTGGCAGCTAGGAGCAGAGAAGTTCTCTCAGAAGGCCTCCACCCTGCCTTCCCCACTGCGTCGGCCCCGCCCACCCATGCTGGGAAAAGGGCCCCCTGGGGTTGCCATTCGCAAATCCTGCCCAGTCTCCTGGCCCACACTCCTCCCCAGGCGACTCAGCATAGATGACTCAGGACTTGGAGTGGGGCTGTTAATGGGCAAATGTGGTGGTAGGGGGGCCTGAGTGTGTGGCCGAGGCTGGAAAGTCCCTCCACCATCTGCCTGTGGCAAATTGAGGGACAGGTAGGAGAATTCACTCTAGTGGGGTTCTAACCCTGCCCCAATTCTTTCACAGTGACACAGCCTGGAGACCCAGCTCTGTCACTCAACTCTACATAGCCTTCACCCAGAGCCTGACAGTGTATATGAACAAGAGGCTGTGCCTGTGAGTACTTGCGTGCCAGCAGCTGGCCTTGTGACATGCCCCTGTGGGACCTTGGGCTGCAGCATCAAGTGCTAGGGCAAACACCTTGTTTGCAGAAGACCCAAGGACCCCACAGCCAGTGCCAGGACAGCTAAGAGACTCCACCACCTGCCACCCCCCAGAACTTACCCTGCTAATGAACCAAACTTGCTGTGTGACTTTGAGTGCAGCTCGCACATCTCTGGGCCTCAAACTTCTCTGTAAAACCATGCCCTCCTGAATGTACCATTCCCAGTGGTGGCAGCTGCAGAGAAATCACAATAGCAGGGGCAGGGTCCAAGAAGGGCCTGAGAAGCTGGTTCAGCCTGTGGTCTGGGAGCCAAGTGGGGCAGGGACAAGATTGCCAAGTCCCACGGTTCTCACCAATTCTCATAATCTCATCTCTCCTCTTGTCTTCCTGCCCGCCTCATAAATAGCAGGAGGCTGGGCTGGGTCTGGGGCAGGAGCGGGGAGCTGCATGTGTGCATTTGTGTGTGTGTGTGTACACACACATGGGGAGGGTGTGAGAGCCTTCCCCCCACCCCCGCCGCTGCCACCATCGTGCTCTGAGAAGCTGAGATAATCCCTCGCCATCTGTCTTGTGTTGCTAACCCACTCAGCCGGACAGCTGCCCGGGCCACAGCTCTACAGGCGAGCAGGCGGGGGAATGAGGGGCATGGGGGGAGCTAGCCAACTCTGAGGACCAGGCAGCAGGGACACTCAGTCCTCCCATCCCAGAATACCCCTGCTCTAGAAAGGGAAAGTAAAGTCAGAGAGGGGACAGGCAGGACTTCCCCCATTCCTGCTTCTGAACCTGGGAAGGATTGGAGGAGTGGAGACCATTCCCTGGTCTGGGAGTTGGAGGCCGAGCCTCCCAGAATGCAGGAAGGTGATACAGGATCACCGTCTAGCTTATGTTGTTATGAGCCCACACAGATCACTGTGATGGGAGGGGTGCAGTAGGACAAGTCAGGCCTTCTGGGCGCAGGGAAGGGAAGAAGGGGTCGTCTCATACTTCCCCAGCCTCCAGACAGGCCAGTGTCCCAGGCCTCCAATGGTCAACTTCCCAGAGCCAGGAGGAGAAGGCAGGCTTCTAGGATTTGGGGTGGATAATGCTTAGTGTACAGGCCCATTGTTCTGATGAGGAAACTGAGGCTCAGAGAGTGAAGTGACTTGCCCCAGCTCACCCCATGAGTGGAGGAGCTGGAACTTGGACCAGACATCAGGCTCCAGCAGCCCTAGCTCTGCAGCCTGTTCTTTCTGCCTGCTCCCCATCATCAAGCCCCTCACCCTGCCTCACCTTCCCAACTTGTGGCTATCCCATCCTGGGGCTCTGATGTTCTGTCAGCTGAAGCCCAGCAACCAGACTCTCAGCAGTATGGTCCCAATGCAGTCCAGGGGATTTCAGCCATGACAAGCAGAGCCTGAGGAAGGATGAAACTGTGCACTCAGTGTGGGCTCCCACCCTCCGCCCCTTCCCTGTCAATCATCTTTCACCTCTCCCACACAATTAGCATGCTTCCACACACATGCACTCTCAAATACAGATCGTACACACTCATGTGATCACACAGACAGGTCCTCACTCACAAAAAGACATAAACAGTCACACCTACAGGGATTGAAACATACAATCTTACAGATACAAAGGCAAACTCAGACAGCCTCTCACCTCCTCACACCAACACGCAGACCCCAGCACTCACACCAAACACACATTCCACCCCCACAACCTCCACACACTGCAGGCTCCCAGTTCCTAAATCTCACCAGCTTCCAACCTCCCAGGTTCTCCATCTTACCCCACACGAAGCAGTAACCCTCCAGGGTCAGTGCGTTGGTAGGAGTGGGTACCAGAGAGACGTCTGCTCTGTCCTTCCTGCCTATGGGTGAGGGCCCTCCAGCAAGGTGCTGGTGAGCCTCCATACCCTCCCCATCCCCCAAGACTTTGGAGAGCTTCCACCTGGCCACAGATCCAAGAGAACAGTCCTCACCTCTTGCCCACAGGGGCTCGCAGCTCTCCTAGGCCCAGGAGGAGGAAAGGGACCAAGGGGAGGCAACTGCTTCTCTTCTGAGGGTCTCAGCTTGCCGGGAAATGACACATACCGAAATAATCTGACAGTGTTCTGAGCCCCCACAGGGCCACAGACTCCAAGTCCTCTTCATGATCCAACCACTACATACCTTTTTTCCTAAACTGCTGCTTCTCTGCTTTTTCCCCACTCCAACCAGCCCTTAAGGGACTGTAGAAGCAAAGGTGAGCTGACCCCCTCCCACTCCAGGCTGGAATTTGGCTCTCAGATCACTGTATTCTCTTGAGCCAGAGGGAGCTCCTCCCTGAGCCCGGCTCCCCCGCAGCTAAGGAGAGCCCAGGCTCCAGATACACTCACACACTCATTCACACACAATGTGGCACACTCACACCTGCACTCATGTAGATGCTCACCTGCACACATCCTCATGCACGTTCACAGCCACACTCACACACGCACTCACACTGTCACCCCCTCCTGCTCTCACATGCTCACTGTCACTCTCATGCTCAGTCACACCTCGCCCTATCACACTCATGGCCCTACCTGAGCAGGCTGAAGCTCGGGGGCCCTGAGGTCCATAGATCACTGGCAGAGGCCTAGAGTCTGGTGTTGACAGCCTGGTTGCACAGGGAGAGGGGAAGGGCTGCCACTGAGGCCTGGAGGGTCTTGAATAATTCAGGGTGGTGGTGGCGGTGGTGACCGCAGCCTGTCAGCTGCAGGGAAAGGCTGGTGGCTAGATTGTTCCGGGAAGCTCGCTCCTGGTGGTTTGAGGAGAGTCAGCCCAGTTTGAGGGCTCACTGAACACACAAAGCACTTTTCCCACACGCTTTCAAGGCACGTTGTCACATGGGCCTGCACAGCAGGCATCACGGCCCCGTTTTACAGGTGAAGAAACTGAGGCTTTCATGAGGGAGAACTCACAGCTATCAAGCAGGGGCCTCCAGGCTCCCACCCACACTCCTCTCCCCCATACCCACATATACCCTGGAGAGAGCTTCCTCTGATCATCGTGCCCAGATGACAATGAGAGATGCCAGCCATCTGAGGACACTCTGGAATGTGATGCCAGGGCCTGAATCCAGGAAGCACCTGGCTTAGGGCCTGCACATAGTAGGTGCTCAGTTGCTGCCTGCCAAATGAGGGCATTGTGCAGAGGCAGCACGGAGTAGCCTGGGGCCATACCTCTGCCTCTTACCCAAGTTGCTAAACCTCTCTGAGCCTCAGTTTCCTTATCTATAAGATGGGCACTAAGTGTACTGGCCTTATGGGATGTTGGTGAGGACTAACCGGGAAAACACACCTAAGCCAGTTAGCTTGGGTCTGGTCTGTAAGAAGGGCTCCACATTGCACCTAAATTGTGATGCGAATACCCTTGCCACAAAGAGAGAGAGCCACAAAGTGGTGGTCTGCACACACACGTACTCTCTGCCTAGGGCATACTCCTTACTGTCCTTTGCTGTTGTCTGCTTTTCAAGGGTGAGTGCTTCTGCCACTTTCTCCAGGATGACAGCTGTGGACTCCTGCCACATCCAACACCCCCTTGCTGCTCCCCACCGCCCTCCTTGGCACCCAGGTGGCTGATCTCCTATGGTCTTGCTGGCTTCTCTACCTTGTATGCTGAGGGCGGGCCCAGCCTGCCCCAGCTCAGGGTCTGCACATAGTAGGTGCTTGCATGTTGCCTGCTAAACTGACAGCCCTGTAACCATGTCAGCACAAAGCAACCAGCATTTTGGGTGCATCTGCAGTTAAAATAAACCACTGAGGTCATGGGTCTGTTCTCTCTGCAAAAACAAAAATACCCCACTAGCCATATCTGATGAGAACCATAGCAAAAGATCAGAATGTAATGGCTTCATCCAGAAGCAAAGCATGAGGTTCCAAACCATGTCCCTGACCTGAAGGGGCACCTGCCCAGGCCCAGGGGTGCCAACTCCTAGAGGCAGCTGGCATGTGACTACTGTGCCCAGTAGAGAAAGGCAGACACTCAGTCCCCAGAGCCCAGAGCCCCGAGGGAATTATGGAACATCCTCCATATTTGATTCAAAATAAAAACCACAGTAAACCATAGACCCAAAACTTATACGTCGGCTGAAATTAAAATAGCTTCTTGCTACGTTTTCTGGTTTCAATATTCTGGATAAACTCATGGAAGCTGAATCAGGCAATTTGTCTGTCTCTTGCTTTGTTTCTGCTGTTGCCCCTGCTTTGCAGGGATCTCAGCACACGCTTGGTCTCCCCTCTGAAGCAGACCCCAGCCGGGTCTGGGGGGTGTCCAGTCCTGCACTCCCAGGGCTGATCCCCCCAGGAAGGTATCCATGCCTATGCACACACCACCCCCATGGGTTCTTGTGGCCCCTCAGGAAGGGGGCAGGACCAGGGCCCAGCCTTGGCCAAGAGCTGCCCCCAGCAGACCTCTCTCTGCCACTGCTCCCCACAAGGTTTCCAGCACCCCCAGCCCCTCCCTCTTCTGGGGAACCTTGCGGCTGGGCCCGTGCCTGCGGCGAGTCTCACCCCAGTATTATTTTAGTCGCAGACAGACACGAGGCAGATGGTGACAACATCCCTTCCCCGCTCCCCACTGACGAGCCGTTGCCGCCCTGAAGCCTCAGGGTTCTTCTCCCTCAGGAATATTTCAGTCCCGACTCGGTGGCTAAATGCGGCTGCTCGTGTGAGACAAGCGCACATCTGCGCCTCCTCCTCCCTACCCCCTACCCATTTCCTGAGGCTGAGCAGAGCCCTGGGGAGGCCCTGCCCACTTGCAGCTCTGCCCCATCCTCCCAGCTGCCCTACTGTGTGCCAGGCATCATGCCATGAGCATGGTACCACTGGGAGAGGGCAGTTACTGTGCCCACTTTACAGATGAGGAAGCTAAGGCTCAGAGTGAAGCAGGGGCCATCCCAGATCACACAGCAGGAGAGAAGGCGTTCCCTTGGGTCCCAGTGCACCCTGGAGACAGACACAGCCTCCCTCTGCTCCTTCCCCACCCCTCAATCCTCCACCTTACCACCCCTGTGCCTACTCCAGGCAACTTGCCTTTCTAGGAGCTATTTCATTGTGCCCACTCTCCTGCATCAACCTGTAGCCCAGGGCACGGGGCTAGCCAGCTAGCTGGTCCTAGCTCAGTGGGCATTCGGCTATAATTGTGACTACCGAAGTCAGGATGGACAAATGCAGGAGGAGGAGACCTCTTGCATGAGACAGGCCTGGTTTCAAATCCCAGCTTTGTTATGACTTTGGGCAAATCACTTCACCTCCCAGGACCTGTTTCTTCATCTGTAAATGCACAGCAGCAGTATAACCTCTCCTTACCCCTAATTCAATGAGTGACTGCTATATTCCCAGCACCTAAAGCAGGGCCTGGAACACAGTGGGTGCTCAATGTGTATTTGCTAAATGAATGACACAGGTAATAAGATGAGCATCAGCCCTGGCTCCATGGAGCTAGTCCTCCCAGCAGCCCCACCCTCAAAAAGGCCTGGGGCCAGCTCTGCCTTGGTGGCCCACTAGGAGCTGAAGTTGGTCACAAGAGCCAAACAGAGTCTTGTCTCTAGGCCCCTCCCCAAGCCCCACAATGCAAAGTGCTTGGGGCCTTAGGGGGCGGGCCATGGGCACGGGGACCCCATAATAGGCCTGGGTGCCAGCCAAGTGTGGGAGTTGGGCTGAGGTTGTTTTGGTTCCCTCATGCCCCCTTCTCCAGCCACCCACCCTGACTGGCCAGGGGTGGTGAAGCTGGACAAGGGCTCTTTGAGGGCTTGGGACACTTTCTGGGCAGGTGAGGACATGTCTATTCCCAGTCAGGCCTCCTGGCTGTGGGCTCCCTACCCCAGCACAGTCCGACACCCCACCCCCCACCACACCTCAGCTGGCCTTCTGGGGCTGGGCCAAGATACACACTGACAAACCAGCACACAAAAACACCACCCACCACAGTGACACTCACACCCTGTAAAGATATACAAAGCATATACACACAAACATACACCACCCAACTGAAGGCACAGAAACAAACAGACGCAATTTAGTGTGCACGGCAAGGTACACAAGCTCACAATGTCTGTGATGCAGAGCGCACCATGTGCACCCAGCGCAGGGTGTATCCATATAGTCACACAGCATGGCTGCTAACACGTGTGTGGCACAACCCAGCCCAGGTACATAGCTCAGGAGCACAGATGTGCACAGCAGGAGGTATGAGGCCAGTCTTGCACCGAAGCTGAGGTCTGTCTCCCCATACCAGACCAGCAGCTCAGGGACAGGTTGGGGTAGGGACACAGGGCCATCGGAAGAGGAAGAGGGCAGGCCGGGCCCAGGGTGGGGGTGTGTCGGGGTCAGCTCTGCAACCCCCACTTTTACAGGACTTGGCCGAGGCATCAGTGCCTGCAACAAGCAGGTTTTTTTGTGGTAAAAAGGTCAGGACCCTCACCTCTAATCACATTGACATGTCACTACCAATCTCTCCCCTCAGCAGCCACCTCTGCCCAGGTCACCCTCACACTCACGCATGGCATAAGAAACTGGATGAGGCTACTCACTGTCACCATAAAAGCCAATACAAAGGGAAAGAGAGGCTGAGTGTCAGTCAGTGCAGGTGCGGAGACACTTTTCAGCAGGGAGTTCTGGGCAGCAGACCACCCTCTGCCAATCATGGTCAGTCAGGAAGGGTAAGTTCATCTCAGTGGCCACACATCAACCCAGCCCTGAGAACACAGCCCTGAGGCCAGCCGGCTTGGGAAGGCCTCCTGGTGAAGGACAAAGGCCCTCCTCTCTGGCGCTCCCTGTTCCTGGCACATCTCATCCATTGCTTCCCATCTCTGGTCACTGCTCTGCGGTGCCCACTGCCCTGGCACTGGCATTCAAGGGCCCTAGTTATCTGACCCCATTCAGAGCTTTTTTCTCCAGGCCTTCACCAATGCTGTTTCCTCCACCAATGGTGCATTCCCAGCCTCCACTTTTGGTGGCCTCTCCATCCATCAAAATCAATGCCACCCCTCCCCCCACAAGAAACCTCCCCAGTCACTGCCAGGAAAAAAATTCTCACTTCAGTCCTGGAATGAGAGATGAGGACCCATGTGGGGCTCTGCTGGACCCCAGTGTCCTAATCAGCAAAATATGAAAGACACGGCCCATCACCACTGAGAGCAGAAGAGACAGAACAACAAGTGCAGTGATCCCAAAGTAGGGTTCACAGACCCCTGGGAGTCTCCCAGACCTTTTCAGGGGTAGATGAGGTCAAAATTATTTTACTAATAATACTAAGACATTATTTGACTTCTTTATTATGTCTAAGCCATACTAGGTAAAACTGTTGCTGGCTTAGCACAAATCAAACTGTACTAGGAGTCATATTCGGCACATGTATGCAGAATTCACATAAAACGCTTCTATAACATACCAGAGTTGGCCAGACGTGGTGGCTCATGCCTGTAATCCCAGCACTTTGGGAGGCCGAAGCGGATCACGAGGTCAGGAGTTCGAGACCAGCCTGGCCAACATAGTGAAACCCCGTCTCTACTAAAAATACAAAAATTAGCTGGGTGTGGTGGCACGCACCTGTAGTCCCAGCTACTTGGGAGGCTGAGGCAGGGGAATCGCTTGAACCCGGGAGGCAGAGGTTGTGGTGAGCCGAGATCCCACCACTGCACTCCAGCCTGGGCAACAGAGCAGGACTCCGTCTCAAAAACTATATATATATATATATATATATATATATATATATCAATCAAAGTGTGTTGGCTGCCTCAAGAAAAGCATTTATGCTATTGTTTGAGTTGCGAGCTGAACTAGCTGGTTTTTTTATGGCACGTCATTTTTACTTGACAGAAAGACTGACAGGCAGTCTTGGATATTTGGCAGTTATTCTCTCACAAATAATGAAGTAAGCCAGTCACTTCAAGGAAAACAACACACAGTATTTGTTGCCAATGATAACAATCTTTTTGTTTTGTTTTGTTGTTGTTGTTGTTTGGGGACAGGTCTCACTATGTTACCCAGGCTGGATGCAAACTCCTGGGCTCAAAGGATCTTCTCGCCTCAGCTTCCTGAGTAGCTGGGTCTACAGGTACACACTGCTATGCCCAGCTAAAATTCTATTTTCATTTTGCATATTCTGCTTATGTATAAAATTATATTTTTAAGTGAAATTTAAATTTTGAAAGACAGGTATACAACACCATAACACCATAAGCTTCACAGTTTCCTGGTACATTTCTAATGAAACTGTTGGTGATATCCATGGATGTGATTTTTTAATATGGCATAATGAAATGTGTTAATAATTGAGAGATCTTTATAACTCAGTGAACAAATATTTTTTATTTTAAAAAATTATTTATTTATTGTTCATTTTTTAGAGACAGGGTCTTGCTATGTTGCCCAGACTAGCTTCGAACTCCTAGACTCAAGAAATCCTCCTGCCTCAGCCTTCCACGTAGCTGGGATTCCAGGCATTGTGCCCAGAAAAATTTTCTTTTTTTTTTTCTGAGATGGAGTTTCGCACTGTCACCCGGGCTGGAGTGCAGTGGCGCGATCTCGGCTCACTGCAACCTCTGCCTCCCAGGTTCAAGCGATTCTCCTGCCTCAGCCTTCCGAGTAGCTGGGATTACAGGCACCCGCCACCAAACCCAGCTAGTTGTTTTTTTTTTTTTTGTATTTTTAATAGAGGTGGGGTTTCACCATGTTGGCCAGGCTGGTCTCGAACTCCTGACCTCATGATCCGCTCGCCTCGGCCTCCCAAAGTGCTGGGATTACAAGCGTGAGCCACTGCGCCTGGCCTTCAGAAAAATATTTTAAATGACATGCATGCTGTTATAAAATCATGTGTGGATAAAAGATCCATTCAAAATGTGAGTTAGACAAGTGGACTTTAATAGTAACAGATATGAAAAGCTCATTGATATGGTTTCAGGCTCCAAATGATATTAACCTTTAGGAAACTACCACTTGTCAAGTTTTGGTGTAGTATCAAATTATCCCAAAAGGCTAATAAAGCACTACTCACTCTTCCAACTATAAATCTGTGTGAGGCCAGGTTTTCCTCATATACTTTAACCACAACAACAACAAAATTATGTGCCTATCTATAATCACCACCGATTCAAAGTAAAAGCAGATATGAGAATCCAGCCCAGCCCCACGAGGCCTGTTTGCTCTATTAAGCCAGATATTAATGAGATTTGCAAAAATGTAAAAACAATGCCACTCTTCTTGCTCATTTTGTTTTATTCTAGAAAATAAGGTTGTTGTTTTTCTTTTTCTTTTTTTTTAATTGAGACAGAGTCTCACTCTGTCACCCAGGCTGGAATGCAGTGGTGCAATTTCGGCTCACTGCAACCTCTGCCTCCTGGACTCAAACGATTCTCATGCCTCAGTTTCCCGAGTAGCTGGGACTACAGGTGCATGCCACCACACCCGGCTAATTTTTGTATTTTTAGTATAGACGGGGTTTCACCATGTTGGCCAGGCTGGTCTCGAACTCCTGACTTCAAGTGATCTGCCCACCTCGGCCTCCCAAAGTGCTGGGATTACAGGCATGAGCCACTGAGCCCAGCCAAGGTTGTTATTTTTCATAAAAATATATTATCTATGATAACAGGTAATGGTATTATTACTGTTATTTTAAAATGAATTATTATTGGCCAAGCATAGTGGCTCACATCTGTAAACCCAGCACTTTGGGAGGCCAAGGCAGGAGGATCACTTGAGGTCATGAGTTTGAGACCACCCTGGCCAACATGGTGAAACCTCGTCTCTACTAATACAAAAATTAGCCAGGCGTGGTGGTGCATGCCTGTAATTCCAGGAGACCAAGGCATGAGAATCGCTTGAACCCGGGAGACAAGGGTTGCAGTGAGCCAAGATCACACCACTGCACTCCACCCTGAACGACAGAGTGAGACTCTGTCTTAAAAGAAAAAAAATTAGCAGGGCATGGTGATGTGAGCCTATAGTCCTAGCTACTCGGGAGGCTGAGGCAGGAGAATCACTTGAACCAGGGAGAAGGAGATTGCAGTGAGCTGAGATCATGCCATTGCACTCCAGCCTGGGTGACAGAGCAAAACTCCATCCCAAAATAAATAAATAAATAAAATGAATGAATAAATAAATATCTGTTTTTTAAATTTTCCCAGTCTGAATTTCTAATATGGTAAATCTTGATGGATATAACCCATGTAAACAAAAGTTCTTTGGGATCCTTAGTAATTATTAAGCATGTAAAGGAGTCCCAGGAACAAAAAGGCTGACAGCCGCTGGTCTAGTGGTTCCAGGGTGGGAAAGACAGGGATAGGCCTGCAGAAAGCCTGGATCAGCAGAGGCAGGCAGGGACCAAAAGGGGCTCCCAGAGAGAGAGTGCCTTTGAAGTCTGGGGTGGGCAAGGGTGAGGGAGAAGGACTTGGAGCAGGGCAGGGACCACATGACTTCAGGGCAAGGGGTTCTGGCAGAGGCTTCTGGGAGTCCCTGACTTCTCTCTGCTGCCCCTGTAGGGGTTGTATGTAGGGGAAGGCCCCAAACACACAACAGACCACCACACACGTAGAGCTGAAACCCAGCCCCCGAGCTCCCACCCTCCCCAGAAGGCTTCCACCCTGCCCTACCCCCAACCCAACCCTCACCCTCACCCACGAAAAGGATTTGGGCCTTAAAATTATCGTCACCACAGCGATGCAGCAGACAATACAGAGGGGACATTATGCGCTGAGACAGAGAGGCCTCGTTGTTGGCGCAGCAGAGACAGCAGTGCTCTGTTCTGAGCAGGCTAGGGGCTGCTCATGTGCTCAAGCGCTCAAGCAAGACCCCTCACACCCAGAATCACGTCCTCACCCAAATGCACACTCACGGACTCACCCCGGGATACCCCTCGGGTGCATGCTGTGGCACACAGGAGCCTTTGGATGTCCCCCTCCAGCCTCTGTGCAAACCCCCACTCACCACTACCCGCTCTGGGCCCACACCGCCAGCCCCACACATGCCCATGTACTCCGTGGCACAGGCTTTCCCACCTGGGGAACCCCATGGGGGTGCAAGGGACATGAGGCAGCCACAGGGCCCTGAGGAAGTGCACCCTGCCTGCACTGCCCTGCACCGCCAGGCTGGGATCATAGGGCACTGAAACCAGCAGCCGCCTAGGCTGGGCTAGACGTGCCTGGACCCACAGAGGGACACAAAGGCGGCATTGTTGCTTTGCCAAACACTCCCAGCTCTGAAGTGGGAGGGAGGGACCTGGGCAACTGGCGCCCCTACCCCCAGCTCCTGGGCTGGCCCCAGAGCAAGACTGGACTTAAACCTCTTAGGCCACTACCAGTGCTTGGGCCAGAGGGCAAGCGGGGAGAAACTCAGGCCTCAGGATAAAACCTGCCGGAAGAAGGCTCCCAAGCCCAGAGTTTGAACTCTACCGGGGTCTTATTTCTCCTGAGTCAGGATCTCTCTCCCTCCCAATATTTGCACAGCTTGTTCCCTCTGCCTGGGACCTCCCTCCCCTCCCCTTCTCTGGAGAACTTTTCATTTTCCTTTAGGACATTGTTCAGAGAGCACCTTCCCCAAGAAGCCCTCCTGATCCCTGGGCTGAGCCAGTTGCTCCTCTGTGCTGCCCCACCAAACAGGGAGTTCCAGATGCTCACAGGGAGGTCCCCAGCACCACACCGCCCTGCCCAGCCTGGGGTGGGCTCACAGGGAGCCGCAGCACCATCAGAGGAAGGGGTAAGTGGGCAAGGCTGGGCCATGGACACAGTCACATCTCAGGTTGAGGCCTGAGCAACCCCAAGACCACGCTGAGGCAGCGGAGGGAAGGGGGCAGAGTTACCAGGCCAAGTCTTAGACCAGGAAAGTCACCAGCCACCCCATCCAGTGACACGGAAGGACACAGGGGAGTTCCCTGGAGAAGCCTGCCATCAAACATGCAGGCCGTCCTCCTTGCCTCGGACCTGCTTTCTCACCCATTGCCAAGTCCGACTCATCCAAGTGGTAGCTGTTTTTATTTATTTATTTATTTATTAAGACAGAGTCTCGCTCCGTCACCCAGACTGGAGTGCAGTGGCGCAATCTCAGCTCACTGCAACCTCCACCTCCCAGGTTCAAGTGATTCTCCTGCCTCACCCTCCCGAGTAGCTGAGATTACAGGCATGCGCCACCACGGCCAGCTAATTTTTGTATTTTTAGTAGAGACGGGGTTTCACCATGTTGGCCAGGCTGGTCTCGAACTCCTGACCTCAAGTGATCCACCTGCCTTGGCCTCCCAAAGTGCTGGGATTACAAGTGTGAGCCACTGTGCCTCGCCGGTAGCTGTTTTTATATTTTATTTAACGCTTACAGAGCATTTACTATGTGCCAGGCACTGTTCTAGTGGATTTACATGTACATATTAACTCACTGAATCCTCACAACAACCTTTGAAATAGTACTATTATGATGCCTATTTAAAAAAAATTTTTTTAGCCGGGCGCGGTGGCTCACGCCTGTAATCCCAGCACTTTGGGAGGCCGAGGTGTGTGGATCACCTGAGATCAGGAGTTAGAGACCAGCCTGACCAACATGGAGAAACCCCACCTCTACTAAAAATACAAAAATTAGCCAGATGTGGTGGCCCATGCCTGTAATCCCGGCTACTCGAGAGGCTGAGGCAGGAGAATCGATTTAACCCAGGAGGCGGAAGTTGCGGTGAGCCGAGATCGCGCCACTGCACTCCAGCCTGGGTGACAGAGTGAGACTCCGTCTCAAAAAAATAAATAAATAAAATAAATTTTAATTTTAATTTAGAGAGGGAGCTCTCCCTATGTTGCCCAGACTAGTCTTGAACTCCTGGCCTCAAGCAATCCTCCTATCTCGCCTTCCCAAAATGCTGAGATTAGAGGTGTGAGCCACTGTATCTGGCCTTATTATGCCCATTTTAAAGATGAGGAAAGTCAAGCACAGCAAGGTTAAATAACTCTTCCAAGGTCACAGGGCTATCATTGGAACCCAGCAAGTCATTTCTTTCAGGCAGCCTTCCCCAGCCTCTCAAACCAGATCAGGAGCCTTTGTTGTGAGCATCCCCAGTCCTAAATCCATCAGGTGTCACTGGTTTGGCTCCCTTCTTCTGATGGTGACCTGCTTGAGGGTTCCCATAGGGATATATTTTTTCTGGGTCCCAGGAGTACAGCCTCTAGCAGAACACCTGGCTCATGGGTTATTGACCGAATAACCAAAAACATAAGAAGGATGGCTGGACTCCCACTACTCAAGGTGGGAGGGGATAGGGGGTGCCCAGAAAGGCCTAAGGAGCTCTCTCCCCTCCCCACACCACACACCATCTGCTCTGCCACTTGCTGCAAGGCCTCTGCTGTCCCTGGGTACCTGGGGCTATGGGAAGCTGGGGAGGCAGAAAAGGAGAGACTACCAGGCCCACAGGGACACCTGAAGGCCCAGCTGCTCCCAGGTCTCCATGTCCCTCCAGGCAAAGGGTCTCTTGAGATTCTCAGGCACCATGAACCAAAAAGAGAGAGTCGTTTTCGGGTCTGCAGCACCATTGTTCTCTTCTTATACCCAAATTTCCAGCCAACTGGTTAGTTTTTCTAGCTTCCAGCTAAGGTTTCCAAACTGCTGCTCAGACCCCAGCCAGTGGAGAGATGTGGATGGAGAGGGGCAGCTGCACTTGGTGGACCAGCCAGACTGCCGGGGCTCACACTTCAGTGTTGTCCTCTGGACAGAGCCCCTTCCTCTAGAAGCCCTACTTCCATTGGCTGTGGCCCCAACAGGAAACACAACCAAGCTCCAGCCTCTCATTGACTGTCTCTTGCACTTCTAAAGCTGTCAATATCCACACCCAGAAAAATAGCCCCAGGATAGGCCCCCCTGGCACTTCAGTCCAGACTTCCCAGCCCTGAAATTGGGCTGAGTGAGCACCCTACAAAATGGGCAGAAAAATGTTGCAAATATTTTTTATTTATTTATTTTGTCACTTCGTCACCTAGGCTGGAGTGCAGTGGCACGATCATGGCTCATTGCAGCCTCAACCTCCCAGGCTCAAGTGATCTGTCTCAGCCTCTGGAGTAGCTGGGACCATAGGCCTGCATCACCATGCCCAGCTAATTTATTTTATTTTTTTATTTTATTCTTTATTTATTTATTTTTTTGGAGATGGAGTCTCTCTCTGTTGCCCAGGCTGGAGTGCAGTGGCATGATCTCGGCTCACTAAAACCTCCGCCTCCCAGGTTCAAGTGATTCTCCTGCCTCAGCCTCCCGAGCAGCTGGGATTACAGGCACACACCACCATGCCCGGCTAATTTTTTGTATTTTTAGTAGAGAATTTCACCATATTAGCCAGGACGGGTCTCAATCTGACTTCGTGATCTGCCCCTCTCAGCCTCCCAAAGTGCTGGGATTACAGGCGACTAATTTTTTTTTTTTAATTTTGTAGAGACAGGGTTTCACCATGTTGTTCTTGAATTCCTGGACTCAAGGGATCCACCTACCTCAGCCTCCCAAAGTGCAGGGATTACAGACATGAGCCGTGGTGTCCAGCCAGGTTGCAGATCTTTAGGAGGAGTCCCTGTCCCATCTCCTACTTCAAGGTGTATATTTCCCGGCCTACCCAAGGGTTAGCTCATCTGTTAATGGTACTCAAACCTGGTGTCATCTGTGAAGGTGACTGAGGACAACACCTCCATGAAAGGAGCTGAGGTCTTCCCAACCCTCATGGAGGGGGGGTGTGTGTGTGTATGTGTGCACGTGCATGTGTATGTGCATGTGTGTGGCTGGACAGAGGCAGCTCCCAAATTCCTATTCAGTAAGGACTTCAGGTAGCAGTCTATTTGAAAGGGAGCTGAGGGCCTTGCTTGAAGCTATGTGTATAACCGCTGTTTGTACTTAAATAAAAGGTTATACAGATCAATAAAAATAGCAACGTTTTCTAAAATGCTTCATATAAAATGAAGAAAATGCCAGTTGCCCATATAAAACAATTAATTATTGAGCTGGGTGCAGTGTCATGGACTGTAGTCCCAGCTACTGGGGAGGTTGAGGTGGGAAGATCTCTTGAGCTTAGGAGTTGAAGGTCAGCCTGGGCAACACAGTGAGACCCCATTTCAAAACAAAAAATTAATTATTGTTATTATGATGATAATAGATTTCATGAACACCAAGGACCTTCAAGTCATTTCCCTTTCCCCCACCTGGGTGCAAGGGCTGCCTGGACTGAATCAGGCCACATCCTTGGAAATGTAAATCAACCTCAACTTCAACTAAAAAAATATGCTCCAAGCCACAAAGCCCTGGACTGGTCCTGTGGGGAAGAGAGATGTGATGAACCCTTAGATCTGCCCTCTCGGGTTGGATACCCACTATGTTGGACACATTTCACCATCCTTTAGGACCACCCTACAAGGGAGCAGTGAACTTCTTGCTCATTTTTTTTCTTTAAAGATTGGGTCGGCCGGGCGTGGTGGCTCACGCCTGTAATCCTAGCACTTTGGGAGGCTGAGGCAGGCAGATCACCTGAGGTCAGGGGTTTGAGACCAGCCTGACTAACATGGTGAAACCCTGTCTCTACTAAAAATACAAAAATTAGCGGGGCATAGTAGTGGGTGCCTGTAATCCCATCTACCCAGGAGGCTGAGGCAGGAGAATCGCTTGAACCCAGGAGGCAGAGGTTGCAGTGAGCCGAGATCGTGCCATTGCACTCCAGCCTGGGCGACAGAGCAAGATTCCATCTAAAAAAAAAAAAAAAAAAAAAGGGGGTCTTGCGGCCGGGCGTAGTGGCTCACACCTGTAAGCCCAGCACTTCGGGAGGCCAAGGCAGGTGGATCACCTGAGGTCAGGAGTTCAAGACCAGCCTGACCAACATGGTGAAACCCATCTCTACTAAAAATACAAAAACTAGCTGGGCGTGGTGGTGCGTGCCTGTAATCCCAGCTACTCAGGAGGCTGAGGTAGGAGAATTGCTTGAACATGGCGGGGCGGAGGTTGTAGAGAGCTGAGATCACACCATTGCACTCCAGCCTGGGCGACAGAACGAGACTCTGTCTCAAAAGAAAAATAAGATGGGGCCTTGCTTTGTCACCCAGGCTGTAGTGTAGTGGCACAATCATGTGTCACTGCAGCCTTGACCTCCCTGGCTCAAGTTATCCTCCCACCTCAGCCTCCAGAGTAGCTGGGAATACAGATACATGCCACTATGCCTGGCTAATTTTTTAATTTTTTTAGAGTCAGGGTCTCGTTATGTTGCCCAGGCTGGTCTCGAACTCCTGGGCTCCCAAATTGTTGGGATTACAGGCGTGAACCACCACACCCAGCCTAAAAGACTCGCTTTGTCACCCAGGCTGGAGGGCAATGCACTGCAGCCTTGAAGTCCTAGGCTCAAGCCATCCTGCCATCTCAGCCTCCTGAGTTATGCTGAGCATTTTAAATTCATCATCTATTTGCTCCCCACTACAGCCCCAATTTATTAATAAAAAACAAACAAACAAACAAAAACTCTGAGGCTTATAAAGTTTGTTGCCCTCCCAAGATCACAGAGCCAATATGTAATACAAATAAGATTTAAATCCAGGCCCCAGGCCAGGCACAGTGGCTCATGCCTGTAATCCCAGGATTTTGGGAGGCCAAGGCGAAAGGATCACTTGAGCCTGGGAGTTCGAGACCAGCCTGGGCAACATACGGAGGTTCTGTCTCTACAAAAAATATAAAAATTAGCCGGGCGCGGTGGCTCACGCCTGTAATCTCAACACTTTGGGAGGCCGAGGCGGGTGGAACACGAGGTCACGAGATCAAGACCATCCTGGCTAACACGGTGAAACCCCATCTCTACTAAAAATACAAAAAATTAGCCGAGCTTGCTTGCAGGCACCTGTAGTCCCAGCTACTTGGGAGGCTGAGGCAGGAGAACGGCGTGAACCCGGAAGTCAGGGATTGCAGTGAGCCCAGATCGCGCCATGCACTCCAACCTGGGCGACAGAGCAAGACTCCATCTCAAAAAAAAAAAAAAAAAATTAGGCCAGGCACAGTGACTCACACCTGTAATCCCAGCACTTTGGGAGGCCGAGGCGGATGGATCACGAGGTCAGGAGTTCAAGAGCATCCTGGCTAACACGGTGAAACCCCGTCTCTACTAAAAATACAAAAAAATTAGCTGGCGTGGTGGCCGGCGCCTGTAGTCCCAGCTACTGGGGAGGCTGAGGCAGGAGAATGGCATGAACCCAGGAGGCAGAGCTTGCAGTGGGCCAAGATTGCGTCACTGCACTCCAGCCTGGGCGACAGAGTGAGACACCGTCTCAAAAAAAAAAAAAAAAATTAGCTGAGCATGGTGGCACGCACCAGTAGTCCCCACTACTCAGAAGGCTGAGGTGGGAGGATCACTTGAGCGTGGGAGATTGAGGTTGCAGTGAGCCAAGATCCTGCCACTGCACTCCACCCTGGCAACAGGGTGAGACCTTGTCTCTTAAAAAAACAAAACAAAAGGGCAGTGGCTCACACTATAATCCCAGCACTTTGGGAGGCCAAGGTGGCTGGATCACCTGAAGTCAGGAGTTCGAGACCAGCCTGGCCAACATGGTGAAACCCTGTCTATACTAAAAATACAAAAAATTAGCTGGGTGTGGTGGCACGCACCTGTAATCCCAGCTACTCAGGAGGCTGAGACAAGAGAATCGCTTGAACCCGGGAGGCAGAGGTTGCAGTGAGCTGAGATCACGCCACTGTGCTCCAGCCTGGGCAACAAGGGCGAAACTCCATCTCCAAAAAAAGGCTAGGCACGGTGGCTCACGCCTTTAATCCCAGCACTTTGGGAGGCCCAGGCAGACGGATCACGAGGTCAGGAGTTTGAGACCAGCCTGACCAACATGATGAAACCCCGTCTCTACTAAAAATACAAAAATTACTCAGGCGTAGTAGTGCGCACCTGTAATCCCAGCTACTCGGGAGGCTGAGGTGGGATAATCGCTTGAACCCGGGAGGCGGAGGTTGCAGGGAGCCGAGATTACCCCACTGCACTCCAGCCTGGGTGACAAGAACAAAACTCTATCTCAAAAAAAAAAAAAACAAAAAAGATTTAGACCTAAATACCAGTCTGTCACACCTCCAATCCCTGGGCACACAAAATGTGTGTGATAAGGGGCCATAGAGCCTCACAAATAGAATTGTGGGGGCATAAGAGATAAAGGGCACCCCCTTGCTTATGTGAAGAGGCGAGGGGACTCTAGGTGGAGGGAACAGCACAGGCAAAGAAAGGTTCTCAGGTGGGAACCTGTGTAGCGTTTAGGGAGATGGAAGTGGCTGTTTGTTCAGTCTGTGGAGCACAGGATGGTGGGAAAGTGGGTCCTGAGCAGATAAGAGCAAGGCTGCGACTCCAGGGAAGGCAGTGGACTTCATTCTATCAGCAGTGGCAACTAATGGCCCAGCGAATCTGAATCCTGGCTTTGTCACCAACCAGCTGAGGTACCTTGGCAAAAATCTCTTCTCTCCAAGCCTCAGTTTCCTCATTTGTAAAATGGAAATAATAATGGTATCTGCCTAGTAGGGTTGTTGTAGGGATTCACAAAAAGGCCCTATGCCCAGACTAAGGTAATCACTCAAGAACTGAGAACTGTTGTTACTGAGCAATGGGGAGCCGCTGAGGGCTCCTGACAGACAGGGACACAAGCAAAGCTGGGCTGGGAAAGCGCTGACCCAGCTGCTCACCTTCACCACAAAGAAGCCTGGGACTCAAGAAGAGTGGAAGGAGATCCTGGATCTGGGCCAGCTGCCTCATTGAAGGTTTCTTTGACATCTCCTGTTTTATCTTTTTTTTTTTTTTTTTGAGACAGCATCTTGCTCTGTCACCCAGGCTTGAGTGCACTGGCACAATCATGGCTCACTGCAGCCTCAACTTCCTGGGCTCAAGCGATCCTCCTACCTCAGCCTCCCGAATAGGTGGGCCTACAGGTGCGTCACCACACCCAGCTAATTTTTGCTTTTATTTTTATTATTTATTTTTTGAGACAGAGTCTCATTCTGTCACCCAGGCTGGAGTGCAATGGTGCGATCTCAGCTCACTGCAACTTCCAGCTCCCAGGTTCAAGTGATTTTCCTGCCTCAGCCTCCTGAGTAGCTGGGACTACAGGCACCCACAACCACGCCCATCTAATTTTTGTATTTTTAGTGGAGACAAGGTTTCACCAGGCTGGTCTCGAACTTCTGACTTCAGGTGATCCACCCGCCTCAGCCTCCCAAAGTGCTGGGATTACAGGTGTGAGCCACTGTGCCTCGCATCACATCACTCTAATTTGATGCTCACCTAGCACTCCTCCCTGTCTGATACTTTCTTATTTAGCTATGACCAGTCTGTCTTACCCAACCAGACTGCATGCTCCATGAGAGGAGGACTTGGTCTGTCTTGTGCATCTCTGTGTCCTTACCACACAGGACAGTGCCTGGCACATAGCAGGTGTTCAGTAAATACTTATGGAGATAGAGAGGGAAAGAAGGAAGAGAAGCAGTGAAGGAGGACAGAAATGAATAAAGACAGATTAATAAAGAACAAAATCTGGGTTCTGGTCCCAAAGACTAGGAGGCTCCTTTGAAACCTCAGTCACCCGCTCTGTAGAATGGGCAGGCCCTCTAGCCCCGAGGCTCTTCGATCAGTGCCATCGTGGGCACACTGTAGTATCCAACCCCTCCCTGCAGTGCTGTTACAGGCCTGCCTCTGGAGCTGACCTCCCTTCCCCACACCCCATCTCAGAGAGGCAAAAATTAATTTCCTTTGGCATAAACTGATTTTGATGAGCCCAGTCCCCGGTGAGGCTTCACAGCAATGCAGGGAACGGCAGGCAGCAGCATGACTTACGGGCCTCAAGGCCCCAGACGCCCAGCTGCTTCTGATGGCTCTGGACATTTCCAGCCCCCTAAATCAGCTGCCACACAGCGACCTGGAGTGCTGCCCAGCCTGTCCTCAGTCTCGGCTGGTGCCCCTGACAGGCGCCTCCCAGGTCAGGGGGCACAGTCTGCATGGAAGTAGGTGACTTCATCCAGGCTGACTCACCCCAGCCGGC
The DNA here is from genome assembly GCF_000001405.40 of Homo sapiens. Lineage (NCBI taxonomy): Eukaryota > Metazoa > Chordata > Mammalia > Primates > Hominidae > Homo > Homo sapiens. Next base: position 139,725,122 of record NC_000005.10, on the reverse strand, counting down.
CACTGGAGATGGACTGCAGGAGGGAGGAGGACGCAGTCCCCTCCAGCCTGGAGCTTTGGCAGGGATCCTCACCCTCCCTCTGCACCCTTAGGGGTTCCCCAAACCAGACTGTGCCCTACCCTACTCCATACCATCCATCCTTCAGAATCCACACTGATGGTCCTGCGAACGGTCCAGAACTTTGGCTCAGAACCCAGGCCCACTGCCCCTCTTACCAGCCAGGCAAAGCAGACCAGCACTGTAACCTCTGAGACTCAGTTTCTTCATCCGTAAAATGACCACGGTGACCCCTGCTCCACCTACTCCCAAGAAGTATTGGGTGAATCTGGCTGATGTGAGAGGGTCTTAGAGATAGGAAAGTAACATGTGAGATGGGGGATGGGAAGTTATCTCAGTGGACCCCCATGCCACTACGTTGAGCCCAGACCTCTTCTCCTGGTCTGCAGTGCCCTAAATGAATGCCCTCCCCTGCCCTTCTCTCTGCCCCCTTATACTCCACCCCCTGCCTCATTTAGCATCTTCCACAGATAGGCTGGGCTCCTTCCTGCTTCAGGCCTCTGGGGTGCTATTCTCCCAGCCTAGAACTGGGAACTCTTCCTTCCCACCCTATCTTCTTTGCCTGGCTCAATCCTCTTGAACCCCTAACTCTCATCATCTTGGAGGATGGATGGTTTGAGGTAGGATGGGGCATAGTCTGGTTTGGGGAACCCCTAAGAGAAGTTCAGCTGAAATATCACTTCCTCCAAGAAACCTTTCTTGTCAAACCCTTCAGTTTGACATCAGGGGCCCCATGTCTGTGTCCCCACAGTCTAGCTGTTCCCCTACACTATCGCCGTTGTCTCACATCTGCCTCCTAGATGCTGGCCTTGTTCTCCCCAGTGCCTGGCTCATGCCTGGTGCTCACTACCATGGGCTGATCTGAACTTCAGGCCTGTGTCTTTTCCCATTGGCTGACAGTGGCTGTCTGAAGCACTGTGTTGAGGAGGATTCTGAGGTTGCACACACATGCACACAGAAGCACCATGCCCAGCACAAAGTGAGCTGTCAATACACGTCCGCTGTTAAATTAACACTGGTGTTACTATTGGGAGTTGGTTTTTAGGATCTGCATCCTCCCCTAACCTGTCCTTAGTCTCACGTTTGTGGCAACCCAGGGTTGGGGAAGGGAAGCAAAAAGGACTTCTGTTCTCAAATTACCTGAAGACACCTGTCTCTAGCAGAAAGAATATCAACATGGAGTCTGGAGCCCTGAGTTTGAGACTCGCACTGCCCTGCTGACTTGCTTAGGGGACTGACTCCGACTCTGGGTCTCAGTATCTTCATCTATAAAACAGGAATAGTTCTCACCTCACAGGGAGCTGTAAGGACCAACTTCAAAAATCCAGAGGCAGGCTGAGCGCAGTGGCTCACGCCTATAATCCCAGCACTTTGGAAGAAGGTAAATGGATCACCTGAGGCCAGGAGTTCGAGAACAGCATGGCCAACATGGTGAAACCCCATCTCCACTAAAAATACAAAAATTAGCCAGGCGTGGTGGCAGGCGCCTGTAATCTCAGCTACTCAGGAGACTGAGGCAGGAGAATTGCTTGAACCTGGGAGGCAGAGGTTGCAGTGAGCTGAGACCGCACCATTGCACTCCAGCCTGGGTGACAAGAGTGAAACTCTGTCTCAAAAAAAAAAAAAAAATGGCCAGGCGCGGTGGCTCACGCCTGTAATCCCAGCACTTTGGGAGGCTGAGGCAGGTGGATCACGAGGTCAGGCGTTCAAGACCGGCCTGGCCAAGATGGTGAAACCCTGTCTCTACTAAAAATACAAAAAATTAGCCAGGAGTGATGACGGGAGCCTGTAATCCCAGCTACTTGGGAGGCTGAGGCAGAGAATTGCTTGAACCCGGGAGGCAGAGGCTGCAGTGAGCCAAGATCTCACCACTGCACTCCAGCCTGGGCAACAGAACAAGACTCCATCTCAAATAAAATAAAATAAAATAAAAAATACATCCAGAGACAGGGGCCTGGTTCACCTTGACAAAGAACACTCCTCGGCCTACACCTCTAAGGACTGGGTATAGGCTCAAAGGGTGGGGACCCCAGAACTAGGGCCATTACCAGCCATTGTAGTCCTTACTCCTAGGCCCCCACCCTCAGATCCCTGTCTTCACACAACTGCAGGGCCTACTGTGAAACCTTTTTTTTTTCTTTAGAGACAAGGTGTCACTATCACCCTGGCTGGAGGGCAGTGGCACAATCATAGCTCACTGCAGCCTGGACCTCCCAGACTCAAGAGCTCCTCCAGCCTCAGCCTCACAAGTAGCTGGGACTACAGGTGACTGCTACCATGCCCAGCTAATTTTTGTAATTTTTGTAAAGACAGGGTCTCCCAGGCTGGTCTTGAACTCCTAGGCTCAAACTACCCTTCTGCTTTGGCCTCCCAAAGTGCTAAGATTACAGGCGTGAGCCACTGCACCCAGCCAGTGAAATCTTCAGAGCAGGGTCAAACCTCCACTCTCTCACTCTCCAGCTGTGTGACACTGGGCAAGTCCATCTCAGTGGATCTGTTTCTTCATATACTTATTTATTTTTGAGACAGGGCCTCATGTCATCACCCAGCCTGGAGTGGTGGCACACTCACAGCTCACTGAAGCCTTCACCTCCTGAGCTCCAGCGATCCTCTCACCTCAGCCTCCCTAGTAGCTGGGACTACAGGCGTGTACCACCACGCCTGGCTAATTTTGGTATTTTTTGTAGAGACAAGGTTTCCCCATTGTATTAGTCCATTTTCACATGGCTGATAAAGACATACCTGAAACTGCCCGGGCACGGTGACTCACGCCTGTAATCCCAGCACTTTGGGAGGCCGCGGCAGGTGGATCACGAGGTCAGGAGATTGAGACCATCCTGGCTAACATGGTGAAACCCCGTCTCTACTAAAAATACAAAAAATAAGCTGGGCATGGTGGCGGGCACCTGTAGTCCCAGCTACTCGGGAGGCTGAGGCAGGAGAATGGCATGAACCCAGAAAGTGGGGCTTGCAGTGAGCCAAGATTGCACCACTGCATTCCAGCCTGGGTGACAGAGAGAGACTCCGTCTCAAAAAAACAAACAAACAAAAAAGACATACCCAAAACTGGGAACAAAAACAGGTTTAATTGGACTTACAGTTCCACATGGCTGGGGAGACCTCAGAATCATGGCGGGAGGCGAAAAGCACTTCTTACGTGATGCTGGCAAGAGAAAAATGAGGAATAAGCAAAAGTGGAGACCCCTGATAAACCCATCAGATCTTATGAGACTTATTCACTATCACAAGAATAGCACAGAAAGACCGGACCCCATGATTTAATTACCTCCCCCTGGGTCCCTCCCACAACAAGTGGGAATTATGGGAGATACAATTCAAGTTGAGATTTGGGTGGGGACACAGCCAAACCATATGATTCCGACCCTGGCTCCCCCAAATCTCATGTCCTCACATTTCAAAACCAATCATGCCTTCCCAACACTCCCCTAAAGTCTTAACTCATTTCACCATTAACCCAAAAGTCCACAGTCCAAAGTCTTATCTGAGACAAGGCAAGTCCCTTCCACCTATGAGCCTGTAAAATCAAAAACAAGTGGCTGGGTGCAGTGGCTCACACCTGTAATCACAGCACTTTGGGAGGCCGGGGTAGGTGGGTCATTTGAAGTCAGGAATTTGAGACCAGCCTGGCCAACACGGTGAAACCCTGCCTCTACTAAAAATACAAAATTAACTGGGCGTGGTGGCATGCGCCTGTAGTCCCAGCTACTCAGGAGGCTGAGACAGGAGAATCACTTGAACCCGGGAGGTGGAGGCTGCAGTGAGCTGAAATCACACCACTACACTCCAGCCTGAGCGACAGAGTGAGACTCTGTCTTAAAAAAAAAAAAAAAAAAAAAAGCCAGGTGCGGTGGCTCACGCTTGTAATCCCAGCATCTTGGGAGGCCAAGGCGGGTGGATCACCTGAGGTCAGGAGTTCGAGACCAGTCTGGCCAATATGGTGAAATCCCATCTCTACTAAAAATAAAAAATCAGTGGAGTGTGGTGGCACACGCCTGCAGTCCCAGTTACTCAGGAGGCTGAGGCAGGAGAATTGCTTGAACCTGGGAGGCAGACGTTGCAGTGAGCCAAGATCATGCCACTGCACTCCAGTCTGGGCAACAAAGTGAGACTCTGTCTCAAAAAACAAAACAAAACAAAACAAAACAAAAGCAAGGTAGTTACTTCCTAGATACAATGGGGATACAGGTATTGGGTAAATACAGCCATTCTAAATGGGAGAAATTGGCCAAAACAAAGGGGCTACAGGCCCCATGCAAGTTCAAAATCCAGCGGGGCAGTCAAATTTTAAAGCTCCAAAATGATCTCCTTTGACTCCAGGTCTCACATCCAGGTCACGCTGATGCAAGAGGTAGGTTCCCATGGTCTTGGGCAGCTCTACCCCTGTCATTTTGCAGGGTACAGCCTCCCTCCTGGCTGCTTTCACGGGCTGGCGTTGAGTGTCTGCAGCTTTTCCAGGTGCATGGTGCAAGCTGTTGGTGGATCTACCATTCTGGGGTCTGGAGGACAGTGGCCATCTTCTCACAACTCCACTAGGCAGTCCCCCAGCTGTGTGGGGGCTCCAACCCCACATTTCCCTTCCACACTGCCCTAGCAGAGGTCCTCCATGACAGCCCTGCCCCTGCAGCAAACTTTTGCCTGGGCATCCAGGAGTTTCCATACATCTTCTGAAATCTAGGTGGAGGTTCCAAAACCTCAGTTCTTGACTTCTGTGCACCTGCAAGCTCAACATCACATGGAACCTGCCAAGGCTTGGGGCTTCCACCCTCTGAAGCCAAAGTCCATGCTGTATATTGGCCCCTTTCAGCCATGGCTGGAGCAGCTGGAACACAGGGCATCAAATCCCTAGGCTGCACACAGTATGGAGACCCTGCCTCTGGCCCATGAAACCACTTTTTCCTCCTGGGCCTCCAGGCCTGTGATGGGAGAGGCTGCCATGAAGGTCTCTGACATGGCCTGGAGACGTTTTCCCGATGGTCTTGGGGATTAACATTAGGCTCCTTACTACTTATGCAAATTTCTGCAGCCAGCCTGAATTTCTCCCCAGAAAATGGGTTTTTCTTTTCTATCGCATAGTCAGGCTGCAAATTTTCCAAACTTTTATGCTCTGCTTCCCTTATAAAACTGAATGCCTTTAACAGCACCCAAATCACCTCTTGAATGCTTTGCTGCTTAGAAATGTCTTCCACCAAATACCCTAAATCATCTTTCTCAAGTTCAAAGTTCCATAAATCTCTAGGGCAGAGGCAAAATGTCACCAGTCTCTTTGCTAAAACATAACAAGAGGCCAGGTGCAGTGACTCAAGCCTGCAATCCCAGCACTTTGGGAGGCCAAGGCGGGCAGATCACAAGGTGAGGAGATTGAGCCCATCCTGGCCAACATGGTAAAACCCTGTCTCTACTAAAAATACAAAAATTAGCTGGGCGTGATGGCATGTGCCTATAATCCTAGCTACTCGGAAGGCTGAGGCAGGGGAATCGCTTGAACCCAGGAGGCAGAGAGAGGTTGCAGTGAGCCAAGATTGTGCCACTGCACTCTAGCCTGGTGACAGAGCGAGACTCTGTCTCAAAAAAAAAAAAAAAAAAAAAAAAAAAAAAAAAGTCTGTGAGCAGTAGCTCACACCTGTAATCCCAGCACTCTGGGAAGCTGAGGTGGGTGGATCACGAGGTCAGGAGATCAAGACCATCCTGGCTAACACGAAACCCTGTCTCTACTGAAAATACAAAAAATTAGCCGAACGTGGTGGCGGGCGCCTATAGTCCCAGCTACTCGGGAGGCTGACGCAGAATGGCATGAACCCAGGAGGCAGAGCTTGCAGTGAGCCAAGATTGCACCACTGCACTCCAGCCTGGGTGACAGAGCGAGACTCCATCTCAAAAAAAAAAAAAGTCAGGTGTGGTGGCTCACGCCTGTAATCCCAGCACTTTGGGAGGCCAAGGCAGGCAGATCACCTGAGATCAGGAGTTCGAGACCAGCCTGGCCAACAGGGCAAAACTCCATCTCTACTAAAAATACAAAAATTAGCTGGGCATGATGGCAGGCACCTATAATCCCAGCTACTTGGGAGACTGAGGCAGGAGAATCGCTTGAACCTGGAAGGCGGAGGTTGCAGTAAGCCCAGATTGTGCCATTGCACTCTAGCCTGGGTGACAGAGCAAGACTCTGTCTCAAAAAAAAATAAATTAAAAAAATAAATAAATAACAAGAGTCACCTTTACTCCAGTTCCCAACGAGTTCCTCATCTCCATCTGAGACCACCTCAACCTGGACCTTATTGTCCATATCATTATCAGCATTTTGGGCAAAGCCATTTGACAAGTTTCTAGGAAGTTCCAAACATTCCCTCATTTTCCTGTCTTCTTCTGAGCCCTCCAAACTGTTCCAACCTCTGCCTGTTACCCAGTTCCAAAGTTGCTTCCACTTTTTTGGGTATCTTTTCAGCAGCACCCCACTCCTGGTACCAATTTACTGTATCAGTCCGTTTTCATACTGTTGATAAAGACATACCCGAAACTGGGAATAAAAAAAGGTTTCATTGAACTTATAGTTCCACATGGCTGGGGAGGCCTCAGAATCATGGTGAGAGGTGAAAGGCACTTCTTACATGGTAGCAGCAAGAGAAAGATGAGGAAGAAGCAAAAACAGAAACCCCTGATAAATCCATCAGATCTCATGATACTTATTCACTATCACAAAAATAGCACGGGAAAGACCAGCCCCCATGATTCAATTACCTCCCCCTGGATCCCTCCCACAACACATGGGAATTATGGGAGATACAATTCAAGTTGAGATTTGGGTGGGGACACAGCCAAATCATATCAACCATGTTGTTCAGGCTGGTCTTGAACTCCTGAGCTCAAGTTATCCACCCGCCTCAGCCTCCCAAAGTGTTGAGATTACAGGGGTGAGCCACCATGCCTGGCTGTTTCTTCATTTATAAAATGACAATGATAATGCTTGCTTCAATAGCACATACACTAAAATTGGAATGACATAGAGAATATTAGCATGACCCTGTGCAAGGATGACATGCAAATTCATAAAGCATTCCATATTTTTTTTAAATGGCAATGATAATGAAAGTTGCCTCCCAGAATTCTTAGAACAATTAAGGCCAGGCACAGTGCCTCATGCCTGTAATCCCAGCACTTTGGGAGGCCAAGGAGAACAGATCACCTGCGCTCAGGAGTTTGAGACCAGCCTGACCAACATGGTGAAACCCCATCTCTACTAAAAATACAAAACTTACGCCAGGCGCGGTGGCTCACACCTGTAATCCCAGCACTTTGGGAGGCCAAGGTGGGAGGATCACTTGAGGTCAGGAGTTAGAGACCAGCCTGGCCAACATGGCGAAACCCCATCTCTACTAAAAGTACAAAAATTAACCAGGCATGGTGGCACGTGCCTGCAGTCCCAGCTACTTGGGAGGCTGAGGCAGGAGAATCGTTTGAACCCGGGAGGTGGGTTTGCAGTGAGCCAAGATTGCACCACTGCACTCCAGTCTGGGCAACAAACCGAGACTTTGTCTAAAAAAAAAAAAAAAAAAAAAAAATTAGCCAGGTGTGGTGGCGCATGTCTGTAGTCCCAGCTACTCTGGAGGTTGAGCGGGGAGAATCACTTGAACCACTTGAGAATCACTTGATGGGGGAGGTCACCGTGAGTCGAGCTCACACCACTGCACGCCAGCCTGGGCAACAGAGTTAGACTCCATCTCAGGAAAAGAAAAAAAAAGGATTAACTGAGTTAATTGGGTAAAGCATGCACTTAGCATTTGACTTGAGGTCTAGTAAGTGCCCAGTAAATATTACCCATAATAATAATAATAATAATAATAATAATCATCATCATCATCATCATCATCATCACCATCCCCCTGAATGCTGTGGCTATGCATGGTTTAAGATATCCATGTTGATCCTGGTCCCTGGTCCTTCCACAACATAACTTCTGGAACCCTCACAGCTGACTACACTGTCATCCCCACTTCCTGGATGAGCAAAGTGAGGCTTAGAGAGCCTGGGACTTTTCAGACTGAAAACTTCCTGAAGGCAGAGGCCTTCCCTCCCAAGCCTGTGCTCCTCTTAGAACTGAGGCTGTGTCTCCCCATCAAACTAGGTGTTTTGTCTCCCTCCTTAGCCAGGGCTCTTTTATAGGCCTCCAGCTAAGCTCAGAGGAGCAAGAAGGGTGAGGTCCAGCCCCCCTGCCTCCCGTGTGGCACAAGGAGAGGTTCAGGCTATGGACAAAGGTCAGCACAGGCCCGCCTGGTCTTAGCTGCTCCAGTTGATTGATGCAGGAAGGCCTCGTGACTGCCCCTACCCACCTCCAAAATGGCTCCAGCTTCCCACCTGAATAGGCTAAGCCTTTGAAATGAGGCTGCAGCATTGGAGAAGATGGGGGCTAGTGGTGGGGGGAGGTGGGAGTCAGCAGCTCCCTGGCCCCCCATTTCCCCCTCTAGGCACTCCTATCAGTGTTGGCTGGGCAGCATTGACCACCACAGCCCTGGGAGATGGTTCTGGGTGCCCATGCCATGACAGAAGAAGCATGAAAGCTTCCAGCGCACCAGCAAGCCAGGGTGAATAGGGGCCAACTCCTTCATGCAAGCAGGCTCTAGATGCCCACCTGCTAGCGGGAAATAATAGCATCAGATAGCAACCACCAGGACACACACACACACACACACACACACCAAACTCTGCACCACTTAGTAGAGTGATACCATGGACACTGGCATTCCAGACTCGGGATCAAATCCCGGTTACACTACTTCCTAGCTGTGCAAACTTAGGTAGTGTTATGGGCTGAATTGGGTACCTCCAAAAATTCATAAGTTAAAGTCCTTAATAAGCCTTCAGTATCTCAGAATGTGACCTTACTTGGGAATAGAGTCTCTACGGAGAAATTCAAGTTAAAATGAGGTCTTTGGCCAGGCACAGTGGCTCACACCTGTAATCCCAGCACTTTGGGAGGCTGAGACGGGTGTATCACCTGAGGTCAGGAGTTTGAGACCAGCCTGACCAACATGGTGAAACCCCATCTCTACTAAAAATACAAAATTACCCAGGCATGGTGGCACATGCCTGTAATCCCAGCTACTCAAGAGGCTGAGGCAGGAGAATCGCTTGAACCCAGGAGGTGGAGGTTGTAGTGAGTCAATATTGCACTACTGCACTCCAGCCTGGGCAATAACAGTGAAACTCCGTTTCAAAAAAAGAAAAAAAGAAGGCTGGGCCCAGTGGCTCATGCCTGTAATCCCAGCACTTTGGGAGGCCAAGGCGGGTGGATCACCTGAGATCAGGAGTTCGAGACCAGCCTGGCCAACATGGTGAAAGCCTGTCTCTACTAAAAATACAAAAATTATCCTGGCATGGTGGTAGGAGCGTGTAATCCCAGCTACTCAGGAGGCTGAGGCAGGAGAATTGCTTGAACCCAGGAGATGGAGGTTGCAGTGTGCCGAGATCGCACCATTGCACTCCAGCCTCAGCAACATAGCGAGACCCCATCTCAAAAAAAAAAAAAAAAAAAGGTCTTTGGGGTGGGCCCTAATCAATATGACTGGTGTCCTTATAAGCAGGGGTAGTTTGGACAGATACACACAGAGGTTAGACAAGGTGAAGAGACGCAGGGAGAAGGTGGCCATCTACAAGCCAAGGAAAGAGGCCTGAACAGATCCTTCCTTCACAGCCCTCAGAAGGGTGCTCCCAAGACCCTGATTTTGGACATCTGCTTTCCAGAACTGTAAGCCACCCAGTCTGTGGTATTTTGTTACGGGAGCCCTAGCAAGCCAATACAGGTAATGACTGTTTCTTGTAGCCTCAGTTCCCAAACGCCTAAGCAGAAATTATAAGAGTACTTGCCTCAGCTGGGCACGGTGGCTCATGCCTGTAATCCCAGCACTTTGGGAGGCAGAGGCGGGTGGATCACGAGGTCAGGAGATTGAGACCGTCTTGGCCAACATGGTGAAACCCCATCTCTACTAAAATACAAATTAGCTGGGCATGGTGATGCGTGCCTGTAATCCCAGCTACTTGGGAGGCTGAGGCAGGAGAATCTCTTGAACCTGGGAGGTGGAGGTTGCAGCGAGCTGAGATCGCGCCACTGCACTCCAGCCTGGCGACAGAGTAAGACTTCATCTCAAAAAATAAAAAAAAAAAAAACAAAGTACTTGCCTCATAGGTTGATATGGGGCTGAGATGAGATGGTACTGGTAGCACATAGTACCTACTCAATAAATGGGGGTGGCATTTACTATTATGGTTATTATTCACCATAGGTTACTCACTTCCATATACACTTATACAATTACTCACATATTCCAGACAATACTGTATTGTATACCTCCCAAGTACCAAGCATGTGAGCCTTGAGATTAAACAGACTTCTCTTATCTTGGGGGACTTGACAATAAACAAAGATAGCCCTATTCTCACGGGAGATACAGTTTACATACACACGAATTCGCTGATGGAAGAGCAAATGGCTGTGGGTTTGCCCATGTGTGTGCATTTGTTACTGTGTGTGTGTACATGGTGTTAATGTATGCATGGGTGCATCAGGGTATCCATGTGCAAGTTAGTATGTGTGCATCTGGATATCCAAGTGTGTACCTGTGTGTACCTGTGCATGCATAAGCATACACGTGTGTTGTACATGTGGTGGTATAGCATATGTGCACATGTACGTTAGCATGTACATGAATATGCATGTGGGGGCATGAGAACATATGGGCCAGTATGAATCTGGGTCAGTGTGACTGAGCATGGGCAGATGTGCAAGCACGCGTGAGAAGAGTAGGGTCCAAAGCTGGTGCCCTCTGCTGCCTACAGTCCAAGAAGGAGCTCTATGAGGTCATCTTAGCCTCAGCCACCTGGCAGCCTCAAGTGGACAGACACCCCTTCCCCAAGTCAAGTTAGAATGCTCCCATGCCAGGCCGGGCGCGGTGGCTCACGCCTGTAATCCTAGTACTTTGGGAGGCCGAGGTGGGTGGACTGCCCCAGCTCAGGAGTTCAAGACCAGCCTGGACAACACGGTGAAACCCCGTCTCTACTAAAATACAAAATATTAGCCAGGCATGGTGGCGTGCGCCTGTAATCCCAGCTACTCGGGAGGCTGAGACAGGAGAATCTCTTGAACCCAGGAAGTGGAAGTTTCAGTGAGCCGAGATCACACCATTGCACTCCAGCCTGGGTGACAGAGTGAGACTCTGTCTCAAAAAAAAAAAAAAAAGAAAAAGAAAAAGAAAAAGAAAAAAGAATGCTCCCATGCCAAGGCATCTGCCCCAGGATCCTCCCCAGTGCATAGTCTTGGTTTTCAGTTAGTCCTTCCTGTATTCTGAAACCAGCAGTCCCAAATATCCTGAATGAAACAGACATCAGCCCTAGATTCCAGGCACACATTAGTACTATGTCCTCACTCAGCTCCCCTCAACCTATCTTTCCAAAGAGGGAAGTGGGATTCCACATTCCAAAGGCTGCTCCAATTTGGGTGTCCTATTCCTGCACCCCACATGCTCAACATCACACTCCCTGTCCCCCACCACCCAGGGTTCAGGGGCCTAATTTACCCGGGCACTTGTACCACCATCACAGAACCTGATGCTTCATAGAGAAGTAAGGCTGGATATGGGTCTAGGAGAGGCAAGCCCTCAAGTACTAGCCAGGCCAGTGCCCAGTGGGCATCTGTAGCTCCAAGTGGCAGCTGTGAGGGGACACCCAAGGGTGAAAGAGACCTAAGGCACTGGGGCTTGGGGTAGGGAGTGGAGTCCCACAGATGAGACCACACCCAGGGGACTGACCCCTACCCCACTCTCACTCTTCCCTGCCCAGGACCTGGTAGACCCCTAAAGGACAAGACTTGGAGAACCAGAGACATCTGGGCCAGACTCTCCTCTACCCCAAAACTAAAGTCTGAACTACAAATCTGAGTTCCAATAGTTTTAATAGTGATGACAATGACGACAGAGGCTCACATATATCATGCAGTTACTAAGTACCTGGACCTACACTCAGCACTTTCCATGCACTGTCCCATAGAAGCCACACATTGTTTTGGTGGGGTTAGGGACCATCAGTGTTACCCCCATTTTACAATTGAGGAAACCAAGGCTCAGTTTGGGTCATCTGCCCTCCAGCATGCAGTCAATTAGTGGCAGAGCCAGGATTTAAGCTTGGTCCTCCTGAGTCCAGAACCCACACTCTCAACCACCAAGTTCCTACCTTACTGAGTGATCCCTCTCTCAATCTCCCATTGTTCAGTGACTTGCTAGACTCCATCACCTCCGATTTCTGTGGGACTCCCAATATGCCTCTCAGTGAGGGTGGCAGCCTTCCCTCGGGTCTCGTGAGGTGTGCAGATGACAGGACCACTCCAGACCCACTAAATCAGACTCTCCACACTGGCCTGCCCCCTCCTCCTCACATCTGCGTGCTCACAAGGGCAAGTGGTCTGCTGTGCACCAGGATTTGAGAATTCCTGGGGTGGTGGGATCCCTTGGCCAGAAAGAAGCTAGGAAAAGGTGAAATGCACACTCTCCCCCAAGCCCTTCTGGGGAAACTTCAGGTCAGAAGACTGAGGATGCCCTGAGGCCTGGCTACCATTCCTTCCTCATCAAATGGGCAACATTAATGGGGAGACGATCCATGAATTCCAGAGGTGTTGCCAATTATGGGGGTGGGGAAAACGAAATGAGTTCTGCCCAATCACCTCCCTGCTATCCCTGAGCCAGAGGGGCACAGATCCTCCCCTTTAATCCCTCCCCCGCCTCCCCCGACCCCCGCCAAACTTGAGTGGGGTGGGAGCAACCAGCACGGTTTAGGGGAGTGGGCCATGTCGGGCTAGAGCGACAGGAAGGTGGGAGCCCCTCGTAGACAAAGACTGACCCCAGCCAGGCCGGCTGGCCAGCCAGCCCATCCCCACCCCCCTGCGGCAGGCAGCTTGGCAGGGCTGAGCGCCAGCTCCTCGCTCCAAACCGAGTTCCCGCCGAGCGTGCTTAATGCAGCGGCAGTGACATTTCTGCCTTCAGAGGCAAAAACAGGAACCCGGCCATTTTGATGAACGGCGCCCAGAGCGCTGGCGGGAGACAAGGAGGGTCAGGTTCTGACTCCTGCACCCCCGGCTGCCCTAACCGGCTCACCCCTGCCAGGCCCAGGGATCAAGCCAGAGAGAGCGACACGAAACCAGGGTCACCAGACCGACAGGGAAGCTGCTATAGAACCCCCACCCTCTTGTATAGGTGAGGAAACTGAGGCCATAGCGCTGACACTAGCCAGATGCAGGGAAGGCAAACGGAAGGATTAAGAAAGCCCCAGAAGGATGCCTTGAGGAATGTCGGGTAGGAGCGCTCGTCTGAGGAGCTAGAAGGCTAACTCCAGCCCGCTACAATAGCCCACCCCAAAGGAGTCTGCACACCTGGAACCCACCCCTACGGCGCGCCCTCATGAGGGCGCTCCCAGCGCCTCTAACCCTCCAAGTAGCGAGAGGGTTAAGCTTCCTCGCAGTACTTGCCGCAGTAAGTGGAAAGGAAAGAAGTGTCAACTCTGTTCTCACCACAGCGGGGCTGTCGGATGGCACCTCCCCCCGCCCCGCGCACCCCGCCCGGCCTGCTCCCCCGCCCTCCCCTCGGAGCGCGCGCGCACACACCTCCCACCGCTTTGCCCAAATTATTTTCGATCCCGGGAGACTCCGGATGCCAGACGCGCTCGGCGGCGGCGGCGGCGGCGGCGGCCGCGCCTGATTCATTGCGCCAAAGCTGCAGATGCGACCTCCCGCCTGCGCCCGGTGCCCCGGCCCGCGCTGGGCTGCGCGCGCCTGGAGAGATGGGGGGCAATTTGTAGGCGCTTCCCCCCCACACAAAAGAGGCGGGTCCTGGCCCCCCGGGGCTCTGTCCCCCTGTCTCCAGCTCCCTGGGCTGCGCTAATTAGCTTCCTCAGGGGGCGCCACGCGGCGTGAGGGGCGGCAATTTCCCGGCTGGGCTGCGGGGGAAGCGCTCCCGCCGCCTGGGAAGGTGAAATGGGAAACTCGATTCAAAGAGAGCTTTCCTCCCCCCTCCCGCCAAGCGCCGTAGAAAACGGGTTTGAAATTCCTCCTCCTTTTTTTTTTTTTTTTTTATTTATAGTGCACGGTCTCCATGGCAACCGCGGAGGAGGTCACGGTAGCTGGGCCCCCGCGCGTCACCCCGCGCCTCGCCGGCTGCAGGCGCCGGGATTGCGGCCTCCCAGGCGCCGCGGCCCGCGTGGACTCAGCTCCGAGTTCTCCGCCCCCGCTCCGCCCTGCTCGCGGCTCAGGCCCCAGCCATATGACTCTGCCAGGTCCCAACCGCGAATGGCGCACCTGGGCACCAGTGCGCTAGGCTATACCTCTGTCCCCGGGCTCTAACACGCGGGACTGCACCACGAAACACGTGCCCAACCCCAAGACAAGAACACGTGCGGCAAGACGCCGCCAAGGGGCTCTCTGCATTCGTGGATGCCCTGGGTAATCGACCTATATTGGCGCACAACTGCAGAGCTCTTGCTAAGACGCGACCACCCGAGGCTAACAACGCTGGCTTTGGAGTCAGAGCCCAGCCCCGCCTCGATAACTTACTAGCTGTGTGACTTCGGCCAAGTCACCACCTCTCTGCGCCTCAGCTTCCTCATCAGCAAAATGGAATTGTTGTGAGGCCTAATTGATACAAAATACGTTCAACGCCTATCATGGTGTTTGGCACGTGGTTCTGAAAATCTGTGGTTGGAGTTATTTCTTCTTGGCTGTGAAAGCCAAGGCCCTAAAGACTTTGAATAGGGGCGCGCGCTTAGCCCGGAGGCTAGGAGTTCCGCCTCGGGAGCTCCCCAGCACCTCAGCCTAGGCGCACAGGCGGCTAGTGGGAGGCGCGTGCGGGCTGCTTAGGGACTGGGCCAGCCTGGGGCGCGGCGGGCGGGGTTGCAGTCTCCAGAGCTCGCCACGTCCGCACCCGGAACCCTGGAAACGGGGCTCCCAGAGGCTCCCCCGCTACCATCCCCCCGCCCCCCCACGCCCGTCCCAGCACCATTAGCAACAGGCCTGCCCGCCCGCCCTCCTAGGCTGAGGCCGCACCTGACCCACCGGATGGCGGCTTCTGGGCTGAGCCGTGCCCCCCAGCGTGCACACTTCCTCCCGGACCCCCAGCGCCCCGTCGAGTGCACAGAGGGAGGGGATCGGGCCGCCCCCGCCCCGCCAGCTTCCCACAGCCAGAGCTGCCCGGAGCCGGGGAGGCAGGAAGTCTCAGAGCCGGGGCGTGGAGGCGGGGTGGGGGCAGGAAGTTGGGGGTGACTCTCCCAGAGACCCCAGACAGGGCCCCGGCGTGGGAGCGGGGTGGGCGGGCACGTAGGGATTAAGGGCGCCCCCCTCCTCTGTAGCCTTAGGCCATGTGACCCCGGCTGGAACACCCTGCAGGGTGAGGGCGAAGGCCGCTACCTCTGGCGACCCCCAGCAGCGCGCACAGGGAGGGAGGGGCCGCCTTTGTCTACTTTGCCGCAGAGGCAGCCCCCCACAACCCCTCCCCTCAGCGCCCCGCCGGGCCCTGCACAGCCCGGGTTTTCCATCCGGCCCGGCTCGGCTCGGCAGCTGTCAGGGGACCGAGCTGACCTTCGCGAGCAGGGAGTTTCAATTAGCCGCAGATCAGATAAGCGGGCGGGCCAGTCTCTCCGGGCACCGCGGGGGCGCAGCCCCGCCCCCGCCACGCCGCGCCAAACGCGCTCCAGATGGGAACAAAGATGAGGACGCAGCTCCACCTGCCTCCCCGGGGAGGGGAAGAGGAGGCCCCGCCGGGAGGACCTTCCCACCAGGGGAAGAGGTCGCGCGCCCTACCCTGCCCTGCCCGTCTGGGATTCCAGGGTCATGGGTCTGGCCAAGATGATCTTTGCGGTTCTGCTTGCCTCCTGCACTGAGGAGAGGTGCCTGCTGCACTGACCTCATCCCCGGGCGGGCGCCGTGCCCTCCCTCTCCCGGAGGGAGCGTTTTGCCATCTCTGATCTCATCCAGAGCCTCCCTGGGAGGCTGAGAGAAGGCAGAGCCCAACAGAAAAAGGAAGCTGAGGCTGGGACTTCTTGATCCAGGTCACACCAACTACATATTGTTCAGATGTTTACTGAGTGCCTACTACGTGCTAGGCACTATTTAGACCATGGGAACACGAGAGCACAGTCTTGTCCCCAGCCTCCCAGAACTTGCGTTCTAGTCACGTTCAAGTAAACAAATAGTTGACCATGATCACTTCAGAGAGCATGAGGAGCCATGAGGACATTAAAGTAGGTCATGTGAGACTGACTTCAGGGAGGGGTCCATATGAGCTATTGTCGTCAGGGGAGGCCTCTGAGGAGAAGACATCTGAGCTGGAGCCTGAAAGACCAGGAAAAGCCAGCCAAGCAAAGGAGAGGGGGCAGAGCATGCCAGGCAGAGGGCACAGCAGGCACAGAGGCTCCAAGGCTGCAAAGGCTCCAAGGCTGCAAAGAACGTGCCTCTTGAAGGTGAGGGGAAGGCCTTTGTAAGCCCAAAGGGTATGCCTATAGGGCTGGGCTTTGCAGGCCCCCTGAGGGGCCAGGGTTTATGCAAAGTGCCATGGCAGCCTTCAGTGGGTTTTAAGCTGGGAGATCTGACTTAAACTTTTTAAAGATCCCCCTGGCCACCCTGTAGACCAGTGGAAAGGATCAAGCAGGGAGACCTGGGAGGAGGGGCTGGGGGTTGGGATAGCGAGGGAAAGATGGTGGTGGAGAGGTTGCTGGCTTAGAGATATTTTGGCAGATGAATTGGATGTGTGGGTGAGGTAGAGTGATAGAAGTTTGCTGAAACAGGCCGGATTTGAACCTAGGTCGGTCTTTGGGAGCATGGAGGCCCAGCTTAAGAGGTTAAGGATAAAGCTATGGAGCAAGAAGCCAGGGTTGAAATGCCAGTAGTGATATTTACTAGCTGAGTGACCTTGGGTAAACATTTAGATCAATTTCCTCAAGCATTTGAAAAGAAAAGGATGGGATCATAATCCAGATTGTCATTGTGAGGTTTGAGTATGATGTAAGGTGGAAGTGTTTAGCATTGAGCCTGGGAGGAGTAGGTGCTCTATAGATGTTGGCTGTTATTGTGGGGGTTGTTGCTACTCCACCCACCCCCACACACCTGCCTCTTAGTACCAGAACAGTCCTCAACACACAGCCTGGCCTTTCCACCCGACCTCTGGCTTTGTTTTCATTTGCTAAGGGTAGAAGCTCCTCCTCCCATCAACCACTGCTCCCCTCACACACCTTTGTTTGGAAGGCTGTTTGAGGGGGTGGAGGTCACTGGGAAGAGACCGACCCAGTCCTTGTTCACTAAACCGTCTGCTGGGATCCTCCTCATCTCAGGACCCTAACTCTCCATCCTCTGGTTACAGTAAGAGTTGCTCAAAGGTCTCAAGGTGAGCCCTCCCCCACTGCCTGCCTGAAGAGTTGAGACCATTCAGTTATCACGCATTCAATCAGTTGAGTGACCCTCCAGGGCCCAGGGTAGTGGTGGGGACAGACAAAAGCAAATGCAGGCCCTGCCCTCGGGCAGAGGCCTAGACTCTTTCCTGAATTGCAGTTAGTTATGGCATTTTAGGCTCTAGGAGCTGAAGGAGCTGAGCAGGGCAGGTAGAGGGGTCGGGGTGGAGGCCTAAATTACAACTCCCATTTATGGAAACTTTACCCAGGGCCAGGCACTTTGCTCTGGTCCGTGAATGTCACACATACATGTCATCGAGTCCTTACAACCACCCCATCCACCCCATGAGATTGGTACAATTTTTTGTTTTTGTTTTTCCGAAAGAGTCTCGCGCTGTCACCCAGGCTGCAGTGCAGTGGCGTGATCTCGACTCACTGCAACCTCCACCTCCCAGGTTCAAGTGATTCTCCTGCCTCAGCCTCCCAAGTAGCTGGGATTACAGGCATGCACCACCATGCCTGGGTAATTTTTGTATTTTTAGTAGAGAGGGGTTTCACTATGTTGGCCAGGCTGGTCTTGAACTCCTGACCTCATGATCCGCCCGCCTTAGCCTCCCAAAGTGCTGGGATTACAGGCTACAGGCATGAGCCACCGCGCCCAGCTGGTTTTTCTTGTTTGTTTGTTTATTTGTTTGTTTTTGAGATGGAGTTTTGCTCTTGTTGCCCAGACTGGAGTGCAATGGCGTGATTTCAGCTCACTGCAACCTCCGCCTCCCAGGTTCAAGCGATTCTCCTGCCTCAGTCTTCCGAGTAGCTGGGATTACAGGCTCCTGCCACCATACCCGGCTAATTTTTTTGTATTTTTAGTGGACATGGGGTTTCATCATGTTGGCCAGGCTGGTCTTGAACTCCTGACCTCAGGTGATCCATCTGCCTCAGCCTCCCAAAGTGCTGGAATTGCAGGCATGAGCCACTGCACCCAGCACAATCATTGTTCTTAATGTATGAGTAAACAAACAGAAACTTCCAGAGGTGATGTGCCTTGCCCAAGATCTGCCATTAAGTGGTAGGGCTGGAAATCAAACCCAGGCCTGGCTGAAGCCAGAACAGGAGAATTTAGCCATTCTGCTATCTGGCCTCATATGTCATTTAATGGACAAATGCTTCTTAAAGGCCTTCAACCGACATCCTGTAGAGATGGATCTGCCCCTTCTGCCCTTGACTTCCCTGTGTGCCTGAATTTTCAAGGACAGAGGCTGAATCAAGCCCAGCCGGGTTCTAGGTACACAGTAGGTATACTTCAGTGTGGCAACCTCTTGACAAAGCAGTGATGATACCTGCCCTCACCTCCACACCTCCCCTTGGGTTCTGGGCCCCCCTTTCAGCCCATTTCAGAGAACCTCAGAGCTGTGGACTAGAAAAAGAAAGTTCTACTTTGCATAATATTTGCATCTGCTTTGCATGCTGTTCACCTAACATCAAAATGTACAGAGGCCTTGGCGCTGGCACCCTATTCCCCCTCTTGGGCTCCTAAGCCCACCCACCTGCCGACCCAGACCAGGGGGTAGGGTTCTTGGGGGACCCATTTAGGCTCCACATAAGCTTGTCTACTTCCAGTGTGCTGGTGAGGGAGATGGGAAGGCTCCTGCCCTCATCTCTGCCCCTCCCTCCCCTCCATCCCTTCCTGGGGGAAGTGTGGTGGGTCAGGGCAGGAAACCTAGGCAGCACGCACACACACATGCAGAGCAGTGCGGCAGGAACTACCCCCGATCTGGGAGCCTGCCTGGGAGCCTGAGGTTGAGGAGAAGGGAAAGGAGGCATTGCTGCTACAGCTGCTACTGCTGAAGGCTGGCTCGACTGCACCTAGCAGGAGCCTCACGCCCCAGCCTCTCTTCACACAGGGCTAGGCTGCCGTCTCAGGAGCTCACCCCTACACACCCTTCTGATTGGGCTGCTTTGTCTGGGGGGAAAGAGAGGGGAGGGACAGGAAGAAATGGAGATGCCAGTAATGGGATGGTAGCAAGGACTAGAAAAGAAACTGTGGCTCTGCGATCCTGGGGGGAGAATGGGGAGAGTCTGGAAACAGCCCAGCCTCAGCCTGGAGCTTTAACCAGGTCAGAGCCGCCTAAGAGAGCCTGATATGAAAATATAGAAGGAGGGAGCTCCTGTGATTGGCTGATGAGGTGTGACCCATGTGAGTTAACAGAGGCCAATAACCTGTCTTGATTGGATCCAGCCATCATTGTTCCCAAGCCATGAGTGCCTTGGGGTCTAATTGGCCATGAGATGTCTGCAGTTGAGGACTGTGGTTAGCAGCAGCATCTTGCAGCCCACACATCCCCTGTCGCTATGTCAGATGGAGATTTCAGGCTTGGAGGCACCCAGTGGGTACCTGAGTAAGAACCAGAGACCCAGGAACTCAGAATGCTGGGTTCACCTGGGGTCCATAGATAAGGGGAGGCAACAGGATACTTACTGAGTGGCTTTGGGCCAGCCATGTGATGGGTGCTGAGGGTGGCACAGGGTGCTGACAGCCTGGCAGGGATCCTCAGACCTGAAGACAACCACTGCACAAACACTAACCTGAGAGCCCTTCCTGGAGGAGGCAGCACAGGTGTTGGGCTTCAATGGATGGGTTAGAGGGCCAGCATGGTGGCTCACACTTGCAATCCCAGTGCTTTGGGAGAGCGAGGTGGGACGATCACCTGAGGCCAGGAGTTCAAGACCAGCCTGGGCAACACAGTGAGACCCAAGGCCTGAGACCTTGTTTCTACAAATAATTTTTAAAAAACACACACAGGCCAGGCACAGTGGCTCGCACCTGTAATCCCAGCACTTTGGGAGGTCGAGACAGGAGGATCACTGGAGCCCAGGAGTTCAAGACCAGCCTGGACAACAAGGCAAAAGCCCATCTCTACAAAAAATATAAAAATTGGCTGGGCGCGATGGCTCATGCCTGTGATCCCAGAACTTTGGGAGGCTGAGGTGGGAGGATCACGAGGTCAGGAGATAGAGACCATCCTGGCTAACACGGTGAAACCTCATCTCTACTAAAAATACAAAAAATTAGCCGAGTGTGGTGGCAGGCGCCTATAGCCCCAGCCACTCGGGAGGCTGAGGCTGGAGAATGGTGTGAACCCAGGAGGCAGAGCTTGCAGTGAGCTGAGATCGCGCCACTGCACTCCAGCCTGAATGACAGAGCGAGACTCCGTCTCAAAAAAAAAAAAAAAAAAATTAGGTGGGTGTGGTGGCATGCATCTGTGGTCCCAGCTACTTGGGAGGCCGAGGTGCGAGGATGGATTGAGCCTGGAAGGTCGAGGTTGCAGTAAACCCTGATTATGCCACTGTACTCCAGCCTGGGTGACAGAGTGAGACCCTGTCTCACAAATAAATAAATAAATAAATACACACAAAGGATGGGTGGAAAAAGTGACAAGACATGACTGAAAGCACAGTGGGCAGGGACTTCTCCAGGGTGTCAAGGACCACGGCAGTAGAAGAGAAGAGAAAAGGCAGCAAGGCTGGGTTGTGAGAGGCTCTGAATGCCAGGGCCAGGAGGCAGGAGTTTGACAGGCAGGAGGGGGAATGAAAGGTAGATGCAGACTGGAGAGGGAGATGGAGATTCCCCCTGCTTGCCCCTACACTTGCATCCTTACCTCTGCCCTGGCAGGCAAAATGCCAGGCCTGCATGGAGGTCCCCAGCGCACCATCAGCTCCATCTACCATCTACACACAGCACACTGGGTCTTGTCCCCAGGCCCTGGAGCAGTTCCTCTGCTGCCCTCAGTTGAGTTCCCAGAGGAAGCTTCTACCATGGAGTGGACTCTCCTGGGCCCTGGGTCTTCTCCTTGTGTGCGTCCTCCTCACCAGCCTGAGCTCAGCTGAGTGGCCATGCTGGCAGAGACCCTCACAATCATTCCCACAGCCCTTACAGCTCTGGGGTCACACAGTCTCAGGCTTCAGTCCAGTTACGATAACTTAAAGTCACATAATCTCCTCAAACCTCAGTTTCCTCACCTCAAAATGGACATAATACCAAGTTTATTTTTTTCCTTTTTTTGAGACGGAGTCTCGCTCTGTCGCCCAGGCTGGAGTGCAGTGGCGCGATCTCGGCTCACTGCAACTTCTGATTCCCTGGTTCAAGCGATTCTCCTGCCTAAGCCTCCCGAGTAGCTGGGATTACAGGCACGCGCCACCAAGCCCAACTAATTTTTGTATTTTTAGTAGAGACGGAGTTTCACCATGTTGGCCAGGATGGTCTCGATCTCCTGACCTCGTGATCCACCTGCCTTGGCCTCCCAAAGTGCTGTGATTACAGGTGTGAGCCACTGCACCCAGCCTTTTTTTTTTTTTTTTTTTTTTGAGATGGAGTTTTGCTCTTGTTGCCCAGGCTGGAGTATGCAGTGGTGCGACCTCAGCTCCCTGCAACCTCCGCCTCCCAGTTTCAAGCAATTCTGCCTCAGCCTCCCAAGTAGCTGGGATTACAGGCGCCTGCCACCATACCCAACTAGTTTTTGTAGTTTTAGTAGAGACAGGGTTTCACAATGTTGGCCAGGCTGGTCTCGAACTCCTGACCTTGTGATCTACCTGCCTTGGCCTCTCAAAGTGCTGGGATTACAAGCGTGAGCCACTGTGCCTGGCCTGTGCCTGGCATTCTTTCAGGCACTGGGGCTTCAGCAGTAAATTGCACAGACAAGGTCCCTGTTCTCATTGGTTTCCATTCTAGAGGGGGAAAATGAATGTAAAAATGAAGTCGTTTCACATTATGGCAAATGCTGTGAAATTATAAATAGGATAAGGTAACAGGGGGACATAACAGAGTAACTGGAGGTGGAAGAGTGATTTTAATTGTTTTGTTTTGTTTTGTTTTGTTTTTTTGAGATGGAGTCTTGCTCTGTTGTCCAGGCTGGAGTGTAATGTCAGGATCCTGGCTCACTACAACCTCTGCCTCCCAGGTTCAAGCAATTCTCCTGCCTCTGCCTCCGGCATAGCTGGGATTACAGGCACCCGCCACAAGGACTGGCTAATTTTTGTATTTTATTAGAGACAGGGTTTTCCCATGTTGGCTAGGCTGGTCTCAAACTCCTGACCTCAAGTGATCCACCTGCCTTGGCCTCCAAAAATGCTGGGATTAAAGGTGTGAGCCACCGCACCCGGCCAAGAGAGTGATTTTGGATAAGGTGGTCAGGGACTTTGTCTCTGAGGTGTCATTTGAGCTGAGACCTGAAGAATGCAGAGCCAACCATGCTAAGAGGTAGGCAAAGGGTGTTCCACAGAGCAGAAACAGCAAGTGCAAAGATCCTGAGGCAGGAAGAGCTTGCTCTGTGGGGAGGCTGGAGTGGCTGGAGCAGAAGGAGCAGGGAGGAAAGAGGCATGGCTACTGGGGGTCCTCAAGGACCTTGGGAGAAGTCTGGCTTGAATTCCAAGGGCTGTAGAAAACCATCAGAGGTGCTGGGTGCGGTGGCTCATGCCTGTAATCCCAGCACTTTGGGAGGCTGAGGCGGGTGGATCACCTGAGGTGGGGAGTTTGAGACCAGCCTGACCAACATGGAGAAACCCTGTCTCTACTAAAAATACAAAAGTAGCTGGGCGTGGTGACGCATGCCTGTAATCCCAGCTACTCAGGAGGCTGAGGCAGGAGAATCGCTCGAACCCGGAAGGCAGAGGTTGCAGGAAGCCGGGATCAAGCCATTGCACTCCAGCCTGGGCAACAAGAGCGAAACTCCGTCTCAAAAAAAAAACAAAAAACAAACAAACAAACAAAAAAACAAAAAAAAAAAAATCAGAGGTTTTCATCAGGTGTGCTTGATTTACACGGTAATTGCTCATTAAAGGCTTGCTGTTATCACTATGAATGATAATATGAAGCCCAGAGAGGAACAGCAATGCCCAAGGTCACAAAGTTCCCATCCCACAGTCCCTTCCTCCTTTCTCCCTCCCCTAAGTAGCCATGTGGATCAGCCCCAAGCTGGTGGGTAGGAGGTGAGGGTGGCTTCCCCTCTCATTCCCTCTCCTTCCCTCCGGCCATTTCCCGTGCTCCTGGTGCCCGCGCCCCAATTAGCCGGCAAGGCTGACGGCCTCAGCTTCGAATGACAGACACCTCCTGTCACCCCCTGACGGGCAAGGAGATTAACTCAGAGCAGCGCCAGCTCGAAGGGACGACAGGAAGGGGCGGAAGGGGGAGGGGACGACCAGACCTCCCCCGACCAAGGTCCCCTAGCGCCTTGGAAGGAAGTGTGTGAGGGTGGAGGGGGTTCTTCCCCCAAGAGCCGAGTGCTGGCAGGCTGGGAAGGACCACCTCAGCCTCCTGATTGGCTGCTCCCGGTTGGGGCCACTGCCCCAACTTCCATCCTTAGCTCCTCTGAGGGCAGAGAGTATGTTTGTGAATGCTTCACAGTGGCGCCCTCGGCACTGGGGGGGGTGGACCGACAGGAAACTCAGAAAAGGAGAGACTGGTCCAAAGGTCACACCGATGGGCTAGAATTTGAGCTGAGACTACCTGACGCCAAAGCCAAGCTTCTAACCACTGTACTTTATCACCCCTCTCTGTAGGAGGGGACTCAGCTCATGCCACTCAAGAATTTACAACCTACTTTGGGGCTGTGTGATACAAGCCCCCAGAAAGGGAAATTAACACAGCAGTTGTAGGCATAGACACTGAGCACCAAGCTGGGGGTCAGAATTCCAGGTAACTCTCCAGGAGGGTGGGGCCAAAAGAGGAGGGTACCGCATGGAAGCCAGCGCCCTGGAGGAGAGTAGCTGGGCCTCAAAACACAGGCATGGCTGGTCAGGAGAGGGCAAGAGGAAGGCTCTCCGATTCCAGGCAGAGGAGAAGTGCATGGACAAAGGCTTGAAGGTGAAATGGGCAAGGCATGCACTATCTGGTCAGACCTTCAGGCTGCAAATGACAAAAAGCCAACACACACTGGCTTAAGCAAAATTGGACCCTACTGGCTCGTTCTAAGGCTCAAGTAGAAGAGTGTTTGGCTTCAAGTTTAAAAGGGTCAGTATCCCTTTGCTGGCTTCATTCATGGGTAGCTCTCCTCAAAAGGTAGGTGGCCCCAGATTCCCACACTACCAGATCAGAGAACCCCTACTTCTTCCCAGTAATTTTTTTTTTTTTTGAGACGGAGTCTCGCTCTGTCTCCCAGGCTGGAGTGCAGTGGCACAATCTCGGCTCACTGCAACCTCCACCCCTCCAAGTTTAAGCAATTCTCTGCCTTAGCCTCCGGAGTAGCTGGGATTACAGGCGCAGGCCACCACGCCCGGCTAATTTTTTGTATTTTTAGTAGAGACGGGGTTTCACCATGTTGGCCAGGCTGGTCTTGAACTCCTGACCTCGTGATCCACCCGCCTTGGCCTCCCAAAGTGCTGGGATTACAGGCGAGAACCACCGCGCCCGGCCTCTTCCCAGTATTTCTAACCAAACCTTGGGATTCAGCCTGATTGGTCAGGCCCAAGTCACATGTCCATCTCTGAACCAATCACTGTGGTCAGGGAGGATGAGTTAGCTGCTTGGCTTAGTCCCTCAGCACCAGGGGTAGGTAGAGTCCCTCTAGAGCCTTAAGGCTGGTGGCAGAGGTGAAAGGTAGTCCTTCCAGAGGAGGGTGGGCACTGGGGGCCTGTCAACACCAGGGTGCCCTAGTCCCAGGGCTGGATTCTAGACCCTGGATGACCCCTCCATGGGCAGCCTAAGGACCCCCACTTTCTCCCCAATGCTAAGAGTTCCACCTGTGTAGATGACAAACAGCAGCCCAGCTCTGGCTAGGTGAGAGGGGCCTTCAGGAAGCTTCCTGATCTAGGACAGGAGAGGTCTTGGGAGTTTTCCCTGCCAGGCCTGCTCTGGTGCCTTGGATGTCTCCATGGGCCCATCTCGTCTCTCCACCCATCCTTCACTTTTAGCTCAGATATGAGCTTCCTCCTAGAGTTTGTTTCGTTATCAGAGTCTTTACTTGCCTTTTACAAAGTTACCCACTCTGGCTAGAGCCCAGGAAGGGCAGTCTTGGAATAGGAAAGACTACGGCCAGGTGCCAGGAAGGACTGCCACAGGGAGAGCCTTCCACCCTATAGCCAGGAATGGGTATGGCTCTCAGTCTTATGAAGCAGTCAGCAGCCAGGCCAGCCTCCAGGTTAGGGTGAGCACTGCAGCAGCCCATCCTGGAGCCAATGACCCTGGAAATAATGAGTTGTGTTCACTTGCCAGAAGCAGGAGGCACCAGTCTTCTGGCAGCCATGCTCATGTGTTTGCAGCATGGACTTGGAAGTCATACTGACAGAGACTTGAATTCTAGGTTGGCTGAGTGATGTTGGACTTGCCCCTCTAGCCTTTGGTCTTCTCATCAGGAAAATGAGGATAATGCAAGGAAGGCCTGACCTCAAGGGGTAGCAAAGTTCCAAAGAGATATTGCACACCAGGTGTTGGCACCACTCTTGGCACAGAGATTCTTCCATGAAGGGGCAACTGTTAACTACTAGTATTCTTCTAGCTTTGACTGGCCCTTAGCCTAGAGCTCAAGGCAGCCTTTTCTGGACCTCAGTTTCTCCATTTGGACTTCCAGCCCTCTCACTCCCAGAGTGGGTGACTTGCATGATCTCAATGAGGGGAGGACCCCTCCCACATCGGTCAGTCCGTGGGGGCGTGGGGGGGGTGTGGGAAGGCTGTCATGCCCAACCAACATTTTCACCAGGCTGGGCGGGCAGCGCCAGGCAGGCGGGAGCTGGTCAGGTTTTTAATTGAACACGATGCAAATGAAATGTAAATACCATGCAAATAAGCTCTTGCCAGGAGGCGCTGAGCTGGGAGCAGAGGGAGCAGGGAGGGGACTGCTGAGTAGGGCTCCTCCCCGGCCTCCACTTTTCTCTCTCCTGTGGCTGCCCACGCCCACCCCCTGGTGCTGCCCACCCAGCTAAGCCATTCCATTTGGGGAACAGCAGGCGCTTCACCTCCCGAGTCTCCTCCCAGATGCCTGTGGCTCCTGGTGATGGTGGGGTGCTTGAGGAGGCAGGGACCCCATAGATGGGGCCAGGCTGACACAAACACAGTCACACAGAAAGACCCACATGTAGACATAGAAGGAACAAACAGATACAGACGCAGAAATGCACATTCCCTGTCAAGCCCCCTGCAACACTGAGAGACCCCTCAGAGACAGCCAGTCACACATAAATATACACGATTGTACATTCAGTCATAAATACACACAGCGGCACAAATAGACCCAGCCGCAGAGGCACACGTGTGTACACACACACACACACACACACACACACACACACACACACAAACTGCCTGCCCTGCCATAAGGACTTCAGACTGAGGTCCTTGTGCCGGCTGAAGGTCAGAGAGTGGGACTTTGGGGAGTGGGGGAACAGGCACCCTGTGTGGTCAGAGCCTCGTGGCCTGAGCAAAGCCAGGCAGGCAGAAGGGTGGGGAAATCTTCAGGGTGGCCTGGGCCCTTTGCCCACCCCCATCCCAAGACCCATGACCACACCCCAGGGCTCACGGCCACTAGAGACCCCAGGTGTTGGTCCATCCCCTAAGTCCTCAGGGTCCACTGGGCCTATCCCGGGATTTAGAGTCTCCTGTGGTCCCACAGCACCCGCTCCTGAGGCAGCCAGCCATTTAAGTGAGGCTGGTCCAGGGTGACAGAGCCTGGTCAGCAAGGTCAGAACTCATGCCCCACCCTGCCAAGGGTAGGGGGTGACACACAGGGGAGTAGGAAAAAGCCTGAGCGTCTGGACCCACATCTGGGGGTGGTCCCAGCCCCCTCCTAGAGGTGACTCACGTCCTACATTTAACTCTCATTAGCGCCTCTGAGCCCAGCTGGGAGGGACAGCGGCCAACCTCTCCCAGCACAGGGAGCTCTGGGTGGGCCGCCCTCTCAGCAGCCTCAGTTTCCCCCCTCTCCAGGACCTGGCCTGGGGACAGGGGCTGCGTGGGAGAGCGGCGCTCCTAGTTCCCTTCGCCTTAGCAAGGGCTGGCCTCCATCCCACGGAGGGAGGGACTGGGTGTGGCCTCTTCCAGGAACCACCCCAGCAGGCCCCCGCCGGATGCAGCGGCAGCGGCACAGTCCCCCCACTCCCCACTCCGCCCCCCACCAGCCAGGCCCAGAGGTCGGGAAGGAGGGGAGGGCCAGAAGGCGTAGGATCGGAGGCGGCCGGACTTGCTGCTGCTCCGCCGCTTGTCCCTATCCGGCCGCGGCCCTCCGACAGCCGCAGCGCGAGGGAAAGCCTGACCCAGGGCGGGGGTGGGTGAATGGGGGCCAGGGAAGGAGAGACGTGGCCAAAGACCCAAGGCGGTTCCCGGCCTCCTTCCTTCTCCGCTTCACAAGCGCGGCCCTGCTCTCACTGTGACTGCAGCTGCCCTGTGAGTCGCTCATCGCGTGCCGACACCGTGGGCGCAGGCCCCAGGGAGGCCACGCTAGAGACCCCCACCCCGCCCCAGGAGGGGCCGGTTCCGCCAGCCTCCACCACACTCCCTCCCCCTTCCCTGCTCTGTGGGAAGGAGGCAGCTGGGGCGGGGGTGGCCGCGGGAGCGTCTTGCCCGTGTGATCGTGCCGAGCGGGGAATTCGGGGCCATGTGGGAAAGACATTAGTGCCGGCCGCCCTGCCAGCCAGGAATGCGCCCCCCGCTCTGCAGCCGCCGCCTGCCTGGCCCAGAAACGGTGACTCACCCGCTCCGTGTTCCCACCCCCTCATCATGCACCCTCCCCTGCCCACCACAGGCCTGGCCCCAGGCTTTCCAGCCTCCCCGTTCTGCTCCTGCAGGTCCTGCTACCTGCCTTGCCCATCCTCCATTCTCTCAGTTTCTTAGAACACTGAACCAGCTCGCACCTCGGGGCAGTCCGCAGTCACAGCCCCCCGCCGCCCAAGGAGGCCCGTCTATCTCCCACAAGCTCTGGTTAGAACACTCCTTTGGGACTTAGTTCCTGGGGCTGTCTTCTCTCCAGACTGATCGCCCCCGTCCCGCTACCGGACCAGGCCAGGAGCACAGGGCAGGTGCAGAAAAAAGGAGTCAATGAAACCTCTTCAGCTCGAGAAGCAGAGCACTGTGTGGGAGTGCTGTTCCTAGGGCTCTTCCTCTAGGAACCTGAAATACAGCAAGGCCACCTACCTCAAAGGCTGTGTGACCCTGGACTCTTATTCCCCTAGCCTGAGCCTTGCTTTCCGCAGAATGGGACGACAGCACCATGTGCTAATGGTGACAGATATCTGTAAAGCCCTCGGCTCAGGGCCAGCTGCTGGAAGGGACTCAGTCATGATGACGGTGTTGATGATATCCCTGGCAATCAAGGCTATTTAATGAACACCTACTATGTACCGGGCCCTAGGTTGGGTACTTTCTTTTTTTGTTGTTTTTTTGTTGAGACTGAGTCTCACTCTTGTTATCCAGGCTGGAGTGCAATGATGCAATCTCGGCTCACTGCAACCTCTGCCTCCCGGATTCAAGCGATTCTCCTGTCTCGGCCTCCTGAGTAGCTGGGATTACAGGCCCATGCTACCACACCCGGATAATTTTTGTGTTTTTAGTAGAGATGGGGTTTCACCATGTTGGCCAGGCTGGTCTTGAACTCCTGACCTAAGATGATCTACTAGGCTGGGTACTTTCTGCATATCATCTCATCTAGTCTCTGCCTCAGTCCTATGAGGTAGGTTCTGTTACTATCCTTCCTGTACAGATAAGGAAATACTGAGGTTTGGCAAGGGGAAGACACTGACCCAGGCACCCACAAGAGACAACAGGGCTGTGGCCCCAGCACACCCAGAGCTCTCCAGCGCCCATACCAGAGCATCCTCTAGGTCTGCCTCTTCTAAAGATCACACTGGGCTCCAGTAGGCAGGCCCTTGCTGCCCCCACCCTCATTGGAACCCTGCAACCAGCCTCCACCCAGGGCCACCTCTCATAACTTTTAATAAGAGGTAATAGCACCAAGCAGCGGGCATCAGCTTCGTTTTTAATTATCTAATTTACATTTAATTTTCCCCAACAACGTGATGCAGTTTATTAATGTTTTACCTAAGAGCATCCATTCATGGACTGAAAACACATTCACAAAACTAATGGACATTGCTTCTGTTTTGGAGGCCCCTAGTTCAAAGTAGGGGATCCCAGCTGGGGTTATAGGCCCTGAGACCCAGCAACCAACACAACTCCCTGCACTGCACTAATTAATAAACAAATGCCCAATTGTGGTGGCTCATGCCTATAATCCCAGCACTTAGGGAGGCAGAGGCAGAACAAACACTTGAGCCCAGGAGTTCGAGACCAGCCTGGGCATCATAGCAAGACCCCATATCTACAGAAATTAAAAAAATTGGCTGGGCATGGTGGCACGTGCCTGTAGTCCCAGCTACTCAGGAGGCTGAGGTGGGAGGATTGCTTGAGCCTGAGAGTGAGCTGCAGTGAGCATGCTATTTGCACTCCAGCCTGCTCAAGACCCTGCCTCTGAAAAAAAAACCAACCAACCACATGTCCCAGAATTCTTTTGGAGCATGCCCCTTCCCTGCTAGCCTCCAGAAAGAATTATTACTCTGCCAGACACTTTATGGGACTATCTCATTTAATCCTTGTCCCAACCTTTACCAACAGGTAAGGTATAAACACCTGTTTTACAGATGGAAAAACTGAGAACCAGGAGAATGAAGTGTCTTGCCCAGGGTCACACATGACAGCTGAAGGGAAGAGCTGGCATTGCAAAATTAGGGTGTGGGGCACAAAGTCCACTGTCTGCACTGCAGTATTGGTTGGCCCCCCTCAGAAAATCCAGACTCTGGTCCTGCAGATACTGGCTTCAAACTGTGAGGCCTCGGGTCTGTGGGAGAAGTATGTCTTGTTGTTCTCAAGATGTCAGTGGAATTGGGTGACAGGGCTAGTGGGGAGAAGTGTAGGAACTCAGTGACTCAGATCCCACAGCAGTGGATCTCTCAGGCATCCCAGAGGCCAGGGTCTGGCTTTCCAGGCTTCTCAGTGCCCAGTGGCTGTGATTTCTATAATGGATTTTCCCTGGTTCCTCCTGGAGGGTCCCAGAAATGGCAAGGGGCTCCCATCTTTCTCCCATTGGCCCCTAGATGAAACTGGGCCTCCTCTAAATCAGAAATAATGAGCAGACAAGATGATTCTAATTTCCAGGAAAGAAGAGAGAATATGAAACCCAAAATAAAATCCTGAGCCTAGAACTGGTGGAAAGAAGACTCAGGCCCAGGACAAATGGACGGTGTGTTTAATCATCTTGACCTTATCTCCAACCCGGCAGTGTAAACCCTCAACCCAGCCCCGGCCAGGCTGGGCAGGCAGGTAACATGGACACTCACCCCAGCCTTGGTCAAGCCCAGGTAGATGAACAATATGGGTCTCACACAGAGCCAGGCCTTGGCCAAATGAACAGTGTGGATACTCATCTGTATCTCAACCACACCCATCCTGGATGGTCAGTGTGGACCCTCACCCTGGCCTTGGCCAAGCACCTGGCAGACAGGTATTGTCAACACTCACCTCAAGCTTCACCCAGACCCTGGGCAGAGGGCAGTACGGCCTCCCCACCCCATTCCCAGTCATGCACACAGAACCGGGAACTTCTCTGAGATTTGAAGCCACTAACCTCCTGCCCTACTGTGGGGCACAGATCTATTTTTCAACAAATGCCTGGAGGTCTCAGTAGCTCAGTTGGCCACTGCAGGGCAGGAGAGGGCCACCTGGAGCTCAAAGGCCTGGAGTAGCATCCCTTGAGCCACCATCTCTGGCCTCAGTGTACTCATCTAGGAAAAGCAGATTCTGACTCAATACATACTTCAGGGAGCTGTCAGGACTGCTCCAGTAATTAAATGAGATGGGGCAGCTAAGGCCCTGACCCTCTACTCCATTCCTGAGCCTCCCCTCTTCCATGTAGCTCCCTTAGTACACAAAAAAAGGGGAAACCAGGCCCAGAGAAGCCAGAGGACTACCCCACAATCACATGGCAAATTGGGGTCAGAGGTGGAAGTTGACCCCAGATCTGGGTCTCACACAGGGCCAGGACTTTGGGAATCTCCATGGACCACGGCACAGTATGGTTAAGTAGCACCTTGGTATCTGGTCCAGGCTGGGCTTGGTGTGTGTATGTGTGTGTGTCTATTACTGGGAGTGGGGCGGCAGTGGACAGGGTGTTGGGGGAGCTGCTGCTGCTGCCTCCCTAGTATTTTTAGTCTCGAGAATGAGCTGAGCTCAGGGCTCTGAGCTCCCATCGACAGTGAGGGAAATGGGAAGGTCCCCACCACCCCTCCCTCCCACCAGCAGCCTGGAGCCGGGTTGGGTGGGGGTGGGTCTGAAAAGGAGCAGGCACCCCAATGACTGGGGGCAGTCAGGCCCTGACCCCCTGCACCCCTGCCCACACCCATCCAGGCCGTCCTTTCAATGCCCCATTCCCTTGGGAGTGTGTCAGCACCCAGCTAAGCTGGCAGGGACAGGTGCCCCCATCTGCCCCCTGCTAACCTCAGCTTCCCTTGCTAGGAGCTCCAGGCCAGCTCTCGCCTGCATCAGGTCAGCGCTGCAAGGTTCCCATGACAACGGATGACAGCAGCAGAGGCTACTGGCCGCAGGGTCAGGGGTGAGGGGAGTATGGGTGGAAGAGCAGGAGAAGGGAAGGGGCCCAGCATGTGGGTGGGGGAGGGGCTAGAGTGAAGGACCCCCAAATTGCAGCTCCCTCCTGAGTCTTGGACCCCCAGAAAAGGTCTAGAACCGTGGCTGATTGATACTGGAAGGTCCATTGCACTAATTGGGAAAGCTAGGCTCAGGAAGGGCTGGCTATGCCTTTGGTCATGTGATCATGAATCCAGCTATGGGTAGGGCTTGGATGGAAATCCTATCCCCCTGCCTCCCAGCCCAGGACTCTGCTGCTTCTAGGCTAG
The DNA here is from genome assembly GCF_000001405.40 of Homo sapiens. Lineage (NCBI taxonomy): Eukaryota > Metazoa > Chordata > Mammalia > Primates > Hominidae > Homo > Homo sapiens. The sequence goes on along the minus strand of NC_000005.10, from coordinate 139,692,755 downwards.
GCATGAGGCCAGATGTCCCCTTATCCCCACCTCCAGGAAGGGTGTGGGTCCCGAAGCTCTCTGACCGGCCTGGCCATTCTGTGACTTGGATTCCCCATCCTGTAATGAGTATTCAAGGCCCCCACACTAACAGATTACTTGTGATCAAGCCTAGCCCCTCACTTTATTTTTGAGACAGAGTCTTGCTCTGTCGCCCAGGCTGGAGTGCAGTGGCATGATCTCGGCTCACTGCAACCTCCATCTCCTGGGTTCAAGAGATTCTCTTGCCTCAGACTCCTGAGTAGCTGGGATTACAGGCGTGCACTAGCACGCCTGGCTAAGTTTTGTATTTTCAGTAGAGATGGGGTTTCATCATGTTGGCCGGCTGGTCAAGAACTCTTGACATCAGGTGATCTGCCCACCTTGGCCTCCCAAAGTGCTGGGATACATGCATGAGCCACCGTGCCCGGCCCAGCCCTCCACTTTTTAACATGGGATATGTTTTGGTTCCTCTGGAAGGAGATATGTCAGGAATCAGCCTCCAGCTGACTTCCTACCTCAGTCTCAGGGCCCCAGAGTGGGGTTGGGAAGTTGCCCCACATACCCAGATTGACTAAAGGCTTCACTCCAGATACATGTTAGCCCCTCCAAAGCCTAAAGGCCAAAGGTTCCAGAACCATCATTGGCTCCCACTGTCCCCAAGACAAAATATACCCATTTGCCTTGGATCTTGAGATTGGCCCATCGTTCCCTGGGCTCTCTCCAGTGTGGTCTCCTCACTGCCCCAGAAGTACCAGTCTCCAAGCCTCCTAGATAGGCAGCATGGTACTTCGAGGCTCAGCTTCACTCACCTCCTCCAAGAAGCCTTCTTGGCTCTTCCCATGCATTCAAATCTCTTGCCTACCAAGGGGTACAAGGCTAGAGAGCTCACAGGGACCTCACACAGGATTTCTCATTCCACCTTCATAGGATATCTGAAAAGCAATGTTACTTGCTGATGAGTAAACTAAGGCCCAGAAAGGAAAGCCTTTGTAGGTCACATAGCCTGTGAATGTCCACTTGGTGCCTGGCTCCAGAACCCCTTTTCTCTTGGAACTTCTTGGGGCCTCCTCTTGGCACTCGCCAGCCTGTGGCCCTGCAGCTGGGCTCCCCAAGCTCAGACCTAACAGTTCTTTCCCCAGCCCCTCATATACAACAGGCCAACCCATGTCCTCCTCCAATTCATCCATTGATTCAACATTATTGAGCATTTGGCATTTGCCAGGCAGACAAGCCCCTCCCTCCAGGAGTGCTCCTTCTAGTTCAGAAGATCAGCAAGTGAACAGGTGAGTTCACCCAGTGTGACCCCAGCAGGATTGTGATGGGAGCACTTAGGGCAGTGGGTGCGTAGAAGAGGGTACTCCAGCTCTCACTTACAGAGTCAAGGCCAACTCTGACCTTAGAAGTCTTCTGTGCAAAACAGCTCAGCCTCTCTTAGGTCCCACCTGCCTGGGGAACCTTATTCTCATGTCTAAGCTCAATTCCACTTGCTGCAACCCCTCAAAGACTTTCTAAGTGAGTGACTGGCTGACAAAGGCCAGTTCCCAGGTACTGACCCCAGTGCTTTATCACCCAGTAGCCTCATCTGTATCTGCCCACTCACTCTGTATCTCTCTCCACCATCTCCACAAGCCCCCCAGGACAGTTCAAGAGGGCTGGCTGGATAGCAGGTCCAGAGCCATCGGATCCATCACACATCTCTTTGAGTCCCCCAAATAAATACAGCAGGTCCAGGGACCTCTTTCAGTGGCCCCCACCTCTAGCTCTATGTTAGGGAACTGGCAGTCTCGGGGAGCCATGGGAGCGGGGCCAGTGGGGACAGCAAGAAGTAGGCAGGGAGGCAAGGGTCAGAGCCTCCCCCATTGCAGGGCTGCTGAGCCAGGCCAGAAACTGGGGGAGGGAATGAGACCACGGGATTGCTGCTCGGTCCTTAGGGTCCCTGAGGGCCAGCAAAATGGAAGAGAAGGAAACTCAGCTCCCAGAATCCTCCCACGAGTTGGACTGGGGGCCATGAGGGCTGCGGGAGGCAGAGCAGACTCCTGACATTCGACCCAGCACCCCTCCTCGAGGTGGGGGCCCGGAGCTCTGGGCGCCCTCGTGATGAGGCCGGCTGCAGGGTGATTAATCTTGCCAGGCCTGTGCGTCAGACCCCCCACCCCCAAGCCTCCCATGGCCAACCCCGCCCGCGCTGCCCTGGGAGTTAATCTCCGCTCTGGGGGACTTCTCAGCCGCTGTCACTGCTGCATTAATTCTGAGGCAGAGGGAGGCAGGAAGGAGGGAACACAGTTGGGGCGTGGTGGATAGCTTCCTTGGGAGGGTTTTGTGATTAAGTGGCTGGTGAGGAGGGGTCCCAAAGGATGGGGCCTGGGTCCCCTTCAAGGCCCAGCCCTGGATGAGGGGTGGGGTCATCCCTATTTTTTCCCCCAGGCCATCAGAGCCCTTATATCCCTGGCCTCTAGCCCTCATCGTTCACCAGCTGAGCCCCAAATGCAGTTTGCAGTTTTGACAGCAGATGTCTCTGCTATTATGATTTATCAAAATGCTTAAGGTAAATAATGCACACATATTTATAGGAAAGGAGTAGGTGGTAGAAGGGGAGGGATTGACCAGGCTAAGGGGGCTTTGGGGCCTGAGAACTCAGAAGGCCCCTGCCACTGTCCTCAGCCCTCCCTACTCAGACCCAGGGTTGACCCCAGCCTGGCCCTGGGGAGATGGCTGGGTGACACCAAGCTAGCCCAGTCAGCAGCCCAGACCTGGCCCCCAGGAGGGCAGGGAGCGAGGCAGCCAGTGGCAGGACCTGTCTCGCGGGGCCCCGCCAGGCCTGGGAGGTGGCCACCTGGGGGAAGCGGCTGAGCCAGCCTCACACCTCAGCCGTGTTTCCATGGCTTCACTGCGTCCTCGCTCCTGAGGCTTCCGTCGCCTTATCAACGGCAGCGGCCACTGCTCGCCCTCACCCTTGCAGCCGCTCCCCAAGACTCCCAGCAGCTGCCTGTGGACCCACTGCTGCAGAGCCAAAACAGCCACAGGGGGTGCCCCTCCCGGGCAGGCCTCAAAGCTGGAAGAGGGGCTGGGAGCCTGGTGGGAAGACACCAGGGGGAGCGGTGGGCAGGAGCCTTTGTGGATTCAGGCTGTACCCACTTCGGGCCCCCGAAATACCCACGCCCTGTCATTGCAGGGGAGGGGGCGGTGATCCTAGGTTACCCCCTAATCCCCTATCCTCGCTCCATACTGTGCCCTTTGTTTCCAGACCTTTCTGGGCTTGAGAACATTTGGTTAAATAACTTAAATAAATGTATTAATAAATTCGGTATTCCAATTTGAATAGCAAAGGTAAAAAAAAAAAAACAAAAAACAAAAAGAAGTGCAGACAAGTTTAAGGAAGTAAGTAATACTCAACCCTAATCCCACATCTGGGCACGATCACAGGCAGCTTGTGGGATGGGGGAGGGGGTCCTTCCAGCCAAAGCCTGCAGCATGGCCAGGTGCTTAAGGGCTAGCTTCCGAAAGCAGACGAACCTGGTTGTGTGACCTTGTATGTCTCGCTACCTCTCTGAGCCTTAACTTTCTTATCTGTCAAATGGAGAGAACCGCCTAAAGCCCCCCTCATAGGTTGCTGTGAGTGTGTCAGTGCAATGGAATGGCCCAGTCCCTGGTGCACAGGCCACAGGCTCTATGCCTTGAAGCAGAAGGATCTTGTTTAAGGTCTCTAGCCAAGGGGTATGGAGGCTCCAGGGACTGGAGAAAGGAGGCTCTTTGTAGTAAGTTTCCCTTACCTGTGGACAGCTCCCCAGTTAGGCTGGAAATGCGTGAGAGAAAAATAATGTCCAGAAAGAGGAGAGAATGTGTTTCCTCAGCCCACAGATGTTTCCTACCCCTTCCATGTGTTGGGTGCCAGCGCTGCCCTTACTGAGCTGCAGACCATAGCCCTGAGGCCAGGTGATGTCACCAAGAATGACCAGTGTTGTGATGGGCTGGGGGTGGGGGGCGGGGGGCAAGGGACACTTGACCCAGCTTGCAAGGGACAAGAAAGCTCCGAAGGCGGGAGGAAGGCATCATACAGGTGGGAGATGGCAACAGGAAACGAAGCAGCATCTGACGAAGCACTGGGAGGCTGCGGTAGGCGGCCACCTGGACCCCTCAGCTGTGCCCCGAGAGTCCAGCCGCTTTGCACCCAGGCCTGGAGCCCTGGAGGACCCGGCTCACCTCCTCTGGGCCCGCCCTATCTTCACACCCTGCTGCTTGGAATCTGAGGCAGCCCTTGTTCTCCGGCAGGAGGGGAATTTAATGCCACTGAGAGATGGCAGGTCGACAGGCAGAAAGAGATGAAAGTGTCTGCACTGGCAGCCTGGCCGGCAGCCTCAGGGGACCCTCCTGCACCTCCACCACCCTCTCCAGCCATTCTCTACTCCTGCATGGCAGGAACAGCCCTCAAGGGAGATGTGGGCCTCTGGGGACAGGACTCCCTGCAGGGCTGTGTGACCCTAGGGGACAGCTGGGCCTCTCTGTGCCATGCCTGCAGGATGTTAGGGCCAAGGTCTGGGTTATTACCATGCTGGTGGCTGCCTGTCCCTCCCCTAACCCTGGCTGACTGTCTTCAGCAGTGGCTGGTCAGCCCAGGGCTGCGGGTGGGCGGGGGGGGGGCTTGGGGCCAGGCTGTGCAGTGACCTCCATCCATCCATCTCTGGCACCTGGGAGGCGGTGGGAGCCTGTGCTGCAATCAAGTCAGACCCAAGTGGCCTTGACTACAGCCGAGCCATGTAGCCATCGCTGCCTCCTTTTTTGTGGCAGTACAAAGCTGGGCTGAGCCTGGGAATGGTGGCTGGGGCCCCGAGCCAGAATCTGTGCCTGTTGGAGATGGCGTGGGTCTTGGCACTACTAACTGTGAGGTGACCTTTGGCTCTGCAAAGCACCCTGTCAAGCTCACCACCCCACAACCCCTGGCTATGTTGTCCTTCTTTCTTGGAACACAGAGAGGTAAGGGCACCTGGCCAAGGTCATCTAGCAAGGACACACACATACACACACACACGGCTTTGACACATGGTGACCAAGAAATAAGCAGGGACCCATGTGTCCAGACTCCCAGGCCCCCTTTCCATTCTTTTGGAGGTACCTGATTTTTCTCTCAAGGTAGCCAGGAGCCTGGGTTCTAATCAGGTCCCTGCTACCATCTTGCTCTTGCTATAGGGGAAGTCACATACCCTCTCTAGGCTTCAGTTTCTTACCAATAAAATGGGTAATAATTTCTGTCCTGATGACTTTTGGGGGCCAAAGAAGTAAACTTACTGGACAAACTGAAACCAACCCTGGGCCTCCAACCAGCCTTGGGCCAAGGGGAAGTACTCGTATAGACAGCCCAGCTCCTGGCCCACAATCACCCAGTACAGCCACAGGACCTATCCTTCTTCCTTCTTCCTGCACAGCGCAACCACAGCAAGCTCAGAGCAGAGGGTCAAAGGCCTCGTCTGGAGTCCTGAGTCAGGTCCAGGGCATGGGACAGGCGCCTCAGTCTGGGTGGGGGATAAAGGCAGCTAGAGACTAGGTCAGGCCAAGACTGGCTGCTGTCGGGGGAGGGGGCGCCTGGCAGGCGCTGGGCAGGCTGGGGTTGGGGGAGGCCTTTGGCGGCCTCAGAGAACAAAGAGGCCGGGGTTGCCAGGATATTCTGTGGAGTTGAAGCCGGTGGTGATGGGGCTGGGAGAGGGGCCGCAGCGGCCGTGGGAACTGCGCCTGCTGCCCCCACGCCAGCTCCCCCATCCAGACTGGGCCTCAGGGCCATGCGAGGGCACAGGCTGCAGGTGAGAGGGGCTGTCAGATCCCCCACTCTCTCCCTAGAGAGGCTTTCAGGGCGGAGACCCAGGAAGTGCTGGAGGCAGACACACAAGGCAATAGTGTCAGCAACACTGAGAGGATCACAGGTGCACACTGACACAAAGCCATGACCACACACCCAGGGTTATGCAGGCAGCATCACAGGGTCACACTATAGTCACACGGAGACATCACACACACACAATCCCTGGTCAGTCCCAGCCCACATCCATGATGGCCACACAGACACAAAGTCACACACTTATTGAACCACCCAGTTTTGCCACAGGGTCACGCAATGCCACGTGTGTTGTAAACCCAAAGTGACACACTCACATAGAATCACTCAATGTCACACACTCACACAGAATCACCCAAAGTCACACATTCAGTTGTACAAGCCGGTATCACACTGGGTCTGTTACAGAACTGTACAATGTCACAAGAGTACACACGCAATGTCACAGAACATTCCAAAGTGTGGCCACTGACATACACTAACCCATTCACATCTCAGTCTCCAATAAACTGTCACAAACCCATTTGCATATCACACCCGATGTCACACATAGCCACATTACTGCACAAAGCCTCACACAATTGTCAGGCCCTTAAAGCATCACTCACACACACACACACACACACACACACACACACACGTCCACGCAGGGGCTACCTGGAGGCTGGACTTCTCTCCAGCCCAGTGTGTGCACCCAGCCTCTCAAACCCCCACCGTTCTGTGTCTAGAGCTGGCTCTAAATGCCAGATCACCCAGGTCAGGGTACAGGGTACCTGGAGGAAAGGCTCCTGGGTCACCAGGAAGTCAGTTTCCCAACTGTAGCAGAGGAGAGGTGAGGGCACCTGAGGGGAGGGGAGCTGGGTACACAACCCTGCCAGGGAGCCTGCCTCTAAGGAAGTCTCCGTCAGCTGGGGAACAGCAGGGGTGAGCCTGCAACAGACAGAGTACAAGATACAGAGATGGAGAGACAGGAGGGGCAGAGACCCAGAGACACGGAGAGGCTTAGAGATCAGGAAAGATGGAGACCCAAAGACACAGGAGCGTCAGGGACCGAAAGAGACCTTCAGGACATGCAGAGAGTGAGCCAGAGAGACAGAAAGCTGGTGCAGGCTGGGGTCGGGCTGCATCCAGGTAGGGGAAGGGCCAGAGGCTGGGTCACTCTACGGAGGTGGGAAGTGGGAGGTGGGAGGTGGGGGTGGCCAGGGCTTCAGGGAGGACACACAGCCAGGCAGAAGGTGAGGGACATCTTGGTGAGATTTAGGTGAATAATAGTTTAAAAATAGCAACACCAGCTGCCATTGACAGAGCTTGCAAGTCAGGCCCTTCCCAAGTGTGATCGCATTTCATCCTCAGGCAACTTTATGGGGGAAACAATTATTGTCCCGTTTCCCAGATGAGGTAACTGAGTCCTCAGCATGTTTTCAGCCAGCCTCACAGCTGTCCCCACCCCTGGCCTCCAAACAGAGGGGCTGGCTTACCATTTCCACAAAGCAGTGTGAAGCTGGAACAGGTGAGGAGCTCTGAGTTTCGGCCGTGTGCTGGGGAGTGGGCTCAGGAGACACGCTGGGCTGTGGGTTGGCACACTGAAAGGTACAGGCCGGCTGAGTCACAGCACCCCCTCTGGGCTGGCAACAGAGCCGTCCACCCCACACCTGTAGGTGTGCCAACGAGGGCCGGCTGAGGCCATCTGCAGCCTGTGTGCTGCCAGCAGCGGGCGGAGGCAGGAAGGGGCCTCCTGCCCGGTGCCCCCTGCTGGCCAGGCTCCCCCCACTCCCCACAGGAGGACCCTCCCCACCCTCCTCGAGGTTCTGGAGGTGCCGCTGTTTGCCTTGTGCTGGGGGTGAGGGTGCCCCCCAGCTGCAACACCTCCCCCTACTCCCTGCTGGACACCCCCCTTCGGCAGAGCCGCCTGGAGAGATCACAGGCAGCCACATGAAAGGGAATTTTTCCCAGGCAGAGCTGAAGTTGAAAGCTGCCTCCCACCGCCCCTGCCTGCCCCCGCTGTGCCAGGCCAGGCTGCTGAGGCCCTGGCGCTCGAAGGGAGCTTGTGACACCTGGGAAGGGGTTGGGGGTCAGCGCCACCCCCACCCAACATGGCTGCTTTCTCCTCTCAGGACAATGGCAGAGATAGCCCATCTCCCCCACCTCACTGCCCACTCAGCCTCAGAAATCGCTCCAGCTCTCACCCACCTGAAGCCAGTGCCCAACACTGTCAGGAAGTCCTTCCTGAAGTCTAGCCTCCATCTCAGCCAGGCTCAAAGCAGCTGGGTGAGAAGAACGCTCCCCCAGTGGATGGCTAAGCCTCCTCCTTCAGGTTGGCCTCTGTGATGTACAGGGAGGGGCATGCCACTGCCACCCCTTCCTGTTCAGGCTGCCCTGGCCCAGACCATGTGGCTGTGTGGTGACTTCCCCAGACATTTGACCTCTGAGGTCCCCAGCAGCCTTGTACCAACAAACCCTCTGAGAGTGGGGACAGTCAAAGCCAAGGACACCCCCGTAACTCAGCCTAGCAGCCCTCAGGCCTAAAGAGGAATAGGCGTGTGTGTACAGCCAGGTCCCCACGAAGCCGAGCTGAAACTATTCCCTGGAGAATGACATTGGTGGCTGCGGGAGCACTAGATCCCTGCCAGGTAAGAAAGAAAGAAAGAAGACCCTGAACAGGCAGCTCAGCCTTACCCCCACCTGCCTCGTGGTGCTGGTTGCTTTACTCATCAGGCCCTGATGAACTTAGGTGAGTGAACAGAGGTGGCCCCAAGTGAGTGAAGGTCCCTGGAGGTCCAGGTTCTGAGGCATGGGGTGCAACCAGGCAGTGACTTCCAGATTAAGAGCCTTTCCCTCCTGTCTGCTGGGCTGGTTGCTCCTGCTCTCCCCCATTCTGGATCCAGAGGCCTCTCTTCCCCAAGAAATTCCCATTCTAAATGTCCCTGGGCCATCCTTCTTCCTCCTCCAGGTGGTCCCAGACAATCCCTGCTCAGGAACGGCCCCCAAGTCAGCCCCCCAAAACCGGAGAGCAAGAAGCCAGCGGTGCTTCGTGACACAAACATGCATTCGTTTTATTCACAAAACAGCCTGGTTTCCTAAAACAATACAAACAGCATGTTCATCAGCAGGAAGCTGGCCGTGGGCAGGGGGGCCCAGGCCGCAGGGGGCCCCCTGGGGACCCACCCCCACCAGCAGGGGACCACGCAAAGAAGCCCTTTCTTCTGTTGCCATTAGCAAGGCCAGAAAAAAAGGACTTATTTTCTCTAAGAAAAGTAGCCAGGATTGGAAATATCGAGATGGGGCTCCCCAGATCGCAATGGATAAACGAACAGAACTTTCATTTTTTTTTCCAAAATCACTGTTGGGGTGGGGGATCCCAGTCTCGGGACTGTGGGTGCAGCTCAGCTGGCCTGGTGCTCCCTCCCCTTCTGTGAGCTCCCTGCTGGCAGCTCTGCACGCGTGGATGGATACAGAGCGGCTTCTACACGGCGCCATCAACATTCTCTTTATGAACGTGAGTGGATTCTCCAGGCAAACTATGCACTATTTCATGGTCGGAAAGAATCAAAGGAAGTTTAAATGAGGGTGGAGTTAAACTGTGCTAAATTACAGTAGTGCTTATTAGTAACTAGATTTCAAAAGGTTACAGAAAATTTACATTCTCTACACAAAAACTGCATCTCCTGCACAGACAACATCGACATCGACACAGGAAGGAAACTGATTGTCCATTCTTTGCCCAGGAAGTCTCGGTACTTTATAGATTCGTCTTTACCTCTTTTTTGTTGTTGTTCTTCCGAAAAAGCAGTTTAAATTTTTTTCTTTTTCTTTTTATGCTAGGGACGTGGAGATGTTAAAACGACAACAAAAAATATATATATAAAAACAGGAATGAAATCTGTGAGAGAATATTTTTGGTTCTAAAGACGGGTGCATCCGTTTGTCTTCGCCCGAATCCCTTGCTGGAGACCACACGAGCAGTGACATTGCACGGAGAGGGCAGCTTTGGGTTCCGCCGCCGTCACTGAAACCACCGGAAGGCGGCTCCCGTCGGAAGCATCACCTTCTGGCGGGGGCGGGAGACAAAAACAAGGAGAGAGTTCAGTCAGGGTCCGGGTAGGCCTGGAGCAAAGACGTTCCCCCATGGATGGCCTCATGGCGGAGGGACAGGCATGGAGGAAGAGCAGCCACCCCTCGGAGCTCCTGCCACCCCAGCCAGGCCAAAGGAGGCGCTTGACCTGCTGGGCTGCTGGAAGGCCCCGAGGACTCTGAGGCCTCCTGAGCCACTGTGCCCAGGAACCCTCCTTCCAGAGAAGAAGTCCCTTCCCCTGGCCCAAAGGCAACAGCGCCAGGTGGCTGTGGCATGTTTCTGTAAATGAGCGTGTGAGCACGTGCGACGGGTGTGCATATGGGTGTGTGCCTCGTGCTATGCTGAGCTGTGTGGTATGGAGCTGTGGGAGGTGGGTATTTGAGCTATTTCTCAAGCGGCCGTGTCTATGTGTGTGTGCATGTGTGTCTACACTGGACTAAAGTGGGTGCCTTTGTGTGTACATAGGAGAGCAGAAATGGAAGGGCTGGGGCTGGGGCTGGGGCTGGGGCTGGGGTTGGGGGAGGGTAACCAGGAGGCCATGGCTGGGATATACCACTGTTGTTTTCCAACCATTCTGGACATTTGCGTCAAGCCCACTCATAGAGGGGCGGGGACAAGGGCAGGGACTGCAGGCTGAAAAGATGCTTTTGTACCCAGGCCTGGCACTCCAGCTAGGTTGCTGCATCTGGGGGCACAGGGACGGGCCCTGCCACAGGGGTGCAGAGATAGCAGCATGGGAACCCCTTGCCTTCTCCAAGCCAATCCTACAGTGGCTAGGTTCTTGTCCACTCCGGGCTCATGGTCACCTCCCCTTACCCCAGCCCCAAAAATCTGTCAACTAGGTGCCCAGACCAAGGGTCCTTCCAGGCCTCAGAGCAGGGCACCCAGCACTGGAACAGCTCTATCCTTGGGTGGCCTTGGGGGAAAGATGGCCCTGGAGGGGCAAATGAAGGGCTTAAGGGCACAGGGCCCGTGAAACAGAATCCCTTAAACAGGGCAGGGGAGAGACCCAGAGTTCTAGGTCATGGACTGGATGCTTTAGGCCATGTCTGAGCATCAGAAACTTAGGACCTGTATGGAAATCTCAATACCTGACCCAGAACCCAGGAGAGGAATCAGAATCCCAGGGCCTGGCTGAGAATGCTAGGTCCTTGCCTGGAGTTTTATGCTTGCCTTGCAAATTATGGCCTGATAGGATTCTCAGAATGTGGCTCTGACTTTTGGGGCAGTAAACTGGTGTCTTGAAGCCAGACCCCCAGGCCCCAAGGACTGGGAGGGGGCATCCCCCAGACACTTGCCCAGGTAGGAAAAGTGGGGTCAGGGGATGGGGGTGGGTTTGGACTGCCAGACAGACACAAGAGCCCACACACCTCCCTCTAAGGCGCCGTTACCTCCAGAGCAGCGGAAGGCTTCTTTTTGAGTTCCTCACATTTTCTGAATTTGCAAATCTGATGGCCAGTCTTTCGATTCCTACAACTGCTGCACTGCTCGCAGTTGATGCGCCGCCGGCAGGGCGCGCACATGCCGCAGCGTTTCCGCTTCTTCTTGCCGGAGCTGATGGCAGAGGCCAGCTCTCCCTGCATGGGGTACTCAGCCAGGCCCGCCATGTGCAGCGCGCTCTCGGCCAGGAACACACCTGCCGGGGTCATAATGAAGAGGCCTGGGTTGATGGGGAAAGCGCCCAGGTAGGGGAAGTCGGACTGGCCATTGAGGGCTTCGGCACCTGCCACAGCCTCCATGTCAGGCAGGCCAGCACCCGCCTCGCTCATCAGCGGGAGATGCTCCTGCACCACGCGCTTCAGCATCTCTGTGGACTGCGCAAACTGCTGCAGCGTCAGCTGTCCCTCGGCTGCCAGCTCCGTGGCCCGCTCTGCCTTGCTCAGCAGGCTGGCCACAGCACCACTTTTGTGCTTTGAGGTAGGGTTGCTTTTGTCCACCGCCATGGCCGCCGCCAGGTCATGCCCATTGGCCAACAGGGAGGCAGCGGCTGCAGCCGCAGTGGCCTTGTCAGCAGACTCTCCGCCCATCATGCTGCCACCGCCACTACCACCACTGCTGCCAAAAGAAGAGTAGTGGGAGAGCGGGCGGGAGCGGCGCAGGCTCTTGTTGAGGGGCTCACTGATGATACCGCTCTTGTTCCGACGCTCGGGGGGTGGTGTGTCATCTGCCACTGAGGCTGGTGCGGCGGCAGCCACCACTGCACTCTTGTCTGCTGCTCCTGCCTTTGGGCCACTGCTGCCACTGCCACCGCTGCCATTGGTGCTGCTGCTGCTACTGCCGCCGGCATCCTGGGAGCCACCGCCGAGGCTCGACATGGTGGGGCCGAGGCCCAGACCCCACTGCAGAGGGAGCCTGCCAACTGCCGAGGGTCCACAGACCAGGACCTGGCCCTGCTGCCCACAACAGAGATGCCTGGTGGGCCTCGCTGCTCAGGGCAGGCACATGGTCAGGTGTCCAGGTGGAAATGTCTTCACTCTGTCACAAGAGGATACAGGGTCAGGGCAGCAGTGAACACCTCCCCCTTCAACATCGCCACCACCGCCACTATCAACGGTCCTGTCATCCTGACCACCATGTGCTTGACCAGGCATTTATTAAGCACCAGATCCATCCTGGTGAGAAATTTCTTATTTGTACTATCTCAGTTAAGACCCACAAGAACTCTAGAAGCAGTGGCTGGTAATCTACTTTATAGATGAGGGAAACAAGATTTAGGAGAACTACCAGTCTATGAACACACAGCCACCAAGCGGCATGGTGGAGGCCCTAGTCCAGGCCTCCACAGCCCAAATCTGCTCTGCTAGGGTCTAGGAAGACCTGCCAGAAGCAGGCAGTCCTTCTTGTGCTGGGGTGGGAGAGTGTTGGAGATGCTTATTAGCTGGGTGCAGTGGCTCACACCTGTAATCTCAGCACTTTGGGAAGCAGAGGCAGGCAGATCGCTTGAGCTCAGGAGTTTTGAGACCACCCTGGACAACATGGTGAAACTCTATCTCTGCAAAAAATACAAAAGTTAACCAGGTGTGGTGGTACATGCCTGTAGTCCTAGCTACTCAGGAGGCTGAGGTGGGAGGACTGCTTGAGCCCAGGAGGTTGAGGATGCAGTGAGTTATAATCATGCCACTGCATTCCAGCCTGGATGACAGAGTGAGATCCTGTCAAAAAAATAAAAATAAGAAAAAAACCACCTCCACATCCTAATCTTCCTTCTCCATCTGAGGAGAAGAGTGCTTGATGGTACAGATCATTAAGTCTGGAAGGCTGCCCCTGGATCCTCATCTGGGGATTACTAATACACATCAGTTATTTCAAGGCTCTGACATGTCCTGCAGGCAAAGGAACCTGGTTGCCTTTGTGTAACCCAGTTTGCCAATGAGTGCAGAACCCTTATTTCAGGGATCTTCTCCCCGCCTGCTACAGGGCGAGCAGCACAGGGCCAGAGGACCAGCCGTCCCCTGCCACAGTGAGAGGACATGCTTGTGCACACCCTGGCACACGCTTCCTTCTCAACCCCCGAACCACAATCATTATCGTCTCAGACCTCATTCTTGTCTCTACTCAGGCCTCACTGTGGTGCTCTGGCCTGGCTCCCAGATTGGGGGCGGTGGTGGGCAGAGGCCTCACAAGGCCTGCAGAGTAGGGCCTGGGTGGAGGTCTCAGTGAGAACCCAGAGAGCCGGGGTGGGCTGTTGCCAGGAGGGACCTCTGGCTGGGGCAGGCTGGCACTGAGGAGTAGGCGTGACCCTCAAGGGAATGGAGCCCAGCAGGAGCCTGTCCTCTGGCCACCTCCATATTTCCAAGGCAGCCCATCCCGGGGCAGGGCCTGCTCTACTCAGGTTTCAAGGCTAAGGCGTCTGAGCTGCCTCCTCAGCTGAAGGGACTGGGCCAGATGGAGCAAGGCGGCGGTTTCCTCATCAGTCCCGGCTCTCCAGCCTTGCTTCCCTGTCTGCCTGCTGTGGCCTAGCATGCCCCAAGAGAGGGGTGGGAGGACAGGGCCCAGCCCCAGAGCAGCTGGAGGCTCAAGGGGGAGGCGCACATCTGGCGGGCCCCATCACGCCCTGGGCTTGAGGGCAGCACACACTGGATCTTTGTCCCCAGGCAACCCCAAAACCCCCCTAGTCACAGGACTCAAGCCTGTCCCAAGAGAGCATCTAGTCCAACCCTCTGCATTTACAGAGGGGGAAACTGAGGCCCCAAGCGGGGGGGAGGGGGGGCTTCCCCAGGACTAAGGAGTGGCCAAAGAGGACCGGGTGTGGGGAAAGGAAAAGCTCTGTCTCTAGGGTGAGGCGAGTAGCCGCCATCAACAGTCAGATACTCCCTGTCCCTCCCCAGTGGGCACCAGACCACCTAGGGCTCCTTCCTAGCAGAGGGAAATGGGTGAGGAGGAAGAGCTGGGCAAGATGGCAGATTCCACCAGGACAGAGCCGGGGGGCCCTGGCAGGGAATCCAGGCTGGGTTGGGGGGCATCAGAGGTCAGAGCTGAAGCAAGAAGACCATGTGTGTCCAAGGATAGCTGTGTTCCCTCCCACCTCATAACGGCCAAGACCAGGATGGTCTTTTCAGCCCCTCTCCTCAGAGACTGGTGACCCTTTCAGGAATCAGTGACCCTGGCTAGTTGTTGGGGACCAGGGTCAGTGAGATCAGGGACAAAAACCGTCAAGTCAGCTCATCCAGCTCCTGCCCAACTAAGCTCATCTGCCCTGCCCTGGACGACAACCCCGGCAGCCCAGATACTGGGTGAGGGGAGAAGGCAGAAGGCAGGTGTCTTGTGGGCTGCAGAGATGGGGAGGGGAGCAGGCTGCGCCCCAGCCCCTGTGTGCGTCCCCCGCCTCTGCGGCCTGCTGGCTGGTGGCAGAAATCGATAGCTGCATTAACGCTGTTCCTGCTCTGCTCACCCCCTCCCTCCTCCCAGCTCCAGGATCTGGCTCTGCGTGCGGGGCGGGCAGGTCAATTAGAAGTCAGCTCCTTCCAACACAGCCGGCCTGCGCTCAGGGCTGGCGCTCTGGCTGAGTGTCTCGGCTTTTGTCTCCGTCCTGAGTCTCTCCTGGTGGGGACCAAACCTCATGTTCTGTTCCTCTCTTGGAATTTCTCTGATCTTCCACTATTCTATCCTTCTTCAGGGCCCACCCACCCCCAGCCTCTGAGGTCCTGGGACATACTGAGCTTGGGACCAGAGGATGTGATATGTCACCAAACAGGTGCTGCAGGCAGAACACTATGGTTTTTCAGCCACAGAAGTTGAAGGGAGGTGGGTACACGGAGGGACTGGCTCACAGGGACAACTCTGTTTTCAAATCCAGAGTAGACAGACATGAACATCTGGTCCTCAAGCTTGTTCCAAATCGGCCCTGATACCTGGCTCATCTTCTCCTTCAGACCTTAGGAAAAACTGATGTCCTGGTCCCAGTGGACCCCTGACCAAAAGCCCCATTTGCCCTACTCATGGAAGAGGAGGACATAGAGGGGACGTTCTCCCAGGTCCCAGTCTTCTACTCTAGGGCACACAGCCATCCCCTTCCAGGCCAGGAAGGGCCTGGCAGTGCCCAGGCAGCAGGGGAGGAGTCAGGGCTGCGTTGAAGCGGAGCGGGAATGAGCGGGAGGGAAAGCTGGCGGGCAGGCGGGCGGCGGCGGGCGCATCCATCATCGGCCCTGCCAGGAACACATCCAGCCCCCAAAAAGAAATACTGCGCCTGAGGAGGGACAACAAAGGGCTCCGTTTCATCAGCAATGCGGAGCCAGCGCCCCGCCGCCCCGCCAGCCGCGGTCAGCCCACAAAGGACCCCTTTGTCCATGCAGGAGCCGGCCAGCCGGGAGCTGGGACCAGGGGCTGACGGGCGGGGACAGAGCACGGGGGGCTGAGGGGGGACGAGTCATGGAAAGCTGGGGGGCAGAGGGGCATGCGGGGGCAGAATAGAGACAGGTGGTGGGGACAGAATCATGAGACAGAGAACTAGAGGGGAGGATCAGAGAAAAGGGGAGCTGGAGAGGAAGGGGCAGAGGGTCAAGGTTAGTGGAGACAGTGTCATGGGAAGCAGTGTCTGGGGTAACAGGGTTCAGAGACCCAGGGACCCAGGACACCTTGTCCAGGCTCAGGGACTTGAGGGTCTAAAAGACAAGGAAACAGCCCTAAGGAGGGAATCCCAGAAGGCAGCTGGGCATGCCCACAGGAGAGGGAGGCAGAGGGAAGGGTAGAGGAGAAGTGGCGAGGAGACCAGATCAGACCCACTGTGTAGCCCAAGGCCTGAGAAGAGGAGGTGGGGAGGAGATGGGGAGGAGTCTGGGGAGGAGGGCTGGGGACGAGGGTGGGGAGGACACTGGGGAGAAGGACTGAGGAGGAGATGGGGAGGAGCCTGGGGAGGAGGGCTTGGGGGGAGGTGGGGAGGAGGCTGGGGAGGAGGTGGGGAGGAGGCTGGAGAGGAGATGGGGAGGAATCTGCGGAGGAGGCCTGGGGAGGAGGGTGGGGAGGAGTCTGGGGAGGAGGGCTGGGGAGGAGGGTGGGGAGAAGGACTGGGGAGGAGGTGGGGAGGAGGGCTTGGGGGGAGGAGGCTGGGGAGGAGGGTGGGGAGGAGGGTGGCAAGAAGGACTGTGGAGGAGGTGGGGAGGAGGGTGGCAAGAAGGACTGTGGAGGAGGTGGGGAGGAGGGCTTGGGGGGAGGTGGGGAGAAGACAGGGGAGGAGGACTTGGGAGGAGGTGGGGAGGAGGCTGGGGAGGAGGACTGGGGAGTACCGAGGAGGAGGTGGGGGGTAATGGGTTCTTGGCCCCAGAGCATGGCTGCAGGGCCCAATGCCTCCTGTAGGCTCCAGCTAACTGGCTGAGCTGGAAGGAGGGAGACTCATACCTGGGGCCACCTTCCTGGCAGTGGAGGCCACCCCGTGCCTCTACCCTAAGGCTCTGGCCAGCCCCAGAAGGCACGGAGCCTGCCCCCTTCTAGCCAGCCCCCACCACCTGTGTTGCCACTCTGGTTTCCTTAACCAACGGATCCTATCAACCAGCATTTACTGAGTATCTACTGTGTCCCAGGCCCTGTGCTTTTATGCTTTACATGTCTTAGCTTCTGAATGCCTCCCCAGAACCCCGGGAGACAGAAACTATTTGCCAATTTCAGACATGAGGAAATTTAGGCTCAGAGAGGTTCAAGCTGTCAGCCTCAGGTCAAACAGCTGGTGCCTAGCAGGGGTAGAGCTTGAACCCAGAGCCCAAGTGTTAGTCACCCTGTTCTGTGGCCACTTTTGCAATTGACAGAGTGGCCCAAGGCAGGTGACCTAGGTACCCCTAAGGCTGCTCTCACTCCCCAGGATTGTTACCGTGCCTGTCACCTCTCCGTGGTTGGGGGCAAGCTGTCACAGACCCCAGGAGAGTGCCCCCACCTGGGGCACTTGGAGATGCCCAGGGCCTGGAATGCTAAGCCAGTGACATCATAATGCCAGCTGGCAGTGAGGTCACTGGAGGTGGTGGCAGTGCCCTTATTCAACCCTCAGCCCTAGAAGAGCCTCACTTCACCCCCCGCAGGGTTCAATCTTGAACTCTCGGGCCAGAAAGCACTGGGAAGGAGGGGACATCCTGGGATGACATAGTGCCATCTGCACACAGACATGTACACAGGTGGCCCACAGCTGGATGTTCTAGATATTCCTTTGCACACATCTTCCCTGCACCTACCTCGACAGCAGCCCTGTACCTTATGATACCGGAGAGACAGCAGAGCACACAGACCCAGACCCCAGCACTGCCTTCCAGGAGTGCACAGGAGCTGGGCCCACAGTCACATGAACCAGCGTGAAACAAGAGCCGGAAGGGGACACAATGAGCTATCTGAGGCCTTCCTGGAGGAAGGGACTGCTAGTTTGAGAGTTAAGGATAAGGAGAAGCAATGAGAGGGGACAAAGGCATGAAAGAGAGCCTAAGCAGGTGGGGAAGAAGATGTGAGGTGTGTCTATGAGGCTGTCAGGGTCCCAGTTGTGCAGGGCCTTGAGGCCAAGGGCAGAATTTTTATTATTATTATTATTTTAATTTTTAGTAGGGATGAGGTCTTCCTATGAGGATCAAGCAATCCTCTCACCTGGGCCTCCCAAAATGCTGGGATTATAGGCGTGAGCCACTGCGCCTGGCTGGCAGGATTTTTAAAAAACAGTTTTATCGAGGTATAGTTTACATACTATAAAATTCTGCCACATTAAAGTATACATATAATTTAATGATTTTTAGTAAATCAACAAAGTTGTGCAACCATCACCACTACCAAGGGCAGGGTTTGACCAAGGCACCATCCCCGCCATTCCTTGCTGGCTGACCAGCCTTGCAGCCATTCTGCCTGCCCAGGGAGGCTCGTGGAAGAGGCTGCGTTTCAGGACCCCCAACACTGGCCCAGCAGAGCTGCACACCCTGGCTCAATGCACCACTTTCCACGCTTCCATGCAGCACTTGACATCCCGGCCCTTGTCTCCTCCCCCCCACCTTGGTGGGCCGGTCTCCTTGGCCTGCCTCCAAGTGAGGCAAAATACGCAGACAGGCTGATGGTGGGCAAAGCAGACCACAGGCTATGGTGGTTGAACCAAGCTGGGCAATGGGGTGGAAGGGAGGGTGTCCCGTCTCTGATTTCCATGATTCAGCCTGGGGAGTTTCCAGAGGGAAAAAGAAGCCCTGCTCAAGCCCAGGGAGACTGGTCTTGGAGGCAGGGAGAAACGCAGCCCCAGGCGGAGAGCACAGGGCACACATCCAGCTATGGATGGACACACATACCCCCACACACTGGCCACTGCGAGCACCCAGAGGGTGGCCTGGGGTGAGACATGGCCTCAACCCCACTAGAGTCACCCCAAGACTGACTGCCAAGGACAGAACAAGGGACAGCATTTCTATATCCCCGACTCCACACCCCTGACCCTCTTACACCCCTCCTGCTGGGGTGGGTGCCAACCATGCCTTGGCCTGAGGACTAAAGGGTTTGAGCAAACCTGGAGTATGTAGAGCTCTGTTTTCTCTCTCTCTTTTTTTTTTTTTTTTGACAAGAGTCTTGCTCTGTCACCCAGGCTGGAGTGCGTGGCCCGATCTCAGCTCACCACAACCTCCGCCTCCCAGGTTCAAGCAATTCTCCTGCCTCAGCCTCCAGAGTGGCTGGGATTACAGGCGCACACCACCACACCTGGCTAATTTTTGTATTTTTAGTAGAGATGGAGTTTCACCATGTTGGTCAGGCTGGTCTTGAACTCCTGACCTCAGGTGATCCACCCACCTCAGCCTCCCAAAGTGCTGGGGTTACAGGCGTGAGCCACCGCACCCAGCCAGGCTCTGTTCTGTTTTACGGTGCTCCCCAAAACAGCTGGAGGAGGGGATCAGCCCATTCATGCACAGCAACACTGAGGCCCCGGGCAGGGAGTAAGCTCTGACCTGGGGCTCTAGGGACTGAGATGCCTGGGATGCCTCTGATAAAGACAGGCCCTTTCCTCAATAGGCACCTCCCTCAGGCCAGGTTCCTTTCCTGGAAGAGTCAAAGGTTCAGGAAGACCCTTCCCCATTTTTTGACCTTGGGAAAAAACTGGCCTCTGAGACAGTTTTCCCATCTGTCACCTGGGACCATAGCTAACAAGTATGGGGCTCTTCCTATGTGCCACACTGTCCATGCTTTATCTCATGTTATCCTCATACCCAATCTCTGAAGGAAGTCCTATTATTGCCCCATTTAGAGCAGGCAATTTGCTTAAGCAGGTGTAATGACGCCTTGTCTATCTGGGATCCCCTGAATCTTGTAGTAAACATTTCCCAATGTGGTGATCTCTGAGCTGACACCAATCAGAAATCAGGCCCACGTACCCCCTCAGGACCTCCCTACTGATGGGCCTCACCATGGGACAAGCCAGGGAAGGCTAGTCCAGGGATGCACGAGTCAAGAAATCAGAGATGGCGCACTGTCCTTCTGGGGCTCCTGTGTGGGGTGTGTTTGTGTGTCTGGGGTTGGGGGAGGCATATGTGCCTAGGACTGGCTAGGGAACTGGAGGCCTGAGGCCTAGGTTTGTGGCTCCACCCTGTCCCTCCCTGACTGGTGACTTTGACCAAGCTCTTTCCGCCACTAAGCCTCAGTTTCCCATTTGTAAAATGGAAAGGAATGGCTCTTGCTTCTCACCCCAAACTACTGCAGAAGTCACGATCCCAGGGCATATCATGGGGAAGGAGGTAGAGATACAGAGGGGAAAAAAAGGATTCCAGACAGCGATCCCCTCCACCCTCCAGACCTCAGGAGGAAGGCCCCAGAGGCCGAGATCAGTCACTGATATGATCTGCAGATAGGAAACTGATTTGAGAGAAGGGTTTTGAGCAGGACGCAGGGCTGAGACTGAACCGTAGAAGAGGTGAGACCTATCGTGGCAAGGAGCATCCAGTCCCTTCCACTCTTAAGTTCCCCAGAGGACATTAAAATAAACAGCAGGCCCTGGCCTGTACAGGCTCACGCCTGTAATCCCAGCACTTTGGGAAGCCGAGGCAGGTGGATCACCTGAGGTCGGGAGTTCGAGAACAGCCTGACCAACATGGAGAAACCCTGTCTTTACTAATAATACAAAAATTAGCCGAGCGTGGTGGTGCATGCCTGTAATCCCAGCTACTCGGGAGGCTGAGGCAGGAGAATTGCCTGAACCTGGGAGGCAGAGGTTGCAGTGAGCCAAGATCACGCCATTGCACTCCAGCCTGGGCAACAAGAGCAAAACTCCATCTCAAAACAATAAATAAACAAACAAACAAATAAATAAAAAAAAATAAACAGCAGGTCCTAATAATGCACACTCACTGTCCACCAGGCACTGTGCTAAGCATTTCACATGCATTTTCTCACCGGATTCTACTACAATTATTATTATCCTCATTTTACAGATGAGGCAACTGAGGCTCAGGGACATAAAGCCACCTGCCTAAGGTCACAAGGTCAGTAAGTGGCAGAGCCAGGATTTAAACCCAGGTCTGTGTGACTCCAGGGCCTGGTGCTCCAACCCTGGCTGAGGGTTCCACAGCACATGGAGGGAAGGAAGACTTCAGCTAAAGGGTGAGGTCCAGTTCAGCTCTCGGCTTGGGGAAATCCCCTAGGTTTCCCTTGGGTCCTGGAGGGTGGCTCTCAGGGCCCTGTTGCAGAGAAGTCTGCAGCTGTACCCCAAGGCCCTGGAAAAGATGGGGAAGGGGCTGCGGGTGGGCCAGACGGGGCAGGCTGGGCCAGAGCTCCGGGCATTCCGCAGCCTCCGCAGGAAGCAGAACGGGACGGAAACCGGCTCCGGCCTCCTCCCCCAGAATCCTGTGGGCAGCCCAGCCGGCCGCACAGAGGCCCTCTTTGTGCCTGCCCCAACCCGCCACCCGCGGCTGGCCCAGGGTTTTGAGTTTCCTGGGGGGTGGGGGCCCAGCCACTGCTAAGCCTCCATCTAGCTCCTCTCCCGGGGGCAGTCACAGCAGTCCACAGCTGGAGGAGGAAGAGAGGGGATGGCCAGGGCCACTCTAGAGACCCTGGGGGCCTGGAGTCTGCCCACACCCCATTCCTCCAACATTTACACACCCAAATCAGGGGCTGGAGGTGGGAGGAGGGACCCAGAGACAGAGCTGAGGTCACCCCCCAGAGTCTGCCTCTGCCAGCAGCCACCAAGCCCATCATGACACACCTGGAACCCCCCGCCCCATCCCACGCCATCCTGGCGCTCTTGGGCCTAAAGTGGTGTACACAGTGAGGTTGGGCAGGGGCCGGGCAGTCCTTGTCAAACCATTTCCCACTCTCCGAGGCTCCCTGGACACAGGGCTCAGCAAGCTGAGGCCTCAAGCTCACTTCCCAGTATTTCGGGGGACAAAAGCCCCTCGGGTGGCATAACTACCCAAGGATGCTGGGCACCTGGGAGCGGGCTCAGGGGGCTGGAGTGTGTATGGTGACGAGAGCAATGCATACAGTGTGTTTTCGCGTGTCTACCTGGGAGGTGTGCTGCACAACTGTGTGTGTGTCCAGTGGACTGTGAATGTGCCCGGTTGAGTGTGTAGTCTCAAGATGTCGCCCTCTACAGACCACAGCATTAAAGCATATATGGGGATCATGTAGCAGTGCTGGGGGAGATCTTTGACTCTGTGACCTCCCTGAGGGTAAAGTGGAGGCATGTGTGTGCGACCCAAGTCTGTGAATGTACATGGATGTCCAAGTGCACGTGTGTGCGAATAGGGTGGTTTACGTGGTGAGAGGATGTTTGTGGAGTCTTCTGGTCTGTACGTGTCAACACATCTTTGCCGCATGAATGCCAGTGTGTGTATGTCCGCATGCACTGTGAGTTGTGTCAGGAGCTCTGGGCTGTATGAGTCTGGGGCCCTACTGGGACGGGGATGGTGTAGACAGGAACTGGTGCCAGCTGCTAGGGCCCCTATGGAAACAGGAAGCTGCCCACAGGTGCACCTGGGCTGTGGTGGGGGCTGGTTCCATCCAGGTTCAGTTTGTGCCTCTGAGAAACCAACCCAGGGTTCCACTAGCTGAGAATCTGTCCCAGCTCTAAGGGGGACACCTGTCTTGTCTGCTGTTCAAGGTCCAACAGCTCTGGCCAGTGTCTACCCGCCTGCCTGGCCTGAGCGTGGAAAAAACTGGAAAACAAAAGCCCCCAGACCGCAGGCCCTCCCTGCAGAGGCGTGGGGGAGGCAGGCGAGAGGCGGGAGGCTGAGGAGGAGGGAGGGAGGTGTCGCCGCAGCCCCGGAACACAAAAATAATGAGGCGAGAGGGGCCATGGGGCCGAGCCGGCTGGTTCCGGAGTCGCTATCTGACCTTGACAGATGCCACAGCTGGGCGCCTGGAGAGGAGCCGCCGCCACAGTGCTGCAGAACCCCCCCAGCACCTCCCCCAGGCCAGGGTCGATGGAGGCTCAGGCTGGCCCCAGCCACAGGCAGCCACCCCATGAGGCGGGAGCCAGAAGACCTCGGAGCACCTCCCAGTAGGGTGGATGGGGATGGGGTTGGGGGGTCTGGAGGCAAGGGAGTGGGAGCAGGGCCACTGCAGGGCACAGGAGGCAGCAGTGGGGTCTCCTGAGGGTGCCCCCGCCCTCAGGTAAGGCTACATGTGTGAGAAGCACGCAGAGCCTGCCATTGTGTGTGTGTGTGTAGCTTGGCTGTGGGGCTGAGTGTGTGTGTAGAAGGGAAGTAAAGCGTGAGTATGGGTGTGACAAAAATTGTACTTGTGTGCCTGTGTCCTTGGGGTCACACAAGGCTGGGAAGACAGGCTAATGTCCATGAAATGAGTGTGGCCACATCACTTGGTGTGGGCACCGATCACTCCCCAAACTCATTTAAAGCCATAGCTGTCCTGGCAGGTGTGAGCCATGCTGGGTCTAGGGGTAGGGTGGGAGACAAAGAGAGCCACAAGTCTTGTCACTTGCAGATGGCGGAGGGGCGCCCCTCCGGCCCTTCCTGACCTACCCTCTCTCCCGCTATGGCGGTTGTCCCAAGCACTCAGTGATGGGCACGGGGCTGGGCACCGCCACTCTAGGGACATCAGCCAGGGGCTGGGGTGTGAGTTGCAGGAGGGGATGCAGGGCTGGAGGGGGATTAGCAATTCCGAGCACTGGCTGCATAATTAAAAAATCATTACGGCAGGCGGGCAGAGCTGAGTGTGAGCTCACGCTTAGAGCGGGCGGGGACACTGCCATGGCGCTCCCCCTCCCACTGCTTCCCCGAGGAAAAATCCCACCTGCTAATATAATTATGGAAAAACACAAGCACAGAAATTTGGTTTCAGCAAACAACGTGCCTCAGTGCCCAGGGCCTGCCTGGCCCTCAGCACAGCGAGCAGGCTGGCCACTGGCATCCAGGGCTCATGGCAGTAAGGCAGGCCCTGCTAGGTCCAGACATTACCTCCACCCCCTCAGCAACCCCCCAAGAGAGGAGACTGGGAGGGGTATACAAAGCCCAGCTCCCTAAATCCCAAATTCAGGAGAAAATGGGCTGGTGCTGATGGTTTACAAACGGGGAAACCGAGGCTAAGGACTCTACATAAGGTCACTGTGTTTGTGGCAAAGCCAAGAGGAACTGGATCCGTGCTCAGTGCAACACCTCAGGGCTCAACATCCCCTCCCGACTCCCCCTATCAGTCATCCCCCAGCCTTCTCCGCTCCGCCTGGGATAAGCATATCTCTCCCGAGACTGAAGAGAGCCTCCAAGCCAGGTACCCCGGCATGGCCCAGAGCCTACTCAGACCTGCACGCCACGATGGGGTTCAGGGATAGGGCGTCCTGGGCTCGTCTGGGTTAAGCCAGGCGAGCAGAGCTGGCTCCCGCCCCGAGAAACGCGGCCAGCTCTGGGGCACAGGCCCCAGAACGGCAGGAACAGCCGCCATCACCTCGGGCCTGGAGCGGGCAGCGGGCCTGGAGCGGGCAGTGGGCGGCGCGGGAGGTAGCCGGGCCTAATTAGTCGGCCTGGGACCCGGGCGGGCGCCGGGGCGGCAGACGCGGCCGCCAGAGCCGCGCAGGCACGTCCGCGTCCGGCTGGGAGGCGGCAGGGAGCCGGGAGGCGCCCTGAGCCGCGGCGGGACGGGCAGCCTGGGAAGGCCTGGGCCAAGGAGATTCCGCACCGAGAAGGCTGGCCTCCCCTCATTCCACGGTGCCACCAGGCGCAGCAATTAGAGGCTTTCAAAGTTTGTCCTTAATTGGTTTCATTTTTGCCTCATAAATGATTCATGGCCCCAGAGGTCTGGGAGGCGGAGGGAGTGGCAGGGGAAATTTGGGGAGGTTTTTGCCTCGGGCCAGGCCCCCTACCTGAGGTTGGGGAGGGTGCCGCAGGCCCAGCCCAGGAAGGGATGAGAGGGGCTGGGAGGCCTCGGGCAGGTGGGACCCTGCAGCAAAAATTAAAACCCAGGCCCTCTCCTTGGAGCGCTGACTAATTAGGAACTGCAACTTCTTTTCAGCACACCAGAGCTCTGCATCCAGGCCTGGAGCCACCGCAGCTGCTGGGGCCCTGGGAGCATGAATAATAATGTAATGATAACAAAATAACAGTGTCAGTAGTAATAATAAGGATGGCGAGAACAACATATGCGTGATCTCTTTCAGCCACCCCTGCTCCCCCAAACACTAAGATCTGTTTTACAGATGAAGAAACTGAAGCTCATAGGCCTGCCCTCTGACCCTCAGTCTGATGCCACAACCCCTTAACCCCCAAACCCCCAAGCTCTTAAGAGCACAGGACTGACTATTCACCCTCCAGGAATAGTGCCAGGAGGGTCAGGAGCTGCAGGGCCTAAGGAAGCCTAGGAATGGTCCTGAGGCCTGAAAGAAGACCCCAGCCGGTACCAAGTGGCCCCACACCCACCTGAACCAGGCTGGCTCTGCCCCTCAACAGGCTGTGTGACCTTGCAGGGCCTTAACTGACCCATCTGTAAAATAGGGGCACAAGAGCCCTATGCCCCCACATTGAGTGCTAACCCAGTGCTGGGCACTAGGATAGACAGGAGATACCATGGACCCCGTGGTCAGAGAGCTCCCAGTGTAGGGACACACAGAGAAAGGTTTAAAAAAGTCTGTGCAGAGAACCCTGAGTGCTCAGTCAATGGGCAAAGTGCTGGGGAGCAGTACCCAGAGGGCTTCTTGGAGGAGGTGAGGTGGGAGGAGGAAATGCCTCTCCTCTGACCCCATAACCAGCCTACACAGGATGCTCAGGGAGTGGGTGTGACCCACTTAAACCCAAGACTGGGGTTGGACCTTGAAGAAACCCAGAACTACAGACCACATCAGAGTGACAGGGATGCAAAGTGCCCAGCTCAGCCTGCCCATGATGCTCCCTTTGATCCTGAACAGCTATGGGAGGTGAGGCATACTAAACTGAGCAGGGCCCACCTGGCCCCTGGAAATCCTGGAGGTGAGGGAACACAAGAAACAAGTCAGAGGGTAAATGCTGGGTGGGCTGACTCCGTTGGAGCAGGGCCCAGGGTCTCACAAATATCATCTCCTGTATTCTTCAGTTCCTCTGACACATGCACCAGGCTCCCCTCTCAAAACCCACTGGTCCTCAGGCCCCAGCCACAGCACAGTCTCAGTCAGCTCACTGCTCTTCCACCCAGCCTGCCTCCACTGGGCAGTGAAACAGCCTGCGCCAGAGCCAGCACCACTTCAAGTGGTTATGCGTCCCTGCACCTCTCCGCAGCTCTCTGAATGGCATCTGTGATCATCCCCATTTCCCGCATGAGCAAAATGAGGCTTAGAGAAGCTAAGGGACCTGCCCAAGGCCACATAGCTCAGGAGCGCCCACGTTCATCTCCCTGGCCTCTTTGTGGCTCAGTATCCCTGACCTGTCCCAGGCCTGGCCATTCTTGCCCCAGCCCTGACCCTTCTCCTGTCTGGACAAAGACCACACCAAAGCCCACGCTCCTGCAGAAACTAGGACTTGATCTGGCTGAGGCTTGTGGTCAGAAGACCCACAGGAGGTCCAGGAGGTAGTGGGGGTCTCTGTGTACCCTGAGACCCCTGGGGCATGGGGGTCTTCTGAGGCTTGGATGGGGTAGTAGGGGAAGCTCCCACAGGCACACACAGGGATGGGGGTGAAGGGGGTGAAGGGGCTGGCCATATTCTGTGGCTTCCTCCCTGGGAAGAGTCAACTTCAAGGCCCCTATCACCCATACTTGGGAGGAGGCCGCCCATGGGATTCTGAAGCTGGGGCACACGTCCTCTGGAAATGAGACTGAGCTCTACCCACCTCTGCTCCACCCTGCTGGAGGACACTGCTGAGAAGCCGGGCAAGGCCCACCCTCTCTGAGCCTCAGTGGCTTCATCTGCACACTGGCCCGATAATGTCCTTTGAGCCCTTTGAAAAAGCCTTTGAGAATAGGTTTAGAGGTTTTCCTTGAGAAAAGGGGTTTGGAAGAACTGGTCTATTTTTGGTTGGGGGCACTTGAGACACTGGGGTCAGTGTACCATAGCAGCTTGACAACGGCTTGTTGAACACACAAACAAGTGGCCGGGTTCTTATCCTCAGCAGGTCTGGTCAACAAACCCTTCCCAGGTGCCCACTCTGGGCCAGGACACTGGTCTGCCCTTTGCTCCTCGCTGTCCATCTACCTGTTCCAGGGCTGCCCAGCCAGGTCACCGGGGTCCCTCTGCCCAGCTTGCCCGGAAGCTGCACGTCTCCAGTGGGTCAGCACTGACGTCAGCAAGACTGGCCGGGCGTGGAGCCCGCCACCTCCGGAACCACCAATTAATTAACTTTTTCAAATTAATTTCCCAAGCAAAATTCCATAATTACATCTGTCTCCATCAGCCCAAGCTGGGCAGGCAAGAGGACCCTGCAATGAGATGGAATGTGGTGTAAGGGGGTGGCCATAACAGCCCTGGGACCAGGTCAGAGAGGCCACTGGGGGTTAGGTTTTACCACAGTTGGGCACTGGCCTGGCATCCTTATGGATGCTATCTGGGAAAGGAGGGGGCTGAGAGACCAGAGCATTCCAGCAAGGAGGTGGGGGCTCTGGGAGACCCATGGCCGGCCCAGCTCATCCCGGTGCCCCCATCCCCCACCCCGGTGCCCCTAAACCACAGCGGGTCTTGGCATGGCCCAGTAGCAGCACAAGCACCGCGAGGCTGAGGAGGCCGCGGCTGCGGCGTTCTAATTTCCCAAAGGGGCTGAGATTAATTAGCTCACACACAGGCGCAGAGAGGGAGAGGAGAGTGGGAGCAGGAGCGGGCAGCGTCAGGCGAGGAGCTGGCTGGCACTCCCCCCTGCCCGCCCAGCAGGCAGTTGGCGGCCTTGACAGCCTGGGTGCTCTGAAGGTCAGTGGCCAAGCTGGCTGAGCCAGCAGATTGGCACCATCTCCTTCCCAGAATCCTCAAGACCAAGGCTGGGGTACAGTGACCAGGAGGATAGTCTGGGGGGAAGGGCTCCGCTGTCACCACACTCTATCAGTTCTGTGCCATGTGCTCTGTCCACATCATCTTGTTTGATGGTCACAGCAACCCACAGAGGTAGGCATCATGATTCTCCCATTTTGCAGATGAGGACACTGAGGCTCAGAGCTGAGTGGGGCACTGGTGTGGGTCAAGGTCAAGCAAGTGTGGACAGTGGAGGTGAGGCTGAAAAGAAGGCTGGCCCAACTCTAGAGCCCACACTTCTTCCCCTGGACCCCTGTGCAGGTGTCAGGGCTACAGGAGCTCTGGGCCTGGGGGACTGGAACACCAGTCACAAAGCTCCTAAGTGTGTCTGTCTGCGGGGAATGAACTTACCCCTGCCTCAGAGAGCACGCAGGGCAGACTCGCACAGTCATTTCACAGATGAAGAAACTGAGACCAGAAAGGGGAAATGATCTGAGGCTGGGACTAGCCTCTAGTAAAGTCAACCCGATGAAGTGACCTTTAGTGAGCCCTGACCCAGGGCCATGCAGCGCCTGGTGCTAAGTGACACACGGACCACGGGATGGGGGGTCATTGTGGCTATGTCCCTGTATACCAAAGAGGAAGTGCCAGCTCAAGGGCACTTGCTCAACTCCTCCCTGCAGGGTGCCCAGGAGAGGGAAATGGAGCCCCTGGGGAGGGGGTGGAGGAGGTGCGCAACCCTGACCAGGCCCCGAGGCAGCTTCCACAGGCCTAACCATGGAGTTTCCCAGAACCTGTCTGCAGGAAGAACCCAGAAACCCCAAGGGGCATCCATCTGCTCCTCAGGGGATCCCCCACCCACCCATCCACCCTCCTCCCTGGAGTTAAGGGGTTAGGTTAGCAGTTCCAATGCTCTTAGGTTCAAACCTGGAAAGTGCCTTGAGATAGCAGAGGGACCTAGGAGAGTTAAGGAGCTGGGCATGGGGGAGGGGGCTGGCTCAACTAGGAACACTACACATCTTGTGTGTAATGGGGCGAGGGGAGCCCCTCATCTCAGAGACACAGGCTCAGGCCATGCCAGGGTCCAAGTGGGGCTTTGGAGTCAGGATTCCTCTCCTAGCTCTGCAGCCTCCAGCCTAGGTGACCTCAGACAGGTTGCTGACCCTCGCTGAGCCCAACCCCTAGCCAGTGAAATGCAGCCGCTGACAGCCCCCACCTCGTCAGGTCCTGGAGAGGACCTATGTGAAGGGGTCAGTGTAGCGTCCACATGCAGTAGGTGCTCAACTAAGGATAGCCATGTTGTTGTTTTTACTGTCCACATCTGCCAGCATAAGTGTGAACGTCACGGACAAGTCAGGCCAGGCGTGTTGGGTAACCCAGGTCATGGCCCTGGTTCTCTCACCATTTGCTTTTGAGCTCTGAGGCAATCCTTCATGCCTCAGTTTCCCCAGCCCCAAATACAAAGCATTCCCCGTCTAGCCTGCAGGACCATGGGGGGATGGACATGTGGTAGAAGCCTGAAGGTTACAACGAGGGTAGCACCCCACTGGCCAGGCTTGCATCTCCTCTTCTGCCCAAAGGAAGAAGGCCTACCTACACTTCTAGACAGCCTTTCCTCCTACCTCCCTCGCCCTCAGCCCTGCCAGCTCATGTCGGCTCTTCTTAGATCTCCCACAGCCCTGACAGCCCTGCCACAAAGGCACATCCCAAGCCTCTCGCCACCCTGCAAAGGCTCCATTTGCCACCTGGAAGTCCCTGCTCAAGTCTAACATATAGCCTTGCTGTGTGAGCATAGGGGGTGGGAGACAGAGAAAGCCTTGAAACTACAGTCGGCTCTCTCTGCTCCCTCTGATATTAGGAAGCCTCCAGGATTTTCCACCCAACACCCATGGGTTCCTTTGCCCTGGGTCCAACCCATTCCCATCCCTCCCCCAACCCCTGGCCCCCAGCTCAGCCTCTTCACTCAGGTACCTCAGCATCCCCATCTGAGAACAGCCCTAGAGAAGGCTAAATCCAAGACATTCTAATTAAGGAGCCCTTGTTGTGGGATGCCACCCCCAGAAAAATGCCAGGTCTAGTGGAGCAGGTGGAGGGGCATGCTCGCCTGGAGATCCAGGTGACATAATGAGAACTGATGACAACACACCCCACCATCTACTTCAGGTCCTGCGGTTTTGAGACAGAGATGAGAGTCATACCGATCTCACAGGTGACAAACATGAGGTCAGAGAGGTGAGCAGACTGGCCCATGATTACATAGCAGGCAGCGACCAAGCCAGGTGTGGAGCCCAGGCCTGTCCAACTCCAGAGTCCGCGGCACGGGCATCCAGTTTCCTGACTGGCCACTGCTGTTTGTGTCCCTCAGGATGCTTGGGTCCCTCTCTCCTCCTCAACCACGGTCCAGTCGTTTATGGAGAACTGTGTGGCCAGGAGGAGGGAGCCCAACTGGGCCTGAGTCCTTATAGCCACATGCCCTTTGACCACTGCTAGGCTGTCTCAGTACTGTAGGCCCAGAATGACCGGTAGTCTGGGTGTTAGGAGATTGCATCCAAAGCCCTTCATGACCATGAAGCCATTCCCATCAGACTCACTTCTCTCATCTGAAAAACGGCTTTTTTTTTGGCAGCATATGGAAAAGGGGTATATCCTTATTTCTGCCCAGTGCAAGGAAGGCAGGCCCCAACCCCAAAGGCGGGCAGAGGCTTAAAAAGGCTCCCTGAGGGCATACCCTCAGCTCTCAGCACCCCAGGACTTCCTTATACATAAGCCAGCTCTGTACCCATTTTGCAGGGCTGTAGACTAAGAACCAGGGACATGGCCAAAATCTAAGTGGGGGCACTGGATAATGAGGGCCTTGGCAACTAAGGGGACAGGGAGAAGCAGGTGTGTGGTAAGCAGGGAAGGTAGGCAGAAAGACTCCTGGGCCCATTTGATCAGAGGTCTCATTCTTCCCCCCATCTCTGGCACACCCTGTCACCTCCCAAGGACCCCATGCCCCAGGTCAGGGAACCAGCTGGCCACTTAGTGGTCCTGGGGAAATCGACTTTCCCTGGCACTCCTTCTCCAGCCTTTCCTTTTCCCAGCTCCCCTGTATCTCTCCCCCATGTACCCAACCCACTCTGCCTGGGCCAGAGGCCCCGTACTAGAGGGCAGTGGGTTTAACACTCTCATGCCTGATACTTGGACCTCCTCCCCAGAGAGGGCAGAGCCAGGTTGGCTATGGGAAAAAACCATCTCCACTTCCCCACCCACACCTTGCAGAACCCGGTGGACACAACATGGCTGAAGGCCGGGCCTCTTCCGTGTAAGCCTAAACACGGGGCGTCTAGGGGAACAGAGCCCTGACCACAGCAGCTGCGCCTGTGTGTGCCAGTGCCCTGGCCCACTCTATGGCATCATCTAGGGGTAAGCTATGGCCTGAGAATGATCAGGCCCCAGTGTGTGGGGCCAATGGGGTGAGAGTGGCCTATGTGTGCACGCCTATGTGTGCCTGTGTATGTGCATTCGCCTAGGTACGTGCCAGTGGGTGTGTGTGCCAGAGGCTGGGCTGTGGCTGGAACCGTGAGTGTGCTTCTGGAGCACCACATGGGAGCTGTGTGTGCATGGTGCATGTGACCGAGTCTGTACCACGCGTGTCGGCTGGGTGTGCTGAGTCGTGTGGAACTACGTGTGCTGCAAGTGACTGTGTCTGTCCTAAGTGTGTGCCTGGGTGTGCCGCGTGTGGGGTGCGTGAGTGTGCACTCTAACTGCCAGGCCGCAGGGCCTCTCGGGGCTGCTGGGGATGGGGTGACTCACGTCTCCTGAGCTAATCCTGCCGCCCGCCCGCCCAGCTCACCCTGCTCTGCTGGGCTGATGGCCGACAGCGCAAGAGGTGGGGGGGCGGCGCGGGCAGCCGCGGCGGGGAGGCTGGCTTGATAAATAACCTGCTGCTTCCCCAGGCCTCTGAAAAGGGGAGGCTGCAGCATGGGGAAGAGCATGAGGGCGGAGGTGGGGGAGGCTGTCCTGGTCCCCCAGACTCCGGCTGCCCTGGCCCCCTCGGCCCAGGCTGCAGCTCCGGGGTTCCTGTTTCATCGAAACCTGAGCTGGGAAAAGCCTATCGGGTCATCTTGCCTGTCCCGCCGGCCACCAGGCCCAGGCAAGCTGCCCCTCAGGGGACAGGCCCGCAGCCTGGCCTCCCAGCCAGTGGGTGGGTGGGTGGGGGGAGGATATTTCTGTCCAGACTAAATGCAGCTCTAGGCCTCTGTCTGTGTACTCCCCCCAACCCCAGCAGCTGCTCCCAGAGGCGCCCTGGCTCTGCAGGACTGACTAAATATAGGCCCCCCACCCCAGCAAACCCCCCCATGTTCACCAATTCCCAGTGGCCCCACCCACATGAGGGTAGAGGGGAAGGCTGAGGAGCCCACTGTGTGACCTTGGGGCAGCGTATCCCCCTCTCTGGGCTCTCAAGCTACGAAAAACCAAGCATTACTCAGCTCTGGGCCCTACCCTACCTAATGGGTGCTTTTGGAGTGTAGACCACAAAGGTGACTGGGTTGGGGTCTTCGCATAGGAGATAAGGGCTGAGGTCCCCTCCCCAGAGCACCCCAAACGCCTTTAGGCTTATAAACATGGCCCCTGCATCCTGCCTGTTCCTTGCCCAGGCCGGGCAATACCAGGCTCCTCCAATCTGCCCTGGCCGGATCCTGGCCAGGAAACAAGTTGTGCCAGGCTTGGGGTGGAGGGGCGGGAGCATGACAGCTGCTATTTCCTGGAGGCCACAGTCGGGCACAACCCGGATTCCTGCCTGGCTCCACACTCCACCAGAGCCTCTTTGAGCCTGCAGGCCCTCGACAAGGCACCCCCTTCCCCGTGTCAGAGCTATTATCAGACCCCACAGGATCATCCCGCTCCCCTCACTGCACTGGCACAGGCAGGAGGAAGGTGCCTGGATGCAGCTTGCCTCTAGGACTGGGGAGAGGTGGTCTCTGCAGGGTTCCACAGGCTGGGAGGCAGCCCCAGCTTCCCTCCTCCTGCCTGCCTGCCCACCCGGCTGCTTCCCCCAGCCCCACACGCACCAAATTCCCCACATGCCTGTCTGTCTCTGACAGCTCGAGCAAATACTTGGCTGCGCGGGCACCCGCTGTTCTGAGCCTGCTGCGCCTCCTCCCTGCCTTCCCGGGGGGCTTTGCAGACACAGCCAGGGATGGAGGGGGCCAGAGCCAACCAAGAAGCTCGGTGGGCAGTGGGAGAAAGCAAGGGCAGGAGGGACCAGCCTCAATGCAGAAGCACCACCTCCAGGCCCCGGGGCCTAAAGGACCTGGGAGGCCACTGAGAGCCAGCCCAGGCGGGGCAGCAGCTGCCGACACCCCCACTGCCCCCGGACACCCCTGCTGCCCCCCGGAACCTCCCAGGAGGACCTTCCGGAGGGCTCCCACTTGCCTCGACCGATGAAACAGCATCTGCCACCCCCGCAGCGGCAGCTCAGGACAGGGTGGAGGGCACCACAAGGCCCCTGGGGAAGGCTTTGAAATCTGGATGAGGGCCCAGCCCCTCTTGGCAGTCCCAGCCCCCCAGCATAGGCCCAGCCTCAGAGCATGGGGGGTGCATTCCAGCCCTCCTGCAGTGTGCGGGGCACACCCGCCCAGCTGCCAGGCTTGGGATGTCTCCACTTGGACTGGCTGGGGGCCTTATTTGCCCCCATTGCCCTCCTTCCTGCTAGCCTGTCTCCCTCCCAGGAGACCAGTGGAGGAAACACTTCCTGACAACAGCTGGGATTTTCCGCTGGACACCGCGCCTCACTGGCCGGCTCCTTACCTCCCCCCACCTCAGTCCTTCCCCGGGAGTCACCAAGTCACACCCCTACCCGTCTGCAGCAGAGGAATCCTCCCCTCCCAGCCGATCTGCCACTAGCCCCAGCATCCAGGCACAGCACAGACACTGAATGAATGACCTCATGGGTAACCACCTCCATTCTGCAGATGGGCAAACCAAGGTCAGGGAGAGCCCAGAGAGCCACGCATCCCCCACTGTGCTCTTCCTGAAAGGGGTTGACTGCAGGTCCCTTCACTATTCCTTTGCCTCCCACCACACTTTCTGCCTCAGGAGTCAATTGAGCCCTCCCAGGCTTCTGGAGGCATTAGGATGACTCCAAACAGAATCTCTCAGTGTTCTGGGTTCAAACGCCCAGCTAGGCTGCTCTAGATGACACTCCTAACTCTCCTACAGTTCAACAGTGGTCTTGAAAAGAATCCCAAGGTATTGTCAGGGTGATGTTAGACCTTGAAAAAAGCCTCCTCTCCCCATTGCACAGATGGGGCTGCTGAGGACCCCAAGGGAGGGGGAGCTGCAGGCGGCCATGAGTCAGAGGGGGAGCTGGGAAGCCGCCCGGCCCTGCCGGCTGTTGCTGGAAGCAACAGCCTGCATTTCCTCCTCACGCTGGTGCCTCGGGAAGCGTGGGCAGCGGGCGGGCGGGCACCGCCAAGAGGACCCCTCCTGTGCCTGTGGGCCAGCCGCATCCCCCCACTGCCTGACTGGGCCCACAGCCCACTCTCCACACCGGCTAGAGCTCCAGAGAGGGGCTGGCTAGGGGCAGAACAGGTATTTCTGTCCCAGGTATGGGCTCATGTCACCTGAGGACAAGAGGCCCTGTGACCTCAGGGCAGCCTGACCCCTAGAGCTTCAGTGTCCCCTAGCATCAAACAAGGAGACTGAAACATGACCATTTACACTTCCTTCTAGCAGCAAAATCCATGGTTCTGTGATTCCAGAATCCCAACGAGAATCCTGACTTGAAAAATGCCTCCATTCCAAGCATTCTATCTATGATTCTAGACTCCCATGACTAAGAAATTCTAGGCCACCAAGATCTGACCGCCCCAGGAAGAAAGGGGGCCAGGTCCACTTCTGCCTACTGCTATGAGCCCAGTTAACTAATTTCCCATCTAGTTCTGGGGGAGGTGGGTCAGGCAGGAGAGGGGCTGGGTCTCTCCCATCAGAGTCAACAGGAACTGGCATGAAGCTGTCGGGAGCCCCTGGCCTGGAGAGAAGCTGGTCTAGTCCTAGGGGACAGGCCACCTCCTCCTGGCACACACAGCCACTAATGCCACAGATGTCAGGAAGTCAGCCCGCACCAGAGTGAGAGTGGGTGGTGGGGGGTTTGCATGCCTGCACCCCATCCTGCGGCTAGGAGGGAGGGAGGGCGGGCGTCAGGTCAGGGCTGGTCTCTGCTTCTCAGGTTCCAAGCCAAGCTCCACGCTTTATCTTCCTGTCTTCACCACCCACTGCTTCCTCCTTCCCGCCACAGTCCCCTCACCTCCCAGGCCAGTCCCAGCCCAGGCCAGCCGGCAGCCAGCCAGGACAAAGGCTCCCAAGCCCATCTGACAGATGGAAAAATTGTGGTCCTCAAAGAAGATAGGACCCGCCCCACTGGCTTGGCTTAGCAGCCTATTGCTCTCTGGCCACATCTCTCCGCCTTGCCCCTACCTTGCTTCCCAGAATCCTCCACAGGGCCAGTAGGTCTCCACCTGCCAGCCTGTTCACCAGCAACCCCCTACCCCAGTGTCCCCTGACAGTACTTATCCTCACCACCAGTCATCCAGTCATTCATTCATTCACTTTTGTCTGCCCAACTAGCCTATCAGCCCATCTCCCAACACATCCAGCCCATTGCCAAGGGTTATGGGGGCCTCAAAGAGGAAAGAGCAAGGCCTGTGCCCAGCAAGCATTTAAGGAGTCCCTTCTGTGTGCCAGATAGTGTGGAAGGTGCAGGAAACAGCACACAGAGGCCAACAGCCTGTCAAGGGCTCTGCCAGGACTCCATCCCACTAGGCAGTGGCAAGCCACAAACTCCCAAGGCCTCAGTTTCCTTATCTGTATATGGGGATGCTAACAACATGCATCTGTCCCAGGTATGGGCCCATGTCACCTGAGGCTACTGTGGGGATGAAAAAAAGTGAAAGTCAGAAAGCTGTTAACATGGTGCCTGCCACAGAGAGGACTTTCGTTGGGCTACCCATTACCACTGGCTTTGTTACAATCTATTACAACAATAGCAGTTGGCCGGGGGTGGTGGCTCACGCCTGTAATCCCAGCACTTCGGGAGGCCGAGGCAGGTGAATCACTTGAGGTCAGGAGTTCGAGACCAGCCTGGCCAACATGGAGAAACCCCATGTCTACTAAAAATACAAAAATTAGCCAGGCATGGTGGCGCACACCTGTAATCCCAGCTACTCGGGAGGCTGAGGCAGGAGAACTGCTTGAACCCAGGAGGTGGGGGTTGCAGTGAGTCAAGATGGCGCCATTGCACTCCAGCCTGGGTGACAGAGTGAGACTCCATCTCAAAAAAACAAAAACAAAAACAAAAACAAAATAGCAGTTAACGGGGGCCGCAACTGATTACAGCAGCAGCTAAAGTTCTTCAAACACTTATTTGGTGCCAGGCACTGGGGGTACAAGAAGTAATCACTGCCATATCCCATTGCAAGGCTGGCAAGGAGCAGGCCCAATAAGCAGCCCCAATAAGCATCTGATGAATGAGGGGATCAATGACAGGAGGCACGGCCCTGCCTGCAAGGAAGGTATAAGCCAGCATGTTTTCATGGGTGAGGGTGTCTTTCTGCACACATGTGTGTGTATGTAAGCACTTAGGTGTGTTACACGTACATATGTGTGCCTGTGTGAGAGACCTGGGGATCCAGTGATGCCAGGAGCACAGCCACTCAAGCCCACTGAGGCCCCCACCTGACACCACCCCTGCCAGTGATCACAGCAGAGCCAAGGGGACTGTGGCAAGAGCAGGGGCCAGGCCCACAGAGAAAGGCCTGGAAAGATGCTTTGCATAGTTCTGGCCATCGGATTACAGGCCCAGCCTAGGCCCCTACTTGGGTGTGTAGGGGCCGCTAGGGGTTGCCCCACAGGAACCCAGGCCCCCAGTGCCCGAACATTACGCCCGTACTGGCATGGCACACAAGTGTTCCTGCTGGCAGGCTGGGCACGTCTGAGGAGGTCAGAAAAGGTCACAGGCAAGGGAGGGAGTGCTGGGCCCAAGGGCGATGTAGGGTCTGCCAGACAGAGGAGGGCGGGTACAGGGCTCCCCGGGGGCCACCAGGCAGGCCTGGCTCTGCCCTGCTGGGGCCGGCAGCTGGAGGGGAGTAAATATAGCTGGGGCGTCCCAGCCACATTCCTGGGAGGCCAGTGAGGCCCGCCTGCCCGCTGCTCTAAGCAGAGCGCAGCAGCCAGGGCCCAGAGCCGCCACTGCCCTCTTCCCAAACAAACAGAAAAATAAATAAAACCAGCTCTCACGGCCGGCCGGCACAGCTGGTGGGGGAGGGGGCAGGAAGGGGTGGACAGTGGTTGGGGGGTGGACAGGCAGGCGGACCAGTTGCCGCGGTTTCTGTTCCACTGGGAAGGAGGAGGCCAACAAAAGAGGGAAATGGAGGAAAAGGGCAGGGAGATGGTCAGAGATGTCAGCGAAGGGGAGAGAATCCCGAAGAGATGAAGGGTGTCACAAGGAGAGGTGTGGGGAGGTAGGTCAGGAGGGATAGGGAAAGTGTCAGGGGCAGGCACAGTGGGGGACAGTTAGGAGAAGGCAGAGGCAGCCTCTGGGTCAGTAATTCAGCGGCAGGGATGCCCAGGGGGGCGGCGGGGGGTGGCAGGCAGAGACAAAGGGGGCTGTGTGGGCTGGGGTAGGGGGCCGGCTTGAAGGGCCATGAAATATTGAAGAGCTAGGCCAGTGAGTGACAAAGGTCATAGGAAGCAGGAGACTAGCCAGGGAGCAATGGGGAACCCTGAGGCGGAGGGCTGCCCCACCTCTGGCCTGTCTCTCCACCACCTCCATCACAGCCAGTCTCCCCAGCTCTCCTCCTGCGATGGAGGGACAGGCTGAGGGTGGGATGGGCCTCGGGGATTAGTGATGGCAGGGAGACCTCTGCAGTTCCCTCTTCCCTAGGGCTGATCTGGGTACAGCCGGCCTTCCAGAGCTGCCAGCCACCCTATCAAGAAAGCCAGGAGGCCTGTCAACACAGCCGCTGCCACGGCACCTCCTGGGGAAGGAGCGGGAGACATCCAGCTTCTCCTTCCCAGGAAAAATCAGCCAAGCCACCACTTTCCACAGAGACCTGTGGGGAGGGACGGCTGGGCCTCACAGCTCAGCTGAGCCAGCAGGTCACCCCCCAGCCCTCCCACGCTACCCCAGCCTGGCCCCATTACTAGCTTCACCACCTGGGTCAGTCCCCTTGTCCCTGAGCCTGTGTCTTCACCAGCTCTACCCCACCCTAGGCTTGGGGTGAGGAAAGAAAGAAGGCAAGTAACACCTTGAAAACATACTGAGGCCAAGCATCTGCACACATCATCTCAGAGAAGGCTACCATGTGCCCCATGGGGTCTGTCCTATTATCAGTCCCATTTTACAGATGAGGAAGAGAAAGTCAGACAAAGTGATGCACCCACGGTCACACACCTGGTAATCAGCTGAATGGAGACAGAAGTGCGAGGTGTGAGCCACATGTTATTTTCTTAGGATTCACGGGGGACATGCATTCCTTGTCTCTATAAAAGCCAGTGTTTACTGAATACAGATTGTAGGTGAGCACCTCTCCCTGCCAGGCACTATGCAACCATCTGTGTCCATCTGAAAATGACCTTGTGAGGCAGGCATTCTCTTACCGTCCAATTTCAGAGATTAGGAAACTGAGGTTTGTAGAGATAACACAACTGGCCCAAATGTCACACATCCAGCTAGGCAGTGACATGTCCAGGATTTGGAGTCAGATCTGATGGACTCTAGAGCCACTGCTCATACACACTTGTCTGGGTGGAGGTTAGGAGGAGCCGGTAGCAGTGGAGCTCAGTGGTTCAATTGGCTCTGACAAGGGACACCCAGAAAAGGTCAAAAACAAGGTCACAACTGCCGTGGGGGGTTGGGGAGATGGCAACTGCTTTGAGGATGGGAGAGGGGCAGAGCCTGTAGGAGCCCCAGGTGAGGGTACAAGCTAGGGTCCTGGCTAGAGTGATCTGCTTGGTCTACCCAGAGCCCCCATACCAGGTAACACCAGCCCTGCCCTAGTGTGAGGATACTGAGGCTGACCCAAAAAGGGCCAGTGGAGCCCTGTCTTGTTGGTCCCCAGGGTTCTAACCTGTGCTCTGGGGCCAGTGTGCCTGGAACTAATCACCTCTCTAGAGCCCCTAGTGCTGTGGAAGGCGGGGCAGGATCCCCTCCCTCCCTCCTAGGCCCTGTGAGCCCAGAGGGAGGCCAGCATCAGAGGCAGGAAATGAAGAAGAATTTGCGATCTAATTGAGCTGGCGGGGGATTAGGCGGCAGAATGCAATTACAGGGGCTGGAGCGGGGCCAGGGCACTGACACCCCAAGATGTGGCCTGGCCCAGGTGACTTGGCCCAGTCAGTCTCTGGCCAGAGACACTAGACTTGGGGTTGGGAGTATGGGTACAGGGAAAGGTTGGGACCAGACTGCTTCTCAACATACAGAGGACTGTGGGGTTCCAGCTCCATGTAATACCCAGAAGCAAGAAGTTTTCCTGGGAATCCTCCCCCAGGGAACAAGCCTATGGACTCTCATCTGGGGATCTGGCAGCCAGACACACATGCTCTCACAGGCTCCGTTCATACATGTGCAAGCATGTGCTCACACTCCCAGGTAAGCCCCACATATCCACATTCACCTGCATAGGGGCAGGCTTCCCAGCATGGAGACACACAGGCTGGCCCTTTGCTGCCACTGGCTCCACCAAATGGTGGGTTGTGGGGGCACAACCCCCTCCCTCCAGAAAACCCACCCATGACCTTAAAATCCTTTTATTCCCGTAATCACATGCTACCATTGCCGTGGATACACGCTGTCACCCCAGCCCCAGCCTGTCTCCCTCTGCGGCTTCCAAAACTCCCAGCAGGCAGGCAGACGGGGAGGCTGCCCAGTTACTGCTGGGGAGGGAAGGGGTGTAGGGGTTGCAGGGGGAAGGACTGGGTGTGAGAGGTTCAGTTCTACACACACACACTCCATGCTACACACACATTCAGGGCCTCAAACAACCAGAGGGGGAGATTCAGTAAGACGGAGATACAGAAAGAGAAAGGAAAACATAGCCAGCCGCCACCACAGACAGAGAGAAACCACTGTCCATACAGCACAGACAGGCCCACTCCCACATTCACAATTCAGACACACTCTACTCAGAGTCAGATCCCCCAGATTTATAAGCATATACAAAGCACACAGATACACACAAATCACAAATCCAAACTCTCCAAAATTCCAAGCACACACAGCTCACAGAATATATTCATTCCCAGATTCACAGGGACATAGCCAATCTTCAGAAATACAATCTCAGATTCACAAACACACATGTACACATACACTACAGATCCACACACTTCTAGATCAGGACAAATATACATGCCCTGATTCATAAATCCATGTATGTTCAGACTCCCACACCCTGAGACAGACATTCAACACAGAGATTCACAGATATAGATACACTACTTAGAGACACACATGTCCTGAGTCATAAGCACACATCACCCAGATTCCCACATCCCAGAACAACAGACTAGTGCCCACACAGCCTCATCTCTGTCAGCTGACACTGCCTCTGGCTTTAGGGGGCAGGTGGAGGGTTGGAGATTCCTGGGTCTTTAGGGGGCAGTCCTTTCTCATTGCTCGAATCCAGGAAGGGTGGGCTCAGCGTTGGGGGGAGGTGAGGGGGAAGTAAGAGAAAGCAGAAAAAAACTTTAGTGGGATATTCTTGTTGGGCAGTAGCGCGTGAGTAACGGGGGAGGCTTTTTGTGGTCTGGTGAGTTCCAGCTATGAGTGAGAGTTTAACTATTAATACACTTAATCAAGGACACTTCACACACACATACACAGCCACACACACACACACACACACACACGCGCGCGCGCGCGCGCGCGCGCGCCGGCGGCTAGGATGGGACCAGGTGGTGGGGGTAAGAGAGGGAGAGCCCCAGAAAAAAGAAAAGAGGGAAAGCCCCAATCAGGGCCCCAGGGGGCGGGGAAACGGGGCGGAGCTTCTATCCTGGGCCTGCCTCCAGAGCTGGAGCAGTGATTCATTTGTGTACCACCAGAAGGGTGGGGTTTGATACACAGTAGGTGCTCAATACAAACATATTGGGCCAACAAATGAATAACATATAAAGAGTGGGCAATAGTAACGTAATAACAATGTGTGAACCCCCCCATTCTTGTTCAATTAGGGCATGCCCCAGAGCATCATGCTTGTTAATTCGGACTAAATGATCAAGCCACCAGACAGGGGCTCTAGGAACCCAGGCTTGGGTCTGGCTCACCCGTATTCCCTCATTCCTCCACCCTATCCTGCAACCTGGAAAGTCAGCCCAGCCCACATCCCTCTCTCCCTCCTAGCAAGACTCCCTCCACTCCATCCTCCCATAAACAACAAGGTGCAGTCAGTCCTGAAGAAGGCAGGGTATTTCATTCCCCTGGACTTGTTTCTTCACCCAGATACAAGCCTGCCCCCACACTCCTATGGGTCTCAGTTTCACATGTGCCAAATGAGTAGGAGGCAGGCAGAGCAGGAAAGGGGCAGCAAGAGTTGAGGGTCACAGTGGGAACCCATGGAACATGGGCCTGTGCTGGCCGGTGCCCTGGATGCAGAATCCTCCCCTCCCCTTCCCCCACCCACCCCAGCCCAGCCCAGCCCAGCCTAGCCCAGCTGGGTGGACATTCCAGGCCTCACGTGATAAAGACGAGGCCACTGGCCCTCGGGTAAGTCAACAGGCTCTGTCGCGGGAGAGATAGGAGGCCCTGGCCAGGGTCACCTGCTGAGCGGGGAAAACGGCCAGGACCAGATACACACATAAATAAGGCACCAACCCGACAGCCAGCCAGCCAAGGGTCTGTCTTCTGCAGAGGCTCACCTTGGAAAGGGAGGTGGCATGGAGAGGGAGGCCAAGGCTGACT
The DNA here is from genome assembly GCF_000001405.40 of Homo sapiens. Lineage (NCBI taxonomy): Eukaryota > Metazoa > Chordata > Mammalia > Primates > Hominidae > Homo > Homo sapiens. The sequence goes on along the minus strand of NC_000005.10, from coordinate 139,651,123 downwards.
AGGGGCGTCCCTGGGAGAGACCCAGCTACTGCGAGGATGAGGGGTAGGGGGGTTCTACCCAAGTTCCGGGGGCTGGCTGGGAACTCGGAGGCCAATCTCCTTCAGCTGTTCCCATCTCTTCCCAGGGCAAAAATCAAACCATCACCCCCTCTCCCTCCTCCCCAAGGAGAGGACAATTTCCGTTCTGGGAGGGGGGTGACAGCTGCAGAGCGGGCCACTCCCCACCCCCCCAAGCTCCAGCCTGACTCTCATCTAGGGAAACTGCTAAATCAACAATACGCAGTTACGGGTAGGTAGCCCGCCGGCCTGAGTTTCCCCGCACGGCTCTCAGAAAGGGGTTTAGAGGGGGCTTCGGTCTCAGTTCCCGGTTTTCTAGTGGCGGTTGGAAACCAAGGCACGGGCATCTTTCAGGAGGGGGATCAGGTGAAGCTTAGGCCAGTAGGTCCCCCAAGACGTCTAATTTAAATACTCCCAACTGCAAAGGACAGACGCCCCCCACCCCGCGGCCTGGGGCAGCTGAGGTGGAGCCGGGCGTTCAAATCGCGCTCCAAACAAGTCCGCAGCGACCGCGCTCGCAGCCCCCGCCAGGCGGCCCCAGCGGAAAACTTGAAAGGGACTCTGTTTGCCGGCGGCCCTGGGGCGGCTCCGGCGGGGGCGAGGGCCGAGCGATCTCACACACGCCCCCTCCCCAACGCTTCCAAAGAAAATGCGGGGGTGGGGGGGACAGGGCCCACCACAAATCCAAGGGCTCCAAACAGCGCCCGCCGCGCGAGGAAAGGTGGGGGTCAGGAGTCTGGTCCGCTGGTCACCCCCTTAGCTCCCCCCCCATCCGAAGGCGCGACTCTCAGACCACCCAAAGTCCAGGGGGCAAAGGAGGGCGCGGTTGCCAAACCTTCAGACCCCCGTCGCGGGAGACTTCAGGGAGCGGGTCTTTCCGAATGAGTCACTACAGAACCCCCCAAATTTACTGGTGCTTCCTTGCAGCCCGAGGCACCAGCCCAACTCCGCGCACCCCTTCAGATTCCCGGGGGGGAAAAAAGAACAAAAAGAGATCTTGCTCCCACTTTGGGCGTTTCAGCTCTTCTGACAGGTCCCGAAGGTGGCCCCCCATTTAAAAACCGGGGTCACTCGCTTTCCGTCGATCCTACAAATAAACAAAGCCAGGCGCACCCCGCGCTCCCCGCCGGAAAGCAGCCCATTCCGGGCGAGGACAACTTCCCCCAGCCAGAAAATTAACACATTCCTCTCGCGGCGGTTCAGCCCCTCACTCCGCTCCGGGGAAGCGAAGGGGAGGGGGGTCGGGCCGAACTTCATGGGTAAATTTGGGGCCAGTGCAGCGTGGCAGGCGCCGGGGACGTACGCCCCCCACAGTTCCGCAGCTAGAGGAACACCCCCATTCTCCCTCCCAGGCTCTGCACGCTGCGTGGCCCACGCGGGGCTCGGGAGACAGCTCAAAAGACTCCCCAAGGCTGGGAAAGGAGGGAGGGAGGGGCCGCGGGGCACCGTGGTGGTGGGGGAGATACTTTGATGGAAAAAAAAGGTCAAACTTCATCAGCCCGCCGGGCACCCCGCGGGCAGCGGGGGCGAGGAGCCGGAGGAAAAATGCAGAAGTAGCCGCCGCTTCTTCCAAGTGGTGGGGGAGGCTCAGCCACGCGTGGTCGAGGGCGCCCAGAGCAGTTAACGTCGCCCCTCAACACAGGGCTGCGAGCGGGGTCTGATGGGGGGAGTGCGCGCCAGAGATCTACAAGCAGCCGCCCCCGCAGGCTGAGCGCCCGCCCAACGCCAAGAGGTGAGGACCCCGGGCGCCCGCTGCCCCAGCGCCCGCGAACTGGAGTAGTGGGGGGGAGGGGGGCGGCACCCCGCAAGGAGCGTCCCAGCCCCACTCCACGGCGCCCAAGCCGCCGTCCCAGACCCTAAAACCCCTCTTTTTGTCTGAACTCAGTGATCTGCGACCGAGCATACTGCGGCTTAGGGAGGCTTGGGTATAGCAGCGGCCACCAAGCGATCACCGGCGCTAGGTCTCCCAGGCTCCGGGGCTCCGCGGCTTACGGTGCGGGCGCCCCCCGCCCCTCCCAAATACGGACCCCTCCTTCCCCGTCCCCGGCTCTCCGCACCTGAACTTCGGGGGAACCCGCGCAGCCAAACTTTCCGCCGACTTGCAGCGAACTCCGGCCCCGGCCGCGCACCGAACCCCGGGGGAGGAGAGGGAGGTAGGCGGGGAAGGGGAGGGGGCCGGCCTCCGGGGGGGGTCGAGGGAGGGCCGTGGCCCGACACCTACCGGCTCTCCGAGTCGTCCAAGCCGCCACCGCCGCCGTCGCCGCGAGGCCGAGGGGGAGGGGCGGGGCAGGGAGCTGCGCTCCGCTCTGGGCACCACCGCCGCGGTGCGCTCCGCTCCAGCCGCCAGCAGTGCCCGGGTCCGGAGCCCGAGTCGCGCCGCCGCGGCTGGCCCGAGGCGGGGAGGGGGGGGAGCCTGCAGCACCTGCCCCTCCTCCCCCTCCCCGCGGCCCAAATTAAAAAACAACAAAAAGCAACTAATCACCCCCGAGCTGAGCGCGGCTCGCGGGCGGAGGGCTCAGCGTGCGGCGCCCGGACTCAGCAGGCGGCGCGCATGGCTGGGCGCGGGCTGGGCAGGGCTGGGACGCGGGGCCCGGCTTCAGGGGATAAGGCTCTGCCGCTCTTCTCGCTCGGCTCGGGCGTCTGCTCTTGCCGCCAGTGCCGCCTCTGCTGCCGCCGCCTCTACATCCCCGCTCAGGCTCAGCCGCCTCTGCCGCCGCCGCCGCGCGCCCGCCCGGGCAGGAGCTATGAACGCTGCCCGGGGGCTGCCGGCAAAACCCGGACCGGACTCGCCGCTCCCTCCTCCCCCCAACCCCCTCCACCTCGGCTCCCCTCCCTCCTCCCGCCGCCTCCCTCCCAGCGCAGCTCGGGCCACTTGGACGCCGCGGGCTCTGAGGCCGGAGCTGCAGCCGCTGCGCCTCGAGCTCCCCGCGCCCTGACGCGGTCCACCCAGGCTCAGCTCCCTTGCGCGCCCCGTCTTCGCCTATTTCCCGCAACTTTACAAAAAAAAAAAAAAAAGGACGACCTCCCCGCTTTGGTGAGGCGGTCTGGGTTTAGAGACGCACCTCCGGGGAAATCTGCTATCTTTCTGCCCCCTCTAGAGCGGGGCCAGAAGCTTCGAGGACCGGGAGGGAGAATTTGGCCGCGCCCCCCAGCTCAGGTGCGCGGCGGGCCAGAGATTCCTAGTCGAGGGTCCTGGGAGGTAGACGCGTGTTCCAAGACCCCACCCTTCCAAGAGCTCCTTAATGGATTCAGTGGGCACTAGGGCCCCGGGAGAAAAGGGGCGGAGATTCCCGTTCCCATTTCTCAGGTGAGGAAACTGATCCGAGAAAGGATATTTTATCTCTCAGGCAGGCATCAGCCTCAACTCTTGAGTCCCGGGGCTAAAACGACTACGTACATTTGGTGCCCTGAGACCATGGCCTACGCACTCAAAACCCGAAACAATGCTTGGAACAGCAGCGCTCAATAGGTACTGATTGAAAGACAGAAGGAAAACTCAGCCTTGCCAGAGTAGGCGCCCAGTGGGGACAGAGTTGGGCCCGCATATCCCGCTTTCACTCCATCAGTGGCCTCCATATGCCCATCTTAGGCTAATTAATCCTGCTGCTGCAGATGTCTTCACCTCACGTACCCATGGTGCAAGCCCCGGGCTCATATAATCCCAACTGCATATAATCCCAAAGTGGAAGTTTTCTCCAATTCTTTGGGATTCGTGGGGGCGGATTTGTGCAAGGCCGACCTTCCTCTGCGAGGCGAAGAAAACGCAGTCCCCAGACCCAAGCAGGGGAGGGAGAGGGGGAGGGCGGTTGGGGAAGTCAGCCTAGGGTTAAACGTTACAGCCTGAGATCGATTGGGGCCCAGATAACAGGGAGTTAACTGTGGCGATCCGGGCGCCTGCAGCCACAGGCGCGGCCTCGGTGGGAGAAGCGAAACTGTCTCCCACCTCGCTGCTTCCTCTCCTCTGCTCTGCGCAGCCTGGCTGTCTCCGAGGCTGGCGCGAGGGCTTATGGAGCATGGATCTCCTGGCAGCAGCAGCTGGTGCCCACCTTCCACGCCTTCTATATGTGGCCTTGGGGCCTTGACCCAGCCGGGGTGGGGTGGGGGGAGGTGTCAAAGGGCAGAGCTCATCTGGAATGTGTTGCCTCTCTGCCACTCCTGATATCCAAGACCACACGAAGTGACCCCTCCCCAGACATCGTGGACACCTGCTCCCAACCAGTTCCTTCCGAATGCTGAGAAGTGGTCTCCCTTAACTACTATGCCAAGAAATGGCTCCCTTGGGGAGGCGTTTAGTCTCTCTCCTCCTTGCCAGCAGTCCTTTTAATGCCCCCCTCCAAACAAACATCCCATGTGAGTAAAAGTAAGGTGCTTGCTATGGAAACCGTTTTAAGACGCCCATCACCCCCAGAAGATCACTTCCAAACTGCTTAAAGATAGGTATGCTGGGCCTCAGTGTGAATGTCAGGCACTGTGTTGGGCACTGACCGTGCAAGGAAAAAGGAAGCAAAAGCCCAGGTGTAGGATCTCCAAGCATTTAACTCACCTCCATCTACCTTTTCTGGGGAAGCTGAGGCACAGACTGTGAGGGAGGACCTGCTCCCTGGGAGTCAGCAGCAGGTCTCAGAGGGTTAGGATCCATGAAGTCAAACTCTATTCCACAGATCTCCTGAAGCCTAACGCCAGTACAGAGTCAGGTCATGCACGCCCCACAAAAAGCTTTATGCTGGGGTCCATGGCAGAGGGTGGGTAGTAATTCTACTTTAGGGAACTGCTGACTATTACCCACTTTTTTTTCAGACTTATGCCTCCACCCCCACCCCCAACTCAGGCGGGAGGCCAGGGATCCACAGGCTGCAATGGAGGAAGGCCAGGTGGTCCCAGTGGTGATGGCTTCCTCAGGGAAGGGGTGTTGACTTGTCTGGCCCAGTTTAGGGGGTGGATCTTGGAGTTTTCCCTTGCTGGAAATTAACACCTTGGGAGGGAGACCTAGACTGTCACCTATCCAACCCATATGGGAGCCACAGAGGAAAAGGACAGAATTGTCCACACAGAAAGTGTTACAGAAACAGAAAATGTCATGTGCAAGCCATCCACAAAGAACTCTCCACCACAGATGCCAATGAGACAAGCGGGGGACATCCAGGAAGGATGGGGTGAGGATCTCTGCCCTTGGGTGAGACTGTCCCCACCACAGCCCCCTTCCCCAAGAAGAAGGGAAGCTTGGTTCACTATTCTCCCACCTCTGCCTACCTCAAAAAGGAGAATTGAAGTCTCACCTTGCTATTAAACTTTTTGCTGAGTTTTTTGAACCAATCAGCCTTCAAGTCAGGAAGAAGCTCCTTCAGTCTCCAGCACCGCTGGGGGAGATGGCCCCTGCATCACCAGCCTTGTCTTCTAGGGAGGGGTGCGTCCACCCGGGACCCTGGAGTGTGCTCTCCTGGATCCTGCTGATAATACCCATGGCTGGTATTTGTGCAGCCCTTACCCTGAGCAGGGCATTGTGCTAAACAGTTAAGGTACATTATCTTATTTAGCCCTTATAGCAGCCCCTGCAATAATGTCATCCCCATTATTCAGATGAGGAAACTGAAATGAGATTGGCATCAGAGCTGTTCTCAAACCCCTGAGGCCATGTGCTATTCTAGGGAGGCTTTCCACAGCCTCCAGTGAGGCTCATCTGCTTCACATCCTGCAGTGGTTCCTCACAGACTACCCTACTCAGCCTGGCTTCCCTAACTGACTCTCTTCCCTGCCAGGCCCTGCTGACCAATGCCATCTAACACTGGCAGTTCCCTCTGACACCCCAAGACTCCTCTCCAGATTTCCAGAGCTTTGCATGTACCATTCCCTCTGCCAAGATAGGCCTCATCAAGCTCACCTCATGAACTCCTCATGGAAGACCAGGAGCACATATCACCTGGGAACCATCTCAGACTGCCACTTCCAGCCTGAGTTTGGGCCATACCTACAGGGCCACCACTAGCCTTTGTGCAAATCAGAAAAAGGTACCCACTTTTGGCAGATACAGGAAACCATGAAGGAGGTCACAGACTGCCTTTCAGCTTCCTAGCTCCCTTTGCTAGGTGCCTTTTTGCAGTGCATGCACAGGACAGATGTACTCTGTGGCCTGGCTTTGGGTCCTTCATCTGGCTTTGGGACCCCTCCTATGGCCACAGTGACCACAATGCACAGAAATAGCTTTTATTTGCTCATCTCACTACTTGTCCCCTCGCCACCACCTCCCGCCATGAAAATTCTTTGAAGGTAAGGAGGAGTCCCCTACCTGCCTTGGGCCCGAAGCTTGGCCTCCAAAGAGGTACCAGTAATAACAATTGTAGCCAGAATCTTTCTGAGCTCTTGCTTGTCAGGGACCATGCTAATTGCTTTTTGAACATAGGCTTATTAAATCCACAGGCTTGGACACCTGTGTGAGGTTACAAAGTAGCAAAACCAGGATTTCAATCCATGCCTTGTCTGAGGCATTTTCCATGACTGCCATTTATCTGCTAATATCTGTCATTGATTAAACATCCAGTGACTGGAAATGGCCACATGGAGAGGAGTGTGGGAGTTAGGATCTCCAATAAAGATGGCCAATTTGGAACTCAGTCTAAGGTTTACCCTTCTTTGGGCCCCAGTTCTGTCACCTGTATCACAAAGGATGGGAGCAAAGGCATTTGAAACCCTGCCTGCTGGGGCAGGGCACAGGATAGTGTTCAGTGGGGTCATGCTGGACTGTGACCTCAGCCAAAATCCCAGGGCAGGCCTGGGGGTGCAAACACGGGCAGAGGCAGGGAGGAGCCTAACCGCACCAGACTGTGGCCCCGGGCCTTTGGGTCTGGGCCCTCACGCACTGACCACTGGACTTTAGGTCCTCCCCACCCCACCCCCATGACGTCTGAAGGAGCAGAGAGCTGTGAAATGAAAATTCAAAAAGCCAAGTCTCTCAAGTAACCCAGGCTTGCCCATTCCTGAGAAGTCAGTTTGGTGGCCAATGCCTGGCCTTGACCTGTGTAAACAGAGGGGAAGGGATGAGGACAGAAGGAAGACTCCAGTCCCAGAACAAAATGACTCTGGGGACAGAGGCTGAGAGAAAGCAGGAAGCAAGCTATATTTCCCATTGCCCAGGCACAGCTACATACACGCCATAGACAACCAGATACAGCCCTGTTCTCAGTGAGGCACAGGGAACTCAGCCTGTATATGGGATATTGATGGGGAGAGGGACAGTTTGGGGGCTGTTGTGCCCCTGACAATAACCCTTGGCTTCTCTAGACACAATCATGGTTCAACTCTGTCCTATGGGAGTGGGACTGAGTGCTCCCAGAGGCCAAAGCTGTGGCTCCAGCCTCCCTGCCACACTTCAGGAAGAGGGAGGGAGAGCATTGCTGAGAGGTGGGGAGGTAACTGAATGGGGCCTTAGGGGAGGCAGAGGCACAGTGTCCCAATCTGGAGCCCTGCACCTGGAGGAGGGGTGCCCTGGGCAGGAGAAGCCAGCCTGCCCTGAAAGTGCCCTGCCCGACCCAAAGCCTGAAGGCTAGGGTGTGGTGGTGTGGGGGAGGCCTGCTGGAGGAGGCAGGGTGGGGCTCAGCCTCCTCTCTACAAATCTGGTCCTGGAGGGCAGTGCAGGGTCAGAAATGGCCCGCACTGAGACTTCCGAAAATGGCCCAGCCTCTTTCTCTTCAGACCTGGGGCCCCAAGACCCCAGCTACCACCCCCTACTCTGCCCTTCCCTTCAGACTCCAAGGAATGGGGTGCTCAGACAGTGCTTGGGGGTGGGCCCGGGATGAACTGCTCTTTGAACTGGTGAGACTGGTTCTGTGTCTAGCCGCCTGGGCAGTCACGGGTTGCCTGCCAGGCCTGGGAGGAGGGAGGCCTCAAGAAAGGGCCCCTCGTAAATCGTTAACTCCCAGAGCCCAGCCGCCGCTGGGTGCCCTGGGCCCCACCCCCAGTCATGACTCTGGTCCTGAGAATGCCCATCCCAGCCCAGAAGTCAAAGGTTAGAGGTCAGAGCCAGACGTCCCAGCACCTGGGCAAGTCCTTCCCCCAGCTAGCAACAGGGAGGGGAGCAGGAGGGCTTTCTGTGGGGACGCTGCTTCCTTCGAATCCGGAAGCTTTTCATCCTCGTCTGCCATCCAGCCGTCTTGCATCCCTGCCCTTTGCCTCTCAGGAGAGGCAGGCCTCTGGGTGGGCTTCCTGGGGCAACCCCTGGGCAAGTCCCAATCCCACCAGTCCTTTCTCCTCCTGGAGATAATTATGCCAGACCCACTCACTCCACCTCAAAGGCGTCACCAGGACTAGAAGGTGAATGAGATGAGGAAAAGAACTAGATACTGTTCAGAATTGGGACAGGACCCTTTGTAGAGGCACTGTGTTAAGTGATCCCTTCACCAGCATGCTAGGTCATCTGTTTAGCAATCTCATTCCCACTTTGCAAATAAGTAAACTGAGGCTCTGAGAGGGGAATGACTGATTCACCCAGGCTATGGCGGCTGTACAGGAAAGAGCTTGGATTTGGTCCAGTTTTGTGCTATCAAGCTGAGCCTTGAATGGGGTTCAGCCCTCTCCTCAAATTCCTAAGCTACAGGTGTGAGGACACACCCTAAAGGCAGAATGGGCTGGACAACCCCTCTCTCCCACGGAAACACTGTCAGGGGCCCCTGAGATGGGGGCAGATGGGGGAGTGTATGTGGGCAGGAGACGGTCAATGCCCCCCCCACCTCTCCGAGCCCCTCCCCGAGGGCAACCCTCCCCCAGGTCACACCCCGCTAGGTGCCACGACAGAGGAGACTTGGTTGCTGTCCCCCACCCCACCCTCAAGAAAAATTCTCCAGACAGACTAATGAGGAGGATTGATGGTGCTACCACCCTTTTCACTAGGGAGGCATCTCAGAAGCCGAGGAGACGAGAAAAAACAACATCAACTTTTAATCGAGATTGCAGATTCAGAAAAGATTCATAAGTGAAATGATTCCCTAAGGAAATATAAAAAGTTACTTACGGCATTGCTAAATTGGGCATGCTTCAATCAGGGGCTGTTGAGAAATCATTAAGATCTACAAGACGATGTTTTAGATATATGTGAGCTCCGTCAGGAGGGCTGGCTATTGCTCCAGCTAGAGAGAGGGGATCTGGTCCTGAGCTGGCTGGCCTCCTGTGTCACCCACCTCAATCCAGGGGAAGGAGGAGAAAGTGAAGAGAATCCCTACCTGCCAGGCTCCAAAGGCCACTGCCCAGAGACTGCAACTGTGTCCAGAGGCCCAGAGACTACAGCAAGGGAGAGTGCAGCAGTGGGGCTGTGGTTAGATGGAACTGTTTATTGTTGGAAGTAACTTTTTTCCCTTTCAAATGGCCTAATGGGGAATGGTAGGGCTGTAACTATCTACTTCCCTTGAAATACTAAAGAGGGGACACCCCCTTCATATCCCCTGATCCCTTTCCCTGTTCCTTGAGTTGGCCTGAGGAAGTGGGCACCCTACTTGGAGACAGAATTACCAGAATACACTCTTAGACCTATGCCTGAGATCTTTGCTGGAGGGGTGAGGGATGGGGGAGATCACTCTGTTTGGTCACTCCCTCCAGGGAACACTAGGGGAGTGGACCATCCTAGGGAATGTTCTAGGATGATCACTAGCTTTTGAGGACATCTTCCCCTCCCCACTGCAGCCATTTTCTCAGGTGGAAGGCTTACCTGAGGCTCCACCTTCCGCTCTTGCTGCAGCCTGGGAGGGGTTTTTTTTCCTCAGGCCTAGGGACTTTCAGAGTCAGTCTGGGACATCAGTGAAACATGGGAGCGACAGGATCACAATGCATACTGATCTCTCCCTCTGTGCACTCCTGGGGCTCAGGAGAGGGATAAGGCCTTACCCATCTCCATGCTGTCCAGGGCCTGGTCCCAGTTGGTGCTAAATGTTTAGGGAAGGCATCGGGATGTGGCTGGACCAAGTCTGTTCCATGTCGGGGGGAAGGGCACAGGAAAAAGAGAGATGGACCAGGGCCTGCTGTGGGGGCTCTAGTGGCCACACCTGGATTCCTTTCCTTAGATCCATCTGCCTGGGTGAGCCCCCTCCTCCACCGCCAAATCATCTGGGAAGGCAAGAAACCCGAGCCGGATGGTGGTGGCCACACTGCCTTGCGGGTGACCCGAACCCGATCCCGGGCAGGTCCTAGCCAGGCCAAGGCGCTATTTTAAACCCCAGCCCCAAGCTGCCGCCTTAGCCCGCCAGGCCATCTCTGATTACAAAGCCACTGCCCACCTCCCAGTCACTTCTTCCTCCCTGCCCTGGGACCCCCTAGGCTGGTGCTGGGTTCAGTGTGTCTTGGGGCAGTCTGTCAACTGGCACCAATGCTCCTCTCCATCCCCCAGCCCTGTCCACTGAGGCACCCTCATTCCTCCCCACACACAGGGATCCATCGAGCTGTATTCTGACTGAGATTTCTCCCATGGATGAGTTATCTTCCCCAGGAATGAGGGCACACCCTGGCCAGAAAGCCTGCAATGCTGGGCCCAGTTTCTGCTGGGGTCAGAGCTTGCAGGCCATTATAGGGCTGATGCTATAGGAAGAAAAGAAGTAGGTTAGACAGATATAGGAACTTCCCGGCAGTGAGACTGTGCACTAGAGTGCTTTCCCTCCTGTCTTCCTGGGCAGGAAGAGGAAGAAAATGTCTCCAGAGGGAGCCCCCTCCCCAACCCCCTGGTTTAAAGGCTGTGAGTTAGGGGACTCTGTACCGTTTAGCCAACCCATAGTGCCTTCCTCCCTCCCACCTTCCTGGAGGGGACAGTTGCTCAGTGCTCAGGTGGCCCAGCTGTCAGCTGGTTGGGCCGGCAGGACCTGTGTCCATAATCCTCTCTCTTACTCGGCAGTAGCAGTAGCCCCCACTAGCTCTGCCAGCCCCAACACCAGCCCAAAACCGACCTAGAGGGAGGCAGCAGAGACACTGCCAGGGTGCCACGGGAAGGGAAAAGGCTGGTCATCCATGCTGGCTAACCCTATCTCAAGCTGACTAGATAGAAGGACACCTAGGCAGCCCAGTGCCCACTGACCGTGTCTGCTCCCCCGCCCCCATGACTCGTAGCCTCAGCAGTGAGGTGTTGGCACCAGGCCTGGCGCAGCTGAGCAGTGACGCCAACAGCCCTGCCATCTCAGGCAAGCATGGTTTGCTCCAACCTGGCAGTTGGGACCATGATGGGGGGGGGCATCTCCCACCCTTCTGGGCCCGAGACAGCAGGGGACAAGGCTGTTTTGGAAGGCCTCTCTCCCCTACTATGGCAGATCTTTGGCATCCCCATGGGAGTCCTCACCACTTCCTCCAGGGGACTGGTCCTGAGGTTAGACCAGTGGTTCTAAACTAGAGAACCTCCCAGGGAATGTTTGGCAATGTCTGGAGACATTTTTGGTTGTCACTACCATTACTGACATCCTACAATGCAAAAGATAAAGAATTAAATGGCCCAAAATGTCAATAGTGTGAAGTTGAGAAATCCCAGGTTAAACCCTGGAAGGAATTCCCTGACTGATCTGGGAGTATGGAAGGTAGCAGGAGGCATTCTCCATCCCCCACCACACATGCAGGGGCCAGGGCTCATCATCTCCCACCCCCACAGGCAGAGAAGGCCCTTCTGCCATTCTGACTTCCAAGGCCCTTTGTGGCCCTAGGAATGTGGTAAGCTGCCTGCCTGCACCCCCTACCCACACACCAGCCTCTGGGCTTATTAGAAAAGGTGTCCACGATGGAGGGCCTGGCAAAGCTCTTCACCTGCGTGTGGAGAGGGGCTCACAAGTCCCACCTCCAGGCATACTCTACAAAGCCCTCCCCACACGGGGATTTTAGGACTATGGAAAAGGGTAGGGGCTCTCCAGCCCCTCCAGGGGGCTGGTTGGAAGCTCTGGCCTCCTCCTCCTCCTCATCTGCCCACTGCCTTTCATTTCTATTTAGGAGGCAGCCATGGTGGCTCGGCTCCTGTCTCCGGTTTCCTAGGGAGCTCTGCTGAAGCAGCCCAGCCTCCGTGGGTCCATCTGTCAGGGAGGCTGTTCCGCCCCATCGATTGCTGTTCCCAGGGGGCTGTGCTGCTCGAGGGACCCAATGTGGCCGCCAGATAGGAGGGAACCACATGGATTAGAGACGGAGGAGGGGTCAGCTTGGCAGTAGGCAAAGCCAAGAGGGGCTGACAGTGCAGCAGGAAGGCACAAAGCTAGACAGGCATGAGAAATGCAGAGGGCCAGGGGCAGTGAGGCAGGAGGCTGGCTGGAACGACCTCTGAAGCTGGTTTGCACCCTCAGGATTCAGTTTTGCATTTAGACACACCAAGTTCCTACTTGCAGAGACAACAACAGTAATATTAGCAGCTGATATTTATTGAGCAGGAACAGTGTGCCCGGCACTGGGCTGGGCTTTGCACACCTCTTTCACTAGAGGACCACACCCACTCAAAGCAGGTGCTGTTATTCTCTAGCAGGAGAGAAAGGGGCTGAGAGAGGCTCTAGCACTTGCGGGTAGCCACACCGAAGAGCTGGAGCTAGACTTGGAAGCAGGTCAGCCTGGCCCATGGCTGTGCCCCAGCCCCAGGCGGGCAGAGCCAGGCCCTAGGGGGAGGAGGCAGTCTTGCCAGGCCTGAGGCCCAGCCTGTCCTCCCCGCGGAGCCGCCTCCTCCCCTGGGCTGCGTGACATCTGCCCCGCTTCCCGGCCCCAGACAGCTGCCCAGAGCCACGTCAGCACTTCCAACCGGGGAGTCTGGAAACTGGCTCAGGCCCCTGAGCGAGAAGGGGACAGGGGGCTGCGGGTCCTCCGACGGGATGGTTTTCAGAGGGTGACCCACTCAGCTGAGCAGGGAATGGGTCGGCATGACCTTGGGCCGAGCTTCTATGAACCTCAGTTTCCCGTGCTCGGGTGTGTGTTTGGCTTTGCGAAGTGCTCAGAAAGACGGTAGCATCCTGGGTGGAGGAGGCGCAAATAATCCCACACAGCAACAGTTCCAGGACACCCGGGGCAGCCTGCGGACTCCCCCCGACGCCCCCCCAACCCGTCCACTCGGGGACAAGTGGTTATTAGGTGGGGCTCAGGAGGGTGAGGGTGGGGGGCGAGGTGGTGTCTGTGCCGGGAGCCCAGTCCCAGCACACCGGCCGGCTGGGGCCAGAGATAACCGGCGCCTCCCGGAAAATCATTAGCATCTGTTTGGGCCGCGGCAAAGTTGGCCTGCTGGCGCCTCCGCCCGCCGGAAACAGCCCCGCGCCCCCACCAGGGCAAGCGCAGGGCGCACCCGACACAGCGTCCCTCCCCATACCCGGCCCAGCTTAAACTCCTGTGGTGACAACATCCACCAGCGCTGGGAAGGGGGCTTGGGTGCAGAGGCCTAGGGCGGGCAGGCCGGCAGACTGGGGTCGGGCCACGCCATCGGGGGCTTCCTCGCGCGGTGTGGGCGGTCCAGCCCGAGCTCCGGGCGATCCAGGCCGGCTCTTCGAGGCGCCCGCGCTGGCGGCAGCCCAGGGAGTGTGTGGAAATGACACCGCCAGGGCGGCGGAGATCCCCCCTCCTGACATTGGCTGGAAAGTGGAGCAGCTCGTCAGGGACAATCAATGGCGATCGATCGCCGCGCGGCGCGGGCGGACGGTGCGGGGGAGGGGCGGCGGGGCCGGCAGGGGTGGGGGCACCCGCGGCCGAGGTCAAACAACACACTGACCCGCAAAGGGGCACAGCGGCTGAGGGGGGGGGGGGTGTCACACGGACACACAATTTGTGAAAGGAAGCACCACCATAGGCCACCCACACCACAAAGGAGGCACGCTCACCACACGGAGTGACACCACAACAGTCTCTGACACAAGTCAGAACAGGACACAACAGGGTCAGACACACCTAATGATACAACATACAGTCACACTATTCACAACCAGTTCACCATACCACAACAGATGTCCCTACACTAGACACCTACAATATCACCGGGACACAAAATGAGTCATATAGTAGCTGGTCTCAACCACACAGCAGTAGGGAGTTACATACTTTGGGTGCACAACAGTCACACAACAAAGCAAAAAAGTCATATAGTCATATCATCCATCACCACTACCTCAAAGAACATTGTCAAATTAGGTCTCTACGTTGTACAACACAATGGTGCCCATACTGGCAAAAGGATGGGACCAGGAGCCCAAGTATAGAATATGACAGGGGCAAATGCTGCCATAAGTTGCACCCCAGTAACTAAGAGAGGGATAAAGCTGTTTTGCATCTTCCAACTTGAATAAAATTATACCCCACCCAACATGGCACAATAAACAAACACCAGGCAAACCAGCATGAACTTGCAGGGTTCTGACAGGACTAAATGAGCCACTGCAGGTGAGGTGCTTAGCACAGCACCAGGCACATGGTAAGCACTCGACACACAGGTGGTCTTGGTCATTGCTAATGGTTCTATACTACTAAGTCATGTGTATATAATAATGACTGTAACTACTTAGCATCATTCTCTCCATGTTAGTCCAGTCCCTTCCAGGAACCTGATTCACCCCAGCAGCAAAACTAGTTCTGCCATCACATACACCTGGGAAACACAACTCAAGTGTTACAAACACAATTCACGGTGCTGCACTCACCCACAGAGAGGCCACATTCTCACTTCCCCCAGTATACAACCACACCCACCCCAGAATCCCCTCCACAGGGGGAGCAGGCTGTGCTCATGCAGCTGAAAGCTCTGGCTCAGAGACCTTGGTGGGGAAACCACCCCTAATCTCTCACCAGGTGCAACCCAACTAGTGTGCACTGCTACTGGCCCCATTTCCTGCCACTCTCAGAAAGCTGTAGAACACAAAGCACTTCCCTCCTAAAGGTCACCCACCTAGTTACAAAGGGACCCAGAGCCTCCCAAATAAACTCCTTAAGGACTATCCCTTGTCAGTCCCCCTTTCCATTTCTCCATTTCCCCCTAGAGAAGCTGAAGCACCAGTTTCAGTCCCCAGAAAGGCTCTCCCCATTCCAAATCCAAAGCAGGAAACAGGGCTGGCCCCAGAGCTCAGCAATCTCCCCACTCCCATTCCCAGTGGTGCATGTGTGTGGGAACAGGGCCAAGATTCATCAGTCCTTCAGCACACCCTTAAAGGCCACTCCTGTGGTTCCAGTGCAAGGCCAGCTGGGCTGTAGCCCTCACTTCCTCAGTTCAGGCCTGGGCCCACCCAAGGGCTTCCAGGAAATCTCTTGTAGCCAGGGAGCTCCCCCTAAAGGTCCTGTCTAGAATGACTCCCCACATTCCCTAGTTTTGCCTGGCTGTGTGACCTTTGTTAATTCCCCAACCTCTCTGTGCCCAGATCCCAAGTCCTGCCCACAGATCCAAGACACCCTTCAACCCCCTCACAGAGGCTCTCTTTGACTAGGGAGAGAGGTGTGGGCCTGTGACCTAGAATGTGGAGAGGAAAGATGCTGGCTGTAGGTGCCACAATCACCCAGTCATTTATCCCTCTCCCTTCCCCTTCAAACAGAGCTGGGAAACAGCTGGGGGAGATCTGGCCTCCTTCCACAGCATACCCCTCCTCCGTGGCTGGAGGCAAATCCTCCCCCAACCCCAGGCTTTTATTCACCAGGCAGGACAACTGGATTCCCTTTTGTCCCCCAAGGTAAGGGGAAGGACAGACAGACACTGGGCAAGGACACACAGTCTGGCTAGCCATGGCCATTATTCTGCCTGCTCACCCTGTTTGTGGGCACACTCTTGCAGGCCTTAACAAGTGGGCATGTGAGCCATAGGCTGCAAAAGGGCCCAGCCAGTCTTCCCCAGGTCCCTGGATGTCCCAGGAGCTAGCCCAGCTCAAAGGAGGGCAAACCTCTAGCATGTACAGGAATCCAAGAAAGATGTCTCACTGTCCAGGCCTACCTCCCTGAACCATAAGCACCCACGGTCACAACCCTTTAATTTGATAAGGTCATTTTCCACCAAGCATTGCCTATGGGTCAGGCTGGTGACCAAGTGCCCGTTTTCTAGATGAGAAAATCAAAGCAAAAGACAGATAAGTTTATTGCCCAACTGAAAACCCATGGTCTTGTGATTCAAACCCAGATCTGATCCTGTTCTTCAAAGGCTACAGAGCCTTCGTGTTTATGCATCACACCCTGATGCATAAACACTAAGGAGTGTACATGCTCACAATTCTCACTCTCAAGCTCCTGAACACATGTGCAGTCCCCTTCTGCACACACACATACAGGCTGGCCTAAGCTCTCCCATGCCTGGGGCCTGTCAGCCACATTCTCCATGGCTCCCTCCTTCTAACAGGGACAGGGACAGGCAGGGAATCTAAATTCCCGGGTTTCCGCCCTGACCCTGACCCCACTCCTTTCCCACTCAGAGAACACATACCTCCTGCTACAGCCAGAAAACCAGCCCCAGAGGGAGGCCTGGGGGAGAATAAGCAATTCTGGGGGCCAACTGCCTAAGCTCCAGTTATTTGCCTGGGTTTGACATAATAGGAAGTCAGCAGCTTTCCCTGCAGGTAGCTCCCACCCTCTAGCGAGGCTAGACCCAAGGCTTCCCTCCTTATTCCAGAAACTTTCTTAGTTGAGATTCCTTTGGATCCAGCAAAATCCCTCACATGATTAGGCACTACAGCAGGACTCGTGGAGCTCTCAATACACCGTTCTCCTTAGAGTCTATCAGTAGGCAAAAGCTTAGGTTCTAGGTACCAACAGCACCCAGGCAGCTTTCCCCATCTAGGGGCAGTGGTAGCTAATTCTCACAGCCCTGCCTGGGGCTCCCAAATAAACTCCTTGACCTGGGAATTTAGATTCCCTGCCTGCCCCTGTCCCTGTTAGAAGGAGGGAGCCATGGAGAATGTGGCTGACAGGCCCCAGGCATGGGGGGCTCAGCCACTTGGTGGGCTCAGCAAATCTGGAACATTTGCATATCCAGATGGCCAAGCCTTGAATTTCAAAGATTTCCCCATGAAGAGGCAGCTGGCTTCCGGGTGGTGGCCCTGGACGCTCACACCTGTTGGGCTGGAAGACTGAGGAGACCAGGGCCCCAAAATACAAGATAAACTTGAAACAGACAAGAACATTTCCCAGGCCCTATCACTAGCCCCCAACTCTGCTCCTTCTGTCCCCAGGCCTCCATCTTCAAGGTCTAAGGAGCCATGTGCTGGTTGCCCAGGGTAGGTGGGCAGGCAAGTGATAATGGACTGCTGCCTCTGTGACCTGCTAGAAATATGGGATCTCCTTGTTCACATGCAGCAATAGACAGATCTTTTCCTGCATGTAACCTGGAGCTAGGTGGGCAGAGGTCCTAACCTGGAGCCTGGTTCACCTATTCACACACAGAGACATGGCTGCCATAGCAACGGGGAGGGCAGAGGGGAGCTGGCAGCTTGACACTTCCAGTAGGCTTTGGGCTGAAATACAAGTCACTAACCTTTTCCTTCACTGTAAGGCTGAGAACCTGACTGAACTTGGCACTGGCCCATCTGATTCTGGATATACCACGCACAAAGCTTAAGTCCGAAAGAATCTCCCCACTCCAACAAAAGCCCCTCTCAGGTTGTGCCCATGCAGATTCACTGACCACACGCCTCACGGTTGTCACAGCTATGGGTCACCACTGCCCTCTGCTGGCCACTCAAGGCACTAGCATCCACTCAGACACCAAAGCCATCATCTCACTCCCCACATAAGCAAACACACTTCAGTCATCACCTCCATCTGTGGGCACTGAAATGCAACTCCATTCAGCCGTCCTCTGAGCCAGGGGGCTGACAGGAGACAGGAAGAACAGGGACCACCTCAGGGACACAATGTATTAAGGAAGAAATCACAAAGGAATTCTGCTCCCTCCAATATACATCTGAAACTTCAAAAGGAAGTGCCCCCCGCCCTTTTTTTTTTTTTTTGAGTCAGAGTTTCTCTCTTGTTGCCCAGGCTGGATGCAATGGCGCGATCTCGGATCTCGGTTCACTGCAACCTCCACATCCCCGGTTCAAGAGATTTTCCTGCCTCAGCCTCCCAAGTATCTGGGATTACAGGCATGCACCACCACGCCTGGCTAATTTTGTATTTTTAGTAGAGACGGGGTTTCTCCATGTTGCTCAGGCTGGTCTTGAACTCCTGACCTCAGGTGATCCACCTACCTCGGCCTCCCAAAGTGCTGGGATTACAGGCGTGAGCCACCACGCCTGGCTGGAACTGCCTTTTTATGAAGCTTGGAGGTTGAATCCAGGAAACAGTACCTGCCCTATAACTTGTTATGCACCAGAGCCTCCCCAACTTGCCTTGTTTCCTCCAAAGGAGGACTAAGCTGAGGTCACTTGGAACCATCCTTCCAAAAAGCTCACCTTCTCTGGCAAGTTTGGGAAAGCCTTGGTTTCCCTTGTTCCTTCTGTCACTCTGCAGCAGGTGACTGAAAGTCTCAGGTGCCCTCTCAAACGAGGCCAGCTCCCCTCGACTCTCTGTGCAACACATGACAGGTAGCCACACCTTCCAAGATGGCAGTGATGCTGGCTAGGAGGAGAAACTGCCCACAACGACCAAATCAGTATTGCCCCTTAATCAGATGGGAAAAGCTCCAGACAACTGTCACCACATAGGTAGCTTAGCATTTGCCAACTACCTCAAACATGGAACACTTCTCTTACCCAAGATGGTGCTGGCTCTGCGTCCCAAATGTCAGATTGTATTTGTGGGTTGTTTCTAGAAACCTCCAAGTCAGAGGGCCCAGGAGCTTTGGAGCTTCTAAAGCAATCTCATTTTCTATGGAGAACTTTAAACCCAAGGAAAGCTGGCAATTTGAAGACTAGGTTTTAACTCAAAAAACCAAACCCTCCCCACTCACATTTTCCAGAGGCTCTAAAGTTTAGGGAAGGGTGACATCTTTTTAAGATTTAAGATTTTTAAGTACCAAAAAGGAAGTTTAAACAGAATTGAGAACAAGTGGCTCAGGGCAGGGAGAGGTGTGCCTGGGAAAATGGCAGTTGTCACTCCTCGCATCCTTAGAAGTTGGGAAAGGAACATGGTACATTCACCAAGGCTGCTGCTGCTCTTTCCTGTACAGCAGTCACAGGAGGCCTGGGCTGGACACTCAATGGCCTCTTCTTGGCTTTTCCAAATGGGATCAACCATTTGCTTTCAGAGTACAATGTTGGGCAATCAGGCTCCTCAGCTCTGGAAAAAACCATTCTACCAATAACAACTTACACAGGACGTTAAGAACAAACACACAAACCACCACTCAATCAAGGAAAACTATTAAGCTGCTGTCTTGGCACTAAGGTATTCATATAGTTTTACATCTGCTAAGAGGCAGATTACGCTGTGTCTCTGATCAGATAAAGATCCACAAATAGTTTAATTTAATGAAAAGTGACTGCTCATCACAAAAATGTCTGCCTTTGCCTTACCCAGACCAGGAGTAGACATAGAAAGAGCAAAGCTGGTTGGTGATTGTATTATACATTCAGCCAGAGGACAAAGGCCTTAAAGGCTTACTTAGTCCTAACCATTGAGCTTTTCTCCTTACATTGACTAAGGTAAAATATGCCAGCAATGAAGGAATTGCTTCATGAATAGTAACCCTGACAATGTGATCCCGTCTCATTTCCCTATTTCTAAGCCCATCTGAGAAATTGGTCTGGAAATATACTGAGGGGCCTGAATATCAACCACTTATACCAGTCCTGATTAAAAAAGGTTATAGTGCCAGGGAAACACTTAAAGAAGGTTTTTGTGGGATGGAGAAAGCCAGTTTTCATCTAAGTGCATGCACAATATAAAAGAAAATAGGCTGGGCGAGGTGGCTCATGCCTGTAATCCCAGCACTTTGGGAGGCCGAGGTGGGTGGACTGCTTGAGCTCAGGAGTGTGAGGCTGCAGTGAGCCATGTTTGCACCACTGCATTCTAGCCTGGGCAAAAAAGTGAGACCCTCTCTCAAAAAAAAAAAAAAAAAAAAAAAAAAAACCACACACAAAAAAAGAGAAAAGAGAGAAAGAAAAAGAGAAAGAAGGAAAGTAAAGAAAGAAAAAGGAAAGTGGGGAAGGAGGGAGGGAGGCAGGCAGGCAGGCAGGCAAAGGGCAGGGGAAGGGAGGGAAAGGAAGAGAAAGAAAGGGAAAGGAAGGGAAGAAAAGGAAAATAGAAGGGACTAGCTCCAGGAGTGCCCCAAAGGAAGTCTATTTCCTCTTGCTGGATGTATAGTGCAAATAGTTTGCTACCTTCAGTTATTTTCATATTAAAAATCTGCTTTCTTGGCTGGGTGTGGTGGCTCATGCCTGTAATCCCAGCACTTTGGGAGGCCAAGGTGGGCAGATCACCTGAAGTCAGGAGTTCAAGACCAGCCTGGACAACATGGTGAAACCGTCTCTACTAAAAATACAAAAATTAGCCAGGCGTGGGTGGCATGTGCCTATAATCTCAGCTACTCAGGAGGCTGAGGCAGGAAAATCACTTAAACTTGGGAGGTGGAGGTTGCAGTGAGCCAAGATCGCACCACTACACTCCAACCTGGGCGACAGTGAGACTCTGTCTCCAAACAACAACAACAAAAAACAAACCTGCTTTCTCCTGCCTAACATCACTCACCAAAATAACCCATCACTTGAAATAGTGTTTCATAAAGGGAAAATGAGGAAATCAAAAGGAGATGGATTCCTAACACTAGTTACAGTTTTCTGTAGGAGTAATAAAAATGCTTACTCCTGATTTGGAAGGAAGGAAAGATGTGTTTATAATCCTGAAGACCTGGGAATGAGAAGAGAGTTTTTTTTGTTTTTTTTTTAAGACTGAGTTTTGCTCTTGTCGCCCAGGCTGGAGTGCAATGGCGCGATCTCGGCTCACCACAACCTCCGCCTCCCGGATTCAAGCGATTCTCCTGCCTCAGCCTCCTGAGTAGCTGGGATTACAGACATGTGCCACCATGCCCGGCTAATTTTGTGTTTTTAGTAGACACGAGGTTCCTCCATGTTGGTCAGGCTGGTCTTGAACTCCTGACCTCAGGTGATCCGCCCACCTTGGCATCCCAAAATGCTGGGATTACAGGCATGAGCCACAGGGCCCAGCTGAGAGTTCTCCTCTTCAAAACTTACCCTGGGTAGTTAAGGGGTGCCATACAGCACACAGAGACAAAGCCAGAGTTTCACCTTAATTACAGACAAGGGACAGTTTATAGGCATTCCAGCCATAATTTAGAAATAATCCATTTCTCCTGACAAGCTACCCAGGTCTCAAAATAACTTGTTGAAACAAAGAGGAATGATTCAGAAAGCAGAGTATTTTAGCAGTTGGAAGTGGAAAAAGAAGGCCTCTATTGCTAGGTTAGTGTAGAGAAAGGGTCTCTCTCTGACAACTACCTTTTCCTTCTCTTCACAGACCTTCCTAACTTCTCTCTCCCCACCCCTACCGCCCTCCTTCCAAGTCTCTGTACTACTCAAAGTGCATAAACTCGCAGGACAATGATACCTTTGACTACTGATTCGCCAATAGCAAAGCATATAAGTATCTGAAGTGACTTCATTTTACCAAAAGACACTGCCCCAGCTTTAACTTGACAAAGTACTTTGGGCTATTAAGAAGCAAACAAAAGGAAACCATACACTTGACGTTCTCCTGTAACTTTTCCAAGATAATCAAGGTTGCTACAGACTGGATTTTACATACGACAAAGTCATAGAAACTTCTGTGAAGAGCAATGTGGTCCAGATGAAAACAACCCTGAGGGATTTTTTGTTGTTGTTGTTGTTTTTGGTGAGTGGGAAAGGTGGCTTCTCTCACTGGGCTTTCTTTCTGGCCAGGCACATATACACAGACTGGACCAAAGAAGCTTCATACTCAAATGGGCAAGACCAAACCCCATTCAAGGGCCTAATGTTGTTTGTGACCATCCAAACCCCTTCAATTGGCACCTGCACACCTGGAGGATGGCTTTCATTTGGCACTTAAAAATACTTAAGAACACTCTTGTGAAAATATCCATATTATGATCTAATAAATGGTAATAAGCTGGCTGCTCTCTAAGATGACAGGCAAATACAGAATGAGCTTTCAGGATCTGTGCAACTGACCCACGGTCAACAGTATGTAGTTAATAGCAAGCCAATAATTGATGGAAGGCTGGGTATGGTGGCTGTCTCTAGTCCCAGCACTTTGGGAGGCTGAGACAAGAGGATCACTTGAGCCTAGGAGTTCAGGACCAGCTTGGGCAACATAGTGAGACTCCTGTCTCTAAAAAAAATTTAAAAATTAGCCAGGTGTGGTGGCATGTACCATAAGTCCCAGCAACTTGGGAGGTTGAGGTAGGGGGATTGTTCGAGCCTAGAAGGTTGAGGCTGCAGTGAGCTGTGCTGTCATGACTCCGACTGCACTCCAGCTTAGGCAAGAGAATGAGACCCTGTCCCTCTCTTAAAAAAAAAAAAAAAAAAAAAAAAAGATGAAGTCCCACTTGCCCATAATACTGAGAATACAGGGTGATTTTAGGCTTAAGCTAAATTCTAACTCCTTTCCCCACAACTGTTAACAGTTAAGCCTTTTCTGCAAAGTCAAGGATGCTAATAAGAGATGCTTGAAATGCTTATAAGAGAACTGTAAGAGGTTTTGGGTTTTATCACACAAGTTCCAAGGTGGAGGAGCAGTGACAGTGAGAGATAAGACAAGGTGAACAAGTTTAAAACCAAAAGCAGTGGACATTTATTCCTTAACTTTTGTGCAAGAGTGTAAAGATGCATTTGAAAGAACCTGATGGCTAGAGCATCAGCCATGGCTTTCAGGTTGGCCTAGTTTACAATTAGGAAAAGAAGGGGGGAAAAAAGGTAACTTGCCTAGTTCACATGAATGATGTTTCTGGCAAACACAGTTGTTTACAAGTTTCAAGCTATATTTTACTAGGGTCAAGGGAAGACTTCAAAAAGCCACATACAGTACAATTTAAAATTGTGTGAACATCCTGCAAATGTTAGTGCAAAGTAATTATGTAGACTCTCCAAACAAGACTGTGCTCTTGTTTCCCAGGTTTGGTCAATGTTGCTCTTTTATAATTACAATCACAGAAGCTTAACTTACCAAATAGCAATGCCTCTGTGTTTTATGTCCTATGTACCAAGGGAATGTCACAAGGTTTTGATGAAATGCAGCTTAGTTTCATTAATAAAGCAAATTTCTTATTGAATTTAACAATCAAGTTCCTGGAATGCTGCATGTGTTGTTTCATGGAAATGCTCTTAAGCTTATGCCTCTAACTTGTTCAATAAAATTACTCGTAAGATATCCTTTTTACAATGTAACTGGAATTGTTTCATGATCTTAAAATGCAACCAGTATAAATGAACATTTCAGAAGTGGGAGAAAATCCACCACTAATCTCAGCTAGACAAACTTCTTAAAAATGAAAAAGCCTATTCACACAAAATTATATGTAATGACTGTAGTAACCAGTTTATTACACAGATTAATCATTCTTGAAAGTACAAGCTCCAGAGGAGCAATTGGGTCTTTAAATATACACAAGTATTTCCATCAAATGAATTTTCACCCTTACATCCAAATAGACCTAAGCGGTTAAAAACATAAGAAAAATAAGAGCTATTAGCTATGTATTAACTGAGAAACCACATACAAACCAAAGAATATGGAAGAGAGAAAGAAGGGCTGAAAGGCCAAAGGTTGAAGGGGTAGGGAGATGTAAAAGAGTTGGGAACAAAGCCCATCACACTTGATGTACTAATAGCTCCAATCCATTTAAATGTTGACCAGTTAAACTTAGACCTTAAAATGCAGGATGTGGGTAGAGTTTAATCTGGTTGGTCATAACTTTCACCTAAGACGTAGCTCCTTCGGAATAAAATGAATACAGACACAGCTTCATGTTCTTCACCTTGCTTTTCATAACTGTTTTGAGTTTAAATGGATTCCACTTAAAAATAATCTCCTATAGGTGAGTGGAGCCTTTTCTTTCCCATCCAAGCACACACCATACCCACCACCCCCCTCACACCTTGCTGTTATCCAAATTTAAGTCAATAAGAAAAGCTTTTAGTCTCACACCTAGGTAATGCCTGTAGAACTGGCTTGTCACACACACACTTCTCTGCTAGGAGGCAATGTTGGTACAGAAGTACAGTATTTCTAGTTTGTTGTTCCAAGTATGTACAACACGCAGCACTGCTGTATCAGGTAAACATGTGCACAGGGGAAGATGAGGCGTGGGCTCATAGAAAGCAGTCAAATGGAAATCAAAAGGACTTTCTCTTTCAGAGTTCCCCTATCTTTATTTGTAGAGGTTATCCAATAATTTCTTTAATTACATCGCATACTTCTGAGTCCATTCCCGAGCTATTCTGTTGTACCTGTACACACAAAGAGAAGCTTGGCTTAACATAGGTGTGGAGTCAGTAAGCAACAGATTCCATTCATTATCCCATCAAGTAACTTGAAGAGAGTAGCTTATAGGACATTCAAGGAAAGGCCCCTTTCTATCCCAAATTTCTGATAAGGATTAATTCAATGATAATGGGAAGGAGCTGTAAAATGTGAAAGTCTCCTTTAATTGCTACTTATAGAGGGTTCTGATTAAATTTTAGTATTTGTTGGCATATACCTTATTCCATACTTGATTGGCCTATTTCTACAAAAGATGTCCACTCAATTCATTCATTTAAAGTACTTGAAATTATATGATTCTACATTACATAGTTCTTGAACTCATATACTAATAATGATTAAACCGACAGAAGGCTGGGCATGTTGGCTCACACCTGTAATCCCAGCACTTTGGGAGGCTGAGTCGGGTGGATCACTTGAGCCCAGGCGTTTCACACCAGCCTGGGCAACATGATAAAACCCTGTCTCTACAAAAAAATACAAAAATTAGCAGGGTGTGGTGGCGCATGACTATAGTCCCAGCTACTCAGGAGGCTGAGGTGGGAAGATCGTTTGAGCTCAGGAGGCAGAGGTTGCAGTGAGCTGAGATTGCAATACTGTACCATAGCCTGGGTGACAGAGTGAGGCTCTGTCTCAAAAAAAAAGGGGGAAAAAAAACCAAACTTTCCTTTCATATCAATAAAACAATTGGTTCTGGTAGAACTAATTTCAACAATTTGGTTGACAAAATGAATGGGTTTATTGCTTCAGAAGAACATTTGAATAAAGTAAGCAGAGCAAATGATTCTATAATTCTCCTATTAAAAAACGGGTGCTAGGCCGGGTGTGGTGGCTCACGCCTGTAATCCCAGCACTTTGGGAGGCTGGAGCAGCTGGATCACTTGAGGTCAGGAGTTCCAGACCAGCCTGGCCAACATGGCAAAATCCCGTCTCTACTGAAAACACAAAAATTAGCCAGGCATGGTGATGTGCGCCTGTAATCCCAGCTACTCAGGAGGCTGAGGCACAGGAATCACTTGAGCCTGGGAGGCAGAGGCTGCAGTGAGCCAAGATTGTGCCACTGCATTCCACCTGGGCAACGGAGCAAGACTCTGTCTCAAAAAAAAAAAAATTAGCTGGATGTGATGGCATCTGCCTGTGGTCCCAGCTACTTGGGAAGCTCAGATGGGAGGACTACTTGAGCCTGGGAGGTTGAGGTTACAGTGAGCTGTGATTGTGCCACTGCATTCCAGTCCGGGCAACAGAGCAAGACCCTGCCTCAAAAAAAAAAAAAAAAAAAAAGGGGGGGGGGTGGGGGTGGGTATGCTGGCCTTGCACGGTAACTCATGCCTGTAACAGCAGCACTTTGGGGGGCTGAGGCAGAAGGCCTGCTTGAGGCCAGGAATTAGAGACCAGCCTGTGCAACATAGTGAGATCCTGTCTCTACAAAAAAAAAAAAAAAAAAACAAATTAGCCAGGTGTAGTGGCATGTACTAGCAGTCCCAGCTACTGGGGAGGCTGGAAAGGTGTAGTGGCATGTACTAGCAGTCCCAGCTACTGGGGAGGCTGGGGTGGGAGGATCACTTGAGCCCATGAGTTTGACACTGCAGTGAGCCACGATTGTGCCACTGTACTCCAGTCTGGGCTGAAGAACAAGACCCTGTCTCTGCAAAAAAAAAAGTGGGGGGTTAGAGGGTGGGGGCAGTGCAGTTTGGGAAAGTTCTGTTCAACAGTGTTCAACATTACTCCATGATGACTTGGGAAATGACTTCTGGTAAGCATTCAGACCCACAATTCTAAATATCGGACAAAACAGTTCTCTAATCAAAAAAATTTGACAATAAATTCACAAATAGGAAAAAGCAAGAACCAACTACTGTTAGAATATCCCATTCCCAGTGTTACCTCCACTAAAAACAAAAACGTATCTATGCCTCTCTAATCCACTAGAACTCAAGTTGGAGACGTGAGTCTTGCTCTGTCGCCCAGGCTGAAGTGCAGTGGTGCAATTTCAGCTCACCGCAACCTAAACGTCCTGAGTTTAAGCAATTATCTCAGCCTCTCGAGTAGCTGCGATTACAGGTGCCCGCCACCATGCCCGGCTAATTTTTGTATTTTTAGTAGAGACGGGGTTTCACCCCGTTGGCCAGGCTGGTCTCAAACTCCTGACCTTGTGATCTGCCCACCTCAGCCTCCCAAAGTGCTGGGGTTACAGGCGTGAGCCACTGCGCCCGGCCCTAAAAGAACTATCCACCCTCTCCTATCTAGTTCCTCTTATAACTTCACTGAATACTACATAAAACAGATGTTATTAGTGCTGGGCATGGTGGGCATGCTTATAATCCTAGCTACTCCAGAGGCTGAGGTAGGGAGTTTGAGACCAACCCAGGCAACACAGCAAGACTCCATCTCAAAAGAAAAAAAGAAAAGAAAAAATGCTACTAGAACACTTTTAGCTACTATCTCTTTTGATATCTTGACCACTGTTCAATAATTCATAGTACAATTCTAAAATACCCAAATTCTACATCAAGTTTTGTTTTTAAAAGAAATTTGGGGCTTTCACGTCTAATGGCATTTATTTGCTTTCTTCCTTTAGATTATGTCAAATGGTAGGAAATCAATTCTCTTTTCCCATTAATTGACAAATACCTATGGCAGGCAAATGGGCACTTGATGAAAAGTGCTTTATATATCAAAAGCCAAGCATAAGGCATTAAGCTGTTGAAAAATATACCATAGGAAAGTTTTTGTATGGGTGTGGTGGCTCACACCTGTAATCCCAGCACTTTGGGAGGCCTAGGCAGGCAGATCATTTGAGGTCAGGAGTTCGAAACCAGCCTGGCCAACATGGTAAAAGTCTCTACTAAAACTACAAAAAAAACGAACCTGGCGTGGTGGCCTGCGCCTGTAATCCCATCTACTCGGGAGGCTGAGGCATGAGAATCACTTGAACCCAGGAGGCGGAGGTTGCAGTGAGCCAAGACTGCACCATTGCACTCTAGCCTGGGTGACAGAGTAAGACCCTGTCTCAAAAAAAAACAAACAAAAAAAAAAGTTTTTGTAGACAAGAGGAGTCACGTGAAACAATCAGGGATAAGACTGGCATCATCTACTTATAATAATACTCAATGCATATATTTCTCTTTTCTAGCCCCAGGAGAGTATATTAGGACTTCACTTTAAATATCTGGCCGATATTCAGCCCTTAAACAAGAAAGATTTGTGACAAACATCTCCATCCCACCACAGATAACTTTCCATCTTGAGGCCATACTTACTTTTCTCTATCTGTTTTGTAGATCCGAGCAATCTCAGGCACTAAAGGATCATCTGGATTGGGATCACACAACAGAGAACAGATGGACAAGAGTACTAGAATGAAAAAAATCATATAAATTAGCAGAGGATCAAAGCAAAGGGTTGAGAGAAACATGAGACGCCAAAACATGAGAAAATTCTAAGAATTTATACTGTAATGCCTAGCAGCTTTGTAAGTTTTACTTAACTTTATATTAACAGTAACCAACAAGGATTATTATTATTATTATTATTTCTTTTTTTTTTAGCAGAATTGGGGTTTCACCATGTTGGCCAGGCTGGTCTCGAACTCCTGACCTCAGGTGATCCACCCACCTCGGCCTCCCAAAGTCCTGGGATTACAGGCTTGAACCACCATGCCTGGCCTAATTTTTGTATTTTTAGTAGAGATGGGGTTTCGCCATGTTGGTCAGGCTGGTCTGGAACTCCTGACCTCGTGATTCACCCGCCTCGGCCTCCCAAAGTGCTGGGATTACAAGCGTGAGCCACCACACCTGGCAAATAGTTTTTTTTATTTTTTATTTTTTGAGACGGAGTCTGGCTCTGTCGCCCAGACTGGAGTGCAGTGGCGCGGCGCGGTCTAGGCTCACTGCAAGCTCCGCCTCTCAGGTTCACACCATTCTCCTGCTTCAGCCTCCTGAGTAGCTGGGACTACAGGCACCCGCCACCACGCCCGGCTAATTTTTTGTATTTTTAGTAGAGACGGGGGTTTCACCGTGTTAGCCAGGATGGTCTCGATCTCCTGACCTCGTGATCCGCCCACCTTGGCCTCCCAAAGTGCTGGGATTACAGGCGTGAGCCACTGCACCCAGCCTACCAACAAGGATTTTAAGAAGCTTAAACAGACTTTAGGTTAGGTCATTAAAAAATAAAAATGAAGGCTGGCTGCAGTGGCTCATGCCTGTAATCCCAGCACTTTGGGAGGCGGAGGGGGGTGGATCACGAGATCAAGAGATTGAGACCATCCTGGCCAACATGGTAAAACCCCATCTCTACTAAAAATACAAAAATTAGCTGGGCGTGGTGGTGTGTGCCTGTAGTCCCAGCTACTCAGGAGGCTGAGGCTGGAGAATCGCTTGAACCTGGGAGGTGGAGGTTGCAGTGAGCCGAGATCGTAGCATTGCACTCCAGCCTGGGCGACACAGCAAAAAATCCATCTCCAAAAAATAATAATTATAATAAAAAATAAAAAATAAAATAAAACAAATAGCAGAAAATTAATGTTAAATGACATCTTGGTCTCCCAGATACAAATATAAGCCCCTTTGTGCAAAGTCTCACAACAATCCCATGATGTAAGAAGAGTTGATATGACTGTCTTTATGCCTGAACTCCTAAGGGAGCTGGCCCAGACAGGTGCAGTGACGTGTTCAATGTCCCTGGCTAGTAATTAGAATAGAATTAGAACTTTGTCTAAATTCTAGACCAAGAACATTTTTCAGATCCCATAAAGTTCAATTTTTTAGAAGCCCATATTCAAGGATAAATGGCTTTCAAAATTCCAAGTGCGATGGCTCACTCCTGTAATCACAGCACTTTGGGAGGCCACAGCAGAAGGATCGCTTCAGGCCAAGAGTCTGAGACCAGCCTAGGCAACAGAGTGAGATTCTGTCTCTACAAAAAATAAAAATATTAGCTGGATGTGGTGGCACACTCCTATGGTCCCAGCTACTCAGGAGGCTGAGGTGGGAGGATCACTTACGCCCAAGAGGTTAAGGCTGTATTGAGCTGTGTTCACACCACTGCACTCCAATCTGGGTGACAGAGTGAGACCCTGCCTCAAAAAGAAAAAAAAAAAAGACAGCCACACTACTGAATATTCTTAGCAAAAACGACAACCATAAAATCCAACAATCACTGTTTTCCAGTGGCAGGCACCACATTCAGACAATTGTTTTGTTTAATTTTCAGTTGAAAACAATTCAGTCTAAATCAAGAACATAAATGCAAACACTTGCCCCTAAATGGGGATGGTCATACACTCATTACAGAGAATACAACATACTTCTATGAATGTCTCAAATTCTCTTCAGTGACAATTTAGAATCTCATCTAAGCCATTTCCTCGGTGACAACCTGGGATGTAGCAGACAAATCTCAATAGTGTAATTTCCTTTGTTCAAATCTGTCATTAACTTATGTTTTAAAATATTTATTTATTTATGTATGTATTTATTTAGAGACAGGGTCTCACTCTGTCGCCCAGGCTGGAGTGCAGTGGCATGATCTTGGCTCATTGCAGCCTAAACCTCCTGGGCTCAAGTCATCCTCCCACCTCACTCTCCAGGTAAGACTACAGGTGAGTGCCACCATGTGTAGCTAATTTTCTTTGTATTTTTTGTAGAGGTTGGGTTTTGCCATGTTGGCCAGGCTAGTCTTGATCTCCTAGGCTCAAGTGATCCACCTGCCTCGGCCTCCCGAAGTGCTGGGATTACAGGCGTGAACTACCACACCCGGCCATATCTATCATTAACTTATGCATTCCTTACTGAATGCAAAGGGGGCATAAAGTCACTGATTACATTAAGTTCAGTAGCCTCTGACAAAATAAATTTAAATCCTTCTATACTAATGCTAATAGAGCTCAGCCATCTTTCTTTTCTCTAATAGGTGTTCTGTACCAAGAGATAATAACTCTCAGCCCATTTTACTCCCAACACATAAATTCAGCAGGGAAAGGATTCGCTCATATTCCTACCAAATCTATCCTATAGAGATCAAGGGCTTCTGAGAAGTAAAGAAATAGTTGGCATGCCCTATTCAGTTTGGTAACAAAAATGCTATTTCCTTGCCTTAAGAGTATATGAAAAGTTTTTTTAAAAAATCAGGAGAGATGTTTTCTGACTCTTCATTCCTGTTACCCACAATTCTGGCAGCTGGCATTCCAAAAACATTTTCCTATTGTCAGGTGTCATCACCTGAAGCCCTCTTCAAGCATAGAACATTCTAACATCAATTAGGAAAGACTTCATGTATTTCCTGGAAATGACAACAGGGAAGTTAGAAATTTTTGAATGTTCCTTTAACTTATTCTTCTAAATATTCTAATAAGTCAACTTTAAAGGACAGGTTTTAAAGAAAGGGCTTTTCTTTCTTTCCAGGAAAGGAGAGTACTGGCTATCTGGACCTTGTGAAAAGATTTTTAGTACACTACTTAGCTTCTTGATTTCATGAAGAATTCATTTTGGTTTCTAATATACTGATATGGTTTGGATCTGTGTCCCCACACAAATCTCATGTTCAACTGTAATCCCCAACGTTGGAGGTGGGGCCTGGTGGGAGGCGACTGGATTATGGGGGTGTATCCTTCATGAATGGTTTAGCACGACCCCTTTGGTGCTGTTCTTGTGATAGAGTTCTCATGAGATCTGGCTGTTTAACAGTGTGTGGCACCTCCCCCATCTCTCTCTTGGTCCTGCTACTGCCATGTGAGACAGGTGGCTCCCCCTTTGCCTTCTGCCATGAGTAAAAGCTCCCGAGGACTCCGCAGAAGCAGATGCTGCCATGCTTTCTGTATAGCCCACAGAACTGTGAGCCAATTAAACCTCCTTTTTTTTTGAGACGGAGTTTCACTCTTGTTGCCCAGGCTGGAGTGCAATGGCGCGATCCCAGCTTCCTGCAACCTCCGCCTCCCGGGTTCAAGCGATTCTCCCGCCTCAGCCTCCCAAGTAGCTGGGATTACAGGCATGCACCACCAAGCCAGGCTAATTTTTGTATTTTTGGTAGAGATGGGGTTTCTCCATGTTGGTCAGGCTGGTCTCAAACTCCCGACCTCAGTGATCTGCGCATCTCGGCCTCCCAAAGTGCTGGGATTACAAGAGTGAGCCACCGCACCTGGCAAAACCCTTTTCTTTATAAATTATCCAGTCTCAGGTATTTCTTTATAGCAGTGCAAGAATGGACTGATACATATACTATACCTTCTTCTGTAAAGATAGTAACTCTTATTTCTATAACCTGTATAGTCTCTTCACTGAACTTTTACCTATATATATTCTTCATCAGTATTACTTTTTTTTTTTTTTTGAGACAGACTCTTGCTCTGTTGCCCAGGCTGGAGCACAGTGGTGTGATGTTGGCTCACTGCAACCTCTCCCTCCCAGGTTCAAGTGATTCTTGTGCCTCAGCCTCCCGAGTAGTTGGGACTATAGACACACACCACCCTGCCCTGCTAATTTTTGTATTATTGGTAGAAATCAGGTTTCACTATGTTGGCCAGGCTGTTCTTAAACTCCTGACCTCAAGTGATCCACCTTCCTTGGCCTCTCAAAGTGGATTACAGTCATGAGCCACTGCGCCTGGCCAGTATTACTTTTTCACTAGTGTTACAGCAACAGTTACTTTCACTTCTAAAAACATATAATCAAATGGCTTTATGGCACACTTATCTGCTTCCCTTCAGTTTTTTTCAGTGTTTTTGTTTTTGTTTTTTAAATATTTAGGTCCCCATCACGGACCTTCAAAGTAGAGTGAATACTGGGTCAAAATTTCTGTCCTTGAAGACAGACTATATGTTAAAGGAATAATATCATATACAGGATTAAGGCATTTCATAGAACTACTTGCCCATACATTCAATTTACAAAAAGGGACTCATTAAAACCTTAAATCTGAGACAGTTAATACAATCAAATTCAACAAAATGGCACTGCAACTATTTTAAAGGATAGCTATCCAGATAGAGAGAACCTAACAAATCAGACTTGTAACAGTCCTTATCATTTGGAATAGCTGAAAAAAAATCAACGCTAGGCAAGGGGAAGAACAAAAAGAGGTATGGCAATAATTTCAGCTATCTTGTGTCTCCAACACCTCACCCCACCAAACACACACCTCTCACACAATTCTACTTATCTTGGTCCCATTACTAGATTTACATCTCTATTGCTATTTGGTGAAGGAAGTGCAACCAATGGGACCCTCACCAGGCCAGGCACAGGTCCACAAACACTTTCTCAAGTAGCTCTTGAATTGTAAGGGGGCCTACCAAAAGAAAAGGGGACACTTCTCTAAAAAACTATTTCATTAAAGTTGTAATAACTTTAAAAAAATGTGGTTCTCTGGCATCCTGTTTTTATTTCTGCCTGGGACTCCAAAAATTTTAAATTAATGTCTCAGAGTTTTGTTTGCTTTAAAAAATTAATTTGTGGCCAGGAGCAGTGGCTCACACCTGTAATCCCAGCACTTTGGGAGGCTGAGGCGGGCGGATCACCTGAGGTTGGGAGTTCGAGACCAGCCTGACCAACATGGAGAAACTCCGTCTCTACTAAAAATACAAAATTATCTGGGCGTGGTGGTACATGCCCTATAATCCCAGCTGCTCAGAAGGCTGAGGCAGGAGAATGGCTTGAACCCGGGAGGTGGAGGTTGTGGTGAGCCGAGATTGCGCCACTGCACTCCAGCCTGGGCAACAAAAGTGAAACTCCTTCTCAAAAAAAAACAAATAATAATAATAATAATTTTTTTTTAAGATTGAGTCTTGACATCCAAGTGATAACATGACAAATACCCAACACTTTTGACAACTGTGCCTTTATCCCCAGTTTTTGGAGTACTTACAAGGAACCAGTTAACTGTCTGTTTTTGCTTCTTTAATCTTCGTAACAACAATGAAATATGTATTATTGTTCCTTTTCTACAGATGAAAAAACTGAGGAATACAGGGGCCAATGTGTCTCTAGCCTCATTTAATAAGAGGTGGATCTGAGATCTGAACACAGGCAATTGGATCTAGAATCTATGTTCTTTACCATGAAACTATGTTGCTTCCTGTCTAAATACATGCATTAAACAAATGGTAAATTATAAGCAGATAATTTCTACTTAATGGTTCAAATGGTAAATTATAAGCAGATAATTTCTACTAAAAATACAAAAATTAGCCAGGCGTGGTGGTGGGTGCCTGTAATCCCAGCTACTTGGGAGGCTGAGGCAGGAGAATTGCTTGAACCCGGGAGGCGGAGGTTGCAGTCAGTCAAGATCACACCATTGCACTCCAGCCTGGGCAACAAGAGCGAAACTCCCTCTCAAAAAAAAAAAAAAAAAAAAAAATCACACACCACATTTCACCACACAAATACCAAAACTAACATTGCTTGTCTATTTCTGGACACTCAACATACTTTTATATGTAACTCTTGTTACAGTGTATATGCCTTTTTTCTTTTTTCTGCTTTTCTCAAGCACAGTATTTTCCTATTTTCACAATATTTGTAAAGATCAATACTTTTTTTTTTTTGGAGACAAAGTCTCCCTCTGTCACCCAGGCTAGAGTGCAATGGTACCATCTTGACTCACTGCAACCTCCGTCTCCCGGGTTCAAGTGATTCTCCCGCCTCAGCCTCCTGAGTAGTTGGGACTACAGGCACGCACCATCACACCTGGCTAATTTTTTGTATTTTTAGTAAAGATGGGGTTTTGCCATGTTGGCCAAGCTGGTCTCGAACTCCTGGTCTCAAGTCATCTGCCCATCTCAGCCTCATAAAGTTCTGGGATTACAGGCATGAACCACTATGCCTGGCCAGGGTCAATACTCTTTTAAATGCATGTGCTGGAACCGATCTATTTTTTCCTCTACTGTAAGTAACCTCCAATTTTCAGAACTAAATCACAATGTCACAAATGTACTTGTATACAAAGTTTTTTCAGCATTTGGGATTGTTTTCTTAGTATAAATAAATGAAACTAGAATTATTGGGTGAATGGGCATGGATGATTAAGTCTCTTAACACATACTGGCAGACTGGGCTCTACAAATCTATACCTCTACTTGAAGAATATGAGTGTTCATTTCAATGTACCTCATTAGTGTTTTGTCTTCTTTTAAAAATATCTTTGTTAATTAAAAAGGTAAAAAATAGGAACGTAACATTCATTTATTTATTCTTTGGTTCCCCTGTGTCCATTCATCTATTGGGATCTGAATTTTTTTCTGATTTTTGTACTTCATATTTTAAACATATTAATCCATTACCATATTTGATTTTTCTCTTAAACAACTGATTTCATTTTCACAAAAGTACATCCAGTGAACTCTTTTATCACCTTTCAGAGTACAGCAGTGAGATCTGATAAATATTCTTGTTTTTGAGACGGAGTCTCGCTCTGTCCCCCAGGCTGGCCAGGCTGGAGTGCAGTGGCGCAATCTCAGCTCACTGCAACCTCCGCCTCCTGGGTTCAAGCGATTCTCCTGCCTCGGCCTCCCAAA
Organism: Homo sapiens; assembly: GCF_000001405.40. Taxonomy (NCBI): domain Eukaryota; kingdom Metazoa; phylum Chordata; class Mammalia; order Primates; family Hominidae; genus Homo; species Homo sapiens. The sequence goes on along the minus strand of NC_000005.10, from coordinate 139,616,214 downwards.
GTGCTGGGATTACAGGCGTGAGCCACCGTGCCAGGCCATAAATACTTGTTTTTGTTTTCCTTTATAAATTCTAGATTATTTGGCTGGGCACGGTGGCTCATGCCTGTAATCCCAGCGCTTTGGGAGGCCGAGGCAGGTGGATCATAAGGTCAGGCGTTCGAGACCAGCCTGGCCAACATGGCGAAACCCAGTCTCTACTAAAAATACAAAAATTAGCTAGGCGTGGTGGCGGGTGCCTGTAATCCCAGCTACAAGGGAGGCTGAGGCAGGAGAATTGCTTGAACCCGGGAGGTGGAGGTTTCAATGAGCCAAGATTGCACCACTGCAGTCTAGCCTGGGCGACAGAGTGAGACTCCATCTCAAAAAAAAAAAAAAAAAAAAAAAATCTAGATTATTGTAACGCAACTGTGATTTCATCTGGGAATAATGTTGAAGGGTTGTACAATTTCAAATCAACACATTAAGACAACAACTACATCACTCAGTTCATTGATACAGAAACCTAAAGACAAGAGCTGGTAAAATATTTACCTATATTTTGTTCTTCAAGAACCTAACGTCTATGTTTACAGCATAGGCATTTGTCTAAAGGGCTGGTCTATTTCCTATTCTGCAATAGTATCTATCTTTTTCCATTCATGAATCTCAAGGTTGGAAGAGATGTTAATTGTGCTCTACTTTATGCTCTAAAAAAACATTCATACCAGTGTCCATCTTCTTTTTTTTTTTTGAGACAGAGTCTCGCTCTGTTGCCCAGGCTGGAGTGCAGTGGCACAATCTCTGCTCACTGAAACCTCTGCCTCCCGGGTTCACACCATTCTCCTGCCTCAGCCTCCCGAGTAGCTGGGACTACAGGCACCTGCCACCATGCCCAGCTAATTTTTTTGTATTTTTAGTAGAGACGGGGTTTCACCATGTTAGCCAGGATGGTCTCGATCTGCTGACCTTGTGATCTGCCCGCCTCGGCCTCCCAAAGTGCTGAGATTACAGGCATGAGCCACGGCACCAGGCCCAGTGTTCATCTTCTAACCTATGCTAGAGTAGCACAACTGACAGACTAGTCACTACACCAAGGAATACTTTTGCTTGAAAAATCCAACTCGTTTTCAGTTCTCAAGGTCCATTTCAGATTAAGAAGAATTGCTATCTCTTCTTAAAAGAAACATAAGTAATCTTTTCAAAAATAAATAACTCTAAAAAGACAAAAGACACGGTTGCTTTATCTTGATATCAAATACCCACTGTTACCTTTTGAAATAGTTAGTGCTGGAGACCACTGTGATCGTAGAATATCAAGACAAATGCTGCCATTACTGTTAATATTTGGATGATAAATTCTTGTTGTAAATGCAACCTACAGAAAGAAAGGAAACTTTCTGTAAACTAGTTTATTAGTATTATAGAAAGTACATTAAAAACTGCCACATTCCAATTAATTACCTTAGGTGGTTTGAAGGGGTAATCTGTTGGGAAATGAATTGTCAAGAAAAATACTCCACCCTGATAGGGACTGTCATTCTGTTGATAACAAGAAAAGTGGGATTAAAATGAGTAAATTACATAAACTGTTTATTCTGAAATTAATCTGAATACTTACTGGCCCCATTATTGTAGCTTGCCAATGGAACACTGAAAAATAACAAGAAAAAAGTCACCATGTAACAATATCTACATTGTATCTACGCCATAGTAACATATCATTCCCCTTCTAATCCAAATTCATTTATAAATAATATGATAATGAGTATGAGCAAGATGAGGAACATAAATTAACAGTCTAAAGAAACAAGAAAAATGACTAGAATGGCCTAGAACACTGATAAGGTGCTCAATGAAAAATATTTAGAGCCAGGTGTGGTGGCTCACACCTGTAATCCCAACACTTCCAGAAGCTGAGGTGAGAGGACTGCTTGAGCCTGAGAAGTGGAGGCTGCAATGAGCCATGACTGCGCCACTGCAAGACTCTCTCAAAAACAAAAACAAAAAAAACCGAAAGTATTTGGGCTAAAACTTCTTGAAACTTCATGTCAGGTAGACAAACTTCTTGACAAGGCTTACAGTTCTACTTTTAAACAGTTATTTCTTTACCTCACAGGGTAAATCATTTCTTCAAAACAATTACATATAATACACTTTTTTTTTTTTTTTTTTTTGAGACAGAGTCTCACTCTATCGCCCAGGCTGGAGTGCGCTGGCGCAATTTCGGCTCATTGCAACCCCCGCCTCCCGGGTTCAAGCAATTCTCCTGCCTCAGCCTCCCAAGTAGCTGGGACTACAGGCAAGTGCCACCACACCTGGCTAATTTTTGTATTTTTAGTAGAGACAAGGTTTTGCCACGTTTGGCCAGGTCTCAAACTCCTGACCTCAGATGATCCACCCACCTCAGCCTCCCAAAGCTGGAATTACAGGCATGACTCCTTTTATAATGCTGGTATACGGGGGACAAAACAGTAAAGTCAAGGTAGATAATACTCAAATTAAGAAAGACTGGTTTTAACAAGGAGAAAAAATTTCTAAAAACTCTTGTGTAGGTCTGTACATTACTGGCCCTCATTAAAGAAAGAAAAACATCTCTCCTAATGTAAAGGATAAGTTAAAGAGGAAAAAAGAGAAAAAAGGAGTAAAATTTAAGAAGAAAATATTAGCTGAAAGCCCAAGGTTGATTACAAGCTCCAGGGATACTTCTAATAAGTTATAAACTTGTTCAATAAATAAATATCTTCCAAATGCAGAAAATGATGCTTGTTCCATGTTCTCATGCTACTAAGTGCATCATGAGAGATCAAAAGCCAGAGTTTTTACTTATAATTAAGCTACTACTTAGCACACTTACCATTCATACTATGATCTGAGCAACCTAAGGGAAGTTGTCACTGGGGTTATATTTGAACAACCCAAACCAGGTAACTCTTGTCACAAGGTAGAAGAAACATGAAGACTAAGAAGCCATATAAAAATCCACCAGAATGTCAGTCCAAATCCTAAAGTTCCTTCCAACCTCCTTAATATCAAATTAATCCCTAAAGTTGGTTTGTTGCTCACTGGGACTTGAACCTAAAAATAGCAGCTTGTTGATTAGGGGTTAAAGGTAAAGGATAGGAATTGCTGAGGCTCCCTTCCTTAGATTAGCCCTCACTAGTACTTACAAACACTTATATTACTCTCTGCTGACCATTTAATGGACTGAGTAAGCCAAGGACAAAGCCATTCTGGGCCACTAAAACTGGACCTAGTATCTTCAAGGGAAGTCCTATAAAAAGCCCCTTGTATGTTGTTTAAAGACACAAAAGTGGGCACCTGTAGTCCCACCTACTCAGGAGGCTGAGATGGGAGGATGACTTGAGCCCAGGAGTTCAAGTCCAGCCCAGGCAACATAGCAAGACCCTGTTTCTGAAAAAAATTAAAAACAAGACTAAAACACACACACGCACATGCTCACACGCATGCATGCACACATACACGAGTCTCACTCTATTTTTAATCACAAATATACTTACAATTTGAGTAAATAAAACATTGATAACTAGAATTAACAACCCCCAATAACAAGACTAAAAACACTATTAGACAAAAGTATGACCAACTGGTCAAGGGACCTGTTCTTCTACTTAATTCTTTCCTGTTATTTAAATTTGTGGTTATAATGGAAGAGTATTAATTGTACCTGCATTTCCACTCAAAGCTGTAAGAGTTGGGTAAGATAGTAAGAAAGCACTGCTTTTAAGTGTTCTCAGGCACTGCCTGCCACAGTGGCGCCCTCATCTCTAATGTCTGCTGAGAAGGGGGATAAGTAAGGGGGCCTCTAGATCATGACTAGTACAAGGCAGATTACCAGCAAATTGGCCCAGTGGTAAAGCACCCAGGAAGCAATTAGCTACAGAAGTCACTCACAGGAGTGCACCCTTTACTGGAAGAGTAAAGAAACCTCACTGCTACAGGTCTGGTACTGTGGTACTCTGTGAAAACAGATCTCATCAGAAGTCCACTGAATTCTGATTAGCAAACTTCCTTTCCAGCATCTGATACAAGAAGTTGCTCAGGACTTCGAAACAAATCTACACTTCTGGCTTTTGTTACTTTGCAGGAGGCAAGTGAGGCCTATCTGATGAGCCTTTATGAAGACACCAACTTATGTGTAACTCATGCCAAATATGTAACAAGTATGCCAAAAGACATCCAGCTAGCATGCCAATTACATGGAGACTGTGCTTAAGATTGGGAAACATTTCATGTTCAAAAAAAAAAAAAAAAAACAATTATTTTTCTTCTTTCTGTTATTGATAGTTCTCTGTTAGATGTATTTTCCCCCACGGGGTCAAAAGGTAACTACATATATGACTGCGAGTGGAAAAACAGGGGACAGAAATCAGGTATTGGCAGTTTTTCCATTTTAACTTGTGTGTGAATTTCTAATATAAAATTGAGGATGTAAAGCATTAATTCAAGTCAAACTATTTCGGTGAACAAGTTTCAGCAGTTCACCTTTATAACAATTATAAACATACCTGTAAATTTTTTCTGGACAATGCTAGCAGTTGGATTTTATTTTTGTCACTAGTTATATCATTGGTTTATTATAAAAGAGAGACATGGAAATTATTTACATGATGAAAGATTTCAGAACTTTAGTGGAATGGGCAGCTTCACGTTGATGTCATTTCAATAGTGATTTATTTCAGTCTACACACTAAGAATGTCGCCATCTCTAAATAAGAAATAAAACTTGTCGCTGGGTGTGGTAGCTCACGCCTGTAATCCCAGCACTTTGGGAGGCCGAGGCAGGTGGCTCACCTGAGGTCAGGAGTTCGAGATCAGCCTGACCAACATAGTGAAACCCCGTCTCTACTGAAAATATAAAAAATTAGCTGGGCGTGATGGCGGGCGTCTGTAATCCCAGCTACTCAGGAGGCTGAGGCAGGAGAATCACTTGAAACTCGGAGGTGAATGCTGCAGTGAGCTGAGATTGCACCATTGCACTCCAGCCTGGGAAACAAGAGCGAAACTCCATCTCAAAAAAAAAAAAAAAAAAAAAAAAAAAAGAAGGAAAACTTGTCATCTAGAACTACTTTATTGCCTCTATATTCTAGGAGAACTGTATCTCTAACTTCTCGCTAACTAGTGGAATTTCTCCACCCTTTCCTTTAGAGCTCAAATTCAACAACTGTCAACACTACTGTTGCTTGCAATATTTTTCCTTGAGATTATTCTGGAAGCATAATGCCTCCTTTGGTTATAGTTTTGGCAGCACTCCTTTCAACCAATACTCTGTAAAAGAGTGAAAGAAACTTTCTAAACTCTTGTCCTGCCATGACTGCTGATGCTGCCACTGCTTGTACACTGCTCTCCTAGATTTATTTATTTTGAGACAGGGTTTTACTCCTTGTCACCCAGACTGGAGTAAAGGGCGCAACCTCAGCTCAACCTCCACCTCCCAGGCTTAAATGATCCTCCTGTCTCAGCCTCCCAAGTAGCTGGGACCATACCCAGCTAATTTTTCTATTTTCTGTAGAGACGGGATTTTGTTACGTTGCCCAGGCTGGTCTCGAACTCCTATGCTCAAGCAATCCCCTCACCTCAGCCTCCCAAAGTGCTGGGATTACAGGTATAAGCCACTGTGCCCAGACCCTCCTGGATTTTTTTCATATCAAGCAAAAAAAAAAATATATTTTTTTTTTGAGACGGAGTCTCGCTCTGTTGCCCAGGCTGGAGTGCAATGGCATGATCTCAGCTCACTGCAACCTCTGGCTCCCGGGTTCAGCAATTCTCCTGCCTCAGCCTCCTGAGTAGCTGGGATTACAGGCACACACCACCACACCAGGCTAATTTTTGTATTTTTAGTAGAGACGGGGTTTCACTATGTTGGACAGGCTGGTCTCAAACTCCTGACCTTATGATCCGCCCACTTCGACCTCCCAAAGTGCTGGGATTACAGGCGTGAGCCACTGTGCCCGGCCGTAAATTTTTATTGATGGCAACTAAATGGTGTTTGTAGCGTTTTTATCGTATGGTAGACTCTTCATTCATTCACTCTATTTTTCTGAGTTGCCCTACATGCAAGTATGTTTTTAATGTTGTCTGTCTCTGTACTGTTCCTTTGAGTTTGCTATTAAAATACACTAAACTATTTTTTAAGAAAGCACTTAAGGCCAGGCGCAGCGGCTCACACCTGTAATCCCAGCACTTTGGTAGTCTGAGGCAGATGAATCATGAGGCCAGGAGTTCAAGACCAGCCTGGCCAACATGGTGACACCCTGTCTCTACTGAAAATACAAAAAATTAGCTGGGCGTAGTGGCAGGTGCCTGTAATCCCAGCTACTCGGGAGGCTGAGGAAGGAGAATCGCTTGAACCCAGGAGGCGGAGGTTGCAGTGAGCTGAGATCGTGCCACTGCACTCCAGCCTGGGCAACAGTGCGAGACTCCATCTCAAAAAAAAAACAAAAAAACAAAAAAAGAAAGAAAGAAAGAAAACAACTTAAAAAAGAAAAAAAGAAAGAAAGCACTTAATAAAATATTAATTTTTTTTTTTTTTTAAATAGAGATGCGCAGCCAGGTGTGATGGCTCACACCTGTAATCCCAGCACTTTGGGAGGCCGAGGCGAGCGGATCACCTGAGGTTGGGAGTTCAAGACCAGCCTGACTAACACGGAGAAACCCCATCTCTACTAAAAATACAAAATTAGCCAAGCATGGTGGCGCATTGCCTGTAATCCCAGCTACTCGGGAGGCTGAGGCAGAAGAATCGCTTGAACCTGGGAGGCAGAGGTTGTGGTGAGCCAAGATCGTGCCATTGCACTCCAGCCTGGGCAACAAGAGCGAAACTCCATCTCAAAAAAAAAAAGAGATGGGGTCTCACTATGTTGTCCAGGATGGTCTTGAACTCCTGGGCTCAAGCAGTTCACCCACCTCAGCCTCCCAAAGTGCTGGGATTATAGGTGTGGGTCACCACACCCAGACAAAATATAAAAATATTGAGACAATTAAAAAAATTAAATTTTCCATTAACCATTTAGGTACTAATTCAAGATCTTCACTAGTCTTTTCAGGATCAATCTTTTTCTTTTCCTGCTAATACTACTACCAGACTTAAGAAGTTATTAGAAAAATTTAAATCAGAATTTTTTTTTTTTTGAGATGGAGTCTCGCTCTGTCGCCTGGGCTGGAGTGCAGTGGTGCGATCTTTGCTCACTGCAACCTCCGCCTCCCAGGTTCAGGCAATTCTCCTGCCTCAGCTCCCTGAGTAGCTGGGATTACAGGTGTGTGCCACCACACCTGACTAATTTTGCTGTATTTTTAGTGGAGACTGGGTTTCACCATGTTGGTTAGGCTGGTCTCGAACTCCTGACTTCAGGTGATCCACCCACCCTGGCCTCCCAAAGTGCTGAGATTACAGGCATAAGCCACCAGGCCCGGCCTTAAATCAGAAATTTTTAGCTAAATATTTCCTTTTTTGTGATTCCCTGTTCTTCCTACTAACACAAACAAAGCACAAATAGGCTGTGGGATCAAAATCTACTAACAATTGGACAACGCAGAATCCCCAACAGGGTTGAAGCAGAAATGCCAACAAGCTGCCAATGTTTATAATTATGGAAAGAATACCCTTCTTCTTCTTTTTTTTTTAAAATAGAGACGGGGTCTTCCCATGTTGCCCAGGCTGGTCTCAAACTCCTGGGCTCAAGCGATCTGCCTGCCTTGACCCCCCAAACTGCTGGGAATATAGGCATGAGCCACCAGCAGTGCCCAGCCAGAATACCCAGAATACCCTTCTTTTTTTTCTTTCTTTTTTTGAGACAGTCTCACTTTGTCAAGGCTGGAGTGCAATGGCACAATCTGAGCTCACTGTAACCTCTGCCTCCCAGGTTCAAGCAATTCTCCTGCTTCAGCTTCCCAAGTAGCTGGGATTACAGGTGTGCAACACCTCACCCGGCTAATTTTTTGTATTTTTAGTAGAGATGGGGTTTTGTCACGTTGCCCAGACTGGTCTCAAACTCCTGAGCTCAGGCAATCCGCCCACCTTGGTCTCCCAAAGTGCTAGGATTACAGCCGTGAGCTACCACGCCGGGCCAGAATACCCTTCTTGATAGAAGATGGGGAAAAAAATAAATATTTTCAACTAATATTGCAATCTTTCATACCCACGCTACAAAAAGTTAGAGATACTCTAGCATATTGTATATTTAAGTTTTTTTTTTTTTTTCCCAAGAGACAGAGTCTCACTCTACTGCCCAGACTGGAGTACAGTGGCACAACTTTGGCTCACTGCAGCCTCAAACTCCTGGGCTCAAGCAATCCTCCCACGTCAGCCAACTGAGTAGCTGGGACTACAGGCAAGTGTCACCATGTCCTGCTCATTTTTTTAATTTTTATTTTTGTAGAGATCGGGTCTTGCTATGTTGCCCAAGCTGGTCTCAAACTCTTGGCCTCAAGCGATCCTTCTGCATTGGCCTACCAAAGTGCTGGGATTACAGGCATGAGCCACTGTACCATGCCGAACATTCTTACATTATTGTGAACTTTTAACTCAACATCATAGATGATCTCATCTGTAATCCATATCTATTTAATTTAGTAGATCATATCTGTTTAACATTCCAACAGGACTAAACATATGTAATCCATTGGCATTAAACTCTGAATAAAAACCTATTCACATTCTAATAACACTATGTTAATTTGTCTTCACTGTTATTAAGGTCAAATTCCATCATCAAAAAAATGAGCAAAAACACATACACAGGGCTAAGTCTTTAAAATAGCAGAAGGAAAAGGAAGAAGAAAATTACTAATGCAGCAACCAAGACAAATAATCTTTATGGCTCTCATAAAATGATCTAGAATCTACAGTACCAAAAAAAGGCAGAGAAAGAGAAACTAAAACCCATTCACATGAATGTAATTAAAGCATTTAAAGACCTACCATTTAAATCTTAATTGAGAATTTTGTCACACTGGTTGAATATAAAGATACCTACTAAAACCACTGATTTAGGTTACTCTCTGGAAGCCTTTCTAGACTCTTAGCTCTTATAGGCAGAAGTATAAATCAGAGAAGCTAGTGACAGAATACCAAACCTGCCTCACATTACAATGTTTTTAGAAATAGCTCAAGTAGGCTAGGCGTGGTGGCTCACGCCTGTAATCCCAGCACTTTGGGAGGCCGGGGCAGACCAATCACGAGGTCAGGAGTTCAAGACCAGCCTGGCCAACATGGTGAAATACCGTCTCTACTAAAAATACAAAAAATTAGCTGGGCGTGGTGGCAGGCACCCGTAATCCCAGCTACTTGGGAGGCTGAGGCAGGAGAACTGCTTGAACCCGGGAGGCAGAGGTTGCAGTGAGCCAAGATCATGCCACTACACTCCAGGGGGGCGACGATGTGAGACTCTGTCTCAAGAAAAGAGAAATAGCTCAAGAATTACTAGAGGTTCAAGTAAAAAGGACCCCCAAAATAGTTACTGAATGAAATACTGGACCATAAGCATAAAATATTGCTACATTTTACATAAACATCTGTTTCAAAAATCTTTCATTTAATGATCCATCTTAGGATTGATCAAAATTGACCAAAATAAAAAGTTTTGATAGTAAAAAACAAAAATAAGTTCCCAGCACTATGTTGGTTTAATACTATCAAACCAAATTACACAAACTGAAAGTTACATAATCTGTTTTATGAGAGTTTAAATGTGAAGTTCACAGATGAATGATTACTCTTTAGTATTCTGGATGAAGCCTTGAGGTTAAAAGGGACAGGCCGGGCGCAGTGGCTCAAGCCTGTAATCCCAGCAGTTTGGGAGGCCGAGGTGGGTGGATCACCTGAGGTCAGGAGTTCGAGACCAGCCTGGCCAACATGGTGAAACCCAGTCTCTACTAAAAATACAAAAAATTAGTCGGTCGTGGTGGTGCATGCCTGTAATCCCAGCTACTTGGGAGGCGGAGACAGGAGAATTGCTTGAACCTGGGACGCAGAGGTTTCAGTGAGCCGAGATTGCGCCACTGCACTCCAGCCCGGGCAACAGAGTGAGACTCCATCTCAAAAAAACAAACAAACAAACAAAACAGCAGGGGACAGTGAGAATATTTGATAGTATGAGACTGAATCCCCAGAGACCTACACTTGAATGCACAGATCTCAAGAGAGTCACATTTACCAACTGTTCAAAAGAAAAGAAAGCTGGGTGCGGTAGCTCGCAGCTGCAATCACAGGGCTTTGGGAGGCAGAGGCAGGAGGATCACTTGAGCCCAGGATTTCAAGACCAGCGTAGGAAACATGGTGAGACCCTATTGCTACAATTTTTTTTTTTAAATTAGCCAGGGGTGTAGGGGCATGTACCCATAGTCCCAGCTACTCAGGAGGCTGAGGTGGGAGGATCCCTTGAGCCCAGGAGTTTGAGGCTTCAGTGAGCTGCAATCGCGCCACTGCACTCTAGCCTGGGCAACAGAGTGAGCCCCTGCCTTTAAAGAAGACCAGAGGAGAGGAAGACGAGGGAGAAGGGAGGGAGAGAGGGAGGGGAGGAGGAGGGGGAAAGGAAGGGAGGGAAGAGAGAAGGAAACAGATATATGGCCATTAAATCTTCAGCTTATTTGTTTCTTTCTTTTCTTTTTTTTTTTTTTTTTTTTTTTGAGACAGAGTCTTGCTCTGTCACACAGGCTGGAGTGCAGTGGCGTGATCTTGGCTCACTGCAAGCTCCACCTCCCGGGTTCACGCCATTCTCCTGCCTCAGCCTCCTGAATAGCTGGGACTACAGGCACCTGCCACCAAGCCCGGCTAATTTTTTGTATTTTTAGTAGAGACGGGGTTTCACCATGTTAGCCAGGATGGTCTCAATCTCCTGACCTCGTGATCCGCCCGCCTCGGCCTCCCAAAGTGTTGGGATTACAGGCGTGAGCCACCGGGCCCGGCTGCTTACTTCTTTCAGGATGTACATTTCTTCCTGCTTACCAGATCTTTGCAGGAAAGTGAAAAAAAATTTACTAGTACATTAAAATCTGGATGTTTTAAAATAAAGCACAGATCTCTACTTTATTTTTATACTAAATATCAACATTAAAATCTGGATGTTTTAAAATAAAGCACAAGTCTCCACTTTATTTTTACACTAAATATCAATAACATGTGGTACTGAGGGATTTGGGTACCAGGATAGTCAAAAGGAGCTCAAAAGTTTCAAAAGGCCAACAGTTTCTCTCTTCCTTCTTCTAAGATTAAATTCTGACTCCTTATAACAAAAATAAAATGACAAAAGGACATTTAGCTATCCAATCATACTTGATGTACTCTTATGTGGGGTTCATCAGAAAGATCTGATCAATACTTGTTTTTTTTTTTTTTTTAGAGACTGGGTCTCAACCTGTCATCCAAGCTAGAGTATAGTGGCCAAATCATAGCTCACTGCAGCCTCAAACTTCTGGGCTCAGGTGTTCCTCCTGCCTCAGCCTTGTGAGTAGGTGGGACTACAGCCATGAGCCACCACTCCCAGCTAATTTTTAGTTTTAAAGATGGGGTCTTGCTTTGTTGCCCAGGCTGGCATAAAACTCCTGGCCTCAAGTGATCCTCCAGTCTCAGTCTCCCCAGTAGCTGGGATTACAGGCATGAGCCACTGTGCCTGGCTCTTCTTCACTGTAGTTTTGATTTGTATTTCCCTAATGACAAATGATGTTGAGCATCTTTTCGTGTGCTTACTAGCCATCTTATCTGGAGAAATGTCTACTCGGATCCTTTGACTATTTTTTAATTGGTTATTTATTTTTATACTGAGTTATAGGAGTTTTTAAACAGCTGGGTGGGGTGGCTCATGCCTGTAATTCCAGCGCTTTGGGAGGTAGAGGTGGGCGGATCACTTGAGGTCAGGAGTTCAAGACCAGCCTGGCCAACATGGTGAAACCCATCTCTACCAAAAATACGAAAATTAGCTGGGCGGCGGGGCACGTGCCTATAATCAGCTACTCGGGAGGCTGAGGCAGGAGAACTGCTTGAACCCACGAGGCGAAGGTTATAGTGAGCCAAGACCGCACCACTGCACTCCAGCCTGGGTGACAAAAGCGAGATTCCGTCTCAAAAAAAAAAAAAAAAAGTTTTAAAAATATACTGGATATATGTCCCTTATGAGATATATGACTTGCAACAATTTCTTCCATTCTATATGTTTTATCACTTTCGTGATGGCATCATTTGCAGCCTGTATATATTTAATTTTGATGAAGTCTAATAATATCTATTTTTTTCTCTTACTGATTAGCTTTGGGAGAGTTTGTTTGTTTTTTTGAGACGGAGTTTCAGTCTTGTTGCCCAGGCTGGAGTGCAATGGCGTGATCTCGGCTCACTGCAGCCTCTGCCTCCCGGGTTCAAGCGATTCTCCTGCCTCAGCCTCCCAAATAGATGGGATTACAGCTCCCACCACCACACCTGGCTAATTTCTTGTATTTTTATTTTTAGTAGACGGGGTTTCACCAGAGTTCAAGGCCAGACTGGTCTTGATTGAATTCCTGGCCTCAGGTAATCCACCTGCCTCGGCCTCCCAAAGTGCTGGCATTACAGGCGTACAGACGTGAGACACCACACCCAGCCTTTTTTTTTTTTTTTTTTTTTTTCGGAGACAGAGTCTCACTCTGTCACCCAGGCTGGAGTGTAGTGGCGGGATCTCGGCTCACCACAACCTCCGCCTCCCAGTTCCAACGATTCTCCTGCCTCAGCCTCCTAGGTAGCTGGGATTATAGGCAGGCGCCACCGCGCCCAGCTAATTTTTGTATTTTTAGTAGAGACAGGGTTTCACCATGTTGGCCAGGCTGGTCTTGAACTCCTGGCCTCCCAAAGTGCTAGGATTACAGACGTGAACCATCGCACTCGGCTGTGGGAGAGTTTTATTTAACTCTCCAAAGGGAACAATTTTTCAACCTGAGAAAGAAATGTATAGTGCTAACTATGGCAGAAGCAAAGCAAAGACAAATTACTTTAGCATGCTAAAGAAAACTTCAAAATTGAAATCAAATCCCCTGACTCCAACCACTTTTAATTAAAGATTTTCAGCCATTCTTAACTTGGAGGAATTTACCTAAAAGCACTTTTCCAACTGAATAGAAAGAGTACACTGATGTATGTGGCCCATATGATACAGTGGAAGGACAAACTAGAATCAGAAAACCTGAGAGTGAGTTCACATGGAGAATCTCCATGAGATTCTCATGGGACTTTTTTCTAAAACAATTTAAAATTTCTACTCCACTCACCTAAATGAGTTGTTGTAAGGCTTAAATGAGACAACGTGTGTAACAGCACTTACTAAATTATTTTGTATAGTTTAAGTACTTAGCCTGCCTTGTTTGGTACCAAATACTATAGTTACTCACGCTAGGTAAGTCAGAATATAATAATGTAAATGAGTTTTTTCATGACATGTACTTAGACTCATAATTTATAATATTTATCTATTTGTAAAGTAATCCTTGTGAAAGGGCCTTGCTTTGATTCTTCAGGATTTAGCAGACCAGACACATTCTTTTTTTCCGTTTTTTGTTGTTGTTGTTGTTGTTTTTGTTTTGAGAGAGTCTCGCTCCCGTTGCCCAGGCTGGAGTGCAGTTGTGCAACCTTGGCTCACTACAGCCTCAACTGCCTGGACTCAAGCGATCCTCCCACCTTAAACTCCTGAGTAGCTGGGGCTACAGGCATGCACCACCAGGCCAGGCTAATTTTTGTATTTTTTTGTAGAGAGAGGGTTTCACCATGTTGCCCAGGCTGGTCTCGCACTCCTGGGCTCAAGTGATCTGCCTGCCTCAGCCTCCCAAAGCACTGAGATTACAGGTGTGAGCCACTGGGCTGGGCCCAGACACAACATTATTAAGAAAAATCAGGAAAAAACAATTTGAGGCCAGGCGCAGTAGCTCACGCCTGTAATTCCAGAACTTTGGGAGGCCAAGGCAGGTGGATCACCTAAGGTCAGGAATTCAAGACCAGCCTCGCCAACATGGCGAAACCCCGTCTCTACTAAAAATACAAAAACTAGCCAGGTGTGGTGGCAGGTGCCTGTAATCCAAGCTACTTGGAAGGCTGAGGCAGGAGAATGGCATGAACCCAGGAGGCGGAGCTTGCAGTGAGCCGAGGTCACGCCACTGCACTCCAGCACGGGCAACAGAGTGAGACTCCATCTTAAAAAACAAAACAAACAAACAAAAAAATATTAAACATAAGCTAATTTAACCATGTACTCATTTTGGTCTGAATCTACATATTTACACAAGTGTTTGTAAGTATGCATACTTTAAAATATTTGTTAAATGTTACAAATTTTTTTTTCTTTTTTTTTTTTTTGAGAGTAAGTCTCACTCTGTCACGCAGGCTGGAGTGCAGTGGCACAATCTCAGCTCACTGCAACCTCTGCCTCCTGGATTCAAGCAGTTGTCTGCCTCAACCTCCCAAGTAGGTGGGATTACAGGCGCCTGTCACCATGCCTGGCTAAATTTTTTTCTATTTTTAGTAGAGGCGGGGTTTCACCATCTTGGCCAGGATGGTCTCAAACTCTGACCTCGTGATCCGCCCGCCTCGGCCTTTCAAAGTGCTGGGATTAGAGGCATGAGCCATGACGCCCCGTCCTGTTTTTATTTTTTGAGACAGCGTCTCACTCTGTCGCCCAAGCTGGAGTGCAGTGGCATGGTCCTGGCTCACTGTAAACTCTGCTACCCAGGCTCAGGCTAAAGCAAACCTCCCACCTTAGCCTTCCAAGTAGCTCGGACTACCAGCATGCACCAACATACCCGGCTAATTTTTTTGTGTGTTTTTTGTAGAGACAGGGCTTCACCATGTTGACCAAGCTGGTCTTGAACTCCTGGGCTCAATTGATTCACCTGCCTCGGTCTCCTAAAGTGCTGGGATTAGGGACATGAGCCATCACACCCAACCAAATGTTACAGTTTTTTGTGAATTAGTTTTACATCACATAGCATAGTCTCATTCAAATATCCCCTCTTTAAAAAAAGTTAAAAGACACTATATGGGAAAAAATTATGTTGAAATGAAGTGGAACAAAGAGGAAATTATCATCTAATGTATGCATTAAGATCATCTTTTTAGACAAAATTAAGCAGATAAATTGGACATTAAAAATAAAGACCTGCTTTTGGCCAGGTGTGGTGGTTCATGCCTATAATCCCAGCACTTTGGGAGGCCAAAGCGGGCGGATCACCTGAGGCCAGGAGTTTGAGACCAGCCTGGCCAACATGGCGAAACCACGAATCTACTAAAAATACAAAAATTAATCAGGCGTGGTGGCATGCACCTGTAATCCCAGATACTCGAGAGGCTGAGGCACGAGAATCACTTGAACCCAGGAAGCAGAGGCTGCAGTGAGCTGAGATCACGCCACTGCACTCCAGCCCGGGCTTGACAGAGCGAGACCCTGTCTCAAGAAAAAAATAAATAAAGACCTGATTTCGCAAGTATGAGTCAGTAGAAAGTCAGACACAGACACACATACTATCATCCTTAGTATTATCTTACTCAAGAATAATAGCTAGTTGTAGGTAAAAGCTTAAATATTTCACTCCAGGAAAATACCCAGAAGGGATGAAGGTAAGGTAGGAGAGGACTAGAACAACTACATAGCCAATACCTGGCAGAAGATTCAAAATGTAATGAACAACACAGATGATAATGGGATGAACATAGAGTTGCTCCCTTCATGGGCCACTAAGGGTTAAACACTGCCTCTTCCCTATACCATAATTGTTTCTTCACACAAAATAACCACTGTTATGCTATTACTCCATTATTCCTTTTAAATACTTACTATCATCTCCAACAGGACCTGCTGAACACTGTGCTGGAGGGTCCCGTGCCAGATCATTCAATTCCTACAGAAAAAAGAAAGAAAAGAAATATATTCAACATAAATGTACCTTTTATCCATTACTAAAGTTTATATTGTTACCAATATTCTCTGTCCTGCTGGTGAAACTCTCTTAAGAGCATTCCTTCAGAGTAAGAGATGAGTAGATTGGTGAATCTTTAAGGTATTTTGGATTCTTCAAGGCAATGTGTATTTTTTTAAAGTGGGTCATTTTTGCTTTGTTCAGAGCTTAGCAAATAAATACAATCAGGAAGGTAAAACATGTGTCATGTATTATGGGCCGGGCGTGATGGCTCACACCTGTAATCCCAGCACTTTGGGAGGCTGAGGCGGGCAGATCACTTGAGGTCAGGAGTTCGAGACCAGCCTGGCCAACAAGCCTGTCTCTACTGAAGATAGAAAAAATTAGCTGGGCATGGTGATACATGCCTGTCATACCAGCTACTCAGGAGGCTGAGGCAGGAGAATCCCTTGAACCAGGGAGGCGGAGGTTGCAGTAAGCCAAGATTGCACCACTGCACTCCAGCCTGGGTGATAGAGCGAGACTCCATTTCAAAAAAACAAACAAACAAAAAACATGTATTATGTATTAAAGAGCCAAAAATACTGTTTTTTTTGTTTGTTTGTTGTTTGTTTTTTGAGACGGAGTCTTGCTCTGTCGCCCAGGCTGGAGTGCAGTGGCGCAATCTCAGCTGACTGCAAGCTCCGCCTCCAGGGTTCACGCCATTCTCCTGCCTCAGCCTCCCGAGTAGCTGGGACTACAGGTGCCCGACCCAAACGCCCGGCTAACTTTTTGTATTTTTAGTAGAGACAGGGTTTCACCGTGTTAGCCAGGATGATCTCAATCTCCTGACCTGGTGATCCGCCCACCTTGGCCTCCCAAAGTGCTGGGATTACAGGCGTGAGCCACCGCGCCTGGCCAAAATTGTTTTAATGTAAACATTTCATTTATTATTTTTCAAAAAAAAAATTTAAGGCCAATTTTTGTACCTCAAAACTATTAGGTTACACTTGGGACAAGCTCCTAAAGTCATAAATGTTCCAAAATTATACTGGACCATCTGACAAGTTGATATGCTTTCAGTGGAAGTCCACTACCAGGGTTCTAAAAGTAGAAAAAACTTTGAAGGAATATATTTTAGGCTGGGCACAGTGGCTCATGCTTGTAATCCCAGCACTTTGTGGGGCCGAGGTGGGAGGATCACCTGACGTCAGGAGTTCGAGACCAGCCTAGCCTGGTGAACATGGTAAAACCCCATTTCTACTAAAAATACAAAAATTAGCCGAGCGTAGTGGGTGCATGTCTATAGTCCCAGCTACTCGGGAGGCTACAGCAGGAGTATTGCTTGAACCCAGGAGGCAGAGGTTGCAGTGAGCCAAGATCATGCCACTACACTCCAGCCTGGGACAACAGAACGAGACTTTGTCTCAAAAAAAAAAAAAAAAAAAAAAAAAAGGAATATATTTTAAAAGGCTGACTGAAGTAATAAAAGCCACCATAGAGCTTTGTAGTTCCCAGGAGCGATGGCTCACACCTGTAATCCCAACACTTTGGGAGGCCAAGGTGGCGCCAATCACTTGAGGCCAGGAGCTTGAAACCAGCCTGGCCAACATAGCAAGACCCCATCTGTACTAAAAAAACACAAAATTAGCTGGGAGTGGTGGCACACGCCTGTAATCCCAGCTACTTGAGAGGCTCAGGCAGAAGTAATGCTTGAACCCAGGAAAGGGAGGTTGCAGTGAGCCGAGATCATGCCACTGCACTCCAGCCTGGGTGACAGAGGGAGACTCCATCTCAAAAAAAAAAAAAAAAAAAAAAAAAAGGCTTTGTAGTCAGAGATTGGTCTACCTGGAATAATGCTTTACAACCAGTTACCAGCTTCTCAGCTTTTTAAACATAAAAGCCCAGAAACTTGAGACTTGTTATTGGGTGAGGATGCCTGAAAAATCACAAGGCAGGAAATCATACTATATTCCATTTCCCCTCAGCTTGGTTTTTGAGACAAAAAGAAAGTTCTCAAGAAGAACTAGTTTTGATTATACTTTAAAACTACAAGAGTAAAAACAGTAAAGTCTAAGATTTTTTAAATCCAAAACCATTTAGACTCTTATGTCGTTTCATCCTGTCTGTAAGCTTGGAGTACACAAAGCATAAAGTACAGAAATAAAGTTTGAAAAAGGGCCAGGCACAGTGACTCATGCCTGTAATCCCAGCACGAGGCTGAGGCAGGCAGATCACGAGGTCAGGAGATCGAGACCATCCTGGCTAACATGGTGAAACCCCATCTCTACTAAAAATATAAAAAATTAGCCAGGCATGGTGGCGGGTGCCTGTAGTCCCAGCTACTCGGGAGGCTGAGGCAGAAGAATGGTGTGAACCCGGGAGGTGGAGCTGGCAGTGAGCCAAGATCACGCCACTGCACTCCAGCCTGGGCGACAGAGCGAGACTTCGTCTCAAAAAAAAAGAAATAAAGTTTGAATAAAAAGAAGGCTCTGGATTGAGATAACGATTAACTTACTCAAATATCTCAAATTTTAGATTTTATGTCTCTAAAATAGAGATTTTCTGCCCATCTCAAGAAAAAAAGTAATAGCCTACTGTATAGTTCCCATTCTCAAATATTACTGACAGCACAGGTTGGTATAACTAAGAACACCTGGCTTTATTTAAGACATTGCTATAGCAACAGGTTGTTAATTAAAATATAACTTGAATTTAACAATTTAACAATTGAACAATTCTGAAGTCCTGCCATGTTCATTAAGTGGAATTTTACTTTTGATTTCGCTTTAATCTTTTGCCCCTTTCAAACTGAGTTACTTTTTTCCATGCTGAATAACATCAAGGTTTTTAACTCAAGAGCTAAGATTTATCTAAGCAGAATACAAGATCCATCAGTCCATTTCAGGAGCCAATATAATTTTAAAACCCTAAGCCAAACTTAGGCTAATAGACATTTAACACACTCATTCAACACTTCCTTGGCTGATGGCACTGATACAGCTGAATCTCAAAAGCATACTGCTAAGTGAAAGAAGCCAGACATAAGGCTACATGATGTATGATTCCATTTATATGACATTCTAGAACAGGCAAAACTATAGTGACAGAAAGCAGATCCATGGTTCCAGTGGCTGGAGGGAGTTGGAGGGGGGAATAACTATAAAAGAGACATGAAGAAAATTTGAGGAGTGATAGAAATGTTCAAAATCATTATTTTGGTAGAGATTGGACAACTATATTTGTCAAAACTCAAATTGTACACTAAATGTTACTGTAATACCCTATCTCAAAGTTGTTTATTATTTTTTTTAATGTAATTTTTTTTTTAGATGGAGTCTTGCTCTGTTGCTCAGGCTGGATGCAGTGGCACGATCTTGGCTCACTGCAAGCTCCGCCTCCCGGGTTCACGCCATTCTCCTGCCTCAGCCTCCTGAGCAGCTGGGACTACAGGTGCCCACCACCACGCCGGGCTAATTTTTTTTGTATTTTTAGAAGAGATGGGGTTTCACCGTGTTAGCAGGATGGTCTCGATCTCCTGACCTCGTGATCTGCCCACCTCGGCCTCCCAAAGTGCTGGGATTACAGGAGTGAGCCACCGCACCTGGCCTATTATTATTATTATTATTATTTTAATGCAGAGACAAGGTCTCACTATGTTTCCCAGGCTGGTGTCTAATGCCTAGACTCAAGCGATCCTTCCGCCTCAGCCTCCCAAAGTGCTGGAATTACAGGTGTGAGCCACAGTGCCTGGCCAGTTTTTTATTCTTAAAAGTACATTTGGGCTGGGCACGGTAGCTCACACCTGTAATCCCAGCACTTTGGGAGGCCAAGGCGGGTGGATCACAAGGTCAGGACTTCGAGACCAGCATGACCAACATGGTGAAACCCCATCTCTAAAAAAAATACAAAAATTAGCTGGGTGTGGTGGCGCACACCTGTAATCCCATTTACCGGGGAGGCTGAGGCAGGAGAATCGCTTGAACCCAGGAGGCGGAGGTTGCAGTGAGCTGAGATTGTGACACTGCACTCCAGCCTGGGTGACAGAGCGAGACTCTGTCACACACACATACACACACACAGGACATTCAGATTCAGAAACAGATCTTTTTTAAAAAAGAAAAAGCACGTAACTATCCATCTTTACATGTGCATAAAATATCTCCCAAGAATACACAAGAAACGCCAGGCACAGGGGCTCATACCTGTAATCCCAGCACTTTGGGAGGCTGAGGTGGGCGGATCATGAGGTCAGGAGTTCGAGACCAGCCTGGCCAACATGCTGAAACCCCATCTCTACTAAAAATACAAAAATTAGCCGGGCATGGTGGCGCGCGCCTGTAGTCCCAGCTACTCGGGAGGCTGAGGCAGGAGAATTGCCTGAACGAGGGAGGCGGAGGTTGCAGTGAGCCCAGATCTCACCGCTGCACTCCAGCCTGGGTGATAGAGTGAGACTCTGTCTCAAAAAAAAAAAAAAAAAAACAACAAAAAACAAAAAAAAAACCCACAAGAAACTAGTTAATAAATAATTGCCTTTAGGAAGGAAAGCTTAGGGGTGAGAATGAGAACTATATATATTGCTTTTACACATTTTGAATTTTATAAAAGTGTGTATATTGCCCATTTGAAAAATAAATTACCCTTTAAAATTTTCTTTTTCTTTTTTTAACCAACTGGGTCTGTGCAAGAATTATCCTGACTGTAAGTGTGGATTAAAATAGCTGTTAAAAATTGTCATCATGGCTGGGCACAGTGGCTCACCTGAGGTCAGGAGTTCGAGACCAGCCTGGCCAACATGGCGAAACCCCATCTTTACTAAAAGTACAAAAATTAGCCAGGCGTGGTGGGGGCTCCTATAATCCCAGCTACTCAGGAGCCTGAGGCAGGAGAATCGCTTGAACCCAGGAGGCAGAGGTTGTAGTGAGACAACATCGTGCTACTGCACTCCAGCTTGGGTAACAAGAGCGAGACTCCGACTCAAGGAAAAAAAAAAACTGTCATTTGGGGTGTAATCTAAATAGTGAAAACCCAATTATGGCAAATAAACATACAATCTATAAAACTGATATCTCTACATCATGATGAAAACTGAAGTTGAATCTTAAAATTTAATAAAGGCATCGATCTAGTCGGAACATGTGGGCAGAAAAAAATAATACCCAAATATATAAGGCTGTGTTTTAACAGTTGGCTTTAAACGTATACATTAATTTCAACTTTCTATTTTATGAGAAAGAACAATAGGGAAATAAAGTACAGCCAGCCCTCTGTGTCTATGAGTTCCACCAATTGTGGGTCAAATACACTGGGGAAAAAATGATGTCTGTACTGAACATGTGCAGACTTCTTTGGTCATTATTCCCTAAACACCACAGCATAACAACTATTTACAGAGCACTTACACTGTATTAGGTTTTATAAGTAATCTAGAGATGACTTAAAGTATACAGGAAGATGTGTACAGGTTATACGCAAATACTATGCCATTTTATATCAGGGACTTGAGCATCTGTAGATTTTGGTATCCATGGAAGGACCTGGGACCAACCTTTCATGGATACTGAGGCAGGAATGTATATATAATTATGTTTAGAAAAAAGTGATGGGGTAAGGAACTTTGACAGTTAAAGTAGAACATTCTCAATTTATAAAAAGATTATTGACCGGGTGCGGTGGCTCACACCTGTAATCCCAGCACTTTGGGAGGTCGAGGTGGGTGGATCACCTGAGGTCAGCAGTTCAAGACCAGCCTGGCCAACATGGTGAAACCTGGACTGTACTAAAAATACAAAAATTAGTCGGGTGTGGTGGTGTGTGCCTCTAATTCCAGCTACCCAGGAGGCTGAGGCAGGAGAATCGCTAGAACCCGTGAGGCAGAGGCCACAGTGAGCAGAGATCATGCCACTGCACTCCAGCCTGGGCAATAGAGACTGTGTCTCAAAAAAACAAAATTTTTTAAGGAAAAAAAGAAAAAAAACAGATAATTAAAGTAGAACACTGAAACTTTGAAAGCCTAAGACATATATATATATCACAACACTATAGCAAAAAGAAACCCTCTAAATTCCTTGAGGGGAAGGCATCCTTCAAGGGATGTGCAGATTTCCCTTTCACTATATCCTTGAGTAGGCAACTTAAGCTATTAGTTGGTAAAAATTAACGCTTCTTTACAAGCTATTTTTAAACCACCCTCCTTCCCCAATCATAACAATTATGAAACAAAATAAAAATAGCATGGGAAAGATTTGTTTACCCTGTTGGTCCTCACCCTATGGTGTAAGGTGAAAGGAACAAGATGGGAAACTGAGAGAGGTTATAATTAACTTTGTAGAAAAATGGCTCTAAAGTCAAGTTTTAGTAGTCTGAATATTGCTATACAAATCGAGGCTCTTTGGTGGTTAAAATCACACTATGAAAATATTTAAACAAAGATTATGATTCATAGCATTGTAATTTCAGGGCTAGGCACGGTGGCTCATGTCTGTAATCTCCACACTTTGGGAGGCTAAGGTGGGAGGATGGCTTGAGGCCAGGAGCTCCAGACCAGCCTGGTCAACACAGTAAGACTCTATCTCCACAAAAAAAATTTTTTTTAATTAGCCCAGCATGGTGGAGAGAGCCTGTAGTCCTAGCTACCTGGGAGGCTGAGGTAGGAGGATTGCTTGAGCCCAGGAGTTCAAGGCTGCAGTGGATCGTGCCACTATACCCCAGCCTAGGTAACAAAGTGAGACCCCATCTCTAAAAAAAAGTACATATTTTAATATATCTTTTAATGTTACATGTTACATATGTGTTTATTACATACATCAATACCTATTTGTGTGTTATATATAACAATGTATATATAACAATGTATACATTGTTACATATTTTACATATTAAAACATATATTAAAATATGTATGTATATATAAAATTTCAGGGTCATAAGAGATCATTTAGACCTATTCCCAATTTTATAAGAAAACAAAATACAAAGTATCTAACCCAAGGGTAAGGACTTGAGTGTTCTGCTGTACCATGGTTCTTTAAATCTGGATCTAAAATATTAGAAATGTACAAGTTAGAAATGTCTGAGAATCGGCCAGGTGCAGTGGCTCATGCCTATAATCCCAGCACTTTGGGAGGCCGAGGTGGACGGATCACAAGGTCAAGAGATAGAGACCAGCCTGCCCAACGTGGTGAAACCCTGTCTCTACTAAAAATATAAAAGTTAGCTGGGCGTGGTGGCGCTTGCCTGTAGTCCCAGCTACTCAGGAGGCTGAGGGAGGAGAAATACTTGAACCCGGGAGGCGGAGGTTGCAGTGAGCCGAGATCACACCACTGCACTCCAGCCTGGGTAACAGAGCGAGACTCTGCCTCAAAAAAAAAAAAAAAAAGGAAAAAAGAAATGTCTGAGAATCATGTTAATTTGGGAAATTAAGCTGAACCTCTTTTAAGATTACTGAAACTCTTTTAAGATTACTGAAATGCAGCCAAGCGTGGTGGCTCATGCCTGTAATCCCAGCACTTTGGGAGGCCAAGGTGGGTAGATCACGAGGTCAGGAGATCGAGACCCATCCTGGCTAACACAGTGAAACGCCATCTCTACTAAAAATACAAAAAATTAGCCGGGCATCGTGGCACGTGCCTGTAGTCCCAGCTACTCGGGAGGCTGAGGCAGGAGAATCGCTTAAACCCAGGAGGCAGAGGTTGCAGTGAGCCGAGGTCGTGCCACTGCACTCCAATCTGGGCAACAGAGCAAGACTCCATCTCTCAAAAAAAAAAAAAAAAAAAAAAGATTACTGAACTGCAAAGAAACAACAGTTAAACCAGTAGTTCTCAAAACTGAGATACTGACACAGCAGGATCACCATCACAAGGAAGCTTATTAGAAATGCAAATTCACAGGCTCTACCCCACAACTACCAGGTCAGAAACTCTGAGGTGGAGCCAAACTGTTCTAACAAGGCCTCAAGGAATTATAATGCACACCAGAGCTCATTACTTTTATGTCTGATGAGTTAAAAAGCATCAGAGATAAAAGGTGATACTAGAAAACTCACTACCAAGAAGATTTGAGGGGAAAGCACGGGAGGGCAAAGGGCAAAATGGCACAAACTGGAAAAAGAGATGAGACTTAGAAGGCCAAGGTGTGTTCCAGGTTTTCATTTTTTTCCTTTTTCTTTTTTTGTAAGACAGAGTCTTGCTTTGTCGCCCAGGCTAGACTGCAGTGGAGCAATCTTGGTTCACTGCAACCTGTCTTTCCCAAGTTCAAGCAATTCTCCTGCCTCAGCCTCCCGAGTAGCTGGGATTACAGGCGCCCGCCACCAGGCCCGGCTAATTTTTGTACTTTTAGTAGAGATGGCGTTTCACCACGTTGTCCAGGCCGGTCTTGAGAACTCCTGACCTCAAGGGATCCGCCCGCCTCGGCCTCCCAAAGTGCTGGAATTACAGGCATGAGCCACCGCGCCCGGCCCCAGGTTTTCAAGACAGATTGAAGGGGAGCAGTCTGTCATTACTATAGTACCTGCATTCTCCCTGCCTCACTCCTATCTTAACTAGGGTTGCAACAGAAACAATTTAATTTTTACTACTTGCTTATGTTCCCAGCATAACACTTAAGCTAATATTTAAAAACAACTGCTTACATATTTTAAAATTATGAGTTTTTAAAACTCAGGAAATATTAGTAACTCATTAACTTACATGAGTTTGAAAGACATAATTTGACAAATCAAATCATCTGCAGCTGATAGACTTAATCCCTTAGCACTCTCATTTTCTCATTTTCTATTTCTCTCTTAATATTGTTGCCTTCTAGTATAAAGACAGACAAACCGATGGAAACATGTATCAATATCAATCTCTCCCTGAACTAACTATAAGCAGACATGGTAAGCTTATCTGAGATTAAACTGTGTATTCCCTCTAAAAAGATTCAAAGCAACTAAAAGTATAGAAAATACCCACCATGGGTCAGGTGCGGTGGCTCATGCCTGTAATCCCAGCACTTTGGGAGGCTGAGGTGGGTGGATCACCTGAGGTCGGGAGCTTGAGACCAGCCTGACCAGCATGGAGAAACCCTGTCTCTACTAAAAACACAAAGTTAGCTGGGCGTGGTGGTGCATGCCTGTAATACCAGCTACTTGGGAGGCTGAGGCAGGAGAATTGCTTGAACCCAGGAAGTGCAGGTTATGGTGAGCCGAGATTGCACCATGCACTCCAGCCTGGGCAACAACAGCGAAACTCCGTCTTAAAAAAAAAAAAGAGAGAGAGAAAAAGAAAATACCCACCATAGGTTGGGCACAGTGGCTCACACCTGTAATCCCAGCACTTTGGGATGTTGAGGCAGGCGGATCACCTGAGGTCAGGAGTTCGAGACCAGCCTGACCAGCATGGAGAAACGCCCCCCTCTCTACTAAAAATGCATAATTAGCTGGGCATGGTGGCACATGCCTATAATCCCAGCTATTCAGGAGGCTGAGGCAGAAGAATCACTGGAACCCGGGAGGCGGACATTGCAATGAGCCAAGATCGCGCCACTGCACTCCAGCCTGGGCGACAGAGCAAGACTACATCTCAAAAAAAAAAAAAAAAAAAAAAAAAAAAAAGAAGAAGAGAAAATACCCACCATGAACTTACAACCCAGCTTGGCCCAGTCTTAACATCGCCATACTATCTTAGGATCTACGTCCCCTGTGTACCCTCCCAGAACTGATTAATACCCTAAATATACAGTGTTTATCATTCCCATGCATTCTTTTATACTTTTTTCTAAGAGTCCATAAACAAGACAGTACTGTTTACATGTTTTTAAACTTTTATTTAGATAGCGTTACATGGCATGTACTCTTCTGTACTTTGCTTTCCCTCAAAATATTGAGATATTTTTCCACAAAGATACAAAGGTAGATCTAGTTTGTTCCTTTTTCTTTCTTTTTTTTTTTTTTATTTTTTTTGAGACAGAGTCTTGCTCTATTGCCCAGGCTGAAGTGCAGTGGTGTGATCTCAGCTCACTGCAACCTCCGCCTCCTGGGTTCAAGCGATTCTCCTGCAGCCGCCTCCCAGGTAGCTGGGATTACAGGCATCCACCACCACGCCCAGCTATTTTTTGTATTGTTAGTAGAGACGGGGTTTCATCATGTTGGCCAGGCTGGCTTGTTCCTTTTTCTACTACTGTTTATTCTGCTACTCTATGTCTAAACCACAACAGATCCTTTATTTCCTATTTTTCACTATCACAACGATTTGGTAAATATTTTTATACACGAGTATTAGGTAAACATTTTAACTAGAAAGTACCAACCCCTGGCCAGGTGCAATGGCTCACGCCTGTAATCCCAGCACTTTGGGAGGCCAAGGAGGACGGACCACAAGGTCAGGAGATCAAGACCATCCTGACTAACACAGTGAAACCCCGTCTCTACTAAAAACACAAAAAATTAGCCGGGTGTGGTGGCGGGCACCTGTAGTCCCAGCTACTCGGGAGGCTGAGGCAGGAGAATGGTGTGAACCCAGGAGGCGGAGTTTGCAGTGAGCCAAGATTGCGCCACTGCACTCCAGCCTGGGCGACGGAGCAAGACTCCGTCTCAAAAAAAAACAAAGTACCAACCCCCACTTTAAATTATAATTTCCTTGTCAACCCTATAGTTAATGTTTCATACAACAAATGATTTGCTATTTAATTTTGCTATTTATTGAGATGTTTCAACTATTAAAGCCATTTTCTTCTAAATAAATCACTACTTTCTAAGTGTATTTTAAAAACTCTAGACAGCCTTCATTTCAATAATTGTTTCCATCAAAACAAACACTGTATGCAACTGTTGTTTTTTGGCTATTTTTTTGAGACAGGGTCTCACTGTCGCACAGGCTGGAGGATCTCGGCTCACTGCAACCTCCACCTCCCAGGTTTAAGCAATTCTCCCACCTCAGCCTCCCAAGTAGCTAGGACTACAGGCACACACCAACATGCCTGGCAAATTTTTGTACTGTTTGTTAGAAACAGGGTTTCACTATATTGGTCAGGCTAGTCTCGAACTCCTGACTTCAAGTGATCCGCCCACCTTGGCCTCCCAAAGTGCTGGGAATACAAGCACGAGCCACCGTGCCCGGGCTATTTTTTTTTTCTTTAAGAGACAGAGTCTTGCTCTGTCACCCAGGCAGGAATGCAGTGGCCTGATCATAGCTCACTGTATCCTTGAATTCCTGGGCTCAAGTAATTCTACCACTTCAGCCTCCCAAGTAGCTGGGATTACAGGTGCAAACCAAAGACGCTCTGCTAAGAAGATTAAAGCAAGGGAGGCTGACTGTGGTGGCTCATGCCTGTAATGTCAGCACTTTGGGAGGCCAAGGGAGGATAGCTTCAGCCCAGGAGTTTGAGACCAGCCTGGGCAACATAGGGAGACCTTGTCTCTACAAAACATTTAAAAATCAGCTGGGCATGGTGGTGTGCACCTGTAGTCCCAGCTATTCAGGAGGCTGAGTCGCTGGAACTACAAGCAGGAGGATCTACAACTGGGAGGATCACTTGAGCCCAGGAGGTCGAGGCTGCAATGAGTAGCCACTGCACTTCACCCTGGGTGACAGGGCAAGACCCTATCTCAAAAAACAAAAGAAGTTACATCAGGTTCCAGGAAATCCTTTAAAAATACGATCTGTGTGACAATGTTGACAGCTTCCAGTAGTGATCAAATATACAGCTAATACTTAATTTTTGGATTACAATATTTTCTCTAGGTAAAAAAGATTTTTCTCATGAAGCCTATCCCTTTTAATGATATGTTATATAAAGATATTAGCAAAATTTGTCATTTATATAATCTAATTTGTTGTACTACTATATTTAGATAAAAATTAAAAGCTTACACTATCACAACCCAGAAAGTAAAGCTAAACAAGGCCCAGCCTGGCCAACATGGTAAAACCCATCTCCACTAACAATACAAAAATTAGCCAGATATGGTGGCACATTCCTGTAGCCCCAGCTACTTGGGAGGCTGAGGCAGGAGAATAGCTTGAACCTGGGAGGCGGAGGTTGCAGTGAGCTGAGATCGCGCCACTGCACTCCACTCCACTCCAGCCTGGGCGACACAGCAAAACTCCCTCTGTCTCAAAACAAAACAAAACAAAACAAAAAAAAAAACGCTAAACAAGGCAAGGCAGGTGCAGTGGAGGCTGAGGCAGTAAGACTGCTTGAGGCCAGGAGTTCAAGACCAGCCTAGGCAACACAGCAAGACTCCATCTCTACAAAATAGAAACATTTAGCCAGGCATGGTGGCACACATCTGTAATCCCAGCCACTTGGGAGGCTGAGGCTGGGGGATCACTTGTGCCCAGGAGTTGGAGACTGCAGTGAGCTATGGAGAGACAGGACTAGCTGGATTTCCTAGACCAAGAATCCCTAAGCCTAGCTGGGAAGGTGACCGCGTCCACCTTTAAATACGGGGCTCGCAACTTAGCTAATACCCGACCAATCAGAGAGCTCACTAAAATGCTAATTAGGCAAAAACAGGAGGTAAAGAAATAGCTAATCATCTACTGCCTGAGAGCACAGCAGGAGGGACAATGATCTGGATATAAACCCAGGCATTTGAGCTGGCAATGGCTACCCTCTTTGGGTCCCCTCCCTTTGTATGGGAGCTCTGTTTTCACTCTATTTCACTCTATTAAATCTTGCAACCGCACTCTTCTGGTCCGTTTTTTTTTTTTTTTTTTTTTTGAGATGGGGTCTTGCTCTGTCGGCCAGGCTGGAGTGCAGTGGCGCGACCTTGGCTCACTGCAAGCTCCGCCTCCCAAGTTCATGCCATTCTCCTGCCTCAGCCTCCCAAGTTGCTGGTGGTGCCCGCCACCACGCCCGGCTATTTTTTTTATTTTTAGTAGAGACGGGGTTTCGCCATCTTAGCCAGGATGGTCTCAATCTCCTGACCTCGTGATCTGCCCATCTCGGCCTCCCAAAGTGCTGGGAATACAGGCGTGAGCCACCACGGCCTCATCCATGTTTGTTATGGCTTGAGCTGAGCTTTCGCTCGCTTTCCACCACTACTGTTTGCTGCTGTCGCAGAGCCGCTGCTGACTTCCATCCCTCCGGATGGAGCAGGGTGTCCACTGTGCTCCTGATCCAGTGAGGCACCCATTGCCACTCCCGATTGGGCTAAAGGCTTGCCATTGTTCCTGCATGGCTAAGTGCCTGGGTTCATCCTATCCAGCTGGAACACTAGTCACTGGGTTCTACGGTTCTCTTCCGTGACCCACAGCTTCTAATAGAGATATAACACTCACAGCATGGCCGAAGATTCCATTCCTTGGAATCCATGAGGCCAACAACCCCAGGTCAGAGAACACGAGGCTTGCCAACATCGTGGAAGTGGCCCACCACCATCTTGAGAGCTCTGGGAGCAAGGACCCCTGTTAACACTATGATAGTGCCACTGTACTTCAGCCTAGGCAACAGACTCTGTCTCTAAAAAGATTTTTTTATAAAAACTAAACAAGGCACTATATTGTATTTATGCTGATAAAGTAAACGGACTAAAATTCTGTTTAACAAAAGAAGATGCTGATTACCCTAACATAAAACAAATAATTCAAAAAACTATAGACATTTTAAAGAAAATTCTTTTTTTTTTTGAGACGGAGTCTCGCTCTGTCGCCCAGGCTGGAGTGCAGTGGCGAGATCTTGGCTCACTGCAAGCTCCACCTCCCGGGTTCATGCCATTCTCCTGCCTCAGCCTCCTGAGTAGCTGGGACTACAGGCACCCACCACCACGCCCGGCTAATTTTTTGTATTTTTAGTAGAGACAGGGTTTCACTATGTTAGCCAGGATGGTCTCCATCTCCTGACCTCGTGATCCGCCCGCCTCGGCCTCCCAAAGTGTGGGGATTACAGGCGTAAGCCACTGTGTCCAGCCTAAGAAAATTCTTTTTTAGACTCATCATTGACCTTAAATACAAAACCAGATCTACACTTGAAGAGGGGGTGGAGGGTGTTAGTTAGAATCAGGAAGTCAGAGAATAAGGTCTATCACTGTTAAGTAAGAAAAGTCAGCTATGGGAAAAGCAGTTTTAAAGTCAGTGAGTTCCATCTTATAAGTTATTTATATCCAATAAATTGCAGTTTACACATTAAAATTTGCCTACCACGTTTAAAGTTTCACAAAGGAGAAACCAATATGAAATTCTGAGATTTAAAAAAAAAAAAAAATTCTAAGCTAGACCCCAGATAATCTTTATCTTCACAACAGCAGTTATGGTTTTAAAACATCAACATTAAACATTTGCAATTAAAAAGAATAGACTTATCTTTCTTAGGATGAAAAAGATCTTAACTCTTTATTCTCTATGGGCCTCCTTTTCCTAGGAAGCTATTTTATTAACTGTACTATACAAATCTAGTATCATATATGGTACTATATAGCTGTATTTCTTTCTTCTTTTTTTTTTTTTTTTTTTTTTTTTTGAGACAGAGTCTCGCTCTGTTGCCAGGCTGGAGTGCAGTGGCACAATCTCGACTCACTGCAATCTCCACCTCCCGGGTTCAAGTGATTCCCCTCCCTCAGCCTCCCTATGTTTCATTTTTAATTTATCCACAACTACCAAAAGTTAACCTCTGCACAAACTCTTCTCTACCCCTTTAATGTTTAATTATGACTCCTTGAATGAGAGACAAGGTATATCATATTCTTCACTGCATTCTGTAGAGACTGGAACATTAGAGGCACTCAAATGTCTGAGTGGATTAATGCTTAGTAGGGTACCAACCAGAATTAGTGCTCAAATACTTACAAAGGCACATAAAAAATTTCCAAAAGGAAGTCTAGTCCATTCAGCCCAATCACCAATAGCGGCAGGAAACAGAAAGTCTATAGGCCAGGCACAGGGACTCATGGCTATAATCCCAGCACTTTGAGAGGCTGAGGCTGGAGGACTGCTTCAGCCCAGGAGCTCGAGATCAGTTTGGTCAACAAAGTGAGACCCTGTCTCTACAAAAAATTAACAACAACAACAACAAAAATTAGCGGGGATGTGGTAGCACATTCCTGTAGTACTAGCTACTCAGGAGGCTGAGGCAGTAAGATTACTTGAGCCCAGAAGTTTGGGGCTGCAGTGAGCTATAATCTCACCACTGTACTCCAACCATCTTGGGGGATGGGGTAAAACTCTGTCTCAAAAAAAAAAAAAAAAGACCTGCACGCAGCCGGGCACCGTGGCTCACACCTGTAATCCCAGCACTTTGGGAGGCTGAGGTGGGTGGATCATGTGAGGTGCGGAGTTCGAGACCAGCCTAACCAACATGGAGAAGCCCTGTCTCTACTAAAAATACAAAATTAGCTGGGCGTGGTGGTGCATGCCTGTAATCCCAGCTACATGGGAGGCTGAGGCAAGATAATCACTTGAACCCAAGAGATGGAGGTTGCAGTCAGCCGAGATCGCGCCACTGCACTCCAGCCTGGGCAACAAGAGCGAACCTGTGTCTCAAAAAAAAAAAAAAAAGTTAGTTTATAGTGACATACACAATATATTATGATGTAATTACTGAACTTGAATGAAAAAGGTGTTTTGGGCTAGGCACGGTGGCTCACGCCTGTAATCCCAACACTTTGGGAGGCCGAGGCAGGTGGATCACCTGAGGTCAGGCGTTCGAGACCAGCCTGACCAACATGGTGAAACCCGGTCTCTGCTAAAAATACAAAAATTAGCCGGGTATGGTGGCACATGCCTGTAATCCCAGCTACTAGGGAGGCTGAGGCAGGAGAATCGCTGGAACCCAGGAGGCAGAGGATGCAGTGAGCCGAGATCGCGCCACTGCACTCCAGACTGGGCAACAAGAGCGAAACTCTTGTCTCAAAAAAAAAAAAAAAGAAAAGAAAAGAAAAAAGAAAAAGGTGTTTTGGGGTAAATGTGTAAAACACGAGAGAACAAGGAGTTTCTTTGAGTACTTTAGCAACCACTGAGATGGAAATGTGTTATGAAGAGAATATAGTCATGCTAAACTTAACGAAAGGCATACATTCTGAGAAATGTGTAGCTGTAGGAACATCAAAGTGTACTTACACAAACCGAGATGGTATAACCTAGGCCACATGGTATACAGCCTTATTGCTCCTAGGCTAGAAACCTATACAGCATATTACTGTGCTGAATACTGCAGGCAACTATAACACAATAGTATCTGTGTATCCTAAATATATCTAAACAGAAAAGGTATGGTAAAAACATGAGGAAAAAAAGGTAAAAAAATGGCACACCTCTATAGGGCACTCATCATGAACAAAGTCTGCAAGACTGGAAGTTGCTCTGGATGAGTCCGTAATGAATGAATGTGAGGGCCTAGGACATTACTGATTATTGTACACTACTGCAGACTTTATAAACACTGTACACTCAGGCTATAATAAACTTATTATTTTTTTAATTTACTTTTTCAAAAAAGGAATTGCGCTACAAGAGCTATGTCACTAGGCAACAGGAATTTTCTGGCTCCATTATCTTATGGGACCACTGTCATAATATCATCTGTCATTGACCAAAATGTCATTATGTGGCATATGACCATATTCTCTATTCATTCAAGAACCTTTCCTATTTTACCTTTAACTATCCTTTGTTCATTTCACAACTTCTTTTTCTTTCGAGATGGAGTCTCGCTCCGTCGCCCAGGCTAGAGTGCAGTGGCATGATCTCAGCTCACTGCAACCTCCACTTCCTGGGTTCAAGCAATTCTCCTGTCTCAGCCTCCCGAGTAGCTGAGACTACAGGCACCTGACACCACGCCCAGCTAATTTTTGTATTTTTAATAGAGACAGGGTTTCACCTTGTTGGCCAGGTTGGTCTCGAACTCCTGTCCTCAGGTGATCCACCCACCTCAGCCTCCCAAAGTTCTGGGATTACAGGCGTAAGCCACTGCACCTGGCCAACTTCTTTAAATTGACAAAATTGTATATATTTGTCATGCACAACATGTTGTTCGGAAATATGAATACATTGTAGAATGGCTAAATTGAGCTAATTAACGTATGTATTACCTCACATACTTATTTACTTCACATACTTACTTCTTTTGGTAGTGAAAACACTTAAAAAATCTACTCTCAGCAATTTTTAAGAATACATTGTTATTGGCCGGATGCAATGGTTCATGCCTGTAATCCCAACACTCTGAGAGGCTTAGGCAGGTGGATCACCTGAGGTCAGGAGTTTGAGACCAGTCTGGCCAACATGGTGAAACCCCGTCTCTACTAAAAATACAAAAATTACCCGGGTGTGGTGGCACATGCCTGTAATCCCAGCTACTAGGGAGGCTGAAGCGGGAGAATCACTGGAACCCAAGAGGCGGAAGATGGAGTGAGCCAAGATCGTGCCATTGCACTCCAGCCCGGGCGACAAAGCGAGACGCCGTCTTCAAAAAAAAAAAAAAGAAAAAAAAGCCGGGCGCAGTGGCTCACGCCTGTAATCCCAGCACTTTGGGAGGCCGAGGCGGGCAGATCATGAGGTCAGGAGATCAAGACCATCCTGGCTAACACGGTGAAACCCCATCTCTACTAAAACTACAAAAAATTAGCTGGGCGTGGCGGCGGATGCCTGCAGTCCCACCTACTTGGGAGGCTGAGGCTGGAGAATGGAGTGAACCCAGGAGGTGGAGTTTGCAGTGAGCCGAGATTGAGCCACTGCACTCCAGCCTGGGCGACAGAGCAAGACTCTGTCTCAAAAAAAAAAAAAAAAAAAAAATTCGAATCTAAATCGCTTCGAAATCTGAAAGTTTTTCTGAGTGCTGACATAATGCCACAAGTAGAAAATTCCACACCTGGTCGCATGTGGTAGGCAGCAGTTAAAACACTGTTAAATTTTATTTCATGAACAAAATTATTTAAAATATTGTGTAAAGGCCAGGCACAGTGGCTCACGCCTGTAATCTCAGCACTCTGGGAGGCCGAAGTGGGAGGATCACTTGAGGTCAGGAGTCCAAGACCAGCCTGGCCAACATTGTGAAACCCCGTCTCTACTAAAAATACAAAATTAGCTGGACGTCACCTGAAACCAGGAAGCAGAGGCTGCAGTGAGCTAAGATCATACCACTGCACTCCGGCCTGGGCAACAGAGCAAAACTCCATCTCAAAAAAAAAAAAAATTGTGTAAGGCCTATAATCCTAGCACTTTGGAGGCCAAGGCAGAAGGATGACTTGAGTCCAGGAGTTCAACACCAGCCTAGACAACATAGTGAGGCCTTGTCTCTACAAAATTAGCTGGGCGGCAGTGCCTATACACCTGTACACCACAGTGCCTACAGTCCTTGGGAGGATGGCTTGAGCACTGGAGTTTAAGACTGCCATCAGCCATGATCACACTATTGCATCGCACTCCAGCCTGGGCAACAAAGTGAGACTCTATCTTCAAAAAAAAACAAAAACAAAAAAAAACCCCAAAAAAACAGCTGGCACAGTAGCTCACGCCTGCAATCCCAGCACTTTGGGAGGCCATGGCGGCCAGATCACAAGGTCAGGAGTTTGAAACCAGCCTGACCAACATAGTGAAACTCCGTCTCTACTAAAAATACAAAAACTACCCAGGCATGGTGGCGCGCGCCTGTAATCCCAGCTACTCGGGAGGCTGAGGCAGGAGAATAGCTTGAACTCGGGAGGCAGAGGTTGCAGTGAGCCAAGACTGCACCACTGCACTCCAGCGTGGGTGACGGATCGAGACTCCATCTCAAAAACAAACAAACAAACAAACAAACTACATAAAATTATGTTCAGGCTCCAAAAAATTGTGCAAGGCCTATATGAAACATAAATCAATTCTGTGTTTAGACTTGGGTCCCATCCCCAAGATATCTCATTTCATTATGTATATGCAAATATTCCAAAATCCGAAAAAATTCAAAATCTGAAACACTTAGCGTCCTAAGCATTTTGGATAAGGAATGCTCAACCTCTACTTTTTTTTTTTGAGACGGAGTCTTGCTCTGTCACCCAGGCTAGAGTGCAGTGGCGTGATCTCGGCTCACTGCAACCTCCGCCTCTTGGGTTCAAGCGATTATCCTGCCTCAGCCTCCTCAGTAGCTGGGATTACAGGCGCTCACCACCGCACCCGGCTAATTTTTTGTTATTTTTAGTAGAGATGGGGTTTCACCATCTTGGCCAGGCTGGTCTCAAACTCCTGACCTCATGATCCACCCGCCTCGGCCTCCCAAAGTGCTGGGATTACAGGCGTGAGCCACCACGCCCAGTCTACTTTTTCTTAATTAACTTTTAAATTTCAACCACTCCAGGACTATAGGAACACTCTGCCTAGAATATTCTTCCCATCCTCTCCTCCCCCACATCCACCTTCAGGCTTCACTTAAATATTGCCCTTAGAGACCTTCCCAGAAGCCCTTTTCCGCCATTTCAATTTATTTCTTATTAAGTACTACGGTAAAGCCCAGGTTGCTTTAACAACTTTATACAGTTCCTATTTGTCTGTGTGATTATTATTATTTGAGACAGAGTCTCACTCTGTCGCTCAGGCTGGAGAACAGTGGTGTGAATCATAGCTCACTGAAACCTTAAACTACGCTCATGCAATACTGCCTTAGCATCCCGAGTGAGCTGAGACTACCAGCACATGCCACCACACCTGGGTGTTGCTTATTTTAAAAAATATTTTGTAGTGGCTGGGCACGGTGGCTCACGCCTGTAATCCCAGCACTTTGGGAGGCTGAGATGGGTGGATCATGACGTCAGGAGATCGAGATCATCTGGCTAACATGGTGAAACTCCGTCTCTACTAAAAATACAAGAAATTAGCCGGGTGTGGTGGCACATGCCTGTGGTCCCAGAGGCAGGAGAATTGCTTAAACCCGGGAGGCGGAGGTTGCAGTAAGCCGAGATCGCGCCACTGCACTCCAGCCTGGGTCACGCAGCGAGACTCCGTTTCAAAAAAGAAAAAAATTTGTAGAAACAGGGTCTCACTCTGTTACGCTGTCCCAGCTGGCCTTATACTCCTGGACTCAAGCCATCCACTCTCCTCAGCCATTCAAAATGATAGGATTGGCCAGGCAGGGTGACTCACGACTGTAATCTCAGCACTTTGGAAGGCTGAGGTGGGCGTAACACTTGAGCCCGGGAGTTCGAGACCAGCCTGGGCAACATGATGTAACCCCACCTCTAATAAAAATACAAAAAATTAGCTGGGCATGATGGTACATGCCTGGAGAATCACCTGAGCCCAGGAAGTTGAGGCTGCAGTAAGCTATGGTTGCTCCATTGCACTCAATGCTGGGTGACAAGAGTGAGACTCTGTCTCAAAAAAAAGTACTAAGATTACAGACATGAGCCTTATCTATGGGAACAACTTTTTTTTTTTTTTTTGAGAGGGAGTCTCGCTCTGTTGCCCAGGCAGGTGTGCAACGGCATGATCTCAGCTCACTGCAACTCTGCCTCCCAGGTTCAAGCAATTCTCCTGCCTCAGCCTCCCGAGTAGCTGGGATTACAGGCGCGTGCCACCATGCCCGGCTAATTTTTTGTATCTTTAGTAGAGACAGGGTTTCACCATGTTGGCCAGGCTGGTCTCGAACTCCTGACCTCGTGATCTGCCCACCGCGGCCTTCCAAAGTGCTGGGATTACAGATGTGAGCCACCGCGCCCAACATCTATGTGATTATTTAATGTCTCTTGACCCAGTAACAAATAGGGACCTGACTTCCAGCTTTTTGCACAGTGCCTGGTCCATGAAAACTGCCCAGTAAATATCTGTTGAAGAACCAGATAGTTACAATTACAGTGACTGTCACTGATTGTAAGACTTTTTAAAAAAAACATAGCTGAGGCTGGACACAGTTGTTCATGCCTGTAATCCCAGCACTTTGGGAGGCCAAGGTGGGCGGATCATCTTGAGGTCAGGAGTTCCCAAACCAGCCTAGCCTTGCTAGCAAGACAAAACCCCATCTCTACTAAAAATACAAAAATTAGGCCAGGCACAGTGGTTCACGCCTGTAATCACAGCACTTTGGGAGGCCAAGGCAGGTGGATCACCTGAGGTCGGGAGTTCGAGACCAGCCTGACCAACATGGAGAAACCCCATCTCTACTAAAAATACAAAATAAACCGGGTGTGGTGGCGCATGCCTGTAATCCCAGCTTCTCAAGATGCTGAGGCAGGAGAATTGCTTGAACCGGGGAGGCAGAGGTTGCAGCGAGCCAAGATCGCACCATTGCACTCCAGCCTGGGCAACAAAAGCGTAACTCCATCTCAAAAAAATTTAAAAAATTAAAATACAAAAATTAGCTGGGTGTGGTGGCACACACCTGTAATTCAAGCTACCCAGGAGGCTGAGGCAGGAGAATCACTTGAACCTGGGAGGCAGAGGTTGCAGTGAGCTGAGATTGTGCCACTACACTCCAGCCTGGGCAACAGAGTGAGACTTCGTCTCAAAAATAAATAAATAAATAAATAAACAAAAATAAAACATAGCTGAAATCAAGCTGCATATAATCAATGGCATGTCAGCTTAATTGGCACTAAATATACTTTCCTTCTTAGTAGAATAATGGTACATCTTTCAATTGATGTGTTTCAGAGTCAACGAAATAAGGTACATGGAAAGGCAATAACCTCATTCTCTGATACTGCAGCCATGGGATCATATACCTAACAAAACAGAAGTTTAGCAGAGTGGGGTGGCTGTCTGTAATTCCAGCACTTTAGGAAGCTGGGGCAGGAGGATCACTTGAATACAGGAGTTTGAGAGCAGCCTGGGCCACACAGCAAGACCCTATCTCTACAAAAATTTTTTTAAAAAGCCAGGTATGGTAGCACACACCTGCTGTCCCAGCTACTGGAAAGGCTGAGGTGGGAGGATCACTTAAGCCCAGAGGGTCAAGGCTGCAGTGAGCCGTGATTGTGCCACTGCAGTCTAGCCTGGACAACAGAGCAAGACCCTGTCAAAACACACACACACACACACACACACACACACACACAAAACACAAAACAGAAGTTTAGAATTTTGGCAACCAGAGCCAAGGCAGAAAATAACTAAGTGAATGAGAGAGACAGGACAGGAAAATCGTAGGTATTCCAGTAAAACTACTTCTACTTCTATAGCAAGTAGGGGAACAAAAGTATTAGGAAGTATACATAGTACCAAAAGCAGATCAGACAAACAGCTGTTCCTTGCAACTAACTCCAGGAGATGAGGAGCAGTGGTAGCGACTCCACAGAGAATCTCTGTCAGGATCTGAAATTCCATCTATTTTTAGTTACTGAAGCAGTGGTCTCTGCTCTCTACCCACTCTATGTCCACAACAAGGGTGGCACATAGCCAGGTAGATGGGAAGAGTCTATGTGAATAGACAGATGGTGGAGCACCTATGCCAAAAGACTTCACCCTCACTAGGCTTCAAAGGAAACACTGAAATGCGAGGAAAAGGGCTTCCTTCCTGGCATTTGCGCAAGGATCTCCTCCACCAGCTGAATCCCTCCTTAGTAACTACATAGCAAACCAGAAACCTAAAGAACTTATTTGCTGGGTTACTGACACCCTCTTCTGTAACACTAATCACACATGTACCGCAGTACGAAGCTTGAGAAAATGTGGTGGTGGGGGGAGATGAATGCTAGTATCATTAACTTGGTGTGTTTCTGTGCTACTTAATATAGGTGGATAGTGGAGACCTTAAAGAGATGCCAACTGGCTGGCCAGGAGCCAGTGCAGTGGCTCATGCCTGTAATCCCAGCACTTTGGGAGGCCAAGGCAGGTAGATCACCTGAGGTCAGGAGTTCGAGACCAGCCTGACCAATATAATGAAACCCCATCTTTACTAAAAATACAATAATTAGCCAGACGTGGTGGCATGCACCTGTAATCCTAGCTACTCGAGAGGATGTGAGAGGAGAATTGCTTGAACCCGGGAGGCGGAGATTGCAGTGAGCCGAGATCACCCCATTGCACTCCAGCCTGGGCAACAAGAGTGAAACTCCCATCTCAAAAAAAAAAAAAAAAAAAAAAAAAGAGAGATGCTAACTGGCATCCTGTTTTCTACTATACTCTGTAAAACTATGATCACCCAAAAGAACCTGCATGAACTATTTTTAGTAAGAAGCATACAGGTAAGTTTCAGTACTCTGATGTTTTGAAATACAATATGTAAAAACTGTTAACCTAAAACTGTAAATCCTTGAAACTTAAAAGTAATACTTTTCATGGACTTTACTCTTTCAAAGCACAGGTGGTTAAGTTTCTGTTTTACAAATTCTCCAACACTAACCTAGAGTGTTCAAAATGATGAGTCTGACCACGGTTACCACCGTCTTCCTACAGACAGACAATCTCTATAAGATGGGTAGATCAATAGTCACATAAACTGTTAAATTTTACTATGCTACAAGACTGGCTCTCTATTTGCAAAATTCATATGAATAACATAAGAGCAAAAAAAAAAAAAAAAATTCAAGTTAAAAAAAAAAAAAAAAGGCCAGATCCAAGTTTCAAGCCTGGGAGTATATTTCAGAACAATTATTCAAAACACCAACTGACAGAGATTTTTGTGGCTCCCTTGAACATTCCAGCCTCCAAAACTAGACATGAGAGACTATTAACAAAAATGTGAACAGGTACATCTAAAGAAATGTCTTTTTAAAATTACATTTTATGTAAGCTTAGAGATGGGAGCACCTTTGTTGACAATGAAAGCACCCGAGATGGCATTTAATCAAGTATCATCTACTACAGTAATAAAAAGAATTTACTGGCTGGGCGCAGTGGCTCATACCTGTAATCCCAGCACTTTGGAAGGCTGAGGCGGGCAGATCACGAGGTCAGGAGATTGAGACCATCCTGGCTAACAACGTGAAACCCCATCTCTACTAAAAAACAAAAAATTTGCCGGGCGTGGTGGCACGTGTCTGTAGTCCGTCTCAAAAAAAAAAATCATCTTTGGGTTACGTGGATGGGCAAGTTTAATGACAAGTGGCCATATAAGACACAAAAGAGAAGACACACACAGAGAAGGTGATACAAAGATGGAGGCAGATGCTGGAGTGATGTAGCCACAAACCAAAGGAGCCAAGGAATGCTGACATCCACCAAAGTTGGAAGAGGCAAGGAAGGATTCTCCCCTAGAACATCCAGAGTATGGACCTGAAGACAGACTGACTTTAGACTGCTGGCCTCCAGAACTGTGAGAGAATATAGTTCTGTTACTTTAAGCCACCCGGTTTGTGGTAATTTATTATGGCAACCCTAGGAAACTAATACAGATGGTATAAATATGTAAACATTTAATCTAAAGAAAATCACGCACTCCATTAGTGTGCTATTATTTTAAGAAATCTAAAACTCCTACCATTGAGGCTTTTGTAAAAATCAACTTTGATTTCAAGGCTTGTCTTGTTTTGAGTCAGGATCTCGCTCTGTCACCTAGGCTGGAGTGCAGTGCAGATTATAGCTCACTGCCGCCTTGAACTCTGGGCCTCAAGAGATCCTCCTCTTCCACCTCAGTCTTCCCAGTAGCTATGACTACAGGCGTGTGCCACCAAACCTGGCTAAGTTTTGCAGTTTTTGTAGAGAAGGGGTCTTGCTGAATTGCTCAGGCTGGTCTCCCAGCCAAGTGATTCTCCCACCTTGGCCTCCCAAAGCACTGAGATTATAGGCATGAGCCACTGTACCCAGCTAATTTCAAAGTTTTTCCCTGACATAAGCCCTTAAGAATTTAGCAAAGCAATTCTATCACTTATATTGGCATGATGCATTACAGGTGGTGGGGTTAGTGCTCAAAGGATAGCAGCAGACACTTCTATAATAAGATGTTTAAGAGAATTGATTTCACAATTCTAGACCTACAAAAATATCACATGTATTAAAAACATATTAAGGTGACAGTATTTTGAAGTTTGCTGAAGAATACTGGGATTCAATCCCTTTTTTAGTTTAGAAATATTATAAGACTTCATTCTTTTCACATTCAGGTTTTTCTTTTTTTGCTTGGGGTGACGATGAAGTAAAAGTGAAACATATATTTAACACTGACACCTAAGATTTTGAGATTATACCAATTCCGTAGGTCAACATTATTGGCATGTTAAGACACCATGATAATATTTAAAAACTTAAAAAAAGAAAAGTCCACCAAATCTAAGAAGCCCCTTTCCTCTGTAATGTCCCTCTAGTGCCCTCTATTGACAAAGCCCAACATGTTGTTCACTGCAAAGGTGAAAGAGTCCAGCTCTTCACCAGCTGAAATACATACTTCAGAAGTTATTTAGTCAAAGCAGAGCAAGTACGGGAGGGTGAACTTGGAGCCAACTAATAAACTGCTAAGTGGCAGGGTTGTTTCACTATTTGTTCCTTTTTATTGGTGGGTAATGCTCCATCCAGTATATGGATTTTCTACATTTTGTTTACATATTCAGCTAATGATGGATATCTGAGTTGTTTCTAAGTATCGGGTACTGTGAATAAAACTGCCAAGCACATTTGTAAAAAATAACAACAAAATTATCTTTTATGTAGTCCAAAATGCTAAACCCTCTTCTATCTAATCTTCCCCACAGGCTTGCAGGGTACAATTCCCATTCTACAGACAAGGAAGCTGAGGCTCAGGAAAATTCGCAAAGTGACTTGCCTAAGGCCACAAATGCTCCAAAATTCCACCTTTTCTTTTCTTTTTTTTTTTTTTTTTTGCCACCCCACCTGATATTGGCATTCACTGAATGTTGTTGGCAAACACAGAATACCATGCTTTAGGTACTAGGAATACGAAGAATAAGACAAGAACTTTGCCCAGGAGAGTTCAGTCTAAATAGGGGAATAATCAATCATGTCTACACACTAAGAAACGATTCTACAGTTGAACTCTGACTGCCTGTATGCCTCATGCATGCTTCCTAGAGAAGCCATTTCTGCTGGGTCCCCAAGTATGAATAAAGAATTTAGGAGGTAGGGGATGGGGTGAGAAGAGATTCTCTGTATAAGCAAAGGCACTGAACAAAGACCGGAGAACATGATTCTAGGAAGGACCAACTACAAGCGTTACAACTACAGCAGCATTCCCCAGGAGATACTAATTACTAATATGTATTATAGTAATAAAGACAGTAATATTTTTCTTCTAAATTTTACTTTTTTTTTTTTTTTTGAGACAGAGTTTCACTCTCGTTGCCCAGGCTGGAGTGCAGTGTGCAATCTCAGCTCACTGCAACCTCCGCCTCCCAGGTTCAAGCAATTCTCCTGACTCAGCCTCCTGAGTGGCTGGGATTACAGGCCCCCACCACCACGCCATAGCACTCCAGCCTGGGCAACAAGAACGAAACTTCGTCTCAAAAAAAAAAAAGAGAGAAGTTATTTAATCGAAGCTTATTATATATTAAATATTTCAAGTGTACTCATTCCCAATTGACTTATATCTAGGAGAGAGACATTTTTTATTATTTATTTATTTATTTATTTAGAGACAGTCTCGCTCTGTCGCCCAGGCTGGAGCGCAGTGGCGTGATCTCAGCTCACTGCAAGCTCCGCTTCCCGAGTTCAAGCCATTCTCCTGCCTCAGCCTCTCAAGTAGCTGGGATTACAGGCACCCGCCACCACACCTGGCTAATTTTTTTTGTATTTTTAGTGGAGATGGGGTTTCCCCGTGTTAGCCAGGATGGTCTCGATCTCTTGACCTCGTGATTCGCCCGCCTCAGCCTCCCAAAGTGCTGGGATTACAAGCTTGAGCCACTGCGCCCGGCCGAGAAAGACATTTTAAATGGAAAGCAGAGTCCTTTGATTCCTAAGCCCAAGTAGTCGTATTATTTCAAAATAAACACAAGCAAAGAACAGGCATTTTTCAGAAAAATTAGGGTGACCTATCCATGATGGGATAATTAATAATGTCAGCAGCAGCCTAACTGCAAAATATGCAGTCTGTATTCTTTCTTTTGCTACAATGTATCTGTTGGAAACAAATTTTCATATTATACTGCAATGAAAACAATATACAGTAAGACATTTAAAGGAGTACCTGATGAGGATGACTTTTATTATGTAAGAAAAATACTATTCTTAAAACTGATAGCAAAATAAGAATGACAGATGTTTCATCTTGATAGTACTTTTTTTTTTTTCTTTTTTTTTTTGAGATGGAGTTTCGCTCTGTCGTCCAGGCTGGAGTACAGTGGTGCGATCTCGGCTCACTGCAAGTTCCGCCTCCCAGGTTCACGCCATTGTCCTGCCTCAGCCTCCTGAGTAGCTGGGACTACAGGTGCCCACCACCACGTCTGGCTAATTTTTTTGTATTTTTAGTGGAGATGGGGTTTCACCATGTTAGCCAGGATGGTCTCGATCTCCTGACCTCATGATCTGCCCGTCTCGGCCTCCCAAAGAGCTGGGATTACAGGCATGAGCCACCGCGCCCAGCCTCATCTTGATAATTCTTAATAATTCTGTTTGTGACATTATTTTGATTATATATTTTAATTAATTTATCTGAGATCAGGTGGGGCATGGTGGCTCACACCTGCAATCCCAGCACATTGAAAGGCTTAGGCGGGTGGATCACTTGAGGCCAGGAGTTCAAGACCAGCCTGGTCAACATGGTGAAACCTGCTAAAAATACAAAAATCAGCCAGGCACGGTGGTGCATGCCTGTAATCCCAGCTTCTTTTCTTGGGAGGCTGAGGCAGGAGAATTGCTTGGGCCTGAGAGGCGGAGGTTGCAGTGAGCTGAGATCACGCCATTGCACTACAGCCTGGGCAACAGAGCAAGTCTCTGTCTCAAAAAAAAAAAAAAAAGAATAATAATTAATTTATCTGAGGTAATTTGTGCTGTCAATTTTTTTTTTTAAGAGACAGATCTCGCTCTGTGGCCCAAGCTGGAGTGCACTGGCATGATCACAGCTCACTGCAGCCTTAAACTCCTGGGCTCAAGCGATCCTCCTGTCTTGGCCTTTTGAGTAGCAGGGATTACAGGCACATGCCACTGCACCTAGCTAATTTAATTTTTTGTAGACACAGGGTCTTGCTATATTGCACAGGCTGGTATTGAACTCCTGAGCTCAAGTGATCCTCCTGCCTTGGCTTCCCAAAGTGCTGGGATTACAGGCATGAGCCACCATATCCAGCCAGTGCTCTCAATTTTAATACAAGTATGCATGATTTCATACACTTTGGCTTGTACTCCATCAACAATACTACTTTGATAAGCATTCTAATAAAGTTGGGAAACACCAGATATGAGGAAGAAGAAAGCAGTTTATCAGAAGCCAAAGGAACTGAATGAAAATCATGTCAACTATTACGAAAGTTAAATAAAAACTTAGGTATCCACTGAATGTGGCAATTAAGTAATCATTAGTGACCTTACTAAATAGTTCCAGAACAGTGAATAGACTATTCTTTCAAGAATTCTGGGACTGAAATGTCAGAGATGGGAAGGATAAAGATGAGG
Organism: Homo sapiens; assembly: GCF_000001405.40. Lineage (NCBI taxonomy): Eukaryota > Metazoa > Chordata > Mammalia > Primates > Hominidae > Homo > Homo sapiens. The sequence continues at coordinate 139,571,992 of NC_000005.10, read as the reverse complement.
AAGGAAGTAGCTCTTATGGAAGAGGGAAGTTTAAAAAGTTATTTTACTGCTTTTTTTTTTTTTATAGGGGAAAACCTTCGATAAGTTTGGATGCTAAGAGGAGTTAGTGGAGAAGAGATTGGAAGTATGAAAACAAAGACAATTACCGGAGAGCAAAAACAAGAAAAGGAAAAAGGAAGGAAGGAGGGAGGAAGTGAGTGAGGGAAGGAGGAAGTGAGGGAGGGAGGGAGAGAAGGAAGGAAAGAGGGAAAGAGAGAGAGAGAAAAGGATGGAAAGCAAAAGTTAAGTTTGGCAAAGGGAAAAGTAAAGCTTCTCTAGAGATTAGAGGGGAGAAGGGCTATGACTAAAACAAGTAAATCTGGAGACACAATAGCTCTACAGTCAAGATCGCCTGTATCTGAATCCTAGTTCTTCCTACCATAACCATATAATGTTAGGCAAGTTTATTTCTCCCACTGTTTCCTTATCTAACCTGGGGAGAACAGAATTATTGAAAGATTATTGAAAAGATCAAGTAATTCCTGATGCACAGTGAGTACTCTAAAGTGGATAGCTGAAATCTGTGTTTGTTTTTTTTTTTTTTTTTGAGAGGGAGTCTTGCTCTGTCGCCCAGACTAGAGTACAGTGGCACGACCTCGGCACACTGCAACCTCCGCCTCTTGGGTTCAAGTGATTCTCCTGCCTCAGCCTCCCAAGTAGCTGGGATTACAGGTGCCCACCACTGTGCCTGGCTAATTTTTGTATTTTTAGTAGAGATGGGGTTTCACCATGTTGGCCAGGATGGTCTCGATCTCCTGACCTCACGATCCACCCGCCTCGGCCTCCCAAAGTGCTGGGATTACAGGCATGAGCCACCGCGCCCAGCCGATCTGTTGTTTTAATACCTTGAAGGAAATCCCTAACAACTCACACGTAAGATTTATATTTTCTCTGCAGAACAGGTACTCTGTTCATCTGCTGAGATTAAAATAATGTTTAAGGTGGAAGGACAGTGGTTTTTAGTCTTTTTAGAGATTAAAAACCCATTTGAGGCTGCTCTGCCTAGGGAGTAGCCATTCTTTATTCCTTTACTTTCCTAATAAACTTGCTTTCACTTAAAAAACAAAATCCATTTGACTCTGATGAAAGATATATGCAGAAAGCCGGGGGTGGTGGCTCATGCCTGTAATCCCAACACTTTGGGAGGCCAAGGCAGGTGGATCACTTGAGGTCAGGAGTTCCAAACCAGCCGAGGTGGGTGGATCACGAGGTCAGGAGATCGAGACCATCCTGGCTAACATAGTGAGACCCCATCTCTACTAAAAATACAAAAAATTAGCTGGGCATCATGGCACGCGCCTGTAGTCTCAGCTACTCTGGAGGCTGAAGCTGGAGAATTGCTTGAACTCAGGAGGCAGAGGTTGCAGTGAGCCGAGATCACACAACTGCACTCCAGCCTGGGCGTCAGAGCTAGACTCCATCTCAAATAAAAACAAAAAACAAAAATTAGCCGGGCGTGGTGGCATGCACCTGTGGTCCCAGCAACTTGGGAGGCTGAGGCAGGAGAATCTCTTGAACCTGGGAGGCAGAGGTTGCGGTGAGCCGAGATTGCACAACTGCACTTCAGCCTGGGCGACAGAGGTAGAGACTCCGTTTCGGGGGAAAAAAAGGCGGGGTGGTGGTGGTGGTGAGAATAGAACACCAAATTTGCAATAGTTGTTTTGTTGTTGTTGTTGTTGTTTTGACACAGAATCTGGCTCTGCTGCCCAGGCTGGAGTGCAGTGGTATGATCACAGCTCACCGTAGCCTTAACCTTTCATCCAGGCTCAAGTGATCCTCCTGTCTCAGCCTCCTGAGTAGCTAGGACTACAGGCACACATCACCATGCCCAGCTAATTTTGTTTCACTTTGTTTCGCTTTTGTAGAGACAGGGTCTCCCATTACAGACCAAGCTGGTCTTGAACTCCTAGGTACAAGCAATCCTCCCACCTTGGCCTCCCAGTGTTGGGATTACAGGCATGAGCCACTGTGTCAAGCCTAAATTTGCAGTTTCAAGCAGTATGAGCAACCTTGCCAATCATATAAAGGGAAGTTGAGGAAGATCTTCAGGTTCCAGGACACAGTTTAAATATCCAATTGTTTGAACAAAAGAAAAAAGGCTGCATCCTCTGGATTTATATACCTAACAGCTATGTAAGGATAACACATGGCTTGCCAGAAAATACACTGGACAGTCCAGAAATCCAGGTTCTCAATTCAGACCTACTCTTACCTGGTAGGTCACACGGCCTTTCCAGACAGCAGCCCTGAGATGTGCTGCAGTGCTAACATTTTATGATTCTATTACCCAAAATCTCACTTGACTCTGCAGACAGAAGAACAAACACTACTTTATTTCCCTATATTATAGTTTAACATGATTTTGAAGGTTTGCCTGGAAATCTAACCATCAAAACTTTATTTCTACAGACAAAACAAGTGTGTTTCTGCATTTCTGGGATGAGGCTGCAAAGGTTCCTGGTAGCATGAGGCATGAGTCAGATACTCCTATCCTGGGAACTGCCTAGGATATTTTAAGAGAAATATACAGAATTGGACCTTGTCAAAACCTCTTCCTTGTCAGTCATCAGTACAGTAATATACACTGGGAGACTTCAGAGAAAACCTAGATTTATTAACAGTTATCCTCGATGGCTGTTTGAATTATATTTAAATAACAATCTAGTAGAGCCAAAGAAAGTGCCTTAATTCAATGATCTTTTGTAAAGGAAATAAAAAATACTTTTTTAGTGGGGAAAAAAAAATTCCCAGAACTTATGTGAAGAAGCTCACCTTTTGGAGTAAGAAGGTATCCAAGATAGAACTATCCAAGATAGAACTAATTTAAATAGCCATATTCAGACAACCATTTATTAAAGTTCCCAATACTCCACAGGACTACCTGTTAATTCATCATTTTGATAGGAATTCAATCAGTCCTTACCTCTAATATTAATCTAATATATGGTACCACACCTCTAGTACAGTATTTTTTTTTCTTTTTTGAGACGGAGTCTTGCTCTGTTGCCCAAGCTGGACTGCAGTGGTGCGATCTCAGCTCACCACAACCTCCACCTCCCGGGTTCAAGCAACTCTCTGCCTTAGCCTCCCCAGTAACTGGGATCACAGGTGCTCACCACCATGCCCGGCTAATTTTTATATTTTTAGTAGAGACAGGGTTTCACCATCTTGACTAGGCTGGTATTGAACTCCTGACCTCGTGATCCACTCACCTCGGCATCCCAAAATGCTGGGATTACAGGCGTGAGTCACCGCGCCCGGCCTACAGTATTTTTTATTTTCATTTTTTTCTTTTTCTAGACAGAGTTTCGCTCTGTCGCCCAGGCTAGAATGCAGCGGCGCGATCTCCACTTACTGCAAGCTCTGCCTCCCGGTTCACGCCATTCTCCTGCCTCAGTCTCCCGAATAGCTGGGACTACAGGCACCTGCCACCACACTGACTAATTTTTTGTATTTTTAGTAGAGATGGGGTTTCACCGTGTTAGCCAGGATGGTCTCGATTTCCTGACCTTGTGATCCACCTGTCTTGGCCTCCCAAAGTGCTGGGATTACAGGCATGAGCCACAGCGCCCAGCCCGGCCTACAGTATTTTTAAGCAATTTTTTTTTTTTTGAGATGGAGTCTCGCTGTTGCAAAGGCTGGAGTGCAGTGGCGAGATCTTGGCTCACTGCAACCTCTGCCTCCCAGGTTCAAGCAACTCTCCTGCCTCAGCCTCCTGAGTAGCTGGGATTACAGGTGAGTGCCACCACACCTGGCTAATTTTTGTATTTTTAGTAGAGACAGGGTTTCACCATATTGGGCAGGCTGGTCTCGAACTCCTGACCTCAGGTGGTCGGCCCGCCTCAGCCTCCCAAAGTACTGGGGGATTACAGGCATAAGCCACCGCACCCAGCCTAAGCAATTTTTTAAAATACAGTACTGTTCAGCGTTACAACTACTTTCTTTAAGATCATGCTTCGGTAACTTCCCAATCTCAGACATTTTCAAAGTGTATTGTCAGTCTACAGAGAAACTCAAAACATGAAACAGATCATAATGGAAGAGTAATACATAAACTTCTACGGGATCAATGTATTTACAAAACTGGTTTTCCCAAGACCTCACACAAAACCATACAAAAGGCGGGGCACAGTGGCTCACGCCTGTAATCCCAGCACTTTGGGAGGTCGAGGCGGGTGGATCACTGGAGGTCAGGAGTTTGAGACCAGCTTGGCCAACATGGTGAAACCCCGTCTCTACTGAAAATACAAAAAGTAGCTGGGCATGGGGGTGCATGCCTGTAGTCCCAGCTACTCGGGAGACTGAGGCAGGAGAATGGCGTGAACCCAGGAGGCAGAGCTTGCAGTGAGCCGAGATTGTGCCACTGCACTCCAGCCTGGGCAACAGAGCGAGACTCTATCTCAAAAAAAAAAAAAAAAAAAAAACTTAGCAAATTGGCTGGGTGCAGTGGCTCATCCCTGTAATCCCAGCACTCTGGGAGGCCAAGGCGGGCAAATCACCTGAGGTCTCAAAAAAAAAAAGCAAGTTAATTAGAATTGTATTTAAAAACTACTTAAGGCCGGGCACGGTGTCTCATGCTTGTATTCCCAGCACTTTGGGAGGCCGAAGCAGGTGGATCACAAGGTCAGGAGTTCGAGACCAGCCTGGCCAATATGGTGAAACCCCGTCTCTACCAAAAATACAAAAATTAGCTGGGCGTGGTGGTGCGAGCTTGTAGTCTCAGCTGCTCGGGAGGCTGACGCAGGAGAATTGCTTGAACCTGGGAGGCGGAGGTTGCAGTGAGCCGAGATCATGCCACTGCACTCCAGCCTGGGCGACAGAGCAAGACTCCATCTCAAAAACAAACAAACAAGAAAACTTAATCTTACATAAAGCATTACTTTCAAACTTTTAAAAATACAGAAAGTATTGTTTAAATGACTTAATCTTTTTACACTCCTGATTACTTAATGAACCCCAATCCCTGGTTACTTTAATCCACATACTAAACTGATGTCGACCAAAAATGCGTATTTTGTTGTTCTTTTTTTTTTTAAGTTGAATCGGTTGCCAAAAAATCTGGATTTGTGGCTTCTCTTTTTTTTTTGAATGGAAGATATTGCAACACTGGGCCCACAGATTTTAGCAATAGCAACATTTGCAGGGAGCTGGTTAGCAGTTGCCCTCATCTGATAGCACATGCATTTTCTAGCTCCCTCAAGTTCTCTCTGCTCACTTTGGTACCTGCCTGGCTTTTATAGACATCAGAGTTTGAAATCTTTTTGTTTGTTTGTTTGTTTGAGACAGGGTCTCACTCTGTTGCATAGGCTGGAGTGTAGCGGCTTGATCACGGTTCACTGCAGCCTCTACCTCCCAGGCTCCCGAGATCCTCCCACCTCAGCCTCCCACCTAGCTGGGACTACAGCCATCCACCACCATACCCAGCTAATTTTTTGTATTTTTTGTAAAGACCATGTTTCGTCATGTTGCTCAGGCTGGTCTCGAACTCCTGAGCTCAAGCGATCTGCCCACCTGGGCCTCCCAAAGTGCTGGGATTACAGGCGTGACCCACTGTGCATGACCCACTGTGCATGACCTGAAATCTTTATTTCATTGAGAACTTTGTCTTGAGACGCCTTAAAAGAAGCTAGCCATAGGCCGGGCACAGTGGCTTACACCTGTAATCCCAACACTTTGGGAGGCCGAGACGGACGGATCTCCTGACGTCAGGAGTTCAAGACCAGCCTGGCCAACAGGGAGAAACCCTGTCTCTATTAAAAATACAAAAATTAGCTGGGCATGGTGGTGAGTGCCTGTAATCCCAGCTACTTGGGAGTCTGAGGCAAGAGAACTGCTTGACCCTGGGAGCCAGAGTTTGTAGTGAGCCAAGATCATGACACTGCACTCCAGCCTGAGCAAGACTGCCTCAAAAAAAAAAAAAAAGAAAGAAAAAAAATCTCTATCACAGAAATAGATCAAGTGATAATCCTGGCATTACTTTGTTTGAAAGCTATGTATGCCAAACGTTATCTGCAACTAGTAGGACACCATTAAAATGTACAATGCACTATTACTGTTAAGAAAAGCTTTTAGTATCCAACTCTGGTCAGTCTTCAACTCCTCAAAGAATCAAGATATTTATTTAGCCTTTTACCCTTCCCAAGAATAGAGAAATTAACCAAATACTTCAACATTACAGCACTCTAAGAGCACCAAAAAGCCTCCTACATCTGTATAGCAAAAGTAAAGAAGAAAAACAGGAAGCAAGTCAGAAAGGTCTCCGATCAGCCAAGGAAACCACACAGTTCACAGAGCACATGAAGCCCTCTTCAGTCAAGAGCCTACTGGATCTTATTTTAGACACAATTTTAATAAGCTCTGTGATCTGGTTTCTTAGCCCACAACAGATGAGATGCAGCCAACTGGAAAAGGGCTGGGGGTGGTGCTGCTAGAGGCAGGCACTCAAAGCATCAAAATCAAGGCTGAAGACCTAAAAAGTCAGCAGAAAACCTTAAAACATAGCAGGGTGGGGCCATGTGGTGTAGATACCAACAATCCCAAAGGATCCCAAGCCCTGCCCAGAACTACACACAATGTTCATAATGACCCTCTTTGCTATGCTCTGCTTATAGTATAGGTCAGGGGACCTTAAGATGTATATCAAAATAAAGTCCATCAAAAGCTTTTTCCAAAAAAGACATGGCATTTCAAAGACTGCCAAATTCACAGACATGAATAGCGTCCCTCTGTCAAAGAAACAAGATATTGAATTCCTGAAGATGTCACATGTCAAATGTAGTTTTTCTTAGAAAAATCTTATCAGAACCCAGATGTAGCAACTCATGACATTTAAGTCAAGAAGGTATTTAAGTAGAATTATTTTTTCAGGGAATGATAATTGGGAAGGTTCAAGATCAATTATAGAAGCCAAGCAATGGGGATTCCACTGCAGACACATTACTAGGACAGAAGATAAGATAGAACTGATCTTATCCATGCCTAGGAAGTCAGCTATTCAACTTAAAATTGTGGTACAAAGAGTTTGGAAAAAAAAAATTAATCTCCATTTTGTTTTCACAATCTTTTTGAGTGGTATACCAAAATAAACTTCATTTTTCTTATCACTAGCTGTCTCAGAGAAGTCAAGCCATACTTTGTGAAGAGCTCTAGGGAATAAACTAGGGGAAAATGGTTAATATTGAATTCTAAAAGTTCAGGCCAGGCCAGATGACGTGGCTCACATCTGCAATCCCAGCACTTTGGGAGGCCAAGGTGGCAGAACACTTGAGGTCAGGAGTTCAAGACCAGCCTGGCCAACATGGTGAAATCCCGTCTCTACTAAAAATACAAAAATTAGCTGGGCATGGCGGCGGAGTGCCTGTAATCCCAGCTACTCCGGAGGCTGAGGCAGGAGAATCGCTTGAACCCAGGAAGCGGAAGTTGCAGTGAGCCAGGATAGCACCACTGCACTCCAGCCTGGGCGACAGAGGGAGACTCCGTCTCCAAAAAAAAAAAAGTTCAGGCCGGGCACGGTAGCTCACGCCTATAATCCCAACACTTTGGGAGGCTGAGGCAGGTGGATCACCGGAGGTCAGGAACTAGAAATCAGCCTGGCCAACATGGTGAAACCCCGTTTCTACTAAAAACACAAAAATTAGACAGGTGTGGTGGTGCGTGCCTGTAATCCCAGCTACTCGGGAGGCTGAAGCAGAAAAATCACTTGAACCCAGGAGGTGGAGGTTGCGGTGAGCTGAGATCGTGCCATTGCATTCCAGCCTGGGCGACAAGACTGAAACTCTATCCCCCAAAAAAGTTCAAATTATTTCTAAACTTGATTTTATTAAAAAAATCTTACAAAGGCATATTTTAAGGAAAATCTATTCTAGAAAATATGTAGCAACTCATAAGAAACTATATTACCAGAGCAAGTATTATTAATTAAAACGTATGTTTTGTGTCAAAGAGATAGTTCCCTCTCTGAAAAAGTCCGTTACACATATAATTCAATGTAGAGATTAAAGTCTACATTTCTTTTTTTTTTGAAAGGGAGTCTCGCCTGTGGCCCAGGCTGGAGTGCAGTGGCGCGATCTCGGCTCACTGCAAGCTCCGCCTCCCCGGTTCACGTCATTCTCCTGCCTCAGCCTCCAGAGTAGCTGGGACTACAGGAACCCGCCACCAAGCCCGGCTAGTTTTTTTTGTATATTTTAGCAGAGACGGGGTTTCACCGTGTTAGCCAGGATGGCCTCGATCTCCTGATCTCGTGATCCACCCACCTCAGCCTCCCAAAGTGCTGGGATTACAGGCGTGAGCCACCGCGCCCGGCAGGTCTACATTTCTTTATCTGTAAATTATTACACATTATACCCACTTGCTCTTTCTCAGGTTATAAAATAAGAGGACAAGCTTCTACAGGTATTTGATAACTTCCCAGTTAGATTCTATAAGGACCTAGCAATTCCTAAAAGCCTTTAAAATACATATGTATATATTTTTTTTGGATGACTACTCCTCAGTGTGCTCCCCTGCCCCTTAAACGGTTCTTTAAGACATCTTTGCTTAAGGTTCAAGCTTCTTTATGGTATTTAACAAATACCATTTCATTTTAGTACAAGATTTATTGTCTAAAATCTGCCCTTCTTCATTTGTTAGAAATCAGAGTCAAAAGAAGTTAAGGAGCTAACCTAATTATAGTAACCAATGGGACTGATTCCACACTGTCTTTGAGCAAAAATGAAATGAGGACCAACCGCTGAGCTGAGGTGTTTAAATCATCAATCTGTATTCTGACTTAGTTTAAGACAAGCTAAAAACTGGTTCTCTTCCTCTTGCATCCCCATCCCATCATTCAGAATGGATAACCCCAGTACCTACTTCTAAGTAGCTACAGGTATAGGCCGTGTGCAGTGGCTGATTGATGCCTGTAATTCCAACACTTAAGGGAGGCAGAGACAGGAGGCTAGCTTGAGCCCAGGAGTTCCACACCAGCCTGGACAACACGGCAAGACCCCGTTCTCCACTAAAAGGAAAAAGATGTATTGAAGAAAAAAGTAGCTACCGGTTTAATATAGCCAATCTGAGTAGCCAAGTGAAACACCAAACAGAAATTAATAGTGGTGCCTCCCTACTTCTAAGAAAAAAAACATGAAAGTGGCACTAAGAGGTTACAACATCAGAAAGGGAAAAAAAATAAATTTTAAGCCAATCTTATAGTCTAGATGTATTATTAGGAAAACCTCCTTATTGATAACTAAATAACCCTTCACTTTAAAGAGCAAAGAAATCCTTTTTAATACAAAATCTAGTAAAACCCCTTCCCAGTTAAGAGTCTCGGTAAACATATCACCTAATAGCGTCAAGTCCATTTTGCGAAGAGGCTGTGAAAGGAACTTTTGTATAATTTCTCTGGTGGTTTTCAATGTTCAGGTTTCTACCTCTACCTTTGCCAATGTACAGCTTTTCTATTAGATCCAATCCTGCAAAACGGAAGTGTTAGTTTCTAACTACATACAGCAACCTCAAGGAATAAAATGATTCTCCCTCTACTTCCCTCCTCCCTCATTAAGTCACCTTTTTTTTTTCTTCTGAACTTCCAACTCTTAACAGTTTCTGGACAAGCAGGGTGGACCGATGTGTGCTGCCACCCAAGAGGTAAGTGAACTCAGGATATACTTGTGGATCGGGCAAAACGGCTTCCTCTGTCAGCCCGAGCTCAGGCGGTTTTGTGGAGGGAGCTAGGGCAGGTGTGGGAGGAGGGAACAGAAATGGGGCGAGAAGCCCTTTCGACCTCTGTCGAAGGGGCCGCCCAACGCCCCAGCGCCCCCCTCGGCCCCAACCCCGCCATCCTGGCCCGACAATGGCCCTCAAGTGCAGCGGCAGTCCCAGACTGGAGAGAAGCCCTAAGAGTCCACACCATGCGGGCCTGGAAGGGCAGCCGGGGAGGAACGCTGAGGCCGCGAGAGCACCTCCGGCCTAAGCGCGGGCTGCGCGCCGGGGCCTCCACGGGCGCCATCACTGGGAGTGGGGTATGGAGGCCGCCCCGAGGGGCCAGCACCGGCAGCAAGATCCAAGGAGGCCGCGAGCCCGACGGAGACTACGGCGGGAAGTGCAGGCCGCAGCCTGCTCAGCTGGCCAGCAGCGCAGCCGACCTCCGGCCGCTTACCTTGTGGATTCTCTTCAGAGCCATGGTGGGAGGCGGGTGGCGGCGGCCCCCGGGGCGGGGACGGGGGCGGGGAAGGGACGGGGAAGGGGCTAGGGAGCCTGAGGCCGCCTCGGCGATCTCGGTCGGCAGGAGAAGATGGAGAGTTGAGGAAAGCGGGTCCGGCGGGACGGGCTGAGGGCCGGGGCCCACTCAGCTCCTGGGCCTGCCGCAGCGGTCACCGCATCACCCGGCGGCGGCCCCTTTATTCGCCGCCGCCCTAGCCGCCACCGCCGCCGCCGCCGTAGCTGCCTCTTCCTCCCAGGATCAGCGCCGCCTCCTAAACCGCCGCAGATCCCTCCGCCAGAAAGCAAAAGCCCAAGCCTCGGGCTCGGCCGGCCTCTCTTGGTCGGACAGCCGGAGGGATTGCCTGTCTTCCTCCCTGCTGCAGGTGGACCGAGGGACGCGCGGGCGGGCGGGCTGCGCCGCCGGGGTGGGGCCGTCGGAGCACGGGGTGGGCCCGACCGAGGGGCAGGTCGGGAGGCGCGGGGATTGGCGGGCCAGGGGAGGGAGGGCCGAGCCGCGCCGGCGGCGGAGGGATACGGGCCGCCCCTGTGAGTAAGCTACGCACCGCCGTCGCCGCCACGGCCCCGGAGGGCGTGACGCTGCGAAGCCCTGGGCGGAGATCTCGCGAGATCTAGAGCGCGAGTTCTGCAGGCTCCAGCGCCGCGACCGTTGACTTCATTGCTGATGGAAACCCACGCGCGTGTCACAAAAGATCAATAAATATTAAAAGGCGAATGTTGTCCAGATCTCACGACCGTCCCCGTACTAGTCCCGGGAGGAGGCACTTAGGCCCACTGCAGCGCTCCTGAAGGAGGAAGGGACTTGGCCAAGGTCACAGAGCTCTTCTGAAGTCCTGGGACTTAGCACATCTCTTTCCAGAGGCCGCGTGGCTACAGCTCGGGCACCTGCCACGAGGGAGATGTCTCATAGCCGCTCGGGTTGCAGTGAGATTGGCCTTCCGGACCAAGGCCCCAGATGGAGAGGATTTGAATGTTGTGTTCTCAGCCACTGGCATGTATGTGTGCCTTCGAGGTGTCCAGACTCTGCTCAGCTTAGTGAATTGCAAATTGTTACAAGCAAGCACTGTACCAGCTGCGTCAGAAAAAAAATCACAGTGTGTGCCCCAAATAGTTAAAACCAACGGCTGGGCGCGGTGACTCACCCCTGTAATCTCAGCACTTTGGGAGGCTGAGGCTGGCGCATCACCTGAGGTCAAGAGTTCGAGACCAGCCTGGCCAACATGGTGAAACCCCATCTCTACTAAAAATACAAAAATTAGGCCGGGCACGGTCACTCACGCCTGTAATCCCAGCACTTTGGGAGGCCAAGGCAGGCGGATCACGAGGTCAGGAATTCGAGACCAGCCTGGCCAACACAGTGAAACCCCTTCTGTACTAAATATACAAAAATTACCCGGGCATGGTGGCAGGCGCCTGTAGTCCCAGCTACTCGGGAGGCTGAGGCAGGAGAATCGCTTGAATCCGGGAGGCGGAGGTTGCCGTGAGCCGAGATCACGCCAGTTCACTCCAGCCTAGGCAACAGCAAGAATGCGTCTCAAAAAAAAAAAAAAAAAATAGCCGAGAGTGGTGGCAGGTTCCTGTAAACCCAGCTACTGGGGAGGCTGAGGCAGGAGAATCGCTGGAACCCAGGAGGCAGAGGTTGCAGTGAGCCGAGAGCACGCCATTGCACTCCAGCCTGGGCGACGAGCAAAACTCCATCTCCAAAAAAAAAAAAAAAACCAACCTCGTGCTCCAGATACCCATCAGGAGGGTCCGCTGAAAATCAAACCTAGAATATTTGGAATTGTTTTTTAGGAGATGGAGACAAAAAGCTAAATCACTGAGCACCTACCCTGTGCCCAGCCCTACACCATGACTGGTGTGAGATACGGAGCCAAGCCAGGGCTAGAGGCCTTACACAGGAGAATAGTAAAGAATATTTTGCTGGGAGGTAATGCCCACATTCTGAAATCTACCCCTGGCGTTTTCTGATTCTAAATGTCTCCTTTTCGCTACATCCAGAAAGGACCTTGCAGATCATTGATTCTAGCTCCTGAATTTATAGAGAAGAAAAAACTGGAGCCCAACTAAGGGAAGGATCTTGCCAAAAGCCACACAGTAGGTGAGTGGCAAAGCTCATACTGCCTCACCTACTGAGAAGGTTGGACCATTAGGACAGAAGCACCGTGCACCCAGTGAGAGAAAATTGTATCCAGTGGTTCAGGGTGGGTATAGTTGAGGTTGAGGGTAAAATGGAACATCTCACAGCCCCAGATATTTTCTTCCTAAGAAATGTGATGGGAGGGGTACAAAAATCTCCACTGGACAGATTTCTTTTTTTTTTTTTTTGAGACGGAGTCTCACTCTGTCGCCCAGGCTGGAGTGCGGTGACGCTATCTCGGCTCACTGCAAGCTCTTCTCCCGGGTTCAGGCCATTCTCCCGCCTCAGCCTCCCGAGTAGCTGGGACTACAGGCACCTGCAAGCACGCCCGGGTAATTTTTTTGTATTTTTAGTAGAAACGGGATTTCACCTTGTTATCCAGGATGGTCTCAATCTCCTGACCTCGTGATCCGCCCGCCTCGGCCTCCCAAAGTGCTGGGATTACAGGCGTGAGCCACCGCGCCCGGCCGACAGATTTTTTTTTTAAAGTTATTCTCAGTAATAACTTTTGTATTAGAAAAGCTCCTGGACACGCCTGTAATCTCAGTAATTTGGGAAGCTGAGGCGGGAAGATCACTTGAACTCAGGAGTTCCAGACCAGCCTGGGCAATATAGAGACTTCATCTCTACAGAAGATTGTAAAAATTAGCCAGGTATGGTAGCACGCACCTGTGGTCCCAGCTACTTGGGAGGCTGAGGTGGGGAGGATAGCTTGAGCCTGGGTGGTCAAAACTGCAGTGAGCCGTGGTGGTTCCACTGCACCTCAGGTGTGGTGAAAGAGCAAGATCCTCTCTTAAAAAAAAAGCAATATGTATTTGTTGTAAGACATACCTATAAGTAAAGGAAGGAAATAAAAGTCACCCACACTCTCATCATCCAATAATTAACCACTTTTGACATTTGGTTAATGTCCTTCTAGTCTTTTTTTCCCTTACATATAAATATCAATACATATTTTTCTTTGAAAAATGTGGGGTCATTGCATAATACTGTTTGGTAATCTACCTTGAAAATAAACAATATATTGGCTGGGCGCGGTGGCTCACGCCTGTAATCCCAACACTTTGGGAGGCCGAGGCGGGCGGATCACGAGGTCAGGAGATCAAGACCATCCAGGCTAACACGGTGAAACCCCGTCTCTACCAAAAATACAAAAAATTAGCCGGGCTTGGTTGGCGGGCGCCTGTAGTCCCAGCTACTCAGGAGGCTGAGGCAGGAGAATGGCGTGAACCCGGGAAGCAGAGCTTGCAGTGAGCTGAGATCGCGCCACTGCACTCCAGTCTGGGCAACAGAGCAAGACTCTGTCTCAAAAAACAAATAAGAAAATAAACAATATATCGTGAATTTTCCTGTTTCAAATATTTCTACCTTATTTTAATGGCTTTGTATTCTAGCATATAAATGTACCATATTTATTTAACTGGTCACATTTTGGGGAACATTTGTTTCCCATTTTTACTATTAAAATAATGCTGTGGTAAATATCCTAGCTATCCTATAGTTCATCTTTTTTCTTTTTTTTTCTTGAGATGGGGTCACTGTCTCTCCCTCAGGCTGGAGTGCAGTGGTACACGTCAGCCTCCAACTCCTGGCTCAAGTGATCTTCCCACTTCAGCCCGCTGAGTAGCTGGAACTATAAGCTGGAGCCACCATGCCTGGCTAATTTTTATTTATTTTTTGTAGAAACAGGATCTTTTTTTAAAAAAAATCATATGACTCTTCTTGATAAACAGACTCTTAATCTTTATACAGCTCTAAGAGTGCCTTAGGATAAACTCCTAGAAATGAAACTGCAGCATTAACAGATATGCAGATTTTTGCATCTGTGTTCATGAGGGATATTGGTTTGTTTGTTTATTTATTTATTGAGACAGACTCTCACTCTATTGCCGAGCCTGGAGTGCAGTGGTGCGATCTCGGCTCACTGCAGTCTCCGTCTCCGGGTTCAAGTGATTCTCCTGCCTTAGCCTCCCAAGTAGCTGGGATACAGGTGTGCACCACAACGCCTGGCTAATTTTTGTATTTTTTAGTAGAGACAGGGTTTCACCATGTAGGCCAGGCTGGTCTCGAACTCCAGACCTCAGATGATCTGCCCGCCTCGGCCTCCCAAACTGCTGGGATTGCAGGTGTGAGCCATTGCGTCCAGCTGGGATATTGATTTATAATTTTCTTTTTTTGTAATATCTTCACCAAATTTTCATATCAAGGTTCAGCACTTGGGGAAGCCGAGGCTGGTGAATCACCTGAGGTCAGGAGTTCAAGACTGACCTGGCCAACATGGTGAAACATGTCTCTACTAAAAAAAAATACAAAATTAGCCAGGCGTGGTGGTGCTGCCTTTAATCCCAGCTACTTGGGAGGCTGAGGCAGGAGAATCACTTGAACCCGGGAGGCGGAGGTTGCAGTGAGTCGAGATTGCACCATTGCACTCCAGCCTGGGCAACAAGAGCAAAACTCAGTCTCAAAAAAGAAATAAAAGTTGGCTGGGCACAGTGACTCATACCTGTAATCCCAGCACTTTGGGAGGCCGAGGCAGGCAGATCACAAGGTCAGGAGTTCAAGACCAGCCTGGCCAACATGATGAAACCCCGTCTCTACTAAAAATACAAAAATTAGCTGGGCATGGTGGTGAGCGCCTGTAATCCCAGCTACTCAGGAGGCTGAGGCAGGAGAATTGCTTGAACCCGGGAGGCAGAGGTTGCAGTGAGACGAGATTGCGCCACTGCACTCCAGCCTGGGCGACAAAGCAAGACTATGTTGCAGAAAAAAAAAAAAAAAGTATGGAACTATTCAGATTTTCTTTTTCTTCTTGTGTCAATTGTGATAATTTGTGTTTTTCAAGGAATTTGTTCATTTATGTTGTCCAATTTATTAGAATAAAGTTACTCATAATATCCTTTTATTTTTCCTTTTATTAGGTTAATGGGCAAAACTGCCATTACTTTTGCAGCAACCTAATACTATCTGTAGCATCCATTGTGATGTCCCTTTGTATTTCTGATGTTGGTAATGTGTGCCTTCTCTATTTTTTCCTTGATAAATATAGCAAGGGATTTATCAATTCTCCTAAAGAACAAAATTTTGTCCTTATTTGTTGTTCAATCCATTTTCTATTTTATTGATTTCTTCTGTTATTTCTACCTACTTTAATTTGTTATTTTTCTAGCTTCCTTTTTTTTTTAAGTTTATTTGTTTACTTATTTTTGAGACAGAGCCTTGCTCTGTTGCCCAGGCTGGAGTACAGTGGCAGAGATCTCAGCTCACTGCAACCTCCACCTCCCGGGTTCAGGTGATTCTGCCTCAGCCTCCCAAGTAGCTGGGATTACAGGCATGCACCACCACGCCCAGCTAATGTTTGATTTCTTTTTTTTTTTTTTGAGATGGAGTTTTGCCCTTGTTGCCCTGGCTGGAGTGCAATGGCACGATCTCAGCTCACCGCAATCTCTACCTCCCGAGCTCAAGTGATTTTCCTTCCTCAGCCTCCCGAGTAGCTGGGATTACAGGCATGTGCCACCATGCCCAGATGATTTTGTATTTTTAGTAGAGACGGGGTTTCTCCATGTTGGTCAGGCTGGTCTCAAAATCCTGACCTCAGGTGATCCGCCCACCTCAGCCTCCCGAAGTGCTGGGATTACAGGTGTGAGCCACCGTGCCTGGCCTTTTTTTTTTTTTTTTTTTTTTTTTTTTTTGAGATGGAGTCTTCCTTTGTCACCAGGCTGGAGTGCAGTGGCGTGATCTCAGCTCACTGCAACCTCTGCCTCCCGGGTTCAAGCGATTCTCCTGCCTCAGCCTCCCAAGTAGCTGGGACTACAGGCATGTGCCACCATCCCCAGCTAATATTTGTATTTTAGTAGACACAGGGTTTCACCATGTTGGCCAGGATGATCTCTATCTCTTGACCTCGTGATCCCTGCCCACCTCGGCCTCCCAAAGTGCTGGGATTACAGGCATGAGCCAGCACATCTGGCCGTTTTTCTAGATTCTTAAAGTAGGAGTTTAGATGACCAATTTTATAATTTTCTTTTTTCCTGATAAAAGCACTTTCCAGTAAAAGCACACTGCTTTGCCACACGCTACAAGTTTGATATGTTGGGTTTTCATTTTTATTCAGTTCAATGTTTTTCTAATTTTCCTTGGAATTTATTCTTTGATCAAGTGTTATTTTCAAATTATTTCCAAATAATTTTCAAATTATTTTCAAATAATTTCAAATAATTTTCAAATAATGTTAAAATTATTTGGAATTCATTAATCATCAAGGAAATGCAAGTTAGGCCGGGTGCAGTGACTCACACCTTTAATCCCAACACTTTGGGAGGCCAAGGTGGGTGGATCACTTGACCTCAGGAGTTCGAGACCAGCCTGGGCAGTGAAACCCAGCCTCTACAAAAAATACAAAAATTAGCCAGGTGTGGTGGCACATGCCTGTAGTCCCAGCTACTTCAGGGGCTGAGGCAGGAGAATCGCTTGAACCTGGGACGCAGAAGTTGCAGTTAGCCAAGATTGTGCCATTGCACTCCAGCCTGGGTGACAGAGTGAGACCCTGTCTCAAAAAAAAAAAACAAAAAACAAAAAAAAATAAGAGGAAATGCAAGTTAAAGTCACAATGAGCGGCTAATATGAATGATGTGATGTTTACAACTAATTGATCACAACCAGTTACAGATTTCTTTGTCCCTTTTCCGTGCCCACTGCTTCACCTGACTAGCCTTAAAAAAAAAAATCACGATATCATTTCATACCCACTAGAATGGCTAAAATAAAAAACATTGACAGAAATAAATGGTGACAAGGATGTACAGCAATTGGAACTCTCATACATTGCAAGTGGGGATGTAAAATGGTATAATCAGTTAGGAGAACTGTTTGGTGATTTCTTATTAAGTTAAACATGCATCTACCATATGACGCAGCCGTTCTACTCTTTGGTATGCAAGAAAAATGAAAATATATGTCCCCAAAAAGAGTTGTACACAAATATTTATAGCAGCCTTTTTTGTATATAGTCCAAAACTAGAGACAGCCCAAGTATCCATCCACAGGAGGATGGAATAACACATTATGACACATTCAAACAATGGAACACTGCTCAACACCAACAACAGGTCAAACTATTGATACACTCAACATGGGTGGATCTCAAAATGATAAGCAAAACAAAAACAGAATATGGGCTGTATGATTCCATTAAATGAAGTTCAAAAACAGACAAAACGAATTTTTGTTGTGTGAAGTCAGGTGGTGACTTTGGCGAGATGATTTGTCAGGGAAAGAGTCAGAGCCCTGGCACAGTGGCACGTGCCTGTGGTCCCAGCCACTCGGGAGGCTGAGGTGGGAGGATCACCTGAGCCCAGGAGTTTGAAGCCAGCCTAGGCAACACAATGAGACCCCATTCTCAGTATTATTCTGTCTGCATGAGCCTTTAAAAAAAAAATGCGATCAAGGAAATTCTTTAGGGTAATGGAAATGTTCTTTCTATTGTTTTGGTTGGAGGTTATACAAGTTTATACAATTGTCAAAACTCATGGAACCTTGGCCGGGCGTGGTGGCTCATGCCTGTAATCCCAGCACTCTGGGAGGCTGAGGCAGGCAGATCACCTGAGGTCAGAAGTTCAAGACCAGCCTGGCCAACATGGTGAAACCCCATCTCTACTAAAAATATAAAAATTAGCCAGGCGTGGTGGCGGGCACCTGTAGTCCCAGCTACTTAGGAGGCTGAGGCACGAGAATCGCTTAAACCTGGGAGGCAGAGGTTGCAGTGAGCCAAGATCGCGCCTCTGCAGCCCAGCCTGGGTGACAGAGTAAGATTCCATCTCAAAAAATTTAAATAAATAAATAAATAACTCATGGAACCAAACATTAAAGATTTATTGTATGTACATTGGATATATGTATAGAAACAATATTATAAATTTTTAAAGGGTGTAAAGAATTTTCAGGCCTTATATAATTGATTTTGCCTTGGGGTCATTTTTCTTCCCACTCACCCCATGTGGATCATACAGGCCCTGGTTTACCTTCTGTTACCTTACTGAAATTGCAAGCACACTGCATGTTCCTGGAGTTTGATCTCCCCTCTTGGTTGTTAACCTAGTGCTGCAAACATTTTAGTATTTAGAGGCTTTCCCTTGGCAAAGGTGTTCCCACAGCTGACAGCTGTGATATAGCTGGAGATTAAATGATAAGGACAACAGTCTCATTAATATAAATAGACAGATGACTGCTGTGGTAAAAAGTACTACTGAATAGAGAGTACAGCCCAAGCAGTTTGGGAACTCCCTATTTCCGGATCTCAGCAACCCTATAGGGGAGCTCATCGTGTTTTATGAGAATGGCTGATGAAGCAGTATTGAATAACCTGTTATTGATTTCCTAGCTGCATCAGTATGATCCCTTTTTCTGGTATTTCGTAAGGTATAGTTTTTAAATGTAAGATTGTCTCAAAACATTCTAGACTCTGTAAGATGATACCACTATTAGATGTCAGCTAGTAGAGGCCAGGAGCGGTGGCTTATGCCTGTAATCCCAGCACTTCAGAAGGCCAAGGCGGGCGGATCACCTGAGGTCAGGAGTTCTGGACCAGCCTGACCAACATGGAGAAACCCGGTCTCTACTAAAAATACAAAATTAGAGGCCGGGTGCGGTGGCTCATGCCTGTAGTCCCAGCACTTTGGGAGGCCAAGGCAGGTGGATCACCTGAGATCGGGAGTTCGAGACCAGCATGACTAACATGGAGAAACCCCGTCTCTACTAAAAATACAAAATTAGCTGGGCATGGTAGCGCATGCCTGTATTCCCAGCTACTTGGGAGGCTGAGGAAGGAGAATCGCTTGAACTTGGGAGGTGGAGGTTGCGGTGAGCCAAGATCGTGCCATTGCATTCCAGCCTGGGCAACAAGAGAGAAACTCTGTCTCAAAAAAAAAAAAAAAAAAAAAAAATTAGCCAAGCGTGGTGGCACATGCCTATAATCACAGCTACTCGGGAGGCTGAGGCAGGAGAATCACTTGATCCCAGGAGGCGGAGGTTGCCGTGAGCCGAGATCTCGCCATTGCACTCCAGCCTGGACAACAAGAGCAAAACTCCATCTCAAAAAAAAAAAAAAAAGAAAAAAGAAAAAAGAAACAAAAAAAGAAGTTAGCTATTAGAGGCTGGGCACGGTGGTTCATGCATGTAATCCCAACACTTTGGGAGGCCGAGGCAGGTGGATCACCTGAGGTCAGGAGTTCGAGACCAGCCTGGCCAACATGGCAAAACCCCGTCTCTACTAAAAATACCAAAAAAAAGTTAGCCAGGCGTGGTGGTGCACACCTGTAATCCCAGCTGCGCGGGAGACTGAGGCAGGACAATTGCTTGAACCCAGGAAGGGGAGGCTGCAGTGAGCCCAGATAACGCCACTATACTCCAGTCTGGGCAACAGAGTGAGACTCCGTCTCAAAAAAAAAAAAAAAAAGTTAGCTATTAGAGCTTATCTATTAGAGGCTAATCTATTTATTTGGAAAGGTAAGCTTTGTCAGTTTGTAGTAACTCATTTTTTCATGGCCAAAAGTGGGAACAGTGGTTTATCCAAGGAATTATACTTGATTTTACATTCCTTTTGTACTGTTGTTCTCTCTCATTAAAGTAATTAGATTTGGGATGTGTTCTGCTTACCAGCATTTATTCTATTGTTGGGATCTGGCACCATATCCATGCCCCACTTCATTGAAATTGCTAAGTAAAAAAATGACAGTAGCTTTGCCACTTACTTCCTGTAACACTTTATGTTTATTAGCAGTCTGGTTTTAGCCTAAAAGTCACAACTTTTTTGGAAGTTTTCCCTAACCAGTCACCCCAGATTAGGCACATGCCTCTAGGTTAGAGTCCTGTCACCAGAGATTGATCACACTTGATTGTGATTGTTAGACAACTGTCTCATTCAATAGACTGTCAGTTTCTGGAGGGCAGAGATCTTGTCTCTGTTGTTCCTCTTTTAATCCCCAGTGTCTAGCATCTCAGAGACACTTGTTGAATGAATTCATTAACGACTGGCTGAATAATGAGCAATTCATGAAAAAACACTTTATATTCACAGGTTTTGGGTAAGACAGTAGCTCCCTTAAAACACACACACACTCTTCATGGTATGTCACAGAACTACAGTCTACACTCAGTGCAAAGGGTTTCAAAATCCAGTAGGAAGGACAAATATTGTCCCTCTTCTGTCCTTGGAGAAGATATTGTGCAAGTGTGGAGTTCTCCTGGAGAAATATTCTTTTTTTTTCTTTGAGATGGAGTTTCACTCTTGTTGCCCAGGCTGGAGTGCAATGGCACGATCTTAGCTCACTGCAACCTCTGCCTCATGGGTTGAAGCAATTCAAGACCTGCCTTAGCCTCCTGGGTAGCTGGAATTACAAGCACCCACCACCACATCCAGCTAATTTTTTGTAATTTCAGTAGAGATGGGGTTTCACTATATTGGCCAGGCTGGTCTCGAACTCCTGACTTCAGACAATCCACCCGCCTCAATCTCCCAAAGTGCTGGGATTACAGGTGTGACCTCCCCCCTCCCCCGCCGGTGAAATATTCTAAAAGGAGAATAAGATGGTATGCACACTTGTGCTTTTTCCCATACCAAGGTCAGTGGTGCTGAGAGCCGTGTAGTACAATGATACTGTGGTGTATCTGGAATTGGTGGGTTCTTGGTCTCACTGACTTGAAGAATGAAGCCCCAGACTCTCATGATGAGTGCTACAGTTCTTAAAGATGGTATGTCCGGAGTTTGTTCTTTCTGATGTTCAGACGTGTTTGGAGTTTCTTCCTTCTGGTGGATTTGTGGTCTCACTGGCTTCAGGAGTGAAGCTGCAGACTTTCACAGTGAGTATTACACCTCTTAAGGCAGCGCGTCTGGAGTTACTCATTCCTCCCATGGGTTCATGGTCTCGGTGGCCTCAGGATTGAGGCTGCAGAGCTTCACGAAGAGTGTTACAGCTCATAAACTCAGTGTGTACCCAAAGAATGAGCAGCAGCAAGTTATCTCAAAGATCAAAAAAACAAAACTCCCATAGCGTGAGCGTGGAAGAGAACCTGAGCCAGTTGCCACTACTAGCGCAGGCAGCCTGCTTTTATTCCCTTTTCTGACCCCACCCACATCCTGCTGATTGGCCCATTTGCAGAGAGCTGATTGGTCCATTTTACAGAGCGCTGATTGGTCCATTTTACAGACAGCTGATTGGTCTGTTTTGACAGGGTGCTGATTGGTGCATTTACAATCCCTGAGCTAGACGCAGAGTGTTGATTGCTGTATTTACAATCCTCCAGCCTGAGGTAAAAGTTCTCCAAGTCCCCACTAGATTAACTAGACACAGAGCACTGATTGGTGCATTTACAAACCTTGAGCTAGACACAGGGTGCTGATTGATGCGTTTACAAACCTTGAGCTAGACACAGACTGCTGACTGGTGTGTTTACAAACCTTGAGCTAGACACAGAATGCTGATTGGTGTATTTACAATCCTTTAGCTAGACATAAAGGTTCTCCAAGTCCCCACTAGATTAGACACAGAGCACTGATTGGTGCATTTACAAACCTTGAGCTAGACACAGGGTGCTGATTAGTGTGTTTACAAACCTTGAGCTAGACACAGAGTGCTAATTGGTGTATTTACAATCCTTTAGCTAGACATAAAGTTTCTCCAAGTCCCCACCAGATTAGCTAGATAGAGTGCTGATTGCTGCATCCATGAACCCTGAGCTAGACACAGAGTGCTGATTGGCGCATGTACACTCCTCCAGCTAGACATAAAAGTTCTCCAAGTCCCCACCCAACTCAGGAGCCCAGCTGGCTTCGCCTAGTGGATCCTGTGCTGGGCCGGGGCGGAGTTGCCCGCTAGTCCCGCTCTGCGCAGCTGCACTCCTCAGCCCTTGGGCGGTCGATGGGATGGGGCGCCGCGGAGCAGGGGGTGGCGCCCCGTCGGGGAGTCTCCAGCCCCGCGAGCTCACGGTGTAGGGGGAGGGTGTTCAGGCATGGCGGGCTGCAGATCCCTAGCCCTGCCCTGCGGGCAGGTGCTGAGGCCCGGCAAGAATTTGAGCGCAGAGCAGGTGGGCCTGCAGTGCTGGGGGACCCAGTGCACCCTCCACAGCGGCTGGCCAGGGTGCTAAGCCCCTCACTTCCTGGGCCCACGGCGCCAGCCGGCCGCTCGGAGTGCGGGGCCGCCAAGACCCCGCGCACCCGGAACTCGCGCTGGCCCTCGAGTGCCATGCGCGCAGCCCCAGTTCCTGCCTGGGCCTCTCCCTCCACACCTCCCCGCAAGCAGAGGGAGCTGGCTCCGGCCTCAGCTAGCCCAGAGAGGGGCTCCCGCAGTGCAGCGGCGGGCTGAAGGGCTCCTCAAGCGCAGCCAGAGTGGACGCCGAGGCCGAGGAGGCGCCCAGAATGAGTGAGGGCTGCTAGCACGTTGTCACCTCTCAGTGGTTTAGAACCAGGGCTTTTAAGACCGGGCACAGTGGCTCACACCTGTAACCTAGCACTTTGGGAGGCAGAGGCAGGCAGATCATGATGTCAGGAGTTCGAAACCTGCCTGACCAACATGGCAAAACCCCGTCTCTACTAAAAATACAAAAAATTAGCTGGGCATGGTGGCACGCGCCTGTAATCCCAGCTACTCAGGAGGCTGAGGCAGGAGAATCGCTTGAACCCGGGAGACGGAGGTTGCAGTGAGCTGAGATCGCACCACTGCACTCCAGCCTGGGCAAAAGAGTGAGACTCCATCTAAAAAAAAAAGAAAAAAAAAAGAACCAGGGCTTTGAAGTCAGTGGGTTCAAGCCCTACTCTGCTATTTATTAGGCCATACTGTGAAGTTTGGACAAGTTACTTGACTTCTTGAAACCTGGTTTTTCTCATTAGTAAAATGGAGATAATGTTAGCATATTCATAGATTGTGAGGTTAAATAACAAGTGGTGTGTATAAAGTTCGTGGTGTGAAGGAAATGCTCGATAAATATTGATAATGACGATAATGATGATGATGATGATTTTTGTGAGAAAAGAGGGATTATAAAAGACTGCTCCTAGCCAACCTTTTGCCCATGAGGGAAATCTACAAGCTCAGTCCTTGTGAAGCTGGGGTTTTGGGTTCCCAGAGGCCTCAACCACTCCTTTTCCTGTGATCTTGTGGCTGGGATGACAGTGCATCAGCAGAGGATGGATCGTTTCCTGCAGGCTCAGCCCACACTCCGTGTAGCAATCTTGGGGGATTTCTGTCTGGAAAACAGTCTGGCGGTTCAATCCACAGACAGTCCCCCAACCTTCCTCTATATCTTATAGAGGAGGTGGGAAAACGAGGAACACTTGAATGAGAGGCCGTGCATATATGAGTTGCCTACAAAATCTGTCATTTTTGGAGGTATTATTTGAAGGGAACGTTTATTTATTTATTTATTTATTTTTTTTTTTTATTTTTTTTTTTTTTTTTTTTGAGACGGAGTCTCGCTCTGTCGCCCAGGCTGGAATGCAGTGGTGCAATTGTAGCTCACTGCAACCTTGATCTCCTGGGCTCAAACCATCCGCCTGCTTCAGCCTCCTAAAGTGCTAGGATTACAGGCGTGAGCCACCACACCCAGCCATTAAATTTATAATGAAACTTTGGCCAGGCTCGGTGGCTCACGCCTGTAATCCCAACGCTTTGGGAGGCTGAGGCTGGCAGATCACCTGAGGTGGGGAGTTCGAGACCAGCCTGGCCAGCATGGTGAAACACTGTCTTTACTAAAAATACAAAAATTAGCTGGGCGTGGTGGCAGGCGCCTGTAATCCCAGCTACTCAGGAGGCTGAGGCAGGAGAATCACTTGAACCTGAGAGGCAGAGGTTGCAGTGAGCCAAGATCACACCATTGCACTCCAGCCTGGGCAACAGAGCGAGACTCCGTCTCAAAAAAAATAAAAAAATAAATAAAATAAAATTAGCCGGGTGTGGTGGCAGGCACCTGTAATTCCAGCTTCTAGCTACTCGGAAGGCTGAGGTAGAGAACTGCTTGAACCCAGGAGGTGGTGGTTGCAGTGAGCCGAGATCATGTCACTGCACTCCAGCCTGGGTGACAGGCAAGACTCCATCTCAAGAACAAAAAAAAAAGCCAGGCATGGTGGCCCACGCATGTAATCCCAGCACTTTGGGAGGTTGAGCTGGGTGGATCACGAGGTCAAGAGATTGAGACCATCCTGGCCAATATGGTGAAACCGCGTCTCTACTAAAAATACATGGCATTTTCTGTTCTTGTCTTTACAAATTACCCCCTGACTCATGATAGATACATGACTTGGCCACATCCTTTGCTGTGTGAGCCACTTTTTTTTTGAGACGGAGTCTCGCTCTGTCACCCAGGCTGGAGTGCAGTGGTGCGATCTCAGCTCACTGCAAGCTCCGCCTCCCAGGTTCACGCCATTCTCCTGCCTCAGCCTCCCGTGTAGCTGGGACTACAGGCGCCCGCCACTACGCCTGTCTAATTTTTTTGTATTTTTAGTAGAGACGGGATTTCACCGTGTTAGCCAGGATGGTCTTGATCTCCTGACCTCGTGATCCGCCCGTATCAGCCTCCCAAAATGCTGGGATTACAGGCGTGAGCCACCTTGCCCGGCCGGCAGGAGAATCTCTTGAAGCCGGGAGAAGGAGGTTGCAGTGAGCCAAGATGACGCCATTGCACTCCAGCCTGGGTCACAAGAGCAAAACTCTGTCAAAAAAAAAGAAAGAAAGAAAAGAAAGAAAGAAGGAAAGAAAGGAAGGAAGGAAGGAAGGAAGGAAGGAAGGAAGGAAGGAAGGAAGGAAGGAAGAAAGAAAGAAGAAAGAAAGAAAGAAAATTTAAGGCCAGGCACGGTGGCTCACGCCTGTAATTCCAGCACTTTGGGAGGCTAAGGCAGGTGGATCACTTGAGGTCAAGATTTCGAGACCAGTCTGGCAAACATGGTGAAACTCCATCTCTACTTTAAAAAATACAAAAATTAGCTGGGCGTGGTGGTGCATGCCTGTAATCCCAGCTACACATGGGGCTGAGGGAGAATAATCACATGAACCTGGGAAGTGGCGGTTACAGTGAGCTGAGATCTCACCACTGTACTCCAGGCTGGGTGACAGAGCAAGACTCTGTTTCAAACAAAAGAAAATTTAGGCCAGGCACAGTCGGCTCACGCCAGTAATCCCAGCACTTTGGGAGGCCGAGGCAAGTGGTTCATGAGGTCAGGAGTTCAAGACCAGCCTGGCCAATATGGTGAAACTCTGTCTCTACTGAAAATGCAAAAATTAGCCAGGCAGCCAGGCTCAGTGGCTCATGCCTGTAATCCCAGCACTTTGGGAAGCCAAGGAGGGCGGATCATGAGGTCAGGAGTTCAAGACCAGCCTGGCCAACATGGTGAATCCTCGTCTCTACTACAAATACAAAAATTAGACGGGCATGGTGGTGGGCAGCTGTAATCCCAGCTACTTGGGAGGTTGAGGCAGGAGAATCGCTTGAAGCCAGGAAAAGGAGGTTGCAGTGAGCCAAGATCACGCCATTGCACTCCAGCCTGGGTCACAAGAGCAGAACTGTCTCAAAAGAAAAAAATAAAAAGAAAGAAATAGAATTTAAGGCCAGGCACGGTGACTCATGCCTGTAATCCCAGCACTTTGGGAGGCTGAGGCGGGTGGATCACTTGAGGTCAGGAGTTCGAGACCAGCCTGGCCAACATGGTGAAACCCCATCTCTACTTAAAAAAATACAAAAATTAGCTGGGCATGGTGGTACATGCCTGTAATCCCAGCTACACAGGGGGCTGAGGCAGAATAGTCACTTGAACCTGGGAGATGGAGGTTACAGTGAGCAGAGATCACACCACTGTACTGCAGCCTGGGCGACAGAGCAAGACTCTGTTTCCAAAAAAAAAAAAATGTAGGCTGGGCTCAGTGTTTCACGCCAGTAATCCCAGACCTTTGGGAGGTCGAGGCGAGTGGATCAGGAGGTCAGGAGTTCAAGACCAGCCTGGCCAAGATGGTGAAACTCTGTCTCTACTAAAAATACAAAAATTAGCTGGGCATGGTGGGTGGTGCCTATAATCCCAGCTACTCGGGAGGCTGAGGCAGAGAACTACTTGAACCCGGGAGGCGGAAGTTGCAGTGAGCCTAGATCATGCCATTGTGCTCCAGCCTGGGCAACAGAGCGAGACTCCACCACAAAAAAAAATTAAAAAAAAAAAAGAAAATTTAAAATCTGGTAACACGCAATAGTAAAAAAAAAAAAATAGAAGACAAAGCTGAGAGCAGTGGCATATGCTTATAGTCTCAGCTACTCTAGAGGCCGAGGCAGGAGGATACCTTGAGTCCAGGAATTCAAGTCCGGCCTGTGCAACATAGAGATCCCTATCATATCTAAAAATAATAAAATTGAAGACAATCTATCCATCAATTGGGAAAAGTTAATTAGATTACCATAATTAATACTATGGAATACTATTCCACCATAAAAAGCGTGAGTTAGATCGAGTTAGATCTGTATGTCCCTATGGAAGAACTACCACAGCATTGTTGAGTTAAGAAAGCAGGCCAGGTGCAGTGGCTCACGCCTGAAATCCCAGCACTTTGGAAGGCCGAGGCGGGTGGATCACGAGGTCAAAAGATCGAGACCATCCTGGCCACCATGGTGAAACCCCATCTCTACTAAAAGTACAAAAAAAAATTAGCCGGGCGTGGTGATGCACACCTGTAGTCCCAGCTACTTGGGAGGCTGAGGCAGGAGAATCGCTTGAACCTGGGAGGCAGAGGTTGCAGTGAGCCGAGATCGCGCCACTGCACTCCAGCCTGGCAAAAGAGCAAGACTGTCTAAAAAAAGAAAAAAAAAAGCAAACTACAGTATAAAGTGGGTTACAGAAAGTCTCAATGATGTATTCATATGTAAAAAATTAAAGGAGCTGCACACTTAAATGTGCACTATTTATTGTAAGTTATACCTCAATAAAAGGTTTTCTTTAATCTTCATAAAATTTTGGGGTGTGTGTGTGTGTGTGTGTGTGTGGTTAGAATGCAGTAGCTTGGCAGGGCGCAGTGGCTCACGCCTGTAATACCAGCACTTGGGAGGCTGAGGTGGGTAGATCACCTGAGGTCAAGAGTTCAAGGCCAGCCTGGCCAACATGGTGAAACCCTGTCTCAACTAAAAGTACAAAAAAATTAGCTGAGCATTGTGGTGGACGCCTGTAATCCCAGCTACTTCGGGAGGCTGAGGCAGGAAAATCGCTTGAACCTGGGAGGTGGAGGTTGCGGTGATCCGAGATCGCGCCATTGCACTCCAGCCTGTGCGACAAGAGCAAAACTCTGTCTAAAAAAAAAAAAAAAATTGCAGTGGCTCACACCTGTAATCTCAGCACTTTGTGAGGCTGAGGTGGGAGGACTGCATGAGTTCCAGACCAGCCTGGGTAACGTCTCAAGACCTCATCTCTATTAAAAAAAAAAAAAAAGAAAGAAAGAAAAAAGATCTAGACAGATGAGTAACACATTTTTAACAGCAGTTACTTAGTTATCCCTGTGCAATTGCATGAGAAAGTGAAGGAAGATTCTTTCACTTTTTGCTTTATACTCTGTCACATTATTTACAGTTTAAATAAGCATATTTTGCTTTTGTTATCAACAACAAAGAAATAGAAAAAAATCCTTTGTCTTCTGTGGGGTTCCCTAAATCACTCCATTGACATTCCTGCTGCCTTCAATGGCTCTCTGTGGGAAAAGAAAATGAAGTGAACACCTGTCAAAGGCTTCATGCAAATTGTGCCTACTCCAGATAGTGTGATTGCTGATTTCCCTCTAATTTACATTAAGGAAATTGAACTTTTGGTTGAAGTCGGTCTTCTTTGAAGAAGGAAGCAGACGACATTTAATGCTATGGGCCTATTGTCACTTCAGCACTGCTCTCAGGAAAGAATTGGGATCTGGTGGCGAAGACCGGCGTGAACCGTATCACTTTTTAAATGCCTAAAGGCTGGTTTTGAGAGGCCCGAGTCGCTAGTGAGAAAGCTGCCTCTGCAGCCAGGCCCCTCCCTGGCGGCCCGAGGCTCCGTCCGGTCCCCCGTGTCGTCGCCGGGGCAGCTGGCGCCCTCCGGCGGGGTAAGGCCAGGACCAACCAGAACAGCGCCCTTCCTCTGCAGCCCGCCTACTGACGTGCAATCCAGGATCTACGTGGGTATAGAGGGAAGCTGGGCCCACGGAAGGCAGAATGGCCAAAGAGATGGATATAAAGTGGAGCGGGGAAAGGAGGACACCCTAACAGTTTGGCAGCTCACTGTGCCAAGCGTTCATCTTCCAGAATAATGTAACTAATGTAGGGTATATGTTCTCCATTAGTTCATAAAGGAGGGGTGTCACACAAAGTTTACCTTCTTCCCCCAGCCCCATGAAAATTTCTTTAATATTTTTGTTTAATTTAAAAAGTAACATATGCCAGGCACGGTGGCTCACGCCTGTAATCCTAGCACTTTGGGAGGCTGAGGCAGACGAATCACGAGGTCAGGAGTTCGAGACCAGCCTGACCAACATGGTGAAACCTCGTCTCTACTAAAAATACAAAAATTAGCCAGGCATGGTGGCGCGCGCCTGTAGTCCCAGCTTCTCAGGAGGCTGAGGCAGGAGAATCGCTTGAACCTG
Organism: Homo sapiens; assembly: GCF_000001405.40. Classification (NCBI taxonomy): domain Eukaryota; kingdom Metazoa; phylum Chordata; class Mammalia; order Primates; family Hominidae; genus Homo; species Homo sapiens. The sequence continues at coordinate 139,542,988 of NC_000005.10, read as the reverse complement.
GGAGGCAGAGGTTGCAGTGAGCTGAGATCAGGCCACTGCACTCCATCCTGGACGACAGAGCGACTCCGTCTCAATGAACAAATAAAAAGTTACATATGTTTGTGTAAACTATTAAAACAACACAGAAACAAACCCATACAGTTGGCTTATTTTACTTAGCATGATGTCTTCTAGGTTCATCTATGTTGTAGCATGTGTAGAATTTATTTCCTTTTTAAGTCTGAATTATATGGATATTTATTATGTTTATCCCTTCATCTGCTGATGGACACTTGGGTTACTTCTACCTTTTGGCTATTGTGAGTAATGCTGCTATGAACCTGAGTGTTCTATAAAGAACTTTTATTTGTCAAAACTATGTCATGCCATGCCAGGCGTGGTGGCTGACCCCTGTAATCCCAGCACTTTGGGAGGCTGAGGCAGGCTGATGATTTGAGGTCAGGGGTTTGAGACCAGCCTAGCCAACACGGCAAAACCCCATCTCCACTAAAAATACAAAAATTAGCCACATATGCTTGCTTGAACCCAGGAGGCGGGGTTGCAGTGAGCCGAGATCCTGCCACTGCACTCCAGCCCAAGGTGAAAGAGTGAGACTCTATCTCCACAAAACAAAACAAAACAAACTGTATCATGCCATAGGTTAACAAAATAGTAGGTTAGGGAGTTTCTCTTAATAGAATTCTTCCAGGCTGAGTGTGGTGGCTCATGCCTGTAAGCCTGTTTCTCTACCACTCTACCTTCCCAGGAATAACTATCACTAACAAATGGTACTCGTGAATTCACACTTTTTGTTGTTGTTGTTGAGATGGAGTCTCGCTCTGTCGCCCAGGGTGGAATGCAGTGACACCATCTCAGCTCACTGCAACCTCCGCCTCCCAGGTTCAAGCAATTCTCCTGCCTCAGCCTCCTGAGTAGCTGGGATTACAGGTGCACGCCACCATGCCCGGCTACTTTTTGTATACTTAGTAGAGATGGGTTTTTGCCATGTTGGCCAGGCTGGTCTTGAACTCCTGACCTCAGGCGATCTGCCCACCTCAGCCTCCCAAAGTGCTGGGATTACAGTTGTGTGCCACCATACCCGGCTAATTTTTGTATTTTTAGTAGAGACAGGGTTTCACCATGTTGGCCAGGCCAGTCTCCAACTCCTGAACTCCAGTGATCCGCCATCCTCAGCCTCCCAAAATGCTGGGATTACAGGTGTGAGCCACTGAGCCCGGAGACTTTTTATTTTTATTATTTTTTTTTTGTAGGGTTGTTCTAGTTATGTTGCTCAGGCTAAACTCCAACTCCTGGAGTCAAATGATCCTCCCACCTCAGCTACTGAGTAGTTCTGACTACAGGTGCCAGCATTGAGCCCTATGTGTACCTTTTTTTTTTTTTTTTTTTTTTGAAATGGAGTCTAGCTCTGTGGCCCAGGCTGGAGTGCAGTGGCCCGATCTTGGCTCACTGCAACCTCTGCCTCCTGGATTCAAGCAATTCTCCTGCCTCAGCCTCCTGAGTAGCTGGGATTACAGGCGCCCACCACCATGCCTGGCTAATTTTTGTATTCTTAGTAGAGACGAGGTTTCACTGTGTTGGCCAGGCTGGTCTCGAACTCCTGAACTTGTGATCCGCCCACCTCGGCCTCCCAAAGTGCTGGGATTATAAGCGTGAGCCACCATGCCCGGTCCCCCCGCTTTTTTTTTTTCTTCGAAACAGAGTCTCACTTTGTGGCCCAGGCTGGAGTACAATGGCCAGATCTCAGTTCACTGCAACCTCCATCTCTCAGGTTCAAGTGATTCTCCTGCCTCAGCCTCCCAAGTAGCTAGGATTACAGGCACATGCTACCACGCCCAGCTAATTTTTGTATTTTTAGTAGAGACAGTGTTTCACCATGTTGGCCAGGCTGCTCTCGAACTCATGACCTCAAACAATCCACCCGCCTTAGCCTCCCAAAGGGTTGGGATTACAGGGATGAGCTACCGTGCCCAGCTGCATCCAGACTTTTTTTTTTTTGAGACTGAGTTTTGCTCTTGTCGCCCAGGCTGGAGTGCAGTGGCACGATCTCGGCTCACTGCAACCTCCACCTCCAGGTTCAAGCAATTCTCCTGCCTCAGCCTCCCGAGTAGCTGGGACTACAGGTGCCTGCCACCATGCCCAGCAAATTTTTTTTGTATTTTTAGTAGAGATAGGGTTTTGCCATGTTGGGCAGGCTGCTCTCGAACTCCTGACCTCAGGTGATCCGCCCACCTTGGCCTCCCAAAGTGCTGGCATTACAGGCATGAACCACCGTGCCTGACCCAAACTTTTTAATGTAAATATTGTATACACAAATATAGACACTGTATGTCATAGTGGTTAAGAATACAGGCTAACAATCAAACCTGCACATTGGTTTCCTCTAAGGTATACTGGGATAATAACAGATAATTAGATAGCTATTATTCTTTTTTTTTTTTTTTTTGAGATGGAGTCTTGCTCTGTCGCCTAGGCTGGAGTGCAGTGGCACAATCTTGGCTCACTGCAAGCTCCACCTCCCGGGTTCACGCCATTCTCCTGCCTCAGCCTCCCGAGTAGCTGAGACTACAGGCGCCCGCCACAACACCCAGCTAACTTTTTTTTAAACAAAGATGGGTTTATGTCACATAGAAGGTTATGTCGATGTACTATTTAAATGTTATTTTTAAAAATATTTATAGATTCACTGGAACTAGCAAAAATAGTACAGAGAGTTCCAGTGTTCCCTTCATCCATTTTCCCCCAATGGTTACATCTTATATAATTATAGTATAGCCCGGCGTGGTGGCTCATGGCTGTAATCCCAGCACTTTGGGAGGTCGAAGCAGGCTGATCACCTGAGGTTGGGAGTTTGCGACCAGCCTGGCCAACATGGTGAAACACCATCTCTACTAAAAATACAAAATTAGCCAGGCGTAGTGGTGCATGCCTGTAATCCCAGCTACTCGGGAGGCTGAGGCAGGAGAATCGCTTGAACCCAGGAGGCGGAGGTTGCAGTGAGCCGAGATTGTGCTATTGCACTCCAGCCTGGGCAACAAGAAAGAAACTCCGTCTCAGAAAATATATACATAGTACAATGTCAAAACAAGGATATTGTCCGGGCACAGTGGCTCACACCTGTAATCCCAGCACTTTGGGAAGCTGAGGCAGGTGGATCACTTGAGGTCAGGAGTTTGAGACCAGCCTGGCCAACATGGCGAAACCCAACACGATATCTACTAAAAATACAAAAATTAGCCAGGCATGGTGGCGGGCACTTGTAGTTCCAGCTACTTGGGAGGCTGAGGCAGGAGAATCGCTTGAACCCGGGAGGCAGAGGTTGCAGTCAGCCGAGATCGAGCCACTGCACTCCCGCCTGGGTGACAGACGGTGATCCCGTCTAAAAAAAAATAAATTAGGAAATTGATGTTGGTACAATGTGTGTATATAGTTTTATACCATTTTATCATATGTACAGATTCCCGTAACCATCACCATAATCAAGATACAGAACTATTCTATCACCACAAAGATCTCCCTCATGTCATCTCTTTAGAATCACACACATACACCCCTATCTCCCTAAGCCCTGGCAATTACTAATGTATTTTCTGTCTATAATTTTGTCATTTTGAGAATGTTATATAAATGGAATCATATAGTATGTGACCTTTTGAGATTGACTTTTCTGGCCAGGTGCGGTGGCTCATGCCTGTAATCCTAGCACTTTGGGAGGCCGAGGCAAGTGGATCATGAGGTCAGGGTTTCGAGACCAGCCTGACCAACATGTTGAAACCCCGTCTCTACTAAAAATACAAAAATTAGCTGGTCGTGGTGGTGGGCGCCTGTAATCCCAGCTACTCAGGAGGCTGAGGCAGGAGAATTACTTGAACCCGGGAGGTGGAGGTTGCAGTGAGCTGAGATCGCACCACTGCACTCCAGCCTGGGCGACAGAGCGAGACGCCATCTCAAAAAAAAAGAGATTGACTTTTCTCAGTCACGTAATTCCCTTGAGATCCATCTAAATTGTGTGCGTCAACATTCGTCCCTTTTGTTGCCAACTAGTATTTCATTCTGCAATGTACTTAAACATTTTTTTATTGTAGTAATATACATATAATGAAAATGCTTTTTTTTTTTTTTTAGATGGATTTTGCTCTTGTTGCCCTGGCTAGAGTGCAATGGCATGATCGCTCACCGCAACCTCCGCCTCCTGGGTTCAAATGATTCTCCTGCGTCAGCCTCTGGAGTAGCTGGGATTACAGGCATGCGCCACCATGCCCGGCTAATTCCTTTGTATTTTTAGTAGAGACAGGGTTTTTCCATGTTGGTCAGGCTGGTCTTGAACTCCTGACCTCAGGTGATCTGCCCGCCTCGGCCTCCCAAAGTGCTGGGATTACAGGCGTGGGCCACTGTGACCAGACTCTGTTTTATATATATATATTTTACCAAGGGATTCTACCCACATTGGTAGAATCCCTCAGTATTTGTCTTTTGGAATACTGGCTTATTTTACTTAGCATGATGTCTTCTAGGTTCATCTATGTTGTAGCATGTGTAGAATTTCTTTCCTTTTTAAGTCTGAATTATATGGATATTTATTGTGTTTATCCCTTCATCTGCTGATGGACACTTGGGTTACTTCTACCTTTTGGCTATTGTGAGTAATGCTGCTATGAACTTGAGTGTTCTATAAAGTACTTTTATTTGTCAAGACTATGTCATGCCATGCCAGGTATGGTGGCTCACCCCTACAATCCCAGCACTTTGGGAGGCTGAGGCAGGCTGATGATTTGAGGTCAGGGGTTTGAGACCAGCCTAGCCAACATGGCAAAACCCCATCTCCACTAAAAATACAAAAATTAGCCACATATGCTTGCTTGAACCCAGGAGGCGGGGTTGCAGTGAGCCAAGATCCTGCCATTGCACTCCAGCCCAAGGTGAAAGAGTGAGACTCTATCTCCACAAAACAAACAAACAAACAAACAAAAAAACTGTATCATGCCATAGGTTAACAAAATAGGGAAGGTTTCTCTTTTTTTTTTTTTTGAGACGGAGTCTCGCTCTGTTGCCCAGGATGGAGTGCAGTGGCACGATCTCAGCTCACTGCAAGCTCCGCCTCCCGGGTTCACATCATTCTCCTGCCTTAGCCTCCCCAGTAGCTGGCACTACAGGTGCCCACCAACACGCCCAGCTAATTTTTTGTATTTTTAGTAGAGAAGGGGTCTCACCGTGTTAGCCAGGATGGTCTCAATCTCCTGACCTCGTGATCCGCCCACCTTGGCCTCCCAAAGTGCTGGGATTACAGGCGTGAGCTACCACGCCTGGCCAGAAAATTTCTCTTAATAAAATTCTTCCAGGCCGAGCATGGTGGCTCATGCCTATAATCCCAGCACTTTGGGAAGCCAAGGTGGGTGGATCACCTGAGGTCAGGAGTTTGAGACCAGCCTAGCCAACATGGTGAGACATGGTGAGAACCACTGCACTCCAGCCGGGGTGACAGAGCGAGACTGTCTCAAAACAAAACAAAGCAAAATTAATAAAAGTGATTGTGGCAATGGACAAACAACTCTGTGAATATACTAAAATCGATTGAATCGTACTTTTTAAATGAGTGGATTGCATGGTATGTGAATTTTATCTCAATAAAGCTGTTAAAAATGATATTTAAGAAGCATAACAATCAATCACAATGTATGAACCCTGTTTACATTCCGCTTCAAAAAACTATTAAAAATGAAGTTTATAAGACAATTGGAAATTTGAACAATGACTAGATATTTGAGCATATTAAGGGTATATTACTTTTTGTTGTTTTTTTTTTTTTTGTGAGACAGAGTCTCGCTCTGTCTCCCAGGCTGGAGTGCAGTGGCATGATCTCAGCTCACTGCAAGCACCGCCTCCCGGGTTCATGCCATTCTCCTGCCTCAGCCTCCCGAGTAGCTGGGACTACAGGCATCCGCCACCATGCCCGGCTAATTTTCTTTTTGTATTTTTAGTAGAAACGGGGTTTCACCATGTTAGCCAGGATGGTCTCGATCTCCTGACCTCGTGTTCCGCCCGCCTTGGCCTCCCAAAGTGCTGGGATTACAGGCGTGAGTCACCTCGTCCAGCCTGGGTTTACTACTTTTTAAAGCATGATAATAATACTGTGTATGGTTATGTTTACAGATGAAATGATATCTTGGATTTACTTCAAAATAATATAAAAGGTAAGCAAGTGGGCCGGGTGCGGTGGCTCACACCTGTAATCCCAGCACTTTGGGAAGCTGAGGTGGGTGGATCACATGAGTTCAGGAGTTGGAGACCAGCCTGGCCAACAGGGTGAAACACAGCCTCTACTAAAAATACAAAAATTGCCGGGCAAGGTGGCTCACACCTGTAATCCTAGCACTTTGGGAAGCTGAGGGGGGTGAATTGCCTGAGCTCAGGAGTTCCAGACCATCCGGGACAACAGGGCGTCTCTACTAAAATACAAAAAATTAGCCAGGTTTGGTCACGTGTGCCTGTATTCCCAGCTACTCAGGAGGCTGAGGCAGGAGAATTGCTTGAACCTGGGAGGCAGAGGTTGCAGTGAGCCAAGATTATGCCACTGCACTCCAGCCTGGGCTACAGAGTGAGACTCTGTCTCTAAAAAATAAATAAATACACTTTGGGAGGCGGAGGCGGGCGGATCACTCAAGGTCGGGAGTTCGAGACCAGCCTGACCAATGTGGAGAAACCCTGTCTATACTAAAAATACAAAATTAGCTGGGCATGGTGGCACATGCCTGTAATCCCAGCTACTCCGGAGGCTGAGGCAGGAGAACTGCTGGAACCTGGGAGGTGGAGGTTGTGGTAAGCTGAGATCACGCCATTGCACTCTAGCCTGGGCAACAACAGCGAAACTCAGTCTCAAATAAATAAATAAATAAATAAAATAATAAATAAATACATAAATAAAAATACAAAACTTAGCCGGGTGTGGTGGTGGGTGCCTGTAATTCCAGATACTTGGGAGGCTGAGGCAGGAGGATCACTGGAACCTGGCAGGCAGAGGTTGCAGTGAGCCGAGATCACGCCACTGCACTCCAGTCTGGGCAACAGAGCGAGACTCCATCTCAAAAAAAAGAAAAGAAAAAAATGTAAACAAGTGGAAGTATTAATGAAACAAGACTTCTCACAGTTAGTAATTGTTGAAGCTGGATAAGGAGTGCATGAGAGCTCACTGTAATACATTTCCTCTACCTTTGTATATGTTGCAGATGTTCCATAATAATAAAAATGTATATCATAAATATCTTTTGTGTCAATACATGGAAACCTGCCTCATGCTCTTTGATAGGGGCATAGCCTTCCATATTTATTTAACTAATTCTCTATTAGAGAACTTTTGAATTTTTTTTTGAGATAGTGTCACTCTGTCACCCAGGCTGGAGTGCAGTCGTGTGATCTCGGCTCACTGCAACCTCTGCCTCCTGGGTTCAAGCAATTCTCCCGCCTCAGCCTCCAAAGTAGCTGGGATTACAGGCGTCTGCCACTGCATCCGGCTGATTTTTGTTTTTTTGTTTTTTGTTTTTTTTTGAGACGGAGTCTCGCTCCCAGGCTGGAGTGCAATGGCGCGATCTCGGCTCACTGCAACCTCTGCCTCCCAGGTTCAAGCAATTCTCCTGCCTCAGCCTCCCATGTAGCTGGGACTACAGGTGCCCGCCACCATGCAAGTCTCTTTTTTTTTTTTTTTTTGTATTTTTAGTAGAGACGGGATTTCACCATCTTGGCCGGGCTGGTCTTGAACTCCTGACCTCGTGACCCACCTGCCTCTGCCTCCCAAAGTGCTGGGATTACAGGCGTGAGCCACCACACCCTGACTTTATTTATTTATTTATTTATTTGAGATAAAGTCTCACTTTGTCACCCAGGCTGGAGCGCCGTGGCATGAGATCTTGGTTCACTGAAACCTCTGCCTCCCAGGTTCAAGCGATTCTCCCCACCTCAGCCTCCTGAGTAGCTGGGACTACAGGCATGTACCACCAAACCTGGCTAATTTTTCTATTTTTAGCAGAGACAAGGTTTTGCCATGTTGCCCAGGCTGGTCTTGAACTCCTGAGCTCAAGCAATCCTCTAGCCTTGGCCTCCCAAACTGCTGGGATTACAGGTGTGAGCCACCGCACCCAGCCTTGAATTATTTTCAGATATTCAATATTCTAAACAATACTATAGGAAATATTATTGTACAAATGTTTGTGCCCAATTAACTGTTTCCTTAGAATAAATTTCTTTTTTTTATGCTTTTTTTTGAGACAGAGTTTCACTCTTGTTGCCCAGGCTGGAGTGCAATGGCATGATCTCTGCTCACCACAACCTCAGCCTCACAGGTTCAAGCGATTCTCCTGCCTCAGCCTCCTGAGTAGCTGGGATTACAGACATGTGCCACCATGCCTGGCTAATTTTTTTTTTTTTTTTTTCCTGAGACAGTGTCTCACTCTGTCACCCAGGTTGGAGTGCAGTGGCGCGATCTCGGCTCACTGCAAGCTCCGACTCCGGGGTTCACGCCATTCTCCTGCCTCAGCCTCCTGAGTAGCTGGGACTACAGGCGCCCGCCACGACGCCCGGCTAATGGTTTGTATTTTTAGTAGAGAAGAGGTTTCACCGTGTTAGCCAGGATGGTCTCGATCTCCTGACCTCGTGATCAGCCTGCCTCAGGCTTCCAAAGTGCTGGGATTACAGGCGTGAGCCACTGCCCCTGGCTAATTTTGCATTTTTAGTAGAGACCGGTTTTCTCCATGTTGGTCAGGCTGGTCTCGAACTCCTGACCTCAGGTGATCTGCCCGCCTGGGCCTCCCAAAATGCTGGGATTACAGGTGTGAGACACTGTGCCTGGCCTGTAATAAATTTCCAGAAGTGAAGATGCCAGGTCAAAGAATGTGCAGGTTAAAAAAAAAAATGTTTTTTTTGCCAGGCGCGGTGGCTCACGCCTGTAATCCCAGCACTTTGAGAGGCTGAGGCGGGTGGGTCACAAGGTCAAGAGTTCAAGACCAGCCTGGCCAAAATGGTGAAACCGTGTCTCTACTAAATATACAAAAATTAGCCAGGCTTGGTGGCGGGCGCCTGTAATCCCAGCTACTCGGGAGGCTGAGGCAGGAGAATCGCTTGAACCCGGGAGGCGGAGGTTGCTGTGAGCCAATATCCTGCCACTGCACTCCAGCCTGGGTGACAGAGTGAGACTCCGTCTCAAAAAAAAAAAAAAGATGTTTTTTAATTTATGCTGAGATTGTTCTCTAGTTAAATTCTTGGAATTACTTGTTTTCTGACGCTCCCAGTAATACACTGGTCCTTATCAATTTATCAATCCTTTTCTTTTCTTTTCTTTTCTTTTTTTTTTGAGACGGAGTTTAGCTCTTGTTGCCCAGGCTAGAGTGCAATGGCGCGATCTTGGGCTCACCGCAACCTCCTCCTCCCTGGTTCAAGCGATTCTCCTGCCTCAGCCTCCCGAGTAGCTGGGATTAACGGCGCCAGACACCACGCCCAGCTAATTTTTGTATTTTTAGTAGACAGGAACTTGCCATGTTGGCCAGGCTGGTCTTGAACTCCTGACCTCAGGTGATACACCTGCCTTGGCCTCCCAAAGTGTTGGGGATTACAGGCGTGAGCCACCACGCCCGGCCCCTTTTCTTTTCCTTTCAACCTCTTTTTTGAGGTATAATTTACATGCCATCAATTTCATTCATTTTAGGTGTACAATTCAATGATTTTTTTTTCAACACAGAGGTTGTAGTGAGCTGAGATTGCACCACTGCACTCAGTCTGGGGGACAGAGTGAGACTCCATCTCTCACACACCAAAAAAAGTGTGTATGTGTATGTATATCCCCTATTGAAGGATATTTAAGTTGAGGAGTTGAGGTCCATATATTTTTTTTTTTTTTTGAGATGGAGTCTTGCTCTGTCACCCAGGCTGGAGTCCAGTGGCGCGATCTCAGCTTACTGCAACCTCCGCCTCCCGGGTTCAAGTGATTCTCCAGCCTCAGCCTCCCGAGTAGCTGGGATAACAGGCAAGTGCCACCACGCCCAGCTAATTTTTGTATTTTTTAGTAGAGACGGGGTTTCGCCATGTTGGCCAGGCTGGTCTCAAACTCCTGATCTCAGGTGATCCACCCGCCTTGGCCTTCCAAAGTGCTAGGATTACTGGAGTGAGCCACCGTGCCTGGCTGAGGTTCATTTTTTAGCACATTAAAAATAGTAGAATAGGGCAAGGCATGGAGGTTCATGCCTGTAATCCCAGCACTTTGGGAGGCCGAGGCAGGCTGATCCGTTGAGGTCAGGAGTTCGAGACCAATGTGGCCAACATGGTGAAACCTTGTCTCTACTAGATATACAAAAACTAGGCCAAGCGCGGTGGCTCACGCCTGTAATCCCAGCATTTTGGGAGGCCAAGGCGGGCGGATCACGAGGTCAGGAGATTGATACCATCCTGGCTAATATGGTGAAACTCCGTCTCCACTAAAAATACAAAAAATTAGCCGGGTGTGATGTCGGGCACCTGTAGTCCCAGCTACTCGGGAGGCTGAGGCAAGAGAATGGCGTGAACCGAGGAGGCGGAGCTTGCAGTGAGCCGAGATCGTGCCACTGCCCTCCAGCCTGGGCAACAGAATGAGACTCCATCTCAGAAAAAAAAAAAAAATACGAAAACTAGCCGGGAGTTGTTGCAGGCGCCTGTAATCTCAGCTACTGGGGAGGCTGAGGCAGTAGAATTGCTTGAACCCGGGAGGTGGAGGTCGATTGCAGTGAGCCGAGATCGTGCCACTGTACTTCAGCCTGGGCAACAGAGCAAGACTCTGTCCCCCCCAAAAAAAAAAAAAAAGTAGAATAAATTCCTAGATGTAATATTGCTATGTCAAAGGATATGCAAACTGAAATTTTCGATAGATATTAACAGATTATTTGCTAAGGAAGTTGTACTCATTTACATCCCCCACCAACAGTGTTTCCTCACACCCCCAAAACATCCCTCATCATAAATGAGGTCATGCATAATTAAAAAAAAAACACAACCAGGATCTTTCTCTGTTGCCCAGGGTGGAGTGCAGCTGCATGACCATGGCTCATTGCAGCTTCGACCCCCTGGGTTCAAGCAAACCTCCCACCCTAGCCTCCCGAGTAGCTGGGATTACAGGTGCATTCCACTATACCCACCTGGTTTTTTGTTTTTGTTTTTGTTTTTGTTTTTGTATTTTTTGTAGAGACAAGGTCCCACACTGTTGCCCAGGCTGTTCTAAAACTCCTGAGCTCAAGTGATCCTCCCACTTCGGCCTCCCAAAGTGCTGGGATTACAGGCATGTGCCACAGTGTCCAGCCAGGCATTATTTTCTTTTCTTTTCTTTCTTTCTTTTTCTTTCTTTTTTTTTTTTTGGATAGGGTCTCACTCTGTCACCCAAGCTGGAGTGCAGGGGTATGTGATGCAATCTCAGCTTGTAGCAGGACAAGCCACAGACAAAACCTCTCAGACACCGAGTTGTAGAAGGGCTTTATTCAGCTGGGAGCATCGGCAAGCTACTGCCTTAAAATCCGATCTCCCCGAGTGCACAATTTCTGTCCCTTTTAAGGGCTCACAACACTAAAGATTTCACATGAAAGGGTTGTGATTGATTTGAGCAGGCAGGCGGTACGTGACAGGGGCTGCATGCACCGGTGGTCAGAGAGAAACAGAACAGGGCAGGGAATTTCACAATGTTCTTCTATACAATGGCTGGAATCTATGAATAACATCAGTTTCTAAGTTATGGGTTGATTTTTAACTACTGGGTTTAGGCCAGGCAGGCCCAGGCCTGCTTTCAGGCCTGGTGCCGGGCTGCCTGTCTTTGATTTTACTTCTTTGTTGTTTTTTCTTAAAACAGGTACTGAGTATAAAATAATATAAAACAATATGAGAGGGTCTCTCTCTTCCCTCATTTCCCCCCCTTTGAGACTCTCACTTTTTATTAGTGGGAGTTCTCACTTTTGTTTTTGCTACTTATGTCTTTTTGTGCAATAGATTGATAGTGATTTACATAGTATGCTTGTGCTGAAGCATTTTTGTGAACTAAGGTGGCAACGAAGTTTTTTATCATTTGGAGAAATACAGGTATAAGACAAGGGAGCAGTAAGCAGGTTCCTATTACTATTATTATTTTTATTACAAGAGTTTTAAATTTTCCTATTGCTGGGAACCAATTTTCAAACATGGCTCCCGGACTGAGTCCATGCCACACTTGCACAGGTACATGTGCCAGTTTTGTTATATCTTTAACTATATTCTCAACTACTTGCCCCTGATCATCTATGTGTAGACAATAATTAGTACGGTTAAATTTTCTACAAACTCCTCCTTCAGCTGCTACCAAGTTGTCAAGAACTATTCTATTTTGATAGATAGCATTTCTCATCAGAGTCTCTTGCTGGGCAAGAACGGTCAAGGCTTGACCGGTTTTATTAGTAATAATTTCTAAAACAGCTTGCAACTGTATGATTCAGTTGAGCATGTAGATAGGGGTTCGATATCCTCATGAGCCTTCTTGTGCCTAAGTGGCGGGTCTATAGTATTGTATGATTCTTTCAGAGGGCCATTCATTATTTTTCTAATCACTTATGGCTATGCTTCATTTTTTGCAGGAAGCATAGACTGGGAAGCCTAGAAGTTCACCTGTTTTTATGGGCAGTAAGAAGAAAGATGGCTTAATGGTGCCAATTATACAGCTACCTGTCCTGATCAGGCAGCTTAGCATAAGCTCTGTGTCCACATATCCAGTATAACCTGGTGGGGGCCGTCCAGTCCTGGTGGAATTCTGGGTGGGCCCAAACAGTCTGCAACTTTGGAAATTTGCTGAATGGATTCCTTTCTGTGTGATTGGAACTCTACCATGTAACTGTTTTTGTGGTACCATTATACAGCTTTTGCCTAAGACAACTAAGCCACCTTACAGGATGAGTGAATCCTTTTCCTTCTCTAGCTATGCAATACTGTCCAATAATTGAGACTTTTAGAACCCAAAAATTGTCAGGGTGGTTCTTTTGGGCTGGGAATTCATCAGGAACTGGGTCTGTAGGAACTAATTTTCGGGCTTCCCATGGCCATTGATCTCTTGTTACAGTTCCTCCACAGACATAACATGAGGTGACTTGTAGAGACTGGGCTACATGTTCGGCTAATGGAAAAAACAAATTTTTAGTTTTTCCTGGAATCTCAGGTACTGGCACATTTAGTTCATCATGAAATACTGAAATACTGGTAGAAAATACTGGTAGAAGGTCTGAAATACTGGTTCTGGAGAGCGTTTTTGAACCTCTCCTTTTATTAGGATGCTTACACTAAGATCCAGCCCTTTTCCATCAATGCCTAATGTTACATTTTTTTTTATTTTACTTGGGTCTGAGGGGTTTGTGATTATCAATTTTAAAAGGATGCAGCTCCCACTTGTGCAGGAGGGGCTGACTTTTCATTTTTGGAGCCAAACAGGATCTTTTTTTATTTTCTTTTTAAGTAGCTCAAATGACACAAGACCAGTATTGACACATCTCGCATAAATATGATTTTTGACAGATGTACTTATTTTCTGCTGTGTAACTTTTTTTCCAATCTAGAGAACTGCATCTTATCCCATGCTGTTTACTATTAATAGCAGCACAGGCATCAAATTTTAAGATTACATTTTTGGGGACCCCTTTTTCTTCTGTTCTAGCTATTACTTTACTTGTGTCACCTAGAAAAGGACCAGTCCTTAGTCTTACTTCAAAGACTGTGATCTTGGGAGGTTCAGAGGGGTCATAGCACACATTGGGCTGGTCACTGCCTGGATTACCTACTTTATACTGAGTGTTATTATACAAACAGGTTCCTTTTGGAGTTCTTAGGCATTCATAATAACTATAAAATAATATGACTGTAGCAATCTTTTGTCCTACCTCAGTGACCTGATGTATATACTGGGAACAGTTTTCAGTCTGAGGAAGGTCAGTTGAAGTCCTTATTGTACAAGTCCAAATTTTGAGGAAAATGAGTCCCGCAATGAGTTTCCTCATGCTTCGGCCATGTGTGTACAAGTCAGCTTCCGGGTGTGACTGGAGCAGGGCTTGTCATCTTCTTCAGAGTCACTTTGCAGGGGTTGGCGAAGCTTCTCCTATCCACGTACAGCTCCTAGTCTACTGATGTTTAAGCGTGGTCTCAGTGGTTGGGCCTACTAGAATAAACTGAGTCCAGTACTTCTACACAGTTATGTTTAACTGGGCTCTCTGATACGGGGAGCAAGGTGGCAGGGTTTAGGGTGTTGCAAACTTCAGTGGTTATGCGGGGATTTTCACAGAGCAAGCTTTGGTATCTAGTTAGTCTAGCATTCATTAGCTAATGGTTTCCTTTGTTATTTATTAAAATCACCATAGCATGGGGGGACTTTATGTTTAGGTTTTGTCTAAGAGTTAGCTTATTTGCTTCTTGTGCTAACAGGGCCCTTGCTGCCAGGACCCTTGGACATGGGGGCCAGCCTTTGGAAACCCCGTCTAGTTGTTTTGAGAGATAGGCCACTGGCCTTGGTCAGGGCCCTACATTCTGGGTTAAAACTCCAACTGCCATTTTTTCTCTTTCTGACACAGAGTGTAAAGAGTTTTGTCAGGTCAGGTAGCCTCAGGGCTGGGGCCGACATGAGTTTTTCTTTTTTCTTTTTTTTTTTGGTTGATGAAATGCCAGGGTGAAAGGGATAGCCAAATGGACTAAAGCACAAGTGCCACACTAGTTATTTGGCAGAGTGCCCAGTAAAGGTCCACCACAATACCACCACACATCCACTCGGGGATGAACAAGGGCTGACTGATTGATAAGCTCTTGAAAATTCTTAAGCTCACTGCATCCCTTCAGGTCTCCAAGGAATACTAAGTTTCCTCTCTGCCGTGAGAGACACGAAGTGAACTTAGTGTTGGGAGACAGAAGCTGCATGGCCCTTGGGGGCTGACCCGCAGAGACTTTGGGATATAGCAGAGAGAGCTTGGCATGACTTATTACTCCAGGCTGTAGAATCCTGGAAAAGAGCTACCATGCAGTCCACGCCTGGTCGACTAGAGGACCACCTTAGTGGAAGGGGGACAATCAGGGCCTCTGGCCTGCCATGTGCACAAGCATAACAATTGCTTTTGTTTAATGTGCAGATGGAATATTTGATCCATTTCAACCAGGAATTTGCATCTGTCTTAATAGTACACAGGAGGCCTTATTACTTTTAAATTATACAACATTTTTTGCTTAAAATTTTTTTAATAAAATTTTTTCTTTTATGACTTTTGCAGACAATTTTTTAAACATGTTTTAACTTTTTGACTTATTACAAACATTCTTTTCTTTAAACAACCAGTTAATTTATTTCAGGACAAGAATTTATCATATAACTCTTTTTATATAAATTCTGCCTCTCCCCTTTATTTTTGAAGATAACCATTGTTTTTTTAAAGCAAACTTTCTTTATGTGTTTTGACTAGACTGTCTAAGGCCACAAGATTAGAAGTTACCATAATACATGTTACACTGTTAACTTTTAGCAAACTTCACTTTTGTTGAAAACCTTATAAGTTTGTGATTTCAATTATCCTTTGCTATTAATAAGACCTTGTTCAGTCTAAATTAACTTAAAATTGGTATAGATGGCCTTTTTTTCTCTCTGCTGGTCTTTCCTTGCCTCTGCCAGCTGCTTATGCTGCTGTTCTCTTAACTACTGTGGGGAGAGGGGGAAGGGGGTCTAAAACCAGCTGTAACTGTCTATGTATAGAAACTGGTCCGGGTGCTTTGGCTTACAGGTTACCTTGTGCCATACCTTTGAAACAAGGGACCTCTCCAGGCTTTCTTCTGATAGCCAACCCACCTCTAATGCTAGCCAGTCTATTTCACACAAAGTTCTAAGTTTTTCTGGTGTCATAGTAACACCGTAATCTCCCTTAAATCTTGAAATTTTTTTTTAACATAGTTCCCAGTGGGGTGGGCTTACTTTGCGCCTGACCCATATTTTTTTCTTCCGAGACAAAATACCATGCTCACACCACACATACTCACCACAAGACAAAGAATGGGTAAAGAGGGTACACACACACTTTTACCGTTTATACCAAACCAAAATCATGAAATTCAAAATCTGAATACCAAAAAATTTAAGCCAAGTGAAAACCAAAACTAAAGTATCCAGCAATTCAAGTCAAGTCAAAACCAGAACAAAAGTGCCAATGCAGGCACACCGTGGGTGATCAGGCCACACTTCCACTCAGATGGAGTGGGGCAAGTTCCAAAGACTAGTCTTACCAAGTCAAGCCAAGTCAAAACCAGAACAAAAGTGCCAATGCAGGCACACCGTGGGTGATCAGGCCACGCTTCCACTCAGATGGAGTGGGGCAAGTTCCAAAGACTAGTCTTACCAAGTTTCAGATGTCCGGACTCCCAAGTGCCAGTTCCTTCCCGGTGTTCAGCCACTGTGTTAATCCTCCGCGGGGGCCTGCTACACGCTGCTCTGGCGAGGCATTCCACCAGGGCAATTTCCTACCCGGGAGCGCTCTTTGGATCGCGTCACTCAGGCTGGCCGGAGTCCCCCACAGGGATGCTCCACAGGGCAGGCTTAAGCCGCCTAAGGGGCTGCCTCGGCCGTCTGTCAGTCACCTTGCTTCCCGGTCAGGGAACCAAGAAATGTAGCAGGACGAGCCATAGATAAAACCTCTCAGACACCAAGTTGTAGAAGGAAGGGCTTTATTCAGCTGGGGTCATCGGCAAGCTACTGCCTTAAAATCCCAGCTCCCTAAGTGCACAATTTCTGTCCCTTTTAAGGGCTCACAACACTAAAGATTTCACATGAAAGGGTCGTGATTGATTTGAGCAGGCAGGCGGTACGTGACAGGGGCTGCATGCACCGGTGGTCAGAGAGAAGCAGAACAGGGCAGGGAATTTCACAATGTTCTTCTATACAATGGCTGGAATCTATGAATAACATCAGTTTCTAAGTTATGAGTTGATTTTTAACTACTGGGTTTAGGCCAGGCAGGCCCAGGCCTGGTTTCGGCCTGGCGCTGGGCTGCCTGTCTTTGGTTTTACTTCCTTATTGTTTTTTCTTAAAACAGGTACTGAGTATAAAACAATATAAAACAATATGAGAGTGTCTCTCTCTTCCCTCAAGCTCACTGCAACCTCCCCTCTGGGTTCAAGCAATTCTTCTGCCTCAGCCTCCCGGGGATCTGGGACTACTGGCGCATGCTACCACATCTGGATGCTTTTTTTGTATTTTTAGTACAGATGGGGTTTCACCATGTTGGCCAGGCTGGTCTTGAATTCCTGACCTCAGACGATCTGCCCACCTCGGCCTGCCAAACTGCTGGGATTATAGGCGTAAGCCAACCACACCTGGCCCCAGGCATAATTTTCATAGGTTTATTGGCCACTTGTATTTCTTGTTCAGAGACTTGCATGCCTGTATCTTTCTGAACTTTGGTTTCTTCATTTGTAAAAATGGGGATGTAGACTCCTGGTAATCCTAAGCATGAGAATTAGAAGGTCAAGAATGAATTTCAAAGCTTGTGCAGTTCCTGCCTGCTTTTCTCCTACCCCCTGTGAGTGATAGTCTCATGCATTTTGGCTTCCTTTTTGAAGAGGTCTTCTGATCCTGGAGGGAGGACACTAGGAGCTTTTGCTCTGAGTGGTCTTTGGGCCCTTTTGGTAACTCATTGGAAGCCCTCAGCCAATGGTAGCAGTGACAACCAGGATCCTCATTTGCCTGTATTCCTAGGTCACAGCTTTATAGGGATGGCCAGAGATTCTGCTAATTAAAAACAAGAATCATTGAGAGGTATTGTGGGAGGCTCTAAATCGGACCCACCCACCCCCTCTCTGAAGATGTGTGTTTAAGAGGCAGGGTTGCCTACTGGGTGGAGGCCCCAGCACTGCCACTTATTTTGCTGAGTAATATTGGGCAAGTGGCTTCCCCATCTCTGAGCCGAGTGCTTTTATCTGTAAAATGGAAATAATAATGGCACTTACCCAATGGGATTGTTGTAGGCACTGATGAGCAAATGTATGAAGAGCACTAGGCACCTAACTAGGTAACTATTATTCTTCTTTAACAAAAGGTTTTATAACTTCTCTGCAACTAGCTCACTTAACATTGCTGTCAGTCAGTAAATTCCCTCTGGCAGTCTAATTGCAATCCCTCCTACTGCCATTTCAGGTCATTCACTTGAGTTCTGTAGTGAGGGGAGGTCATTTTTAAGGTCCTCCTATAGCTTTTTCTCTGTTCTCCCTGGTTCCAGGAATGGTCTGTCAAACTCTCTGGGGAGGGGAGGGCAGCACAAGGAGGGTACTCTTGGGGCATCTTCCATTCTTTATTTGCCCTGAACCTATCGCTGGAGACTCAGATACTACCTGCTGACAGTGGGGGTTGGGGAGAGGGGCAACAGGCGGCAGGGGTGGGATGGGGTTGGGGGTGGGGTGGACGAAAGGCCCACCTGGCCCAGCTTTAGTGTGTGGCTTTCCCTATTCCACTGGGGATTTTCACACGTCTCCTGCCAAAGGCCCAGGGGGCCACTGAGCCTTTCTAGAGAAGGAATGATTTGGCCAAGCTTGGAAGTGGGCCCCTGTCTAGGGCCTAATAATAATCAGAAAGGCCTTCCTGGCTAGGCTCCCAGGATCCCTGGAGCCTCCTAAGGGGCTTTCACATTCAGGATCTTCAGGCCTCGTTTGATCACTCCAGCCTGAGCTGGGGGTCTAGGCTGGGCCTCCACAGGCAGCCAAGCAATGCATAACAATGGCCTCCTGGGACTCAGCGCTCACCACACTCAGGGCCACATCTTAAGTACTTTGTAATAATAATAGCTTGCATTTACTGAGTGTTTATTAGGTACCAAACTCCTCACAACTATTCTGGGAGGAAGATACTGTTACAGACAAGGAAAAGAAAGCTGAAGGTTCTCAATTGCTCAAAATGATAGCACCACAAAATGCCCGTGCTGGGGCTCCAAAACCAGTGCTCCCCATCTTCCCATTCTCTTCCTCCCGTTGGCACTTTGGCCCCCCGTCCTTCTGTATCAATAGTTTTCTCCAGGCCCCTCCCTCACCTCATCTCTGCCCTCCCGCCACACAACTGGGATTTTCAATACCCCCCACCATCAGTCATTGTCCCTCCAATTACTGAAGACACCCCTGAGGTCACAAAGGGATTAGATCCCCAGTCCCTCCCAGTCCAGCCACCCTGCCATCCTTTCAGGTGCCGCTGCTAGCCACCCCACCTAGAGATCAAAGGTTACTAGTGCTGAGAAAGGGCTCCGTCCACGCCTTCCTCATCCCAGGGTCAGCTGCTGGCCCTGGCCAGAATGTGGCTCTTCGAGAAGGTTGGGAAATGGCCTAGACTGAAGCTTTAACCCTCTTTTGTCAATTTCTCCCCAGGGTGGCCAGGTCTGGTCGACCTAGGCAACCCAACCAGCGGGGCTGAGGGTGGAACAAAAAGCTCTGGCTCCTCCACTTGCTAGCTGCATGGCCTTGGCCAAGTCACTCGTCTTCTTTGTGCTTCAGTTTCCTTAACAATAAATTAGGACTAAACATGACACCTTCTCCCTCAGGCTTTGGTGATGTAGGATACAATAAATTCCTCTTCAAAGGTTTTAGCCTGTTAACCTCCTTTAAAATTCAAGAGGTGGAAAATT
This sequence comes from Homo sapiens, assembly GCF_000001405.40. Taxonomy (NCBI): domain Eukaryota; kingdom Metazoa; phylum Chordata; class Mammalia; order Primates; family Hominidae; genus Homo; species Homo sapiens. The sequence goes on along the minus strand of NC_000005.10, from coordinate 139,523,348 downwards.
GTTAAGTACAATGAGTTCGTCTTCAAAGAACCAATATGTCAGTGTGTTCAACTTCCCTGTTCTTTTTTTTTTTTTTTTTTTTTTTGAGATGGAGTCTCACTCTTGTTGCCCAGGCTGGAGTGCAGCGGCGTGATCTCGGCTCCCTGCAACCTCCGCCTCCTGGTTTCAAGCGATTCTCCCTCCTCAGCCTCCCAAGTAGCTGAGATTACAATTTTTTGCATTTTTGGTACAGATGGGGTTTCACCATGTTGGCCAGGCTGGTCTCGAACTCCTGACCTCAGGTGAGCCACCTCCCTCAGCCTCCCAAAGTGCTGGGATTACAAGCATAAGCCACCACACCTGGCCTTTTTTTTTTTTTTTTTTTTTAAATAGAATTTCACTCTTGTTGCACAGACTGGAGTGTAATGGCGCGATCTCAGCTCACTGCAACCTCTGCCTCCCAGGTTCAAGCAATTCTCCTGCCTCAGCCTTCTGAGCAGCTAGGACTACAGGTGTGTGCCACCACGCCCAGCTAATTTTTTGTACTGTTTTAGTAGATATGGGGTTTTGCCATGTTGACAAGGCTAGTCTCAAGCTCCTGACCTCAGGTGATCCACTCGCCTTGGCCTTCCAAAGTGCTGGGATTACAGGCGTGAGCCACTGTGCCCAGCCTAACTTTTGTATTTTTAGTAGAGACAGGGTTTCACTATGTTGGCCAGGCTGGTCTCGAACTCCTGACCTCAAATGATCCGCCCGCCTCGGCCTCCCAAAGTGCTGGGATTACAGGTGTGAGCCACCGTGCCCAGCCAGATGCTTTCTTATTCTTATGCAAATGTACCTCCAAGACAAGTCCTCCAGGGACCCCTTTCCACCAGATGGGCCCCCTTGGTATTCCCTGGCACCCTAGGGGCCTGAGCTACCTCCTTTGGAGGTGCCAGCTCCTCCCCCAGTCTTTCTTTCTCCTATTGTCATCCCAGCCATTTCCCCTGTGCTCCCCTCTCCATTGTCTTCCGTTCAGGTGATGGACCCAGGCTATCTGTGAGAGGGCAGGGTGCCCATCTAGGTTCAAGGGGTCTATGGAAGATAACTACAGACATTTAATAGGGATAGTTCACATTTGTTGGGGAAATTGCAGAAGGCTTGTAAAATAAGCTTTGCTTCTTCAATAGCATCTTGGGTAAATAGCATCAGGTAAATATTTATTGATCACTCCCTACAGGACATGCATGGCACTAAGCACTCTTGTAGCATCATCTGATGCCAGTCTAGGCTTCCAACCACTGCACTACATTGCCTACTCCTAGTTCACTTAACCCCGTTACAGCACGTCTCATGCCTTTTCCCCATGGTTTACTTGTCTCCCCCCATTAGACTGTGAGTCCTAAGAGAGAAAGGATGACGGGTTGGGTGCGGTGGCTCACGCCTGTAATCCCAGCACTTTGGGAGGCTGAGGCAGGTGGATCACCTGAGGTCAGGAGTTCGTGACCAACCCCGTCTCTACTAAAAACACAAAAATTAGCCCGGTGTGGTGGCGAGTGCCTGTAATTCCAGCTACTCGGGAGGCTGAGTCAGGAGAACTGCTTGAACCCGGAAGGTGGAGCTTGCGGTGAGCCGAGATCACGCCACTGCACTCTAGCCTGGGTGACAGAGAGAGACTCCATCTAAAAAAATAATAATTAAAAAAAAAAGAGAGAGAGAGAGAAAGGATGGCATTACTGCGGTACTGTATCTGCCCCGTATATCTGTCATCGGTTAGCCCAAGGTCTGGCACACATGTTGCTAAACACTAGGATTGAGATGGTTGGGAAGGGGTTTTCTATCCTGTGTCCCTCCCCTCTCTGAGGTTGGCCTAGTTGAGCGGAGGCTTTGGATGACCTGACTGGGAGACTGAAGGTCTTTGGGCATAGGCATGTGCATATTAGGTTACTGATAGGGTTCTGCTGGGATCTACATTTAGTCCTCACAGAGGCTGCCAGCTCAAACCCTCCATTAGCCTGCATTGCCCCTATCTGACTGGCCTCCTCACGTATACCTGCCTTTGATTTTCAGGGCACCTGATGCCAGTGGGCAGGTGATTAAGAGGCACCCATTCCCACAGCTGAAAATACTGCCCAAATGAGTGTGTGCAGTGCCTGCCCCCAAGAACCTATAAACCAGTTCTTTTTTTTTTTTTTTTTTCCTTTGGGCTGGCGGGGGAATGGAGTTTTGCTCTTGTTGCCCAGGCTAGAACACAATGGCGCGATCTCGGCTCACTGCAACCTCTGCCTCCCGGGTTCAAGCGATTCTCCTGCCTCAGCCTCCAGGGTAGCTAGAATTAAAGGCACCTCGCCCGGCTAATTTTTTTTTTTTTTTTTTGAGACAGAGTCTGGCTCTGTCGCCCAGGCTGGAGTGCAGTGACGCAATCTTGGTTCACTGCAAGCTCTGCTTCCTGGGTTCACGCCATTCTCCTGCCTCAGCCTCCGGAGTAGCTGGGACTACAGGTGCCTGCCACCACGCCTGGCTAATTTTCTGTATTTTTAGTAGAGACAGGGTTTCACCGTGTTAGCCAGGATGGTGTCGATCTCCTGACCTTGTGACCTGCCCACCTTGGCCTCCCAAGGCTAATTTTGTATTTTTAGTAGAGATGGGGTTTCTCCTTGTTGGTCAGGCTGGTCTTGAACTTCCGACCTCAGATGATCACTACAACCTCTGCCTCCCAGGTTCAAGCAATTCTTGTGCCTCATCCTCCTGAGTAGCTGGGATTACAGGTGTGAGCCACCACGCCTGGCTAATTTTTGTATTTTTAGTAGAGATGGGGTTTTGCCATGTTGGCCAGGCTGGTGCTGAACTCCTGACCTCAAGTGATCCGCCCTCCTCGGCCTCCCAAAGTGCTGGGATTAAAGGTGTGAGCCACCACATCTGGTCAAGAACTTATAAGTCAGTTCTATCTGGATGCCTGACCTGGTTCCTGGGAGGTGGCCTCCTCGGGGCTTGGACACCTTAGAGAGGTGGGGGAAGTTCTCTTTTTTATTTTTTTTATTTTTTATTTTTATTTCTATTTTTTTTGAGACGGAGTCTCGCTCTGTCGCCCAGGCTGGAGTGTGGTGGCACAATCTCAGCTCACTGCAAGCTCCGCCTCCCGGGTTCATGCCATTCTCCTGTCTCAGCCTCCTGAGTAGCTGGGACTACAGGTGCCCGCCACCACGCCCAGCTAATTTTTTTGCATTTTTAGTAGAGACGGGATTTCACCTTGTCAGCCAGGATGGTCTCGTTCTCCTGACCTCGTGATTCACCCACCTCAGCCTCCCAAAGTGCTGGGATTACCGGCGTGAGCCACTGCACCCGGACTCTTTTTATTTTTACTTAAAAATAAACAGTGAGTCTCACTCTGTCACCCAGGCTGGAGTGCAGTGGTGTGATCATATCTCAGTGCAGCCTCGACCTCCTGGGCTCAAGCGATTCTCCCACCTCAGCCTCCCAAGTAGCTGAAATTATAGGCGCACACCACTACTATTTTTGTAGAGACAGCCCAGACTGTTATGTTGCCCAGACTGGCCTCAAACTCTTGGGCTCAAGTGATCCTCCTACCTCAGCTCAAAGTGCTGGGATTACAGGTATGAGCCACCACACCTTTCTGGGAGCTCCCTTCCTTTTCTCTTTCCTCATCCTCTTCCCATCCAATATCCCAGCTCACTCACCTCCCCAGCCATCTACCACCAACACACCCTACCCAGAAGAAGGACTATTATTGTCCTTAAAAGTCAGCATAGAGTGCTCAAGAATATCTATAATAATGACATAGTGTCCCTTAGTGTTTCCATTTTGTTACTGGTAAAAGAAGCAGCCGGGTGCAGTGGCTCACACCTGTAATCCCAGCACTTTGGGAGGCCGAGGTGGGCAGATCACGACGTCAGGAGATCGAGACCACCCTGGCCAACATGATGAAACCCCATCTCCACTAAAAATACAAAAATTAGCTGGGCATAGTGGTGGACACCTGTAGTCCCAGCTACTCGGGAGGCTGAGGCAGGAGAATTGCTTGAACCCAGGAGGTGGAGGTTGCAGTGAGCTGAGATCACGCCTTTGCACTCAAGCCTGGACGACAGAGCGAGACTCCATCTCAAAAAAAAAAAAAAAAAAAAGAAGCAGCAGCAGCAAAGATGTTCTGGGCATCTTAAAACTTTGGGATCATTATGGGGGAGGTGGTGCAGGTGGTATGTGTGATAGGAATGCTTTTATGTTGGGTCTCAAAATGTGAGGAGTGTTTAGGCAGGTAGAAAAGGTGGCAAAGGAGTGTTCAGGCCAAAGCCTGTGATAAAGCACACAAAGGACGTGGGAGATGACAAGAAACGAGACTGAAAGGGTTGTGCATGCCAAGCTAAACGTGTGGACTGATCCTGAGGGCAGTCAGAAGCCACTGAAGAGTTTGGGGCCAGTGAGTACATTCCAGCAACAGAGAGAAGTGTTAAAATAGCTGATGTTGGCCGGGGACAGTGGCTCATGCCTGTAATCCCAGTGCTTTGGGAAGCCGAGGTGGGAGGATCGCTTGAGTCCAGTAGTTCAAGACCATTTAGAGAGACCCCAACTCTACAAAAAAAATGAACAAAAGTAGCCAGTCGTGGTGGCATGCAACTGTGGTCCCAGCTACTCCAGAGGCTGAGGAGGAAGAATGGCTTGAGCCCAGGCAATTGAGGCTCAAGTGGGCCAAGATCATGCCACTGCACTCCAGCCTGGGCTCCAACCAGTTTCAAGAAAACAAACAAACAAACAAAAAAACGCTGATGCTCACTGAGCCTCTGCTTAGTACTGAAAAAGATGATTTCGTTTAGTCCTTCCAACACTCTTCCAGGGTTGTTAGTATTATTTCCATTGCATTGTAAGGGAAACTGGGGTATGAGATTGTTTTCTCAAGGTCACCGCTAGGAGTTGGTCCTGGATCCTCTTCCTGTCATCATCCTGTTGGTCTGAGAGAGGGTAGGGGTCAGGGAAGGGCTCTGAGACGATGAGAAGACAGGACGGACAACCAGACGCCATGCCCGTCTGGTTGAGGGGGAGGATGGCAGCGCTCTCGAGGGTGAAGCACAGGTTTCTGACTCGGGCTCCTGGGAGGAGCGGGCAAAGGCGTGGAGATGTGAGCCACAGGCGCCAGCCAGTGGTCCCAGGTCCGAGGCAGGACCTGCCGCCCGAGAGGCGTGGGAGCCGCACGGAGCAGCCGCCGCCTGCCTCTCTTGTCCTACTCTGGCGCGAGTCCATCCGGGCGGCGCGGCTGCTGAGAGCAGCGCCCTCTAGCGGAGGCCGGGCCTTGGCCCCGGGCCGGATGAAGTCACCGGCCGGAGGCATGCCGGGAACTGCGCCGCCGCGGCAGTCTTCACCCGCTGGGGGTGGTCTGGGCGCAGCTGCGGCCTGGCCTGTAGGGTCTCTGTCCAAACTGCGAGCCAGTGCACGCGCGAGTGTAGGGCCTCCTGACACATCACCGGGAGCTCTGCGGTACCTTCTCCTGCCTCCCGCGGCCACGGTGGTCTCAGACCCCTTAGATCCCACATTGGATCCCTTCCACCTGTCCTCACACTCCTCCGGCTTCTCTTACCACATTTTGGCCCTTCGACACCCTCGTGCTCCCCGCCTCATGCCTCATATCTCCGGGCCAGTATTTCATCGGGTCACCTCCACATCCCACTCGCTTCTCTCTGTCCCAACTGCCTGTGTCTTCATTCATGCCAACATCGACTCCAGGCTGGATGGCCACACCAGTTACCACCAGTCCGGCTCTTCAACCCATTTTTTGCCCTGCAGCTGGAGGAAGGAAATTTATTTATTTATTTTATTTATTTATTTATTTATTTTTTTGAGACGGAGTCTCGCTCTGTCGCCCAGGCTGGAGTGCAGTAGCACTGTCTCGGCTCACTGCAACATCTGCCTCCCGGGTTCAAGCGATTCTGAGGAAGGGTATTTGTAAAGATAATGTTGTTCCTAGGATTGATGATCTTCAGCAGCCTTCCTTTCATATAAAGATCAAACTTCTCGGTCTGACCCACCAGCCTTTGAGGCCTGGACCCTGCACCCTCCAGCCCATCTTTCACAAAGCCTCCCTCTGGGTGGATCCACAGTCATCTGCATCAACATCACTGGTGGAGCTTGTTTAATACACAGATTCTGGGTCCCTGTGCCAGACCCATCAAATCAGAATCCCTGGGAGTGGCACGCATTTTCACCAGGTTTCCTTAGTTGAGACCCGCTTCTTGCAGCTCCGGAAAAATTACAGGGTTACTGTAATCCCAGCACTTTGGGAGGCGGAGGTGGGCGGATCTCTTGAGGTCAGGCGTTCGAGACCAGCCTGGCCAACATGGTGAAACCCCGTCTCTACTAAAAATACAAAAAATTAGTTCGGCATGGTGGCAGACGCCTGTAATCCCAGCTACTTTGGAGGCTGAGGCAGGAGAATCACTTGAATCCGGGAGGTGGAGGTTGCAGTGAGCCGAGATTGCGCCACTGCACTCCAGCCTGGGCGACGAGTGAGTGAGACTCTGTCTCAAAAACAAAACAAAACAAAAAAAAACAAAAAACCCCAAAAAGCCAAAAACAGGGTTATCTTCCCTCCTAGCCTGTACACAGCACAGGAGGTGTAGTTTCCCCCTACTCAGACACTACACCTCCTCTGCTTCCTTCACATTGAGATTACAGGTCATCCCTCTCCTGCTCTCCTGAAGCCCCAGGCTTACTCCTAAAACAGTGCTTAAGTGGAGTTTTGCCTGTCTGCTTCTTTGTCCCCCAGTCAGAATGTAAACTCCTTATGGCAAGGGTTGTGTCTGTCTTGTTCACAGAGCAATGTGCCTGGCACAGAGAAGGGGATCAATAAATATGTGTTAAGTATTGAATTAATGAATATCTGGACATATTCCAAGCTTGAGACAATTCTAGCACCTGGCATCTGGTGAGAGAGAAGAGGAACTAGAATAAGCCATCCCTGGGGTGGAGGAGAAGAAGTGATTGGGGAGTATCGGGCCCTTCCAGTCCCCCTCCAGCTGTCACCCACAGGGGTCTAGTTTAAGGATGTATCTCCTCCCAAGGATGCCAAGGAGAACCTGTGTGCATATATCAACTTTCTTCTCTGTGGTCTCTGTGGACCTCTTGACCCATCTCTACCGCTCTACTGGGGCGTTGAGTCCTACCTGTACTATCCAGGGCAGCTAGCAGTGGCATCTTTTTTTTTGTTTGTTTGTTTTTTTGAGATGGAGTTTCACTCTTGTTGCCCAGGCTGGAGTGCAATGGTGCGATCTCAGCTCACTGCAACCTCTGCCTCCCAGGTTCAAGTGATTCTCCTGCCTCAGCCACCCAAGCAACTGGGATTACAGGTGTGCGCCACCATGCCCGGGTAATTTTTTTTATTTTTAGTAGAGGCAAGGTTTCGTCATGTTGGCCAGGCTGGTCTCGAACTCCTGACCTCAGGTGATCCACCTGCCTCAGCCTCCCAAAGTGCTGGGATTACAGGTATGAGCCACTGCGCCCAGCTTCAGATGGCATCTTTGTACTCCAGCAGTACCTTGTCTCTCTGATTTTTGACCCATCAGAGAAATCCCAAGCCCAGTCTAGATAAATAAGCCATTACAGCCTCAAGAAAGCCAGGTTCAGACAGCAGGGCCAGTCCCTGCCCAGCCTGTAGGAAACCAGCCAGCTGATGCTGCCTAGAGCCAACACAGACCACGCTATACCCTGTGTTCTGGTCCTTCTCTGGATACAGAGTCAAGGAACTCTGACCCTGACCTCAAGTACGTTTCTCCCCATTTAATTGGGAGTTGTGGGAAGGATTTAAATTGAGCCTTAATTAGAATAAACATGATCATCGCAGCTGTGGTTCTTTTTTTTTAATTTTTTTGAGACAGAGTTTCGCTCCTGTTGCCCAGGTTCAAGCGATTCTCCTGCCTCAGCCTCCCGAGTAGCTGGGATTACAGGCATGTGCCACCATGCCCGGCTAATTTTGTATTTTTAGTAGAGACGGGGTTTCTCCATGTTGGTCAGACTTGTCTCGAACTCCCGACCTCAGGTGATCCACCCGCCTCAGCCTCCTATAGTGCTGGGATGGGATTACAGGCGTGAGCCACCGCGCCTGGCCGGTTCTTTCTTTCTTTCTTTTTCTTTTTTTTGAGACAGTCTTTTTTTTTTTTTTTTTTTTTTTGAGACGGAGTCTCGCTCTGTCGCCCAGGCCAGACTGCGGACTGCAGTGGCGCAATCTCGGCTCACTGCAACCTCTGCCTCCTGGGTTCAAGGAATTCTCCTGACTCAGCCTTTCGAGTAGCTGGGATTACAGGCGTGTGCCACCACACCTGAGCAATTTTTTGTATTTTTAGTAGAGACAGGGTTTCACCATGTTGGCCAGGCTGGTGTTGAACTCCCGACCTCAAGTGATCCGCCTGCCTCGGCCTCCCAAAGTGCTGGGATTACAGGTGTGAGCCACCGCGCCTGGCATTTTTTTTTTTTTTTTTGAGATGGAGTCTCACACTGTTGCCCAGGCTGGAGTACAGTGGCGTGATCTCAGCTCACTGCAACCTCTGCCTCCTGGGTTCAAGCTATTCTCCTGCCTCAGCTTCCTGAGTAGCTGGGATTACAGGCATGTGCCATCATGCCCAGCTGATCTTTCCGTATTTTGGTAGAGATGGGGTTTCACCACTTTGGCCAGGCTGGTTTTGAACTCCTGACCTCAGGTGATTCATCTGCCTCATCCTCCCAAAGTGCTGAGATTACAGGTTTGAACCACAGCGCCTGACTGCAGCTGTAGTTCTTACTGGATGCTGACCATGTGTCAAATACTGTTCTATACACTTGACACATAGTCTCTTTCACACTTCAAACAATCCCTCTGCAGATTAGGAAACTGAGGCCCAGAGAGGTTAAGCCAGCCCATACACTTGAAGGGATGGGTGTAAAGCAGAGTGATTGAGAGGAGGGAGCCTGGGTGAGTTGGGAGGGATGCACACTTGGTGCAGCCCACAGATCCTCGGCTTTTTGGCTGGAAGGAAAGGTGCATGCCGGGCGGAGTCAGTGGTGATGTTAACGCTCCCTGCCTGCCAGGCTAGGGTGCTTGTGCTTGCTCCTCCAGGCTCCACACCAACTGTTTTCTTCTGTGTTTCTATCTTAGGTGACCAGTGCTACGGCTTAATGAATTGGAGCTGGGAGTCCTGGCTCTGGAACCTTAGGCAGGCTCCTGCCCTCTCTTGGCCTCAGTGTCCTCTCTCTGAAAGGAGTGTTGCTCAGGCACTTCCAACCCAGCCCACGGGTCTCTCTATTCATAGCTTCAGAGCATGATTAAGCTCAGATGCAGAAGCAGCTTTAATTAACATCAGCCTTTTCCCAAAATAGCCCCTCCCCTGCCTCACAGGTGCCCTAGAACACAGGACAGGCACAGACAAGGGAGGTAAGAGAGAGCAGAGGCCCTTCTGTCTGCACAACCCTGAGCAGATGAATTTCTGGCCTTCTCATGCAGTCTTGGTTCATTGCCCTGGTGGGTCTCCAGGCTAAAGAGAGAGTATCTATTCCTCCTTTTCCTCTTTCTAGTCTGTATTCATTCATTCATCCCTCAAAGGGGAGAGCCTTCTCTTTGCCAGGCCTGGGATACAGCCATGAACCAGATAGACAGCTGTCTCTCTCCTTGTCCAACTGGCCACCAGGTGTCACCAGTGCCAGTCACATGGCCTCTTGCAGGCCTGAGAAGTGATGGGCTGGGATGGGGAAGTATGGATGAGTGAACCTGGCCAGCTCTGCTCAGCCAGCCTAAATTCCAGTTGGGCACGGTGGCTCACACCTGTAATCCCAGCACTCTGGGAGGCCAAGGCAGGCAGATCACTTGAGTCCAGGAGTTTGAGACCAGCCTGGCCAACATGCTGAAACCCCGTCTCTATTAAAAATAGAAAAATTAGCCTGGCACGGTGGCACGTGCCTGTAGTCCCAGCTACTCGGGAGCCTGAGGCACAATAATTGCTTGAACCTGGTAGGTGGAGGTTGCAGTGAGCTGAGATCGGGCCACTGCACTCCAGTCTGGGCGACAGAGTGAGACTCTGTCTCAAAAAAACTGAAAAAAGCAAAAACAAACGAAAAAACCAAATTCCTCAAGTGGAAAAAAAATCTATCTCCTCAATCCTCCCTCGCCATAAAGATACATTCATGGCTTCCTCAACAGCCCAGCTGGCGTGGGACCTTGGGAATTCACAACCTCTGTCCAGTCTGGAATTCTTTCTGCAGACTGTTCCTCATAGAGAGCCCACTAGCCTTCTTGTAAACCCCTTTGGTGACCACAGCTCACTACTTCACAATGCAATCTATGTTATTAGAAGGTTCTTCCTGATTTAAAACAAAAATTTGACATTCACTTTGACTTGTCCTACTTCTGCCATCTGTGTTCATAAAGAGGAAGGCTCTTCTGCCAAACCTGGCCCTGCAGGCAGTTTAAGGGATTGTTCCGGTATCCTGAGTTTGTTCATTTATTTGTTTGTTCACTTATTTGTTTGTTCACTCATTCATGACTCTATACAGAGCATTTGCTGTGTGCCAGGCCTTGGGGCCATAGCAGAGAATAAATAAGGTTGAAGCCTGTCCTCCTGTGGTTTATAGTCTGTCCAAGAAGCCAACAACCAAACCAACAGTAATAATAACACATGGACATGGCCAAATAGGAAAGATGTGGGTGGACCTGGAACAGGAGGCAAGGCCCTCACCCACATGGGGACTGGGAAGACTTCCTGGGGCCATTTCCCTGTGGTTAGGCAGAAGGTGAGCAACTTCCATGAAGTTCAAAGTTTCAAGAAAAACGGAGGGTTTTGCTGATGCTCTGAGCTTAGTCTGCTCACTGGAAAATGCAGCATCATGGGAAGGGATGGCGTGTTTGGAGGATGGAAGAGGGATGGAAAGAGCCATCTAAGCAGTGAGAGAGAGTACGGAGTGTCTGGAGGCAGACAAGGCCCAGTCTTGCGGGAGCACACAAGGGAGGAAGAAGCTATTGTGTCCGGAATTGGTTCCTTCTGGTGGGTTCTTGGTCTCACTGACTTCAAGAATGAAGCTGCAGACCCTTGCAGTGAGTGTTACAGTTCTTAAAGATGGTGTGTCTGGAGTTTGTTCCTTCAGATGTTCAGATGTGTCTGGAGTTTCTTCCTTCTGGTGGGTTTGTGGTCTTGCTGACTTCAGGAGTGAAGCTGTGATCCATTGCAGTGAATGTTACAGCTCTTAAAGGTGGTTCATCTGGAGTTTTTCATTCCTCCAGATGGGTTCGTGGTCTCGCTGACTTCAGGAGTGAAGCCACAGACCTTCCCAGTGAGTGTTACAGCTGTTAAAGGTGGCACGTCCGGAGTTGGTTGTTCCTCCCAGTGGGTTTGTGGTCTCGCTGGCTTCAGGAGTGAAACCACAGACCTTTGCAGGGAGTGTTACAGCTCAGAAAGGTAGTGCGGGTCCAAAGAGTGAGCAGCAGCAAGATTTATTGCTAAGAGTGAAAGAAAAAAGCTTCCACGGTGTGGAAGGGGACCCAAGCAGGTTGCCACTGCTGGCTCGGGTGGCCAGCTTTTATTCCCTTATTTGGCCCCACCCACATCCTGCTGATTGGTCCATTTTACAGAGTGCTGATTGGTCCGTTTTTACAGACTGCTGATTGGTAAGTTTACAAACATTTGGCTAGACGGAGCGCTTATTGGTGCGTTTTTACAGAATGCTGATTGGTGCATTTACAAACCTTGGCCGGGTGTGGTGGCTCACGCCTGTAATCCCAGCACTTTGGGAGGCTGAGGTGGGCAGATCATGAGGTCAGGAGATCGAGACCATCGTGGCTAAAATGGTGAAACCCCGTCTCTACTAAAAATACAAAAAATTAGGTGGGCGTGGTGGCGGGTGCCTGTAGCCCCAGCTACTCAGGAGGCTGAAGCAGGAGAATGGCATGAACCCAGGAGGCGGAGCTTCCAGTGAGCTGAGATAGTGCCACTGCACTCCAGCCTGGGCAACCGAGCAAGACTCTGTCTCAAAAAAAAACAAAAAACAAACCTTTAACTAGACACAGAGTGCTCATTGGTGTGTTTACAATCCTTTAGCTAGACAGAAAAGTTCTCTAAGTCCCCACCCGACCCAGAAGCCCAGCTGGCTTCACCTCTCAATGCCCCCTCTAAACAGGACACCCCAACTGCTGTTGGGAATTGGGCAATGATCGCTGTGGCTACTTCCTGCTGGATGGGGGCGAAGAAGGGGCCTTGCAGTTGTAGTGTCCTCGGGAGGGGAACTCTTTAGGCCAGTGAAAGGGCCAGTGGGTAGGTCCAGGGGTCCTCAGTAGAAGTTGTTATTTGAGCTCATTTGGGGTTCCATTTGTAAGACCATCTGTAGCTTGATGGCTTCGATCCTAGAGGAAACAAATTTGACAAGGTTAAAAATACAGGGCCTGAAGGCGAGTAATAGCAAGATGGCTGCCATGGGACCTAGAAAGGGGAGAAGCCATGTTGCCCAACTCCAGAGGTTGGTATAAGAGTTTGAAAGGCGTTGTCTGATTTCAGAAGCCTTTTCCTGTAAACACCGGGTGGCATCTCGTACTATACCTGACTGGTTAGTGTAAAAACAACACTCTTCCCCTAAGAAGGTGCAGAGTCCTCCTTTCTTAGCAATGAGGAGGTCTAGGCCTCAGCAGTTCTGGAGACTCACTGCTGCCAAAGAGTCTATTTGGGATTGTAGAGTAAGGATAGTTTTCATTATCTCTTGCAAACTGTCTGAGAAATCCTTTGAGAGTGTGTGGTAGTAGGATAATGAAGTAGATAAACTGGCTATTCCAGTTCCTGTAGCGTAGCCATTCCTAACCCTATAAGTAGGGGTATTAGTTGTATGCCTCTGCGCTGATGGACTTGAGCTTTGAGGGGTACTGATAGGGTCTGATTTCCTGGGGCAATGTTAATGTTGGGGCTTAGAAAGACTAAGGTGCAGGTGCCTGTCCAGTTAGTGGGGAGGCAGATATAGGTCGGTGTTCCACATAAGAAGAATATACCTCGGCTGGGTAGACAAAACTGGTTGTGTATGTTAAAAAGGTGTGCGAGTTTGTTGTTTTCATTTTTTCATACTTCTAGAGTACTTGCCAAGGTAGCTCCGGTGAGTGGCTGGAAAGGGATGTTGGGAGCAAAGTGAGTGGCTCCCTGTGTTCTATTTTATTTTCATCCCAGCAGGAGCTACAGTATATAGTCCTATTGCAAAGAGTATGGTTAGTATGCTGCTTAATAACATGATGAAATAGTAAAAGGTTTCCATTAAAGGGGCAAGGAGAGGTGTTAAAGATTATGTAGGTTTTCACTTATCTTTTTTAAGGAGGAAGGGGTTTTTCTTCAGGATCAGTGGTAGGAGCCTTTTTAGTCTGGGATGATTCCTTCCAAAATAGGAGATGCAAGTCCTCCAATGGTTCACAGGTATCAAGGCTGGTCTGGGTGATCTTGGGACTCCTGAGCTGATGGTCCCGCAGGTTCCTCAGGGGATGTCCAAAATTTAACTCGGGTGTGGTGAATCCAAGATTCCACTCCTGCCACCTTAACTGCAGTGGGGGTAGAGAGGATTATTGAGTATGGTCCTTCCCACAAAGAGTCCATAGATGGGGAGGTAGAGAGGAGAGATTTGACCAACACTGGATCTCCAGGTTGAAACAACTCTGTTCCCTTTTCTCTGTGACATCCTTCAGGTAGGTTTTTAAGGTTTTGTTGATATTTTGCCAAAGAAGTTATATCTTTGACCAAGTTGGCCGTTTCCTGATCAAGTAGGAGGTCATTTGTGAGAAAAGGTCGTCCCTACAGCATTTCATATGGACTGAACCCCATTTTGTGAGGAGAATTTCGGATTCTCAACAAGGCCATGGGCAACAGAGTAGGCCATGGCAGATGAGTTTCTTGTGTTAGTTTCCTTAAGTGCCTCTTGAGTGTTTCATTTGCCTTCTAGACCTTCCCTGAGAATTGTGGCCTCCAGGTGCAGTGAAGGTGATATTGTATCCCTAGCGCCCTGGAATTCCCTGAGTTATCATGGCTTTAAAGGCCAGACCATTGTCACTTTGTAAGCTTTGGGGAAGCCCAAGTCTAGGAATTATTTCATGAATTAGGACTTTAATCACTTCCTGAGCCTTCTCTGTCTTGCAGGGGAAAGCTTCTATCCAATTTGTAAAGGTATCAACACAGACAAGCAAGTATCGAAATCCCTTTGACTTAGGCATATGGGTGAAGTCTAACTGCCAGTCCTCTCCAAGATAGTGACCTATTCTTTGTTCCCCCAAAGGGGCCTTATGATGGACAAAGGGATTATTCCTTTGGCACACCTCACAGGCTTTGACTACCTGTAGGATGGTCCGGAGGAGACTTGGCCCTATAAATAGGGATTCAGCCATTTGATGAGTGTTTTCAATACCCATATGAAAAATTTGGTGGAGGGTTTTAAGTATTTTCCACTGGCTAGCTTCAGGTATAAGTATCTTTCCTTCTTCTGTCGTTAACCACCCTGGGGGGAGAAAACTATGCCTCTGTGAAAGTCCCCATTCTGTTTCAGTCGGGGAATACTGGGGCTTAATCTCCTGGAGGGGGTTGTTCCATACCAAGGGTCCTTCCCTAGGTATTTCTAATGGGAGGTTCCACCTGGCAGCAATTTTTGCCTCAGCATCTGCCTGACAGTTTCCTTCTGCCTTTTCTCCTTCACCTTTCTGATGGTTTTGGCAGTGTAAGACTGCCACCTCCTAGTGTTTTTGCACTGCATGCAATAACTCCATAATTTCCTTGTGGTATTTACTGGGGGTTCCCCCAGAGGTTAGGAACTCCCTTTCTTTCCATATTGCAGCATGGGCATGTAGTATTAGATAAGCATACTTGCTATCTGTATACACATTTATTCTTTTTCCCTTTCCCCGTTCTAAGGCTCGGGTAAGTGCCACTAGTTCTGCTAACTGGGCACTGGTCCCTGGGGGAAGAGGCTTACTTTCAAGTACAGTTACATCACTAACTATGGCATAACCTGCCCTTCGTATCCCATTCTCCACAAATGAACTTCCATTGGTATATAGGTTAAGGTCAGGATTAGCTAAGGGGACTTCTAAGAGATCAGCTCGGGCGGCATAAGTCTGGACTATAATTTGTTGGCAGTCATGCTTGATTGGTTCCCCATCCTCTGGGAGAAAAGTGGCAGGGTTGAGGGCCACGCATGTATGTATTTGAAGCACCAGTCCCTCAAGGAGTAGTGCCTGGTATCTAAGTAGGCAGTTGTCTGATAACCATAAACTTCCTTTGGCACCTAGTATGCCATCTACATCATGAGTAGTCCAGACTGTGAGATCCTTTCCTTGTATTATTTTGATAGCCTCTGACACTAAGACAGCCACCACCGCAACTACCCTTAAACAGTGAGGCCAGCCTTTTGCTACTACATCAATTTCCTTATTTAAGTATGCCACTGGTTGTGGGTTGTCCCACAAGTCTGAGTAAGGACTCCAAGAGCTATCCCTGCTCTCTCTGTGATGTATAAAGAGAAGTTTTGTCCTGTGGGAAGGCTTAAACCTGGAGCTTGTACTAGGGCCTGCTTTAAGATTTTGAAGGCTGTTTCTGCCCCTGGTTCCCATTCTTCTAGATGAGTATTTGCCCTCTGGGTCTCCTTGATTAGAGTATAGAGGGGCCTGGCTATCTTGCTGTATCTGGGGATCCATAGTCGGCAAAAGCCAGTGATTCCAAGGAACCCCCGCAACTGTTTTAATGTCTTAGGCTGAGGATCAGCCAGTATAGGCTGTATTCATTCCTTGCTAAGGGCCCTGGTCCCTCTGGCTAAGATTAGGCCTAGATATTTATCCTGCTATAGGCAAGGCTGGGCCTTCGACCTAGATGCCTTGTACCGTTGATTAGCTAGAAAGTTCAAGAGGTCTAGAGTAGCCTGCTGGCATGAGGCTTCTGAACTGGTAGCCAAAAGTAAATCATCCACATACTGAAGGACCAGAGTGCCTGGACTTGAGAAGTGGCCTAGATCTTGGGCCAGTGCCTGACCAAACAAGTGAGGGCTATCCCTAAACCCTTGGGGCAAGACAGTCCATGTAAGTTGGGATGTGTGGTCTGTGGGATCCTCAAAGGCAAAGAGAAGCAGGGAGTCAGAGTGCAGGGGAATATAGAAGAAGGCATCCTTGAGGTCCAGAACAGTGAACAATTCTGCTTCCTCTGGTATTTGAGAGAGCAGGGTATAGGGGTTGGGTACAACTGGATATAGAAGAATTATTGCCTCATTGATGAGTCTAAGATCTCGCGCTAGTCTCCACTGACTGTTCAGTTTTTGTACTCCTAGAATTGGGGTGTTGCAGGGACTGCTGCATTTCCTTACTAAGCCTTGAGCTTTTAAATGTTTAACAATATCCTGTAATCCTTTATGAGCTTCAGGCCTTAAGGGATATTGCCTTTGATAAGGAAAAGTGGTGGGGACTTTTAGCCTGATTTGGACTGGGCAGGCATTTTTTGCCCTTCCAAATTGTCCTTCCAATACCCACATTTCAGGGTTGATTCCTTCCTCAAGTAGGGGACAACAAATGGGTAACTTGTTCCCCATATTCATGTAGATAATAGCTCTAGCTTTGGCTAATATTTCCCTCCCTAATAAGGGTGAGTGTGGGAATTTCAGGCATAACAAGAAAGGGATGTGAAAAGAACAAAGTCTCCCAGTTGCAAGCAAGGAGGTGGGAGAAATACCTGATTACAGGTTGTCCCAGGATTCCTTGGATGGTAATGGACCTTGAGGACAGTCATCTGGGACAGGAGATTAAACTGAGAAGACCATGCCAGTGTCCAAGAGGAAGTCAATTTCCTGGCCCTCAATGATTAAACATACCCAGGGCTCAGTGAGGGTAATGACATGAGCTGGTGCTTGCCCTGGGCACCCTCAGTCCTGTTGTTGGATCATCTAGTTGGGGGCTTCTGGCCCAGAGAACCATTGCACTCTAGGGCCTTTTGCCTTCCAGTGATTGCCAGTGGACATGGATGAGGGGGTGGCTTGTTTCTCACTGGACAATCTTTTTTAAGTGCCCTTGTAAACCATACTGATAACAAGCCCTACTGGGTGATTGGCCTGCTCCATTTTCTGTCCTTTCTGAACCAACAAGGTTTGTTTGTCTGAGGGCCATGACTAAGGCTGTGGCCTTTCTCTGATCTTGCTTTTCCTTTTGGGCCTATTCCTCTTGGTCCCTATTATAGAACGCTGAGGTTACTAAGTTTAATAATGCCTCCAGATTTTGTTCAGGGCCCAGGGCTCACTGTTGGAGCTTTCTCCTGATATCTGTGGCTGATTGGGTAATAAACTTATCTTTTAGAATCAATTGACCCTCTAGTGAGTTGGGTGACAGGGGAGTATATTTTCTTAAGGCCTCCCGTAGCCACTCAAGGAAGGCAGACAGATTTTCTTCCTTTCCTTGAGTTATGGTGGACATCACTGAATAATTCATGGGCTTTTTCCTAATTCTCCTTAGTCCTTCTAGAACACAGGTCAACAGATGTTTACAACTCCAGTCCCCATGATCTGAGTCAAGGTCCTAGTGGGGATCATACTGGGGACGGCTTGCTGACTGGTAGGGAATTTGTCCATTTCTTTAGCTGTCATTCTATCATTTACTTGTCTAAGATACCAGGTACCTCCAAACTCAGCTAAAGCTGCATTCTTTTCATTAAAGGCCAGGGTTTCCTCTAACAATAGCATGACATCTCTCCAAGTGAGATCGAAGGTTTGCCCTAGACCCTATAGGACATCTATGTACTTATCAGGATCATCTGAAAACTTCCCCAGGTCTGCCTTGATCTGCTTTAAATCAGAGAGGGAGAAGTGGACATGTACCCGGGTTGGGCCAAATTCCCCTCCCCCTACAGCTTGAAGAGGACATAACCGATAGCCTGGGGGTTTTTGTGGTCCTTTGGAGATTTCTTTGCTTATTTCCTTCTGGGCAGGGGAGATTAGAGGAGGCTTATCATTAATAGGAAGGGGAGCTATAGGGAGGCTAGGATTTGAGGGTATGCTGAAAGGTCCTCCTGTGGGATGTAAATTGCAAGCTTTGCATAGTTGTCTATTCTCCTTCAATGAAAAGAAAGCTTGGACATAAGGTATTTCAATCCATTTGCCTTCTCTCTTACAGAAAAGGTCAAGCTGCAGGATAGTATTGTAATTTATACTTCCCTCAGGGGGCCATTTTTCCCCATCAGAGAGAATACTGGGGCCACGCCATAGTGCAGACAAAAATGAGCTGCCTCTTTTTCAGGGTTTGCAGGTCAAATTGGTCCTAATGACTGAGGATGCATTTCAAGGGTGAGCCTGTTGATGCCTGAGTGTTTCCCATCTGAAAGACAAAACTGCCCATGGTTTTGGTTTGTTTGTTTCTCCCCCTGCCCAAGAATCTGCAGTGGTCCCTGGACACTGCTGATCGGAATAGTTGCACTCACTGACACAGCAGCAGAAACACCTCTTGCCCAAGAACCCGCAATGGTCCTTGGACCCTGCTGATCAGAATAGTTGCACTCACCAATGCAGTAGCAGAAACACTAGTTTTCCTCCTAGACCACAAGGAGGACTGAGGAAGGTCGGATTTAGTGGCCCTTACCAATGCATTCTTGAAAACCTGCACCGTTGCCTGTCCTCCTAGACCACAAAGAGGACCAAGAAAAATCGGATTTAGTGGCCCTTACTGACGCATTCTCGATAACCTGTTAGAATCCTAAGCATTCTCCTGTTAGTATTGGGACTTTACCCCTGTTCTATAAAGATGCTATGCCCCAAAAATGAAGTGGAGGGCCATACTCTGAGGGAGGGAAGGGATCTCCAGAGTTGGAAGTGTGATGCCTTTTGTCCTCACTTATATGAATAGGAAGGATAAAGGCTCCCCATATCCTAGCTTCTAAGGATATCCTAGCTTTCTAAGGCTCCCCATATCCTAGCTTCAGAAATAGCTTTTGTTAGTCCTGTTTGTCTGAGGAGGGATCCTAGAATTCCAGATATTCCCCCCTACAATGGGGCTTTGGGCAAAAATTATGTCTTTCTGATTGGTGAGACTGGGTGCCTACAGAAGGGACTCTCATGAGTCCTGAAGTTTATACTAGAAATCATTCTTATGGGAGAAACTAGAAAAGCACCAGAGATAGGGAGTGGTTTTTAGAAGCAGGACTAGCCTCAGAGAAGAGAGGCGAGAGGAAGTTTGTCTGACAGGCATTAGGACCCAGGAGGCAAGGGTCAGGATAGATAGGATAGACGGGCGAGTCTCGCTTGGGCGACATGACTTTCAGAGTTCCACTCATGGCCGCAGGGTCAACCAACTTGTCGGGACCTGGGAGCTGAATGGCTTTCCTCTGTGTTGACCCTTGGCTCAGTCCAGAAGTACAGGAAAAGCGGAAGCTGGTTCCAGGCAAACCAACGCTCCCAACTCTGAAGAGTCGGGTGTTGTCAGAGAGCCCTTTCCCAGAAAGCCTGATACTCTTGTCTTTAGTCCGGCGGCCACGCTAGTCGCTTTTAACTGGCTGACAGGTGCCCGGTATTTAGCCCCCAAATTCTAAGGAAAAATAGGACAGAATAGCAAGCGAAAGGGGTCTGATGGTACTCACCACTTGGCGATAGGCGATAGTCCCATCTGGGTAGACAAAATGTGTCTGGAATTGGTTCCTTCTGGTGGGTTCTTGGTCTCACTGACTTCAAGAATGAAGCCGCAGACCCTCACGGTGAGTGTTACAGTTCTTAAAGATGGTGTGTCCAGAGTTTGTTCCTTCAGATGTTCAGATATGTCCGGAGTTTCTTCCTTCTGGTGGGTTCATGATCTTGCTGACTTCAGGAGTGAAGACACGGACCCTCGCAGTGAGTGTTACAGCTCTTAAAGGTAGCACGTCCGGAGTTGTTCATTCCTCTCAATGGGTTCGTGGTCTTGCTGACTTCAGGAGTGAAGCTGCAGACCTTCCCAGTGAGTGTTACAGCTCTTAAAGCTGGCATATCTGGAGTTGTTTGTTCCTCCCAGTGGGTTTGTGGTCTCGCTGGCTTTAGGAGGGAAGCTGCAGACCTTCACAGTGAGTGTTACAGCTCAGAAAGGTAGTGCAGACCCAAAGAGTGAGCAGCAGCAAGATTTATTGCTAAGAGCAAAAGAACAAAGCTTCCATGATGTGGAAGGGGACCCGAGCAGGTTACCACTGCTGGCTCAGGTGGCCAGCTTTTATTCCCTTATTTGGCCCCGCCCACATCCTGCTGATTGGTCCATTTTACAGAGTGCTGATTGGTCCGTTTTTACAGAATGCTGATTGTTGCATTTACAAACCTTTAGCTAGACAGAGCGCTGATTGGTGCATTTTTACAGAGTGCTGATTGGTGCATTTACAAACTTTTAGCTAGACACAGAGTGCTGATTGGTGTGTTTACAATCCTTTAGCTAGACAGAAAAGTTCTCCAAGTCCCCACCCAACCCAGAAGCCCAGCCGGGTTCACCTCTCACTATGAGGGAATCAGCCCAAGATGAAGGAAGAAGCCCCTTTGGGCCCCTGAATGCCATCTCAATGACAGTGTTCAAGGCCCAGATCTAGCCTGATGTGGGTCACCTCTCTTGCAGGCACTGCATTTCCACTAACATGGCCCAAGGAAACATCAGCCTTTGGTTTCTATTTTTTGAGACAGAGTCTCTCTCTATTGCCCAGGCTGGAGTGCAGTGGTGCAATTTCAGCTCACTGAAACCTCTGCCTCCCAGGTTCAAGCGATTCTCCTGTCTCAGCCTCCCAAGTAGCTGGGATTACAGGTGTGCGCCACCATGCCTGGCTAATTTTTGTATTTTTAGTAGAGATGGGGTTTCACCATGTTGGTCAGGCTGGTCTTGAACTCCTGACCTCAAGAGACTCACCTGCTTCAGCCTTCCAAAGTGCTGGGATTACAGACGTGAGCCACCACATCCAGCCAGCATCAGCTTTTTTTTTTTTTTTTTTTCAGACGGAAGTTTGCTCTTGTTGCCAAGGCTAGAGTGTAATGGCACAATCTCAGCTCACTGCAATCTCAGCCTCCCAGGTTCAGGCAATTCTCCTGCCTCAGCCTCCCGAGTAGATAGGACTACAGGCATGTGCCACCATGCCAGGCTAATTTTGTATTTTTAGTAGAGACAGGGTTTCTCCATGTTGGTCAGGCTGGTCTTGAAGTCCTGACCTCAGGTCATCCACCTGCCTCAGCCTCCCAAAGTGCTGGGATTACAGGCGTGAGCCACTGTGTCTGGCCCAGCATCAGCTTTTTGATCATGACTCGAAGTACACCTGTGGCCCTTCAAAGCTCTCAAGGATTCTTCACTCAAACTGCTGAGAGACCAAGATACCCCCATCTTGGGATCACACAGCTGTGTTAATGAACCTAAGACTGAATTTATTTCCATTTTTCTCTTATTCCCTTTTTTCTCTGTTTTGATTATACAAGCAATACACGTTCATTTTAATAAAAAATTTAAAATATAATGTTTATTATCTTATAGTTTCTGAGATTCAGGAATTTGGGAGTGGCTTACCTGGGTAGTTCTGTCTCAGGGTTTCTTATGAAAGTGCAATCAGGATGTCATCCAGGGATGCAATCATCTGGAGGCTTGACTAGGGCTGGGGGTTCACTGCCAAGGTGGCTGGTTCATGGACCTGGCAAGATATTGCCGATTGTTGATAGGAGGCCTTGTAGCTCCACCACTTGGACCTCTTCATGGGGCTGCTTGAGTGTCTTTATGGCAGGGCAGACGACTTTCACCAAAGCAAGTGATCCAAGAAAGAGATCAAAGAAGAAGCCACAGTGCTGTTTAGGACATACTTAGTTCTATATTTGGGAGTGGAATTAGGCTTCCCCTTTTGAAGGGAGAAGTATCAGATAACTTGTGGATTTTTTTTTTTTTTTGGTAGAGACAAAAATCTCACCATGTTGCCCAGGCTGGTCTCGAACTCATGGGCTCAAATAATCCTGCCTCGGCTTTCCAAAGTGCTGGCATTACAGGGATGAGCCACCTCACCAAGCCTGTAGACTTTTTTTTTTTTTTTTTTTTTTTTTGAGACAGAGTCTCGCTCTGTTACGCAGGCTGGAATGTAGTGGGACGATTCCAGGTTCAAGTGACTCTCCTGTCTCAGCCTCCCGAGTAGCTGGGAGGACTACAGGTGACTGCCACCATGCCCGGGTAATTTTTTTTTTTTTTTTTGAGATGGAATTTTGTTCTTGTTGCCAGGCTGGAGTGCAATGGTGTGATCTTGGCTCACCACAACCTCTGCCTCCTGGGTTCAAGCAATTCTCCTGCCTCAGCCTCCAGAGTAGATGGGATTACAGGTACATGCCACCACCCCTGGCTAATTTTTGTATTTTTAGTAGAGATGGGGTTTCTCCATGTTGGTCAGGCTTGTCTCAAACTCCCGACCTCAGGTGATCCACCTGCCTCTGCCTCCCAAAGTTCTTGGATTACAGGCATGACCTACCATGCCCAGGTGTAATTTTTGTATTGTTAGTAGTTACAGGCTTTCACTGTATTGGTCAGGCTGGTCTTAAACTCCTGACCTCAGGTGATCCATTTGCCTCAGCCTCCCAAAGTGCTGGGATTACAGGTGTGAGCCACCATGCCCGGCCTAGACACACCTGTAATCCCAGCTACTTGGGAGGCTGAGGCAGGATAAGCACTTGAACCCAGGAGGCAGAGGTTGCAGTGAGCTGAGATCCTGTCACTGCACTCCAGCCTGAGCGACAGGCTCTGTCTCAAAATAAATAAATAAATAAATAAATAAATAAATAAAACTAAAAATAAAAATTTAAAGGTACAAAAGTGCAAAAGCATATGCAGTTAAAAGTGAGTCTTGGCCAGGTACAGTGGTTCACGCCTGTAATTCCAGTACTTTGGGAGGCCGAGGTGGGCAGATCACTTGAGGCCAGGAGTTCCAGATTAGCCTGGGTAACATGGTAAAACCTCTTCTCTACAAAAGATACAAAATTTAGCTGAGTGTAGTGGTGCACATCTGTGGTCCTAGCTACTCGGGATGCTGAGGTGGAAGAAGCATCTGAGCCCAGGAATTCAAATTCGAGGTGATAGAGTGACCCTGTCTCAAAAAAAAAAAAAAAGACCGGCCATGGTGGCCCACTTCTGTAATCCCAGCACTTCAGGAGGCCGAGGTAGGCAGATCACACGAGGTCAGGAGTTCAAGACCAGCCTGAGCAACATGGTGAAACCCCATCTCTACCAAAAGCACAAAAATTAGCCTTGCATGGTGGCACACATCTGTAATCCCAGCTATTCAGGAGGCTGAGGCAGGAGAATTGCTTGAACCCAGGAGACAGAGGTTGCAGTGATCTGACACAGTGCCCCTGCACTCCAGCCTGGGCAACAGAGATTCTGTCAAAAAAAAAAAAAAAAAAAAAGACATATAGATTAGTGGAAAAGAATTCAGAATCCAGAAATAAACTCTCACATTTACAGTCAGTTGATTTTTTTTCTTTTTTTTAAGCGGGAGTCTCACTCTGTTGCCCAGGCTGGAGTGCAGTGATGTGATCTTGCCTCACTGCTAACTCCGCCTCCCAGGTTCAAGTGATTCTCCTGGCTCAGCCTCCCGAGTAGCTGGGAATACAGACGTGTGCCACCACATCAGGCTAATTTTTGTATTTTTAGTAGAGATGGGGTTTCACCATGTTGGTCAGGCTGGTCTCAAACTCCTGACCTCAAGTGATCTGCCACCTTGGCCTCTCAAAGTGCTGGGGTTACAGGCATAAGCCAACATGCCTGGCCCTGTCACAGTTGATTTTTATTTTCAACAAGGGTGCCAAAATAATTTAATGTGAAAAAGAATAGTCTTTCCGACAAATGGTGCTGGGACAACTGAATATGTACATGGAAAAGAATAAATGTGAATTCCTATCTCACACCATATAAAAAAGAACTCGAAATGGATCAAATACCTAAATATAAGAGCTAGAACTATTTACACTCTTAGAAAAAGACATGGGCATAAATCTTTGTGACTTGCTCAGGCAAGATTTTCTTAGATATGGTACCAAAAGGACAAATAACAAAAGAAAAAGTAGGCTGGGGGCAGTGGCTCACTCCTGTAATCCCAGCATTTTGGGAGGCAGAGGCAGGCGGATCACCTGAGGTTGGGAGTTCGAGACCAGCCTGATTAACATGGAGAAACCCCATCTCTACTAAAAATACAAAATTAGCCAGGCGTGGTGGTGCATGCCTGTAATCCCAGCTACTTGGGAGGCTGAGGCAGAAGAATCACTTGAACCCAGGGGGCAGAGTTTGCGGTGAGCCAAGATCCCGCCACTGCACTCCAGCCTGGGCAACAAGAGATAAACGCTAACTCAAAAAACAAAACAAAACAAAACAAAAGGTAGATGAATTGGATTTCACCAAAATTAAAAACTTTTGTGTTTCACAGGACACCATGAAAACAGCAAAAAGATAACCCAAAGTAGTGAGACCCCGTCTCTACAAAAAATAAAAAATTAGCTAGGCATGGTGGTGCGTGCCTGTGGCCCAAGTTACTCAGCAGGCTGAGATGGGAGGATCACTTGAGCTCAGGAGTTTGAGGCTGCAGTAAGCCGTGATCATGCCACTGCAACTCCAGCTGGGGTGACAGCAAGATTCTGTCTCAAAAAAATAAATAAAGATTGCCGGGAGCAGTGGCTCACACCTGTAATCCCAGCACTTTGAGAGGCTGAGGCAGGTGGATCACTTGAGGCCAGGTGTTTGAGACGAGCCTGGCCAACAGGGTGAAAGCCCATCTCTACTAAAAATACAAAAATTAACCAGGCATGGTGGTTCATGTCTGTAGTCCTAGCTACTCGGGAGGCTGAGGCAGGAGAATCACTCAGAAAATCTCAGGAGGCAGATGCTGCAGTGAGCCAAGATCATGCACTGCAATCCAGCCTGGGTGACAGAGCAAGACTCTGTCTCAAAAAAAAAAAAAAAAAAAAAAAAAGAAGAAGAAGAAGAAGAAAAAATTTAAAACTAATATATCTGATAAGTAACGTATCTAGAATACAGAACTCTTATAATAAAATAATAAATTATTACAATAATAAAAAGATAACCCAATTAAAAAATGAGCAGGGTGTAGTAGTAAGCACCTATGATTCCAGCTACTTGGGAGGCTGGGGTGGAAGGATCCTTGAATCCAGGAGTTTGAGGCTGTAGTGCACTATGATTACATCTGTGAATACCCACTTTGCTCCGGCCTGGGCAACATGGTAAGACCCCCTCTCTAAAAGAAATTTTTTCTTTTCTTTTTTCTTTTTATTTTTTTTTAAGACGGAGTCTCGCTCTGTCACTGCCCTGCTGGAGTACAATGGCATGATTTCGGCTCACTGCCACCTCCGCCTCCTGGGTTCAAGTGATTCTCCTGCCTCAGCCTCCTGAGTAGCTGGGATTACAGACATGCACCACCACGCCTGGCTAATTTTTTGTATCTTTTTTTAATGGCTGTTATGCTTTTAATGGTGGCATGTACAAAATTCATCAATGCAAAAGATGTTTTACATACTCATAGACATAGTGATTAATGTAAATTATATCTTGACAATGTAAAGTACAGTGTGTTTGGCCTCAGAAAAGAAAGTAGAGAGTTAGCTGCAACTTAACATAACTGGAAAGGCTCTTTACGTTGTTTTTGCTCACCACCTTTATTATGATACTTCTAAATGATATCTGGGGAGGGAATTAAAAAATAAGACAAAGCTCTTTTCAGCTGTGGTTCAAAGAACTCTAGTGAAGCTGTATGGCAATGACATTGTGGGACCATGAAGTTTCCGTAGAAGTATTTTCAATAACAGGCAGTTAAGAAGCTTAATAGTTTCAAAGTCTGGAAAGCAGTAAAGATATCTTAGAGAATTTAAAAACATAAACTCCACTTCTCTCCTACAGAGACATTTTAAAGCATGGACATAACTTTAAGGAGATTGAGAAAACATCAGTAGTTTTCATAAAGCTTCAATGAACACCCCAAGGCACAAGTGTTGAAAACGGCCTGTTCACTAGAACATCACTTTTGGAGATACAGGTATGCTGTGCTTGCAGTGAGAGGACGACTTTATCCCTAGTTTAAAGCACCGGGTGTCAAGCTCAGCTTCCATTTACACAGGATGCACCAATAATCCCTATGATAGTGAATCGTTCAAGTACTATTTCCAATAGGTCTTTTGCCTATTTGCTTAGTCAGTATTGGGGTTCTTTTAAACTCTGTGGGTCTGAATTTTTTTTTTTTTTTTTTGAGACAGAGTCTCACTCTGTCACCCAGGCTGGAGTGCAGTGGCGCAATCTTGGCTCACTGCAACCTCCGCCCCCAGGGTTCAAGCGATTCTCCTGCCTCAGCCTCCGGAGTGGCTGGGATTACAGGCACCTGCCACTGCACCCAGCTAATTTTTGTATTTTTAGTAGAGATGGGGTTTCGCCATCTTGGCCAGGCTGGTCTTGAACTTTTGACCTCGTGATCCACCTGCCTCGGCCTCCCAAAGTGCTGGAATTACAGGGGTGAGCCACCACACCTGGCTGGGCTGTAGAATATTTTAAAAGGTTAGAACTACCTCAAAAATAGTGTTGAAATAATACCGAGCCCTTTTAAAAGAGCTCACTGCATTTTTAAATAACATTTATGGAAAGAAAGAAAGACAAAATTTGTAGTAGCTGAGTTCCTTTCAAGTGAAAAGTAATAATGTAGAACTAACATGTAGGCTAAAATGTTTGGTAATTAATGTCAAAAATTGCCAAGATTATTAATATATATTTTGGTAACCACCATTGGGCAGGTTAATTTTTTGTGCAAAATACACTATATATTAATAGAACAGGAAAATCATTATTTCAGACCACTAACAGAAGAAAACCCACAGCAAGAGAAGCATCTATAGGGCAATTAAATGTTAGGGAATTTACTATCTTTAGAATACATCAATACACTTTGATTAGAGAAATATTTCATTTTTAAAACTAGAGTGTTTTAATGTACTTTTAGTAACAACCCAATCTAAGGAGACTTGGAGGCTTGTGAAAAAGACATATCCACAAAGATGCTGCATTTCTAGTGTGTGGGTGAATTAATACTTCTGTAAGGAGGAAGGAACTGAATCACCTCAGCATCAATAAACAGCATTTTTCTTTTAAACAATAACTCATAATCTGATGACTCATTTTGCTTTACTAGTTCAAAATTAGGCAGGAGAAGAACTAAGCTAACTGGTCAGACCCAGAAACACAATGATTTGGCAAGCCGCGGTCACTTAGCTCATGATGTGTGATAATAGGCAGAAAGGCTGCTCAACTCTTGTCCAATCCTTCACATCTGTAGAGGAGTTTGATATAACCACTTATCTTTATCAACTTTAAGCTACATACAGGCAAAGAGATCACAAACTGCAGGGAGGTGGTAATGGTCTCGGGGGAAGTTATGTTTCTCCTGTAGAGGTTAATTAAGTAATACTTCCTGGGTCTTCTTCCAAAGCAGCCACTTGTCTTCTCCAGAGGATAACTGGCTGAGATTGCCCATCTTCTCTCCTGGCAGGACCCAGTCAGCTGTGTTAAAGGGACACCAGGAAGTGCTCATATGGGCCTTTTAAGCTTTTGTTTGCCAGTTCTGTCTTCAGTGCTAGGCCCTTCCTTGGGACTTCCTTCTTTGTATAGGGGCCTGATAAGCCACTCCAACAAGGGGCTGTTCTTTATGACTTGGAAGGAATCAGCAATTCTAGAAGGAACCACTGCCTTTGGTGCTTAGTTTGTTCTATTAATTCTTTTCTAGAAGGACAGAGCCACATATTCAGGGAATCTTTATGCTTCTCAGGCTCAGGTTTGGGTTCCACGGGCATCCCATTTTTATCCTTTCCTTCTTTCTTCAGAAGCCACTTATACAGAGCCTCCTTCTCACAGCTCTCATCACACACACACTCTGCAGAGCTTGTACAGGGCTCATTGGCTCTGCACACCTCTTCTGCCTTACATGGGTCCTGATGGTTCTGGACAAGCCAATCCTCTGTAACCATGCTGAGGGTGAACAATGGTTTCTTGGCCTCCAAGTGGTCATTCAGACACTTCAGATTGCCCAGGTTTTCAATCCCCACAGTTTGGGGCTGGTTTCCCTGACAGTTGGTACAGGAGTAAGTCTTGACAAGCCAATCATTCACATTATAGGACTGGAATAAGAGCTTAAACTTCTCACTGGTTTCACAACTGCCATTCTCAGGCTTCCTCAGCTTATGGGATTCCTGGGGAGTCACCAGCCAATCTGATAGGTCCATCTCATCTTGATCAGGAAGCTTTAGATCTTCAAACTTTTCCATTTCAATGGAGAAATGACTAGTAGTGGAATGGCTGTTACAGTTTTGATAACTTGGTTTTTCAGGAATTTCCTGTTGCTGACTCTTGAGGAGCCAGTTTTCTAAGCCCTTTAGGTTTCCCCAGACATTACTGAAGAAATTGCAGGCTCTGAAAGAAGTCTGGCTATTCTCCAAGGTCTGCTTTTGGGTGAGCCAGTCCTGGGGGTTGGTGCTGGGTATGTAAGGAGCCTGATGACCACTGGCAGGTTGGCTCCCAAGCAGCCATTCACTGAGAGGGACAGCTACAATACTGGATGCTGACTTCTGCTCTGGCATTGGGTTATAGCTTCTCTTGTCCAGGAAGGGCCCAATATTTGATGAACTAGCATGAGCCATGAAGTGCTCAGGAGTCTGAATGATTTTGAGAGACCCAAATGTGGTGATGGTCTGGCGCAGAGCACTTGTGTCAGCTTCAAAGAGCGAGATAGTTGAATCTTTAGGCTTAAGGGTCAAACTGCCCAGTCTCTTCAGGCACGCAGACTTGATTGGCTAGATCTTTGTTTTGGGTACAGTCCAGTTGATGAGTAAGAAAATTGAACTGGCCCAATAACCACTAGAGCTACTGAGCCTGCTGTTGAAGTGTCTCCTCTTTAAGCTGATAGATGAGGTCTACCTGTTCATATAGCCACACCTCACAACTTCTAAGACATTCCAGGTGACAGCTTATGCAACTGTGAATCTGAGCTTTGACCTCTCTCAAGTTATCTTTAATTTGCTGTTCAGCCCGGAGAACTCCACCAATAGCAAGCTCCAAGTCCCTCCATGCATCACTACACCTCAAAAGGGGTTCTATTTATTTATTTATTTATTTATTTTTGAGACAGAGTCTCGCTCTGTTGCCCAGGCTGGAGTGCAGTGGCGCGATCCTGACTCACTGCAAGCTCCGCCTCCTGGGTTCAGGCCATTCTCCAGCCTCAGCCTCCTGAGTAGCTGAGACTACAGGCGCCTGCAACCACGCCCAGCTAATTTTTCGTATTTTTAGTAGAGACGGGGTTTCACCGTGTTAGCCAGGAGGGTCTCGATCTCCTGACCTCGTGATCCGCCCACCCCGGGCTCCCAAAGTGTTGGGATTACAGGTGTGAGCCACCGTGCCTGGCCTCAAAAGGGGTTCTCTATTACTGGAGCTGCCACTCTGGTCTTAGAAGGTATTCATTCTGCTCACTGCTCCAGGTCCGAGTGCCTCTCTGAGCGATCCGAGGGGACCTTGGGTGGGCTGAGACACGGGCCACACAAACCTAGGGCCCAAAGCAATTTTTTGTATTTTTAATAGGGATGGGGTTTGGCCACATTGGCCAGGCTAGTCTTGAACTCCTGGCCTCAAGTGATCTGCTGGCCTCGACCTCCCAAAGTGCTGGGATTACAAGCATGAGCCACTGCTTCCAGACTAAAAAATTTTTTTCTTTTGTCTATAACCTTTAGATTTATTTTTATATTTATGAAGCAATAAGCAAACAAATAGTAAGAGTTGGGGGAGATTACCTAAAATGGTTTTCTTTTGGAATAGTTTTCTAAAAAATCAAATAACTGTTATTATTTTAAGTTGCATGGGACTGAAGCTGCACCTGGAAAGGGATTTCATTTTCATGACCTGCAAAATTGGTTAGGCAATGAGCTATTATTCCTCCCTCCCTGTGAACACATTTATAAACTTCGATGGGGGCAAATTCCATCTAATACTCTGAAAACCATTTCTCATCTCATAATTTACCCAAATCATGTGCACGACTGCAAGAGGAAATAAACAGAAATCTTTAAGCATACATAAGCCACAATGGATTATTAATCTTGTACAGACAATCCAGCATTAAGGCTAATTTGATCTTTTAAACATTTTATGGAAAACATTTGACATTTTCACTAGAAAAGCCCACAAGCTATCATAACCCCAAAGGCATACAGCCGTGGCAGGCAGGGCTCCATCGGGCTCCTCTTGAACTGGGCACCCCTTCACGGGTAGAAAAGCAGGAACACATGTCTTCGCTTCCTGCTGCTCTGCACACACATCACAATATCTTGCAGAAGGTGGTTTCTGTCTTCCTTGGAGACATTAAACACTTTCACATCATTTCTGTTTCTGATTTCTTCTACAAGGGCCAGTGACTTTCCTTTAGGGACTGGGATTGTGCCAGCGATTATAGTCCCTGGGGTAGATAGCATCTGACAAACAGATTGGATGAAAGGCTAACTAAAGAGTTTCATTTTCCCACTCTCATCAGTGACACACACTCTCTGCCCTGGGTCACTGCTGGAATCTGCATTCCTCAAGATAGGGAGCGCCAACTGCTCAAAATAAGTCAGGTTAACCACATAATGCCCAACTTGGCATCCACATTTTCCAGGTGGAGGCTCTAACCCAACTCTAAATAAAGGCCCCTGGATGCCAAACAACACGATGACATCAAATCCTATTCTTCTCCCTCCCTGTCTGACTTCCTCTCTATAAAATCCACTGGGGTCGTGGTCAGGGTTGCAGTCGGGTTAGGGTTGCAATTCAGGTCAGGTCCAGGTCAGGGTCACGATTCAGGCCCTGCTCACCCTGTACCGTAGGCCCCCAGCAATTTTCTTTTTTTTTTTTTGAGATGGAGTCTCACTCTGTTGCCCAGGCTGGAGTGCAGTGGCATGACCTTGGCTCACTGCAACTTCCACCTCCCAGGTTCAAGCGATTCTCCTGCCTCAGCCTCCCGAGTAGCTGGGATTACAGGCATGCATCACCACACCTGGCTAATTTTTGTATTTTTAGTATAGACGGGGTTTCGCCATGTTGGCCAGGCTGGTCTTGAACTCCTGACCTCAAGTGATCCGCCCACCTTGGCCTCCCAAAGTTCTGGGATTACAGGCGTGAGCCACTGCACCCGGCCCCCAATTTTTTTTTTTTTTTTTTTCTGAGATGGAGTCTCGCTGTGTCACCAAGTTGGAGTGCAGTGGCATGACCTTGGCTCACTGCAACCTCCGCCTCCCGGGTTGCAGCGATTCTCCTGCCTCAGCCTCTCAAGTAGCTGGGATTACAGGCACCCACCACCATGCCCAGCTAATTTTTGTATTTTTAGAAGAGACGGGTTTTCACCATGTTGGCCTGGCTCGTCTCGATCTCCTGACCTTGTGATCCACCCGCGTCAGCCTCCCAAAGTGCTGGGATTACAGGCGAGAACCACCGCGCCTGGCTCAAAATTTTTTTAAAATAAAAAAATAAGATATCACTTCACATACACTAGATGGCTAGAATTTAACAGGCAGAGAATAGCAAATATTGACTAGGAGGTAGAGAAACTGGAACCCTCATACATAACTAGTGGGAAAGTAAAATGGTGCAACCACTTGGAAAGCAGTCTGGCAGTTCTTCAAAAGTTTATATATAGAGTTGCCATATGACCAAGCATCCCCTCACCCAGGTACATACCCAAGAGAAATGAAAATGTGTGTCCACACAAACACTTGGGCATGAATGATCATTGCAGCATTATTTATAATAGTCAAAAAGTGGAAATAACTCAATTGTCCTTAACTAATTAATGGTCAATAAAAGTGGTATATCAATGGAACATTATACACAATGGAATATTTTTGGCAACAAGAAGGATAAAAAGAAATGAAGTACTGATACATGCTACAACATGGGCAAACCTGTAAAACATGATGCTAAGGGCAGGGCGCAGTGGCTCAGGTCTGTAACCCCAGCACTTTGGGAGATCAAGGAGGGCTGATCACCTGAGGTCAGGAGTTCGAGACCAGCCTGGCCAACATTGTGAAACCCTGTCTCTACTAAAAATACAAAAAATTAGCTGGGCATGGTGACTCGTGCCTGTAATCCCAGCTACTCAGGAGGCTGAGAGAGGAGAATCGCTTGAACCCAGGAGGCGGAGGTTGCAGTGAGCTGAGATCGCACCACTGCACTCCAGCCTGTGTGATGGAGCGAGACCCCATCTCAAAAACACACACATAAAAAACAAACAAAAAAAAACCATGATGCTAAGAAGCCGGACACAATCACATATTGCATGATTCGATTTATGTTGTGTCCAGTATAGGCAAATCTATAGATACAGAAAGCAGATTAGTGGTTGTCTGGGGATGAGGTAGGGGTGTTGGTTGGTGGTTGGGGGTTGATGGTTATATTAGTCCATTCTCACACTACTATGAAGAAATACCCAAGACTAGATAATTTATAAAGGAAAGAGGTTTAATTGACTCACAGTTTTGCATGGCCGGGGCGGCCTCAGGAAACTTACAATCACGGCAGAAGGAAAAGGAGAAGCAGGCACCTTTTTCACAGGGCAGCAGGATGGAATGAGTGTAAGCCGGGGAAATGCCAAACGCTTATAAAACCATCAGATCTCATGAGACTCACTCACTATCATGAGAACAGCATGGGGGAAACCACCTCATCATCCAATTACCTCCACCTGGTCCCACCCTTGACATGTAGGGATTATGGGGATTACAATTCAAGATGAGATTTTTGGTGGGGACAGAGCCAAACTATATCAATGGCTAAAGGTACAGGTTTCTTTTGGGAGTGACAAAAATGTTCTAAAATTAACTGTGGTGATGGTTGCACAACTATGTGAATATACTTAAAACCATTGAATTGAATAGCATGCTTTAAGTTGGTGAGCCGTATAATATATGACATATCTCAATAAAGCTATTATCAAAATGAGTAAATAAATAAACAAGACTGGGCGCAGTGGCTCATGCCTGTAATCCCAGCACTCTGGGAGGCTGCGGGGGATGGACCACCTGAGGTCGGGAGCTCAAGACCAGCCTGACTGACATGGAAAAACCCCATCTCTACTAAAAATACAAAATTAGCCAGGCATGGTGGTGCATGCCTGTAATCCCAGCTACTAGGGAGGCTGAGGCAGGGGAATTGCTTGAACCTGGGAGGCGGAGGTTGCAGTGAGCAGAGATCGTACAATCGCACTCCAGCCTGGGCAAAAAGAGCAAAACTCCATCTCAAAAATAAATAAATAAATAAATAAATAAATAAATAAATAAATAAATAAATGGTAGATCTCTGCACCCGGCTAGATACCTCCTTCCAACAAAATGTGGGTCCATTGTTCACTTCCTGAAGATATAGCAGCTCAGCCAGCCAGCTGTGCTTCCCTGCCCCCAATCACACCATCATCTAGCCCCTCTTTCCTCATTACGTCTACTAGGATAGCATCTTGTTTAGGGAAGACCATGACACAATAGTTAATTCCATGATGGGACAATAGAATTATAACAGAGGGGCAGCTGGAGTCAGACCCAGAAGCCACCCCTGGATTAGATATCAAATCTCTGTGTCTGCAGGAGAGGTGATTTGAGCCCAAGGTAGAAACCAAGGTAAGAGGGGCTGGCAACTCCAAGAGTGTGATTGTCAGTGGTGATAATGATGGTGATGGTGCTGGTGGTGGTGATAAGAGTTAGCAATTACTGGCAGGGTGCAGTGGCTCACATCTGTAATCCCAGAACTTTGGGAGGCTGAGGTGTGTGGATTGCTTGAGCCTAGGAGTTCTAAGCCAGCCTGGACAACATGGTGAAACCCCATCGCTACAAAAAAAAAATACAAAAATTAGCTAGGCATGGTGGTACAAGTCTATAGTCCTTGCTACTTGGGAGGCTGAGGTGGGAGGATTGCCTGAGTCTGGGAGGTCAAGGCTGCAGTGAGCTGTGATTGTCATTGCACTCCAGCCTGGGAGACAGACCCTGTCTCAAAAACAAACAAACAAGCAAAAAAAAACAAAAACAAAAAATGACTGGGCAAGGTGGCTCATACCTGTAATCCCAGCACTTTGGGAGGCCGAGATGGGTGGATCACTTGAGGTCAGGAGTTCAAGACCAGCCTGGCTAACATGGTGAAACCCCATCGCTACTAAAAATACAAAAATACAAAAATAGTGGCATGTGTCTGTGGTCCTAGCTACTCGGGAGGCTGAGGCAGGAGAATCGCTTGAACCCAGGAGGCGGAGGTTGTAGTGAGCCGAGATTGCACCACTACACTCTAGCCTGGGCAACAAAGTGAGACTCCATCTCAAAATAAATAAATAAATAAATAAAATAAAAAGACTTAGCAATTACTGAGCATTTACAAATCAGGTCTGCACATGCATTTATGCATTTTTTCTTTCCATTCTCAAAACAATTCTGTCAGATAAAAGATGTTGCTATCCCCATTTTAGGTATGAGGAAATTTGGGTTTAAAGAGGTTGCATATCTGGGCCAAGGTCACACAGCCAGAAGAAGCAGAGGCCAGATTGGAAACCAGGTCTACTGTGATCAACTGATAAAATCCCCCCAATGTCCCTATTCTGGTAGGATTAAGGGGCACTGAGGTTGTGTGGGCAAAAGAGTGGCTCCATAGAGGCCAGAGGCCTCCCTACCCCATTCACACTCTGTCCAAGGCCCAGAGTCCCCTGAATGAAAGCATGGGGGCTTATTTCTCACTGGGACCACTGATAATGAGTTTCAGGGAAGACTCGTGAAAGCTGTAACTCAGCTGGAAATAGAAATGAAAGCCAGCCCAGACCAGCACTTCCGGGGTGTCTGGAGGGAAGAAGCAACTACCAGAGGAAGGAGCAGGCTGTGGAGCGGAGTGTGGGAACTCAGCACCACCAGCCTGAGAGCTGCAGCCAGTAAGCCAGGCAGCCTGGAACTTGGGCCTAACTTCCCTCCATGGCCCTCAGCTTCCTCTTTGGAGGACCAGATGGTCAGTCTGGAAGAGCTGTGATGTCCCTGCTTGTCAATACAGCTGAAGTGTCTTACTGCTGAGGACAATCCCATGAATGCAGCTGTTGTGATGCTTCCTAGGTACTGAGGCCCTGGCCACAAGCCACAAGGGTCCCACCCACCCTCCAGTCCCGTTCTTATACCACTGACCCTGTTATGAATTAAGTTGTGTCTCCAAAAAGATAATACTGAAATCCTAATCTATGGTAGTTGTGAATGTGACCTTACTTGGAAATAGGGCCTTTGCAGATGCAATTGAGTTAAGGTGAGGTCATTAGGGTAGGTCCTAATCCAGTGACTGGTGCTTTTTTTTTTTTTTGAGACAGAGTCTTACTCTGCCCCCAGGATGGAGTGCAGTGGTGCAATCTCAGCTCACTGCAATGTCCACCTCCTGGGCTCAAGCAATTCTGCCTCAGCCTCCTGAGAAGCTGGGATTACAGGCGTGAGCCACCATGCCCAGCTAATTTTTTTTTTTTTTTGAGATGGAGTTTCGCTGTTGTTGCTCAAGCTGGAGTGCAGCGGCGTGATCTCGGCTCACTGCAACCTCCGCCTCCTGGGTTCAAGAGATTCTCCTACCTCAGCCTCCTGAGAAGCTGGGATTACAGGGTCCTGCCACCACACCCACCTAATTTTTTGTATTTTTAGTAGAGACGGGGTTTCACCATGTTGGCCAGGCTGGTCTCGAACTCCTGACCTCAGGTGATCCATTTGCCTCGGCCTCCCAAAGTGCTGGGATTACAGGCATGAGCCACCGTGCCTGGCCTTTTTTTTTTCTAGAGATGGGGTCTCCCTGTGTTGCCCAGGCTGGCCTTGAACTCTAGCCTCAAGCAATCCTCCTGCTTCAGCCTCCCAAAGCACTAGGATTACAGGCATGAGCCACTGTACCTTCACCTGGTGTCTTCATAACAAGAAAGGCTATGTGAAGACAGAGACACAGAAGGGAGAATGGCACGTGATGAAGGAGGCAGAGGTTGGGTCCAGACACACCTGGGACTACCAGAAGGTAGAAGTGGCAAGGAGAGATCCTCCTCTAGAGCGGGAGTCCCCAGTCCCTGGGCCTCGGACCAGAACTGGTTTGTGGCCTGTCAGGAACCGGGCTGCAGTGGGCGAGCGAGCATTACAGCCTGAGCTCTGCCTCCTGTCCGATCAGTGGCGGCATTAGATGCCCATAGGAGTGCGAACTCCATTGTGAATTGCACATGCGAGGGATCTAGGTTGCATGCTCCTTAGGAAAATCCAACTAATGCTCGGATGTGAGGTGGAACAGTTTCACCCTGAAATCATCCCCCTTCCCATCCATGGAAAAATCGTCTTGCAAGAAACCAGTCCCTGGTGCCAAAAAGGTTAGGGACCGCTACTCTAGAGATTTCAGAGGAAGTGTGGCCCTACCAACACCTTGATTTTGGACTTCTAGCCTCTGGAACTATGAGAGAATAAACATCTGTTGTTTTTAGCCACGAAATTTGTGATACTTTGTTATGGCAGTTCTTGGAAACTAACAGAGACCCCTCCACATGCTTACTTGCCCCAGCTGCACCAGCCATTGCTCTGTTCCTCCACTGCCTGGCTCCTTCCCACTCCAGGGCCTTTGTGTGTGCTGCTCCTTTCAGAATGTTGCACACCCACCCGCCCTCCATCACTCCCATCCTCCTTCCAAACTCAGGGTAAATCGCTGCCTTCAGGGAAACCTGACCCTGGGTATTCCAATTTCCGCTCACGGCAGCAGGCTGAGTGCATTCCTTGTAGCCCTGCCACATCTGTAGTTAACTACTTACTCATACAGTTGTGTTCTGCCCATTTCCCCTGTCCAGCTGTAGGTGCCATGACAAGTACTGACCTGGCACGTGCACCAGCAGTCCTATCCCATGCAAAGCACGGTACACACAGGGATAGACTGCATGGATTAAGGGTGTGCGGAAATCCTGGCCTGGCACTGGAAGGCCCAGGCTGTGGGGCCTCTGCTCCCTTCGCAGCCTGCACTCCTTCCCGCACCCTGCAGGACCTTTCTCTCCAGGCAGGCCAGGCTAGGCTGGCTTCCCGGCTTCCCTGGACCCCACCATTCCCACTCCTTTTGGCCAAGCCCCAGCTTACTTTATCTGAATGACCTGGCCTCAGTGCCTTCTGCGCCTGCAAGGTCTGCATTAGAGCAGGTTCAGACTCAGGGAAATGAGCCCAGAGTAGCAGGTAGGGCAGAGGGGAGGGAGAGGGGACAGACGGGAGTGGAAGGAGGTCTTAAGACTGAGACAATGTTGGGATTCTCTCTCTCTCTCTCTCTCTCTCTCTCTCTTTTGAGACTAGGTCTTGCTCTGTCACCCAGGCTGAAATGCAGTGGTGTGATCATAGCTCACTGCTGCAGCCTTTAACTCCTTGGGCTCAAGCGATCCTACTGCCTTGAGCTCCCAAAGCACTGGGATTACAGGCGTGAGCCACTGTGCCCAGCTGGATTTTCTTTACGGCATATTTTAAACATTAAACAGGTCAGGCATGGTGGCTCACGCCTGTAATCCCAGCACTTTGGGAGGCCAAAGTGGGAGGATCACGAGGTCAGGAGATCAAGACCATCCTGGCCAACATGGTGAAACCCCGTCTGTACTGAAAATACAAAAATTAGCTGGGTGTGGTGGCACGTGCCTGTAATCCCAGCTACTCTGGAGGCTGAGGCAGGAGAATTGCTTGAACCAGGGAGTCGGAGGTTGCAGTGAGCTGAGTTCGCACCACTGCACTCCAGCCTGGCGACAGAGCAAGACTCCGTCTCAAAAATTTAAAAATAAATAAATAAATAAACATTAAACAAATGATACATGTTCAATGTAGGGAAAAGAAATCTTAGAAAACATAATGAGCAAAAAAGGACAATAGAATAAAAATCACCCATATTCCAACTGCACAGAGTAACCTTTGTTAGAACTTTGTCATATATTCTCCTGGATCTTTTTTTTTTTTTTCTGAGATGGAGTCTGCCTCTGTCGCCTAGGCTGGAGTGCAGTGGCACGATCTTGGCTCACTGCAACCTCCGCCTCTCGGGTTCAAGCGATTCTCCTGCCTCAGCCTCCCAAAGATGGCCTCGATCTCCTGACCTCGTGATCTGCCCGCCTCAGCCTCCCAAAGTGCTGGGATTACAGGCATGAGCCACTGCGCCTGGCCTTCTCCTAGGTCTTTATGTGAGCCTATTGTAGAGGAGAGAAAGTGTAGGGAATTCCCTGCATTGTTAGGGCATGATTTTGAAAAACCAGAGTTTCCAGGAAGCCTCATTGCTCCTCTGAGGCCAAGGCATCTATCAATGTGTGTCTTCCCATGTCTGGTCATGATGTGGGGAAGGGTTCAGGGCGAGGACCCCTCTGACCTGGACAGGAATGAACTACTGCTGCTCTGCGGGTGCCATCCTAGCCTCACTCTCCAGGCCTGCCCCTTCTTTGAAGCAGCTTACTGCAGCCAGAGACACTTCCCACCCCAAGGGAACTCAAAGCTTGTGTCAAGGCCAAGGAAAAATTCCCCCTCCGCCCTCTGAAGGCTTGCTGAAAATCACTGACAAGAGGCAGATTAACAGGAGGAAAAATATACAAATTTATTTGATCAGAGTTTTATGTGTCACAGAGGCCTTCAGAATGAAGACCCAAAGACAGAGGGCAAATTGTCTATTTTTACGTTTAGGTTCATTAAAGTATGGACACCCTTGTTGAAATATAATTGGACAGAAAGGGTATGCTCTAATGCTAATAGAATGAGTGGGGAAACCCAGCCTCGCCCGTCTGTCTAGATTCTTCTTGGCCTCTCTGAGCGTGTGTTCCTTCTTTCTGAGTGTGGGGCAGGGCCCTCTCTGGAAGGGGGATTTTATAATCTACACTCAAACAATGTAGGTCAGACCTTCCCTTCCCTTCCCTTCCCTTCCCTTCCTTCCTTTCTCTCTCTCTCTTTTTCTTTCTTTCTTCTCTTTTTTTTTTTTTTGAGACGGAGTTTTGCTCTTGTCGCCCAGGCTGGAGTGCAATGGCACGATCTCGGCTCAGTGCAACCTCCGCCTCCCAGGTTCAAGCAGTTCTCCTGCCTCAGCCTCCCAAGAAGCTGGGATTACAGGCATGCGCCATCACGCCCAGCTAATTTTTTGTATTTTTAGTAGAGATGGGGTTTCTCCATGTTGGTCAGGATGGTCTTGAACTCCTGACCTCAGGTGATCTGCCTGCCTTGGCCTCCCAAATTGCTGGGATTATAGGAGTGAGCCACTGCACCCGGCCTTTTTTTTTTTTTTTTTTGAGATGGAGTTTGACTCTTGTTGCCGAGGCTGGAGTGCAGTGGCATGATCTCGGCTCACCGCAAGCTCCGCCTCCTGGGTTCAAGCGATTCTCCTGCCTCAGCCTCCTGAGTAGCTGGGATTATAGGCACCCGCCACCACGCCCAGCGAATTTTTTGTACTTTTAGTAGAGATGGGGTTTCACTATGTTGGCCAGGCTGGTCTCGAACTCCTGACCTCAAGTGATCCATTTGCCTTGGCCTCCCAAAGTGCGAGGATTACAAGGATGAGCCATTGCGCCTGGCCTATTTTTTTTTTTTTTTTTTTGAGATAGGGTATCACTCTGTCACTTAGGCTGGAGTGCAGTGGTGCCATCACAACTCACTGCAACCTCTACCTCCAGGGGTCAAGTGATGCTCCCACCTCAGCCTCCCAAGTAGCTGGGACTATAGGCGTGTTCCGTCATGCTTGGCTAATTTTTTTTTTTTTTTTTTGTAGAGATGGGATCTCCCTGTGTTGCTTAGGCTGGTCTCAAACTTCTGGGCTCAAGTGATCCTCCTGCCTTGGCCTCCCAAAGTGCTGGGATTACTGGAATGAAATCAAGGCACAGAGCAAGCTGGGCTTTGGAGCAACCCACCAGGCTTCAAGTCCCCACTCTCAATTACTTAAACCAGTTATTTCACCTCCCTGAGCCTCGGATTATCCATCTATAAAATGGGGCTAGAATTATACCTACCTGACAGGGTGGCTGGTGAAATGATATACAAGTGAAGTGATATATGCAACACTTGGCATAATGTCTGGAACAAGGTAAACACTTTATTATTATTATTATTATTATAATTTAGGTTGATGCATGGGGATTTTATAACCTACACTCAAACAATGTAGGTCAGATCATTTTTCTTTTCTTTTCTTTTCTTTTCTTTTGAGACAGTCTCGCTCTTGTTGCCCAGGCTGGAGTGCAGTGGCCTAATCTCTGCTCACTGCAACTTCCACCTCTCAGGTTCCAGCGATTCTCCTGCCTCAGCCTCCCAAGTAGCTAAGATTACAAGCGCCCACCACCACGCCTGGCTAATTTTTGTTTTTAGTAGAGATGGGGTTTCACCATGTTGCTCAGGCTGGTCTTGAACTCCTGACCTCAAGTGATCCACCCATCTCGGCCTCCCAAAGCGCTGGGATTACAGGCATGAGCCACTGTGCCAGGCCTGCAATTACTTTTGCTCCTACCTAATATCATCCCCACAACCGCCTTCTGGGCAGAAACCGGCAGGCTCTCTTGGAGAAGTCACAGGCGTGGCCATTTCCTGCAAAGAGCCAAACCCCCATTCCTCTGTGCCCCTCCTCTCCCACCAAGTGCTTTATAAAAATAGCTCTTGTTACCGGAAATAACTGTTCATTTTTCACTCCTCCCTCCTAGGTCACACTTTTCAGAAAAAGAATCTGCATCCTGGAAACCAGAAGAAAAATATGAGACGGGGAATCATCGTGTGATGTGTGTGCTGCCTTTGGCTGAGTGTGTGGAGTCCTGCTCAGGTGTTAGGTACAGTGTGTTTGATCGTGGTGGCTTGAGGGGAACCCGCTGTTCAGAGCTGTGACTGCGGTGAGTGTTTCTAAACACCCTTGGTTTGGGGGTAGCAAAGGGCAATGGAATGGAGGCTTTCTCAAACCTCACCCCTGACCCCAGGACTCAGGCCCAGCTCATCAGGGCTTTGAGGGAAGGTTCCTACCTCCCTTCCTGAGGAACAGGAAATACCCTCCTTCCCAGCACCAGTAAAGCTGCGGTTTGGAGAAACGCCAGGGCTAGAGTGTTGTGGAGAAACCAATCGTTGTTAACATCTCATTTTCAGGCTGCACTCAGAGAAGCTGCCCTTGGCTGCTCGTAGCGCCGGGCCTTCTCTCCTCGTCATCATCCAGAGCAGCCAGTGTCCGGGAGGCAGAAGGTAGGCTCAAGATCAGCCTGGCAGAACGCCAAACCTAGGGCCCCTGGCACCCAGAGGCGAGGGGGTGCCTGCTGGCTGCCCTGTCCCCACTCCCTGAGCTCTGTTTTCCACTTTGTTGACTAAGGTCCTCCCTGGGGTGGGTTCCGGGGACAGGGGAACCCAGGTCCCCAAGGGTTCTTGGTTGGGTACGGCTGCACAGGACAGCTTCAAGTCTGGGTCTGGGATAGTTGCTGCCTTCTTTCTTCACCACACCTGTGGTCTCCCTGGGTCTTGGTGGGGCGTGTATGTGCAGGCCCTGCTCTGTTTTCAGCAAACCTCGCTGAGACAGGAGCTTTGGGGTGACTTATTCCCAGCCTGCCTCCTAGAGGTGTCTCTAAGAGCAGCCTCTGGGAGTGGCTGGGCACCAGGGAAAGGGGAACTGGGAGGAAGTGCCCAGCCAGAGCCTCAGTCCCAGAAGGGCAGGAGGGCAAGGGGAGAATGGTCATGGATTTCTTGGTGCCCACAGATGCCCCACTCCAGCCTGCATCCATCCATCCCGTGTCCCAGGGGTCACGGGGCCCAGAAGGCAGCCTTGGTTCTGCTGAGTGCCTGCCTGGTGACCCTTTGGGGGCTAGGAGAGCCACCAGAGCACACTCTCCGGTACCTGGTGCTCCACCTAGCCTCCCTGCAGCTGGGACTGCTGTTAAACGGGGTCTGCAGCCTGGCTGAGGAGCTGCGCCACATCCACTCCAGGTGACTCACTGCAGTACCCAGGGACGGGGTATCCAACGTGTGTCACTCCCTTGATGCCTAGCCCTGCCCCTCCTTGAACCTCTCTGGCTGAGCTGGGCTGGGGGCTGGGGTCTGGGGTCTGGCTGTCACTCACAGGTACCGGGGCAGCTACTGGAGGACTGTGCGGGCCTGCCTGGGCTGCCCCCTCCGCCGTGGGGCCCTGTTGCTGCTGTCCATCTATTTCTACTACTCCCTCCCAAATGCGGTCGGCCCGCCCTTCACTTGGATGCTTGCCCTCCTGGGCCTCTCGCAGGCACTGAACATCCTCCTGGGCCTCAAGGTATGACACAGGGGGAGGTAGAAGCTCTGGCCAAGTGGTGGCTGTGGCTGGTGTGACCTGCCCTGAGCTGAGTACTGGGAGTGGGACTGGTTTAAAGGCTGGAGTCCATGGAGTAGAACCTATAATGTCCTGGAACAGTGGGTTTGGCAATGGCAAAAGAGGGATCAAGTCAGGAGCAGGTTGGGAAGCCTTGGAGGAGGAGGAGGAGTTCTCTGGGTGTCCTTGATGGAGGCCCCCCAGCCACATCCTGCTGTCCACAGGGCCTGGCCCCAGCTGAGATCTCTGCAGTGTGTGAAAAAGGGAATTTCAACGTGGCCCATGGGCTGGCATGGTCATATTACATCGGATATCTGCGGCTGATCCTGCCAGGTGGGCCATCCTCTCTGCCCCCATTTCTCGATCTACAAAACAGACACTAAGACACACAGCCTCTTGTGTTTCTAAACACACAGAACTCACTATATTTTTCAAAGCATTTTCATGTCTACCAAATCCTTTAATCCCAAGGCATGAAGGATGTTGCTATGATGCCTAGTTTGCAGAAAGGAATATGGGGCTTAGAGCCATTAAGTGACTTGCCCAAGGTCACTTGTGAATTCTTTTTTTTTCTTTTTGAGAAGGAATCTCCCTCTGTCGCCCAGGCTAGAGTGCAGTGGTACCATCTCGGCTACTGCAACCTCCTCCTTCCAAGTTCAAGTGATTATCCTGGCTCAGGTTCCCGAGTAGCTGGGATTATAGGCACCCACCACAACGCCCGGCTAATTTTTGTATTTTTAGTAGAGACAGGGTTTCACCGTATTGGCCAGGCCGGTACAAACTCCTGACCTCAAGTGATCCGCCTGCCTTAGCCTCCCAAAGTGCTGGGATTACAGGCGTGAGCCCAGCTGTAAATTCTTTCAATAAATATTTACTGCATGCTGTGTGCTCTCATGTGCCTTTTCTAATTCACACCCTATGAGGAAGGAATAATCTTTATTCCTGTTTTATTTTATTTATATATTTTTTAAAAAGAAGAGGGTTTTGCTATGTTACCCAGCCTGGTCTCAACTCCTGGGCTCAAGCAATCCTCCTGCCTTGGCTTCCCAAAGTGCCGAGATAACAAGCAGGAGCCACCAAGCCCATACCTATTTTAGATTTTTTTTTTTTTTTTTTTTTGAGACAAAGTCTCACTCTGTTGCGCAGACTGGAGTGCAGTAGCACAATCTCAGCTCACTGCGACCTCTGCCTCCTGGGTTCAGCCTCCCAAGTAGCTGGAATTACAGGTCCCTGCCACCGGCATGGCTTTTTTTTTTTTTTTTTTTTTTTTTTTTGTATTTTTAGTAGAGACAGGGTTTCACCATGTTGCCCAGGCTGGTCTTGAATTCTTGACCTCAAGTAATCCACCCACCTTGGCCTCCCAAAGTGCTGGGATTACAGACATGAGCCACTGCACCAGCCTTAGATTTTTTTTTTTTTTTAAGATGGAGTTTCACTTTTTCACCCGGGCTGAAGTAGAGTGGCACAATCTGGGCTCACTGCAACTTCTGCTTCCCAGGTTCCAGTGATTCTCCTGCCTTAGCCTCCCAAGTAGCTGGGATTTTAGGTGCCTGCCACCACGCCCGGCTAATTTTTGTATTTTCAGTACAGACGGGGTTTCACCATGTTGGGTAGGCTAGTCTCAAACTCCTGACCTCAGGTGATCCACCCACCTCGGCCTCCCAAAGTGCTAGAACTATAGGCATGAGCCACTGTGCCTGGCCTTTTTTTTTAAGTGCAGTTCTGAGAGGTAAAGTGATTTATCCGATATCACATAGCTTAGAGAGAGGAAGAGAAAGGATTTGAACCCAGGTTTGTCCAGAGCCTGGACCCTAGACCACTGCACCGTGGAGCCTGTGTTTGTTGTTGTTGTTGTTGTTGTTGTTGTTGTTGTTGTTGTTGTTGTTGTTTTGAGATGAAGTCTCTTTCTGTTACCCAGCCTGGAGTACAGTGGTGACAAGATCTCAGCTCACTGCAACCTCTGCCTCCCAGGTTCAAGTGATTCTCCTGCCTGAGCCTCTTGAATAGCTAGGATTACAGGCACGTGCCACCATGCCTGGCTAATTTTTGTATTTTTAGTAGAGACAATGTTTCACCATGTTGCCCAGGCTAGTCTCAAACTCCTGACCTCAAATGATCCACCTGCCTCAGCCTCCCAAAGTGCTGGATTACAGGCGTGAGCCACTGTGCCTGCCCTAAGCCTGTGTGTTTTATTCTTCTGACTTGCAGGCTAAAGCGGCAGCTCTTCCATATCTCATTGCTATCTCCTAGGGCTT
The DNA here is from genome assembly GCF_000001405.40 of Homo sapiens. Classification (NCBI taxonomy): domain Eukaryota; kingdom Metazoa; phylum Chordata; class Mammalia; order Primates; family Hominidae; genus Homo; species Homo sapiens. The sequence continues at coordinate 139,478,867 of NC_000005.10, read as the reverse complement.
CCGCTAGGAGACTGATCTGGGGCTAGAGGCCTCCCTCTGTGCACACGAGAATGCTGGAAATGTCACCTCTCAGGGCTCTGCCTGCCTCTCAGCCCTGAAAGCCATGGTGGAAAGGGGTGGCGCTGACATAGACATCTGAGGAAAGAAGTGAGGGAGGGTAAAGGGTGGTGCAGTAAGAGGAGGGGTGGGGAGGGCTTTTGGAGGCGCTGCCCCTCCTGGCCTCCTGTACAATGAGAGTGCACTGGACTCTCCATTCTCTGGCACCCACACACTGCGGGGGCCAATGACCTGGGTCTCACTCCTGAATCAGGTGGGAGATAGGGTTAGCAGGAATAACTTCTTGGGCTTCCCTGCCTCAGAGCTCCAGGCCCGGATTCGAACTTACAATCAGCATTACAACAACCTGCTACGGGGTGCAGTGAGCCAGCGGCTGTATATTCTCCTCCCATTGGACTGTGGGGTGCCTGATAACCTGAGTATGGCTGACCCCAACATTCGCTTCCTGGATAAACTGCCCCAGCAGACCGGTGACCATGCTGGCATCAAGGATCGGGTTTACAGCAACAGCATCTATGAGCTTCTGGAGAACGGGCAGCGGGTAAGTGTGCAGGGGAGTGGGGGTCTCTGAGGAGGGGTCAGGACCCCAGAACCCTGGGCCCTAGCCAAGCACTGATGAAAATTCACTGCCCTTCTCTGAGCTGTAGTGTCCCTAGCTGGTCCCAGGTCTGGGCAGGATTCAGCTCTGAATGATAATGATGAGTAACATTTATCGAGCACTTACTACAAGCTGGATGCTATTCTGGGTGTGTCATCTGATCACCTCATTGAATTCTCACCACCACCCTATGGGGTAGGGACTGTTAGCATTCCCACTTTACAGAGGAGGACACTGAGGCTCAGAGACACCGTAGGAAAGTGGACGATTTAAACTTGACTGTACCATGCTCTTGACCATAAAGCTGCCCCAGACGAAGGCTGTGAGAACATCTGAAGGATTCATGTGGGTGCAGGGGAACCCAGACCAGAGTTGAACCCAGAGCCTAGCCCCAGACCTGATTCCCAGCTGGAGCAGTTGACAGCCTCGGGTCTTGCCCTAGGATCTTGGAAGAAGGATCTGTGAAGGGTAAATTTAGCCCAGCCGTGTCCCTGATTTCAGAGTTGGGTATCAGAGGCAAAGGCAGGCCAGACAGCATAGACCCCATTAGGGTGGCCACCTCCCAGGACTCTATCGTTACAGGCTGAGGGAGTGGGGCCTCAGCCCGTGGCACTGGGGGCCAGAGCCTGGACTGGACCCTCCATTCTCCATCCGCCTGGCCCCTGGCTTAGTCTGGTCTTCCTCTTACCTCCTCTAGGCGGGCACCTGTGTCCTGGAGTACGCCACCCCCTTGCAGACTTTGTTTGCCATGTCACAATACAGTCAAGCTGGCTTTAGCCGGGAGGATAGGCTTGAGCAGGCCAAACTCTTCTGCCGGACACTTGAGGACATCCTGGCAGATGCCCCTGAGTCTCAGAACAACTGCCGCCTCATTGCCTACCAGGGTGAGGGGTTGGTAGGGTGAGGGGTTGATAGGCTGGAGGGCAGGAGGAGTCAGGGGTCCCAGGGTCTCCCAAAGAGTCAGAAGGGGCTATGGAGCACCATGCCCTGGGCCTGTCCTTCCTTCCCTGGGAGAAGCCCCCTCTTCCCAGCACACCAGATTGCTTTTTAGGTCTTTGACTGTAATCCCTCAGGGGAGCCTGAAGAGGTGGGTTCTAGGGGCCTCTCACTTCATCTAGGATTCCAGAGGAAACAGAAGAGTCCCAGGCCAGTATGTACTGGGCACAGGAGACTAGGGCTGCAGCCTCGGCTCTACTACTCCCTCACTGTGTGACCTCGGGCAGGTTTCTGCTCCTCTCTGAGCATTAGCTTTAAAAGTAAGAGGGTGGAATTTCATTCTCTCTGAAATCACTTTTTTTTTTTTTTTTTGAGATGGAGTCTCACTCTGTTGCCCAGGCTGGAGTGAAGTGGCTCGATTTCGGGTCACTGCAACCTCCACCTCCCGGGTCCAAGCGATTCTCCTGCCTCAGCCTCCCAAGTAGCTGGGACTACAGGCGCCCGCCACCATGCCCAGCTAATTTTTGTATTTTTAGTAGAGACGGGGTTTCATCATATTGGCCAGGCTGGTCTTGAATTCCTGACCTCATGATCTACCTGCCTCGGCCTCCCAAAGTGCTAGGATTACAGGCGTGAGCCACTGTGCCAGGCCTGAACCACTTCTACCTCTAGGATTCTATGAAACTCTAGTCCCAGTGGCTGGGGCTTGGGTAGGAAGGGGGGTAGGGAGGGTTAGGGGATCTTCCCAGCAAGTTCTCTAGGTATGTTTGAGTGGGAATGGGTAAGATCCTCATTACTCTCTCCCCTATCTCCCTGTTCCAGAACCTGCAGATGACAGCAGCTTCTCGCTGTCCCAGGAGGTTCTCCGGCACCTGCGGCAGGAGGAAAAGGAAGAGGTTACTGTGGGCAGCTTGAAGACCTCAGCGGTGCCCAGTACCTCCACGATGTCCCAAGAGCCTGAGCTCCTCATCAGTGGAATGGAAAAGCCCCTCCCTCTCCGCACGGATTTCTCTTGAGACCCAGGGTCACCAGGCCAGAGCCTCCAGTGGTCTCCAAGCCTCTGGACTGGGGGCTCTCTTCAGTGGCTGAATGTCCAGCAGAGCTATTTCCTTCCACAGGGGGCCTTGCAGGGAAGGGTCCAGGACTTGACATCTTAAGATGCGTCTTGTCCCCTTGGGCCAGTCATTTCCCCTCTCTGAGCCTCGGTGTCTTCAACCTGTGAAATGGGATCATAATCACTGCCTTACCTCCCTCACGGTTGTTGTGAGGACTGAGTGTGTGGAAGTTTTTCATAAACTTTGGATGCTAGTGTACTTAGGGGGTGTGCCAGGTGTCTTTCATGGGGCCTTCCAGACCCACTCCCCACCCTTCTCCCCTTCCTTTGCCCGGGGACGCCGAACTCTCTCAATGGTATCAACAGGCTCCTTCGCCCTCTGGCTCCTGGTCATGTTCCATTATTGGGGAGCCCCAGCAGAAGAATGGAGAGGAGGAGGAGGCTGAGTTTGGGGTATTGAATCCCCCGGCTCCCACCCTGCAGCATCAAGGTTGCTATGGACTCTCCTGCCGGGCAACTCTTGCGTAATCATGACTATCTCTAGGATTCTGGCACCACTTCCTTCCCTGGCCCCTTAAGCCTAGCTGTGTATCGGCACCCCCACCCCACTAGAGTACTCCCTCTCACTTGCGGTTTCCTTATACTCCACCCCTTTCTCAACGGTCCTTTTTTAAAGCACATCTCAGATTACCCAATGTGAGTGTGTCGTCTTTTTCCTGCTGGACTCTGACCGATATAACAGATGGGAATTACTGTCCCTAATGTCCAAACCTGCCTGCACATGCATGCCTCCCTGCACCCCTCCTCATCTTGGTACAGGGCAGCAGGGTGCTGCGTGTCATTTACCATCTGGACAGAGCCTACCAGTTGGGCTGAGGGCACCTGTCCTTTCAGTGCCTTTCTCTTCAGTGAGAGGCTTGGGGAGCAGGGACCATAGGCTGGCCTGAGCCAGCACACAAATGATGCCATGAAGGAACACAGCTGTGTCCTGGGCAAGGGGCCACTCAAAGGAGCAGGTGTCACTATAGGTGCCAGATGAGAGAGCCTGCAAACGGACAAGGGGGAAAGAGTTTGTGTGATGAGATGGGACAGTCCCTGGAGGGCCTTGGACAGCACAGCCAGCTGCCGTGCCATACCTTCCACCATCACGGTTACAACTGAGCCACTGATTCAACACTGTGGTGGCACAGCTGTCCCCATCTGGGAGGGAAGGCAGCCCATCTCTGTTAGTTCCATTTGTCTCACCAAGCTGGGCTCCTTCCCTCCCTCCCACCTTTTTTTTTTTTTTTTTTGAGTTGGAGTTTCGCTGTTGTCACTCAGTCTGGAGTACAACGGCACGATCTCAGCTCACTGCAACCTCCGCCTCCCGGGTTCAGGCGATTCTCCTGCCTCAGTCTCTTGAGTAGCTGAGATTACAGACATGCACCACCATGCCCGGCTAATTTTGTATTTTTAGTAGAGACGGGGTTTCGCCAGGCTAGTCTTGAACTCCTGACCTTGGGTGATCCTCCCACCTTGGCCTCCCAAAGTGCTAGGATCACAGGCATGAGACACCGTGCACTGTGCCTGGCCTGTTTTGGTTTTTTTTGTTTTGTTTTGTTTTGTTTTTTTTTGGTCACAAAGGCTCAATATACATTTCTGAGTACAGCATCACTGTGGAGAAATGCTCCACACAGACACACATGGGTTAGAAGGAACTGGCTGCCCCTAAGAACGGCAGAGCCAAGGGAGTCAAGGGGGAACAGTCCCCACTCTCCCTAAGTATCCCACCCTGTCCTCAAGGCCTGAAGATCCTCCATCATCACACCAGTGGCTTGTATACTAGAAACCAGCCCAGAATCAAAGGCCTTTCCAATCCATCCAGTAACTGTCATGGGGCTTAGGCTGTGGAGTCTGATGGCCCCAGCTTCAAATCCTGACTCCACCACTTAGGACCTGTGTCTACTTAGGTATCTTGATAACCCTCAGTTTCCCCAAGTGTAAAACGGGGATAGCAGTGGCCCCTCCCCTGGAGGTTGTTGTGAGGAGTGAATGGTATCATATCTGTAGGTCCACAGAGAAGCCTGGTGTCCAGCACTTAGCTGACCCACAACAAGGGGCAGCTATTAACACTTTAGCTGCCTCTCCCCAATCCCAAAGGAGGCAAGCCTGCCCTCTGCACACACTGCAATCCCCACCTCTGTTCCTTTTTATATTCTGTTATTTCCCAGCCTCCCTGACTGTGGTGGGGTCTTGCCAATGCCCCCAGGGGACTTCTTGTCCCCAGGAGTTCCCCAGGGTAGAGCACCAGAGGTCCTGCCATAAATGTCTGTCTGCGTGTTCTTGACTGCAGATGAGTAAGATTCAGAGGTGCTGGGGAAGGCAGTGCCACCAGCAGGCACTGAGCCACCAGGAGGCCCAGTTTTGTCTTCCTGGCTTCTGGATGCATCATCCTGACCCCCCTGCTGATTAGACCCAGGCACTCCCACAGCTGGGAGTGGTCCCCACCCCACTCCTTCCTTCCCAAAACAAGTTCCATGGAGCTCCTTTTCCTTTCCTGTTTTCTCATCAGCCGGAAAGATCTGGGAAATGTCCTGTGGTACATTCTAGGCTTGTTCCAACAGGCCCAGGCACACAGAAAGTGGGAGGCAATGAGAGGCTCCCAAATTCCCCCATCCCTTCTGGAGAGGCAAGACAGAGTCAGTGGGGGCCTTTGAAAGCCAATCTTTGAACTATAAATTGTGCTTGGGCTTACAAGGACTTCGGAGCTTGTCAACAAGGTCTGGGCCCTAACAGCCGAAGGACTGCCCCTGACTGACTGCCCCAAGGAGAACAGACGTTCGTCACTTCCCTAAGACCAGTGAGCCTAAGGGAAGGCAGATCCCAGCTTCTCCGCCTGGGCTCTCCCTGGCTGGCCTTTGTAGGATGAGGGCCTCTCCACGGGGCCTCTGACATTCCTGCTTGTGGGGAGTTGGATTCACATTACAAAGGAAGGAGATTAAGCGTGCAATGAAGGGGCAGAGACTCAGAAAAGGAGATTCAGGGGTCTGGTGGTCCCTGAAGAGGAGGGAGGGACTTTGTGAGGTGGCCTTGGGCCCTGGGAAGGCCCCCCGCAGCATGTTTCTGGGCAGGGCCCTCAAGTTTTGATTTCTCTTGCCCACCACAGGGCTCTCTCTATAAATGTTCTGAGAGAGCAGCTCCAGCTGAGTCCAGTGTGCCCTTCCGACGCTCTGATGCCCAGGCTCCAATTTGCTTTTGCCCTAGTTCTCTGCCCGGTTTCTTGTTCTGAGCTAGGTCAGGCTAACTCTCCAAAGTCTCCCTCCTACAGACAAGTGACTTCATCGATGCTGGGCCTGGGTCCATCTGGCGCAGGGCAGGAGCCAGGGACAAGAGGGCCCGGTGGTGCTTCTTCAGGACTGTCTTGGGGGCCCAGCACCCGCCAGTGGATGAGGTAGATGCCACCATCTGGCTTTGGGGTCGGTGGCTCTGTAGGGAGAGTGGCATGGCCCTGGTGCAGCCTTGGCCCAAAATGGACTGCCACTATGATGCAGACTGCCAGCAGAACAAAGACAGCGACAATGACGGTGACCACAGGCAGCCCGTCAACTCGAGGTTGTTCCCAGGTGCCACTTAGCACCTCCGGAAGCTGCCTCTGGGGCTCCTGCTCTGATGAACTGTTCACAGCTGGAGAAGGCCAGGAGTAGTGGCCAGCCTGGGAGGAGAGTGGCAGAGAGAGAGGGTGACATGGATGTATACACACAGAAAAAGACCAAAATAGAAAGAGACAAACACCCAAAGGAACCTGAGGCGGGGGGTTGAGGGCGGGAGGGACCAGAGACAAAGACAGAAAGACAAAAAGTCAGAGTAAAGACCTGGAGAGAGGCAGAGAATACAGAGGTAAACCACATGGCAGCAGAGACGATCAAAGAAAAAGGCAGAAAAGGCAGAGGGGGATACAGAGAGGGAGAAAGAAAGAGGAAAGGGGAAAGAAAAAGGCACATAAAAACAGACAGAAATAAAGATACAGACAGAGACAGAGAAAAAAGAAACAGATGCAGGGAGACAAAGACATTCAGACAGGGTCAAAGAGAGTGCTGGCTTCATCACAGTCCAGCGTATACAGTTTGGCCCCCCAAGTTTCCTCCCACTGTCCCCTTTTCCCAGGTCTCCAGCAAAATTCCTAAATAGATCCTGTGCCCTGGGTCGGGAGTCTTGGCACGCTATGGGCTGCTGTCCCCACATCCTAGGCAGTGGGCAGAGAGCACCTGCTTCTTAAAGTCCTGGGGAAAGGGGGTCCTTGTCCAGCATTTTAGGCTCCCCTTACTCCCCACTCACACAGAAGACAGACAGGTGGTGCCCTGGCGGCGGGAGAGGTAGAGGTAGAGGTAGAGGGGATGTGAACTTAGAAGGCAGGGGGATGCCTCTTTCCATAACTGTACCCCTGCCACCCTGCCGAGGTCTCAACATCAGGTTCTGGGGTCCTGGAGGAGAGGGGGTGCCCAGTGTGGACTCCTGGCTCTGCCCAGGATGGATTGTGGAGACCCTGTGCCAGTCTTCCTCTGTCCAAGTCCCAGTGTTCTTCTACCAAAAGCTGGGGGTCACGATCCGTACCCCTGTCTGACTCCACCCTGCTTGGTATTAGATGGGGGTGGTGGCATTGTAGTGAAGGTAGCAAATGGCAAAACTGTAAACCCTAGAGCTGAGGTCCTCACAGGCCCAAGAAACTTTGCCTCCCTAGCTTCCCCTTCCCAGATGGGCCATCCTGGAACAAATCTTAGCGGGTGGAGCCCCTCTCTCTAACCCTGCACTCTCAGCATGGCCCTCCCCATGGGTAGGCCAGGAAAGGCTTCCCAGGACAAACCCATGTCCTTTAGCCCCTCAGTCCCCTTGTCCACACTATCCCATCTCCCACATGCATCCCTTCGTGGAAAGGCACACCCCCCACCCTACCTTGCAAGTGTCTCTGGGTCCCAGGCCACAAAGTTCCCAGGGCAGGGGGTGGGGAAGCAGCTCTAGATGTGCAGAGGAAAAGGGGAAGCTGAGGCTGGTGACAGACAGGGGGACCCTGCAGGGAGTCAGCCCAGCCTGGCAGGAAGGGGTGAGCAGAGTCTACCTGGTGCATTGTCCGGGCCGACACAGGGCTCCCTTGGGACTGGCAGCCAGCTGGGTAAAGGAGGGCTGGCCACCCTAATTCAGCCCCTACCCGGAGCTGCCACGTCTGCGGGGCCCATGGGCACACACCCTGTGCACACACTCTCACCGCTCTCCTGCGCTTGCACTTCCTTCCGGGAACATCTGGGCTACCCTGGGCTCTGCCCTTAACTCTGATAGTACCTTAATCTTCCTCCTTGGCGCCTCCTTTCATGCCCCCTGCCAGCTTCAGGAGCCTGGGTGTGCCTGACCACCCCTCCTCCACCAGATCTCAGAAGCCTGGCCAGAGCCCCAACCTAATCTGCCCCCCACCAAGTCATGCTGGCTCCTCGCCTTAACCAATTTCCTGGAGTTATTGTCCTTTGATCTTTTCTTTCTAAATGCAATATTTCTTTTTTTTTTTTTTTGAGATGGAGTCTCGCTGTGTCGCCCAGGCTGGAGTGCAGTGGCGTGATCTGGGCTCACTGCAACCTCCGCCTCCCGGGTCCAAGCAATTCTCCTGCCTCAGCCTCCTGAGTAGCTGGGATTACAGGCACCCACCACCATGACCAGCTAATTTTTGTATTTTTAGTAGAGACGGGGTTTCACCATGTTGGTCAGGCTGGTCTCGAACCCCTGACCTCGTGATCCACCCACCTCGGCCTCCCAAAGTGCTGGGATTACAGGTGTGAGCCACCGTGCCCAGCCTCTAAGTACAATATTTCAAACACAATGGAAACTGCAGATACATTCTCTCTTTAATAAATACATAATAAGTCTCTAAATCTCCAAGGCTCAACCACCAGCTCTGTCTTCTCTCAATAGTTTGTCACATTTATTTTTAAAATATTAATATTACAATGAAAACAGAAGCCCTCACTTCCTGACCTCTCCCCTCCTTCTCACCACAGGGATAAACATCTCATAGAATTTGATGTTTATTGGCCGGGTGTGGTGGCCCATGCCTGTAATCCCAGCACTTTGGGAGGCCAAGGCAGGAGGATCACTTGAGGCTAGGAGTTCGAGACCAGTCTTGGCAACATAGTGAGACCTTATCTCAACAAAAAATTTAAAAATTAGCTGGGTGTGGTGGTGTATACCCATAGTCCCGGCTACTTGGGAGGCTGAGGTGGGAGGATCACTGAGCACAGGAGATCAAAGACCATGAACCATGTTCGTGTCACTACACTGCAGCCTGTGCAACAGGGGGAGACCCCATCTCAAAAAAATAATAATAATAGAATTTGATGTTTATTATTCTCACACAAGGCATTGTTTTCCCTTTTTTCTTTTGGTTTTTATAAATATGAATTCTGTATTTCTTTGCATTTGCCTGAATGCAACTTCATTTGAGAGTATGTATGTGTTTTAATGTGTCCAAGTCACAAAAACTGCCCACCAATCTCTCCTCTCTCTAGAGACAGTTTTTTTTAGCCACAGCTAACTCTGTGGGACCAGCCATCCCTCATTCTGTCCATTGCTGTGCACTCACCATCCTCCCTTCCAGTCTGGAGAGCCAGAGACACCCTGGGAACTCCCCTCCGCTGGAGTCTTGATCCAGGATGAAACAGAATGTAGCATCCTGGTTCCTTGTCTCTCAGCCGAGCTGCCCACATCCTGACATCCAGGGCCCCCACTCAGACCTCCAAGTTCACTTGAGCCCAGATCCCTGGACTGCTGACCTGATCTGCAAAGTGAGCGGGACCTATTGCTGGCTGACCTTGAAGCCCCTGGCTGACCCTGAAGCCCCTGGCTGACCCCCTCCCAACGGGATCAAAGGCTCTGCTCATCCTCTGCTTCCCACCTTGGTCCATTTAGACTTTAGCCAGAGGGAATCTGGACTCTGCCACGGGTCCTGAACTTCGGCCACTGCTATTCACCTCCTGCCTCCTCAAGACACATGTGCCATTGCTCTGGCAGATATCTCCACTGGGGCTCCGGTCCCTGTGTCCAAAAGCCCAATTTTTGATCCTTCTGATGACTACTTCTTCCCTTTCCTCCCTCATTAATCCTGGATCTGTCTCCTAAAGGGCTTCCGAGAGGATAATACGGTGGAACTTCTGGGACCAGACTACAGCCCCAGCCTTCTGTGTCACTTCTCTACCACTGCTATGAGCTGCCCACCCATTCCTGCCGTCTAAACCTTAAACATCTGTTATAGCTTAGGTCAAGTGTGGCCTCCTCTAGGGACGAATTTTTCAGCCCTGTACTTGAGTAACTTGCTTTCTTTTCCTTAAGCCTTACAGCATAATGTTTCTTACCCGCTCCTAACATTTGTCACACTTTGTCTTATGTAACAGGTATGCGGAGGCTCATCTTTCCAGGAACCATGACTCTTTTTTTTTTTTTTGAGACTTAGTCTTGTTCTGTCACCCAGGCTGGAGTGCAGTGGCGAAATCTCGGCTCATTGCAACCTCCACCTCCTTTCCATCTCTCTGGGGGAGGGTGGAAGTGGCTTTGCTGGCCAGAGGAAGGCAAAGAGCAACCCTTCTTTCACTCTGTCACCACCAAAGGCAGGCAGGCTGAGGAGTCTGCAGAGGGAGCCGAAGGACAGGGGCCTGTGGGAATACCCTGAGCAGGCCAGAGTGGGGTTGCCATGATAGACTCAGGGCAGGTCTGAGAGGCGGCTGACTTTTGAGGTCATCGGAAACTCTGGGCTAGAGTTGGGTAAGTAAGGAGCAAAGGCTGCTTTCCTCTACCACACCCCACTTCTAGCCTTGTAAAAAGCTATAGGTCTGTAAGGAGTGTGGGGTTTCTTTTTAGGGTAATGGAAATGTTATAAAATTGATTTTATTTGGGGTGAGTGAACAACTCTCTAAATATATAAAAACCACTGAGGCAGCCGGGCCCGGTGGCTCACGCCTGTAATCCCAGCACTTCGGGAGGCCGAGGTGGGCAGATCACAAGGTCAGGAGATCGAGACCATCCTGGCTAACACGGTGAAACCCCAACTCTACTAAAAATACAAAAAATTAGCCGGGCGTGGTGGTGGGCGCCTGTAGTCCCAGCTACTCTGGAGGCTGAGGCAGGAGAATGGCATGAACCCTGGAGGCGGAGTTTGCAGTGAGCCGAGATCATGCCACTGCACTCCAGCCTGGGCAACAGAGCGAGACTCTGCCTGAAAACAAACAAACAAACAAACAAACAAACAAACCACTGAGGCTGGTGTGGTGACTCAGGCCTGTAATCCCAGCACTTTGGGAGGCCGAGGTGGGTGGATCACCTGAGGTCAGGAGTTCAAGACCAGCCTGGCCAACATGGTGAAACCCCATCTCTACTAAAAACACAAAAATTAGCCAGGCTTGGTGGCGTGTCTGTAATCCCAGCTACCCAGGAAGCTGAGGCAGGAGAATAGCTTGAACCCGGGAGCCAGAGGTTGCAGTGAGCCGAGATTGTGCGGCTGCACTCCAGCCTGAGCAACAGAGGGAGACTGTCTCAAAAAAAAAAAAAAAGCCACTGAATTGTGCACTTCAAATGAGGACGAGTGAGAGGGTGAAGAAGGCATCCACATGGTGGGGAAGGAATGGGAGCAGAAATGGGAGCTTGGTTACTGAAAGGGGAGTGATCCAATAAGTAAGTATTTAAGGATCATGGGAGTCAGAGAAGGGCCTTAGAGATGCTACTCCCTAGCACCAACGAGCACACTGACGACTCAGACCTCGGTTTCTTTCTTTTGAAAAAATTTGTTTTTTTGAGACAGGGTCTCACTCTGTGGCCCAGGCTGGAGTGCAGTGGCATGATCTCGCTCACTGCAGCCTCAACCTCCCAGGCTCAAGTGATCCTCCCACCTCAGCCTCCTGAGTAGCTGGGACTACAGGCACACACCACCCCACCCGGGTAATTAAAAAATTTTTTTTGCACAGACGATATCTCACTATGTTGCTCAGGCTGGTCTCAAACTCCTGAGCTAAAGCGATCCTCATGCCTAGGTCTCCCAAATTGTTGGGATTGCAGGTATGAGCCACTGTGCCCGGCCCTCAGTTTCTAAATATCATTTGCACCAAAAGGAATGAAGACCCCTTAAAGAAACAGCCGATTCCAGGGCTGGGGCAGGTGAAGCACAAGAAGTGCCTGGAAGCCGGGTGCGGTGGCTCACACCTGTAATCCCAGCACTTTGGGAGACCGAGGTGGGTGGATCACTTGAGGCCAGGAGTTTGAGACCAGCCTGGACAATATGGTGAAACCCCGTCACTACTAAAAATACAAAAATTAGCCAGGCTTCGTGGTGTGTGTCTATAATCCCAGCTACTCAGGAGGCTGAGGCAGGAGAATCACTTGAACCTGGGAGAAGGAGAATGCAGTGAGCCGAGATCATGCCATTGCACTCCCCCTGGGCAACCAGAGCGAAACTCTGCCTCAAAAAAAAAAAAAAAAAAAAAAAAGCCTGAAACATCTTATTATGCCAGAAAGTAAGGAAGTGCTCAAAAAATGATGGAGACGTGTCAAAAGGACACAGAAGCCAGCTTGTAGGGGCTAACAGTGGCCAAAATGGAGACAATTTGAGCATCAGAACAATAAATGATTGTATTCCAACCTAGTGAATAAAACAGAAATACATGAGTTTATATATAGATATAGAAAATATCTCCTCATAACATCTCTATTAATTATAAAGGATAAAAGTGTAACTTTAGAGTGGAGAAAACTGGCTGTGGTGGGCTAACTTGTGGCCCCCAAAACGATATGTCCATGTCTTAATCCCCAGAACATGTGAATGTTACATTATTTGGAAAAAGGGTCTTTGCAGGCTGGGCGTGGTGGCTCACGCCTGTAATCCCAGCACTTTGGGAGGCCGAGACGGGCAGATCACCTGAGGTCAGGAGTTCAAGACCAGCCTGGCCAACATGGTGAAACCCCATCTCTACAAAAATATAAACATTAGCTGGGCATGATGGTGGGTGCCTGTAATCCCAGCTACTCGGGAGGCTGAGTCAGGAGAATCACTTGAACCCAGGAGGTGGAGGTTGTAGTGAGCCGAGAGGCAGGAGAATTGCTTGAGCCCAAGAGGCAGAGGTTGCAGTGAGCTGAGATCACGCCACTGCACTCCAGCCTGGGTGACAGAACGAGACTCCATCGCAGAAAAAAAAAAAAAAAATTGAGCCAGGCATTGTGGCTCATGCCTGTAATCCCAGCAATTCAGGAGGTTGAGGCAGGAGGGTCACTTGAACCCAGGAGTTCAAGGCTTCAGTGAAGTGAGATTGTGCCATTGCACTCCAGTCCGGGTGACAGAGCCAGATCCTTCTCTCTCTTTTTTTTTTCCTTTTGAGTCAGGGTCTGGCTCTGTCTTCCAGGCTGGAGTGCAGTGACACAATCTTGGCTCACTGCAACCTCTGCCTCCCAGGTTCAAGCCATCCTCCCCATTCCAGCCTCCTGAGTGCTGGGACTATAGGCATGTACCGCCAAACCTAGCTAATTTTTTAATTTTTAGCAGAGACAAGGTTTTGCCATGTTGCCCAGGCTGGTCTCAAAATCCTGAGCTCAAGCAGTCCTCCCTCCTTGGCCTCCCAAAGTGCTGGATTACAGGCGTGAGCCATCACACCCAGCCCTGAGACCCTGTCTCTTAAAAAAAAAAGGAAAAAATAATGCATTATTTGATAGGATGCAAAGAGAGAGACTCAACATTGCTTCTTTGATGTCACTGCCGAGATAGATAACCTAAATTTTAATTAATTAATTAATTAATTAATTAATTAATTTTTTGAGACAGGGTCTCACTCTGTCGCCCAGGCTAGAGTGCAGTGGCATGATCTTGGCTCACTGCAACTCCACCACCTGGGTTCACGCCATTCTCCTGCCTTAGCCTCCCAAGTAGCTGGGACTACAGGCACCCGCCACCACGCCTGGCTAATTTTTTGTATTTTTTGTAGAGACGGGATTTCATCGTGTTAGCCAGGATGGTCTTAGTCTCCTGACCTCGTGATCCACCCACCTCGGCCTCCCAAAGTGCTGGGATTACAGGCATGAGCCACTGCTCCCAGCCTAGATAACCTAAATCTTATGAGGAAACATCAGAGAAACCGAAATTGAGAGAACTTCTATAAAATAACTGTACTGTAACCTTCAAAAGTGTTTAGGCCATGAAAATCAAGGAAAGTCTGAACTATTCCGGATTGAAGGAGACTGAAGAGACTTTCAGTGAGTAATTCTGGGCAGGATCCTTTCGCTATAAAGGACATTATTGAAACAACTGTCAAAATTTGAATAGGATCTGAAGATTAGATGGTATTAATATATTTATATTAATTTCCTAATTTTGATGGCTGTATTGTGATTATGTAGGAGACTGTCCCTTGTAGGAAATACACACTAAACTATTCGGGGTGATGGGGCATCCTGTTGACAATTTACTCTGAACAACAGTTCAGGGAAAAAAGTTCTGTGTAATGTACTTCCAACTTTTCTTGTGACTGTTTCAAAATAAAATATTAAGAAAATAAAGAAAAAAGGGCTAGGCATGGTGGCTCATGCCTGTAATCCCAGCACTTCGGGAGGCTGAGGTGGGTGGATCACAAGGTCAGGAGTTTGAGACCAGCCTGGCCAACATGGTGAAACCGTCTCTACTAAAAATACAAAAATTAGGTGGGCGTGGTGGCGTGAGCCTGCAGTCCCAGCTACGCTGGAGATTGAGGCATGAGAATGGCTTGAACCTGGGAGGTGGAGGCTGCAGTGAGCAGACATCTTACACTGCATTCCAGTATGGGCAACAGTGAGAGACTCTGTCTCAAAAAAAAAAAAAACAAAAAAAAAGGAAAGAAAAAAGGATACCATTCATTTAAATGATTGTATATGTATATGCATATTGTCAAAGACTGGAAGGCAAATAGACTGGAAGGGAATTAATAACAATAATATAATTAATATTAAGGAGGTAGGATTGTTTCTGACATTCCTCTGCTTTCGAATCTTTTTTTTTTTTTTTTTAATTTCAGTGATGGAGTCTCACTCTGATCATAGCTCACTGCAGCCTTGAACTCTTGGGCTCAAGAGGTCCTCTTGCCTTAGCCTCCTGAGTAGCTAGGACTACAGGCATGCACCATCATGACTGGCTAATTAAATTTTTTTTTTTTTTTTTTTTGTAGAGACAGGGTCTTGCTGTGTTGCTTAGTCTGGTCTCAAACTCCTGGCCTCAAGAAATCCTCCTGCCTCAACGTCTCAAAGTGCTGGACTGTAGGCATGAGCCATTGCGCAGCCCTGACCTTAAATCTTTTGAGTTTAGTTCAATAAATATGTGCTGAGGACCTGCTATGTGGCAGGCATTGTGCCAGGTCCTAGGAATATTGAAAAAAGTCACAATGCTGGCTTGCAGTCTGCAACAGAGAGAATCCTGGGATAAGGATGAGTGCTGCTGGATGCCGAGGACAGGGGACACCTCACCCCAGTGAGGATGCAGAGGGAGGAGTGCTTCAAATAGGGGGACTCTTGCTTTTCTATTAAGAATAACGATACCCGGCTTGGTGGCACATGCCTGAAGTCCCAGCTACTTGTGAGGCCGAGGCAGGAGGATCACTTGAACCCAGGAGTTTGAGTCCAGACTGAGCAATATAGCAAGACCCCATCTCTCTCTTTTTTTTTTTTTTTTGAGACGGAGTCTCACTCTGTTGCCCAGGCTGGAGTGCAGTGGTACGATCTTGGCTCACTGCAAGCTGCACCTCCCAGGTTCACGCCATTCTCCTGCCTCAGCCTCCCCAGTAGCTGAGACTACAGGCGCCTGCCACCACACCTGGCTAATTTTTGTATTTTTAGTAGAGACGGGGTTTCACCATGTTAGCCAGGATGGTCTCGGTCTCCTGACCTCGTGATCTGCCCACCTCGGCCTCCCAAAGTGCTGGGATTACAGGCGTGGGCCTCCCAAAGTGCTGGGATTACTGGCCAAGACCCCAACTCTTAAAAAAAAAAAAGTAAAAAAGGAATAATAATCATGCGTATAGGGCCTCTCTGAAAGATGTGGGGAGTCCTATCTGCATTGGGATCCCTGAGGAGGGAGAGGAATGTGGAGAATTCAGGGTCCAGGGAGCATGGGTGACTGGTGGGCTGGGCTTCCAGGCTGAATCATGGGAAAGGAGAACCTGGTCTGAAACAGTACTGGGCGGGATTGGTGTTAGATTCCAGGAAAACCCCCAGGCGGTCTGTGGTGGAACCTGATGGACCCTCAGAAGGGAAGAGAATGGGGATGGGGCCAGGTTGCCATGGTTGGTCATTGTGCATAGGCACTAGAGGCCATGCTGGGTGGGCACAGTCGCTGCTGCAGCCTCACATCCTCATCTGGACATGGCTGAGCAGGGCCCCTGGAGCTGGTCCCAATGTGTTTCCTTCTATTCTTTTGACAGGAAGCTCCTGGAGAGCCAGTCCCCACCCCCATCCCGCCCCAGCACTCCCTCTCTCTTCTCCACTATGGACAGAGCCTCCACTGAGCTGCTGCCTGCCCGCCACATACCCAGCTGACATGGGCACCGCAGGAGCCATGCAGCTGTGCTGGGTGATCCTGGGCTTCCTCCTGTTCCGAGGTAAGAGGTGCCTGCCGCTTTCCCATGGCAATTCCTCTCCGCAGCTGGCCATTCTAGGCATCGGTCTCTTTCTCAGGAGACACATGCTTTCCATCCAGGGGCTGTGCCCAGGGGAAATTCCAGAGCCTTTCCATGAAGATCAGTTGGATTGGGGGGTCCTGATTACCAGGCAGGGGTAAAATGGAGCTACGGTTAAACCCTCTTGTGGGAAATTGTCCTGGGGGAGCTGGGCTCCCCATAAAGGCTGGCCTCCTGAATTGTGGGAGGGAGCTGTGTTAGTGCAAGACCCAGGCCCAAAGCTCCTTCTAGGATGTGCTCAGGCTACTCATGACCCTCACCCTCTGATCTTGGGGCAGGGCTGACGACGGCCACTCTCTCAACTGTTCTAACACAAATCCTCTGCACCATGGGCTTCACAGGGGATCTGTTCTCTCCTTTCACATGAGGAGTAGCAACCTAGGAATTCCTAATGTAGATTTTAAAGTTAAATCACAGCAAGAGGGACTCAGGTTAGACACAAAGAACTATTCACCAAGGAGGATGTGCTTAACATTCTCACATCCAGGGGGCTAGAGTAGATGACCTCCAGAGGAGGCTACTTGGAAATGGCACCTCTCTGACAGGCTCTGCCAGCCAATGAGTTGTGAAGCCGCTCATAGGGGTCCTCTCATCAGGGAGCAGTTGCTGGGAATCATGACGAGTCCAGGGCATTCTGACTCACAGGGCAGCAACTTCCCTTTGACCATTCCTGCTCTGCCCCCACCTCACCCTCTACAAGTCCTCTGTGCTCAAAGCAGCAGAAAGAGTGCACAAGAGGGCTCAGATGGGGAGGGGTGGTGGCCCCTCGTCGGTGGTGGGTAAGAGGGCCTGAGTACCAGAACACTGGCTTCCGGAGATGTCAGGCATTTCTCTAAAAGTCCATGGGCTGGAGGACAAGACTCTGATTGTCCCCATCCCCTCCTACCCCCTCCATGACAGAGTCACAGGTCTGGGGCTGGGGAACAAGGCTGTTGTGGAAACTGCAGGTGAAGCTCATGAGGTGGCATTTTCACAGGCCGAGACTTTTCCCAGCCTCCCTACCCACTGTTTTCTCCCAGGCAAGTGCCAGCACTCTCAAATGCCCTGTGTCGGCTGTACCTAAGCTGCTGTCACCCGCCCCGAGTTTCCTAACCCTTCATCCTGAAGTGTGCAGAGCATTTCCTGGCTCCTTCATCTTGGTGGACTGAGGAATCCTGAGCACATTCAGGCCCATAAAGGGACTTGACTACGGATACCCAGAGGCAGGGCAGACTTGAGACTTGGAGGATTTGAGAGAACAGGGCAAAAACAAAAGTGTCTGGCCTTCATTGAGCATGTCAGGCACTGCGTTAAGTGCTTCATATGCATTTTCCTTCCTTCACAACAACTTGCGAGGTACTGATACCACTTGCATTTTACTTAGTTATTTTTGAGACAGGGTTGCTCCATTGCGCAGGCCAGAGTTGCAGTGGCATGATCATGGCTCACTGCAGCCTTGACCTCCTGGGCTCAAGCAATCCTCCTGCCTTAGCCTCCTGTGTAGCTGGGGGCTACAGGCACACACCACCACACCCAGCTAATTTTTGCATTTTTTTGTAGAGACAAGGTTTTACCATGTTGCCCAGGCTGGTCACTTGTACTTCAAAGTAAAGAAAACTGAGGCCTAGGTCAGACAGCGACAAAGCCAGGACTTGAACTCAGGCTTGCCAGGCTCGATTAAAATCCACGATTTTAACTTCTAAACTATGCTTTTGAGGAAAAAATGGGGAGGGGTGTGTGTGGAGATAGACTAGAAGGGGATAAAGCAGACAGAATTAGAGAGGGGAGACCTGGGAAATCAAAAATTCCTGTGGCTAGAGTTCTTTGGGAATCTGCAGGCCCAGTGGTCAGAGACACCCTCGGCTGTAGACACAGATGCTCCCTAAGTCCCTCCCTTACCCACAGAGAAATCTTTGTTGGTGACAAAAAGTTTGGGTAGTGGGAGGGGCAAGAGGCAAAGAAAGAGCAGGGTCTTGAAGCTTGTGACTTTGGAACTCCTCCCAAGCCACTGAATAATTTTCTTTCTAGATAAATGCAGGAAGGCAGTTCCCTGTGCCTTCCCTGTACCTTCCCACCAAAAACTAAGTTATAACCTTACAGCATTTAGATAGTACATTAGGCCAGGCTCGGTGGCTCACGCCTGTGATCCCAGCATTTAGGATGCTGAGGCGAATGGATCACCTGAGGTCAGGAGTTTGAGACCAGCCTGGCCAACATGGTGAAACCCCATCTCTACTAAACATACAAAAATTAGCCGGGCATGGTGGCAGGCGCCTGTAATCCCAGCTACTCAGGAGGCTGAGACAGGAGAATAGCTTGAGCCCGGGAGGCGGAGGTTGCAGTGAGCTGAGATCGCGCCACTGCACTCCAGCCTGGGTGACCAAGAGCGAAACTCTGTCTCAAAACGAAAAAAAAAAAACAAAAAATACATTACATATGCTGGATTAGTAACTGATACATGTTTTCAGGACATGCCTTGGGTTAAAAGGATTCTCCAAGGGTCCTCCCCAGCTAGAAAGGGTTTTCTCTAGCCTGGGCTTCCTATAAATTTTGACTCCCCTCTTGACCATCCCCCTCTCGCCAACAAGGGAATGGGGCTCTCAGAAATGGTGATCTAGAAAAACATGGCCCAGGGTTTGGTAATTTTACACTTGGAAGCAATTAATTCTACACTATCCAGATGATAGCCCCATGGAGGAAGGCAGTGGCTTAAGGAAAATAAGCAGAGCAGCAGGTTGCCACAGGCTGGGGTGGGCCCCTGGCACCCAGCCGCCTCTGTCCACCCAGGCCTGGGCTGAATGCTCCCCTGATGCTGAGAGACCAAGGGAGCAGCAGAGCCAGGCCAGGGGCTGTAGTCCCTGCTCAAGCAGAGGGACGGGAACCCAGCTGGGCGGCTCCACTTCCCCACGTTGTTTTCCTTTCACATTGTTCACAGGTTTCAAGAATGATTTCATTGTGGAAAATGAGCAAATACAACCTGACCTTTCAGGTTCCACATACACAGCGGGACACACACAAGGGCACACGAGCATGCACATACATTTGCATAGAGCCCCGCAGACACACGTGTACATACAAAAAAGCCAGTGAGGGCTTCTGATTGGGGACTCTTGGTGACTGACCCCTCTCTGGGTTTGGTCAATAACAACCATTTCCTATGTATCCTCTGCCTGTGAGAGTGAATGGGTTGCTCATGCTAGAGCTTCCCTGCCTCCTATATATACCTCAGAACTTACTTTCTGCACAGGCCCCTACCTCTAGGCAAGATACAAGCCCTAATCCCCATCCCCATCTCACTCACCTTCCCGTCTCTCAGCCCCTTCCCTGGGGGCAGGACCAGGGTGACAGTAGCTTAAGGTAAACATTAGCCTAGAGACCTGGAGTCCTGGGCCCTTCCTTGTCTAGGTGTGGCAGGTCATTGATCTTCTGTCCTTAGAAATGTCACTAGTTTAAAATAACCTTCTCCTGACTCTGCATCAGGTTGGTAAAATGCCCATGTCAGATTGAAGAGACAGGGAAGGACTTCGGGACTCTGAGCCATGAGGTGGTGGTGATGTTGCTATTGAGTCACAGTCTCAGAGGAAGCCAGCACCGTGAGCCACAGCCCACATCCTTTAGTCCTCTGCCTAGTGTGTCTGCCTTCCAGCATGGTAGGCTTAGAAAGCCAAAACGTTTTTTTCTGTTTTCTTTTCTTTTTTTTTTTTTTTGAGACAGAGTCTCACTTTGTCTCCCAGGCTGGAGTGCAATGGCATGATCTCAGCTCACTGCAACCTCTACCTCCCGGGTTCAAGCGATTCTCATGCCTCAGCCTCCCAAGCAGCTGGGATTACAGGCGTGTGCCATCAGGCCTGCTAATTTTTGTATTTTTAATAGAGGCAGGGTTTCACCATGTTGGCCGGGCTAGTCTTGAACTCCTGACCTCAAGTGATCTACCCACCTCAGCCTCCCTAAGTGCTGGGATTACAGGTGTGAACCACCGCACCTGGCCAGTGTTTTCTTTTCTTTTTTCTTTTTCTTTCTTTTTTTTTTTTTTTTTTTTTTTTTTTTTTTTTGTTGAGATAGGGTCTCCACCTGTTGCCCAGGCTGGAGTGTAGTGGTGCAATCATAGCTCACTGCAGCCAGCCTCAACCTTCTGGTCTCAAGCAATCCTGCCACCTCAGCCTCCTGAGTAGCTAGGACTCCAGGTGTGCACTACTGTGCCTGGAGAATTTAAAAAAAAAAAAAAAACAAAACAAAACAAAATTTTTTTTTAGAGACAGGGTCTTGCTATGTTGCCCAGGCTGGGCCAGAAGGCATTCTAAGGGTTCCTTTCTAGGCTCTGTGCTGGGCAGGGGACTTACCAAGCTATGTGTTTTGCTTTCTCTTGCAGGCCACAACTCCCAGCCCACAATGACCCAGACCTCTAGCTCTCAGGGTAAGACCAAACACATGGGTCTACTCCAGCGTGTAGGCCTAGGAGCTTAGGAAGGGTGAGAGGAGCTCTATGCCAATTTAGCCTTAACCTCAGGGGGCTGGGGCCGCAGCTGGAGCGGGAGCTCTCAGGACTCACCAAGGCTGAGCTCATCTAAGGATTTTTTTTCAGCCTAGCTGAGTCTAATGTACCTTGAAAGAAAAAAGAGGTGAATGGTTGGGAATGAGGGGTGGGGGATGGGGTAGGGAGAAAGACACACAGATCTAGGGAACAAGAGAGGGAGATGGAACAGTAGGAGGCGGTGCACCCCTCAGCCTCAGATGTTCTGTTTCAGGAGGCCTTGGCGGTCTAAGTCTGACCACAGAGCCAGTTTCTTCCAACCCAGGTGAGTGAGTGTGGTTGCTGAGGTCCCTGCTCCTGCCCCACACCCATTCATTCAGACCTGCTTGGAGCCCAGGGGTTCTTGGGTGGGACAGGGAGTGTGGTGTCACCAAACCTACCCCACCTCCCACTCCCTATCTGCCTCTGTCCTTGCAGGATACATCCCTTCCTCAGAGGCTAACAGGCCAAGCCATCTGTCCAGCACTGGTACCCCAGGTACTGTGTCATTCAGACTACAAATGCCATCCAGGGAGGGCCCAGTGAGGACCCCAACAGTTTCTGCTCTAAAAGAGAATATAGACTGGGGCGAGCGGGAACAGACAAGGAAATAGACCCTCACACTGAGGATGACATGCAGGGTGAGAAGGGCTGCGGTGGGCACCAGCAGAAGTGTGGGAGCCCAGGCACATGTCAGTCACTTCAGACTCGGGGGCCAGGGATGACTCCCAGAAGCAGCTTCTGAAGCCGAGCTGAGAAGGGGTCAGCTGAGCATGTGGAGGCTGTGGGGTAGAGAGTAGTGGGGCTTATTCCAGGTGGGGTGGAGAGTAGTGGGGCTTATTCCAGGCAGAGGGAACTGCCCAGAGGTGAACAAGAGAATGGCCCCTTCTAGAACTGAAAGCAGGAAAGAAGAGGAAGATTTTGGACTGAAGAGCCCACCCGGTGCACATGCCGGCCAAGGCCCTGAGCAGGCCCGAGTGTGCTTCCTCATTCACGGCAGCTCCAAAGAAGGCCGCGCAGGCCCCCATGGCAGCCAGTAAACCCGTGATGCCGAGGGCAGGCACCGTGGATGGGCTCTCCCCGACCTGGTTGGGCCTAACTTGGGCCAAGCCACAGATGTACACATCAGGACTTGTTGAGTGCCCAGGGCGGGGGGCAGCGGTGAAAAACACTGGGTTCCATCTGGATGGGTTCCTTCTGCCCTCTTCAGGAGGCCACAGGGGTCAGGACCCACATCAGTGGCACCCTGGTTCAGGAAAGAAAGAGGTTTGGTGGGGCGTAGAGACAGGACCTTGGGCCTGGTCACAACGAAGGTAACAGGAGCTTAGACTTGAGACTGAGAAAGGCATACCCAGAGAGGAGAGGGAGGAGAAGGATACCCCAAAATGAAGGAAAAGGAAGGCAGAAAAGGCTGAGAAAGAGCTAGAGTCCTCTCAGGCAGGGAAGACTGGCCTTTGCTTAGCAGCGAGGGAGAAGAGCTGCTGGGGGATGCCCCCATCTTGGTCATGCTGTTTCATGGTGCAGGCGCAGGTGTCCCCAGCAGTGGAAGAGACGGAGGCACAAGCAGAGGTATGTCCTGCTGCACTCGCCCTGAAGAGAAGTCGGCAGGAGATGTCTGTGACCCTTTCTCTCGTCTTATCCCTTGGCTCTCAGATTTTTTTATTCTCCCAGACTTATTTGGGAAGGGGAAGTGAGGAGAGATAAGTGGAACAGCAATTGGGCCTGAAGTACAATGGGTTGAGAAGGGAAGACACAGGTGACATAGCACCTTTTTTTTGTTGAGAAGGAGTCTTGTTCTGTCGTCCAGGCTGGAGTGCAGCGGTGCGATCCCGGCTCTCTGCAACCTCCTCCTCCTGAGTAGCTGGGATTACAGGCATGCACCAAAAGGCCCAGCTAGTTTTTATTTTTTGTTTTTTGTTTTGAGACAGAGTCTCGCTCTGTTGCCTATGCTGGAGTGCAGTGGCACAATCTTGGCTCACTGCAACCCCTGCCTCCCAGGTTCAAGAGATTCTCCTGCCTCAGCCACCTAAGTAGCTGGGACTATAGGCACGCGTCACCATGCCCGGCTAATTTTTGTATTTTTAGTAGAGATGGGATTTCACCATATTGGCCAGGCTGGTCTTGAACTCCTGACCTCATGATCTGCCCGCCTCGGCCTCCCAAAGTGCTGGGATTACAGGTGTGAGCCACCGTGCCCGGTCTTTTTTTTTTTTTTTTTTTTTTTTTTTAGGAGAGATGGGGTTTCACCATGTTGGTCAGGCTGGTCTCAAACTCCTGACTTCAAGTGATCCACCCATCTTGGCCTCCCAAAGTATTGGGATTGCAGGCATGAGCCACCGCACCAGGCCAACATAGCAGTTTTTAAGAGGGCCAGAAATCTGTGCCCCTTAACAGGCAGCCTGGCTTGTTGGAGCCTTGCCTGAGCAGAAACATTCCTCCCACCTCAACCCTGGCACAATACAGACAGCTCTATTTTGCCCAGTCTGACCTCCTAGCTCTGCAGCATAAATTCTGGTCCTTCCCTAGGGGGAAGCGGGAGGGAAGCTAGCTCTAGCTTCCCTGTGTCAGTCCCCTTCGCTGATGCCCCTGACTCCACTCCATTTTAGACACATTTCAAACTGTTCCCCCCAATTCAACCACCATGAGCCTGAGCATGAGGGAAGATGCGACCATCCTGCCCAGCCCCACGTCAGAGACTGTGCTCACTGTGGCTGCATTTGGTGAGACCGGAAGGAGAAGGTGGGACATAGGAGGAACCCCTACCCCTGGAATTAACTTGGACTCTGGGTCTGAAACGCAAGTTCAAATCTCACCCATTTGTTCCAGGAGGTTCTGGCTGATAAGGAAGACCCTTGTGGAGGGGGGCCCCTGCCCTCCAGTTAGCTCTTCTTGGCTGTGCTGGGTTCCATGTTCTCATGCAGGGATGGAGTCGGGTGGAGAGCCCACTCTGGCTAGGGGGCGGGCAGGCTGAGAGCTCACCTGTTCAGCAGAGAAGTGGAACTCACTTTGCTCCTGGAGCCTGTCTACACAGTACTTATCTGGGAAGGGAATGCCGGACTCTTGTTGGCCCCTTTGTCCCCCCGACTGGCCCCCTTCACCCCATTCTTTTCTCTGTTCAGGTGTTATCAGCTTCATTGTCATCCTGGTGGTTGTGGTGATCATCCTAGTTGGTGTGGTCAGCCTGAGGTTCAAGTGTCGGAAGAGCAAGGAGTCTGAAGGTGCGTGCCCTGCCCTCGGGGATCTTTTTCCCCTCTGCTGGCGGACCCAGGGCTAGAGCCCCAGCTCACACCAGCCTGCATCTGCCACTCCATGAGCCGGAGGGTCCCCAGGTGGGCTTTGAGAGGAAGGCTGGACTTCTGAGTTACAGCATGTGAGCCCCAACCTGTGCCTTTGGCTTTTTACAGATCCCCAGAAACCTGGGAGTTCAGGGCTGTCTGAAAGGTAAGACCGTCAGAAAAATCTTCTATCTGACACCCAGACCCCAACTCCCAGAGGGAACCAACACTTCCTGCCTTCCACACCCACACACCCACACACCACACACCATACACCTTCACACATCACACACACACCCCCACACACCTCAAACCCACCACACACCCTACACCTCACTACACACACCCACACACACCTCAAACCCACCACACACCCTACACTTCACTACACACACCCACACACCACACACCACACACATTACATACATCACACATCACACACAACCCCCATATTATACACGCCTCCCACACACCTCAAACACACCACATACCACACACCCCACTAGACGCACATCTCACACACCACACGACCCCCACACACACACTCCCACACACCTCAAATACACCACACACCCCACACCCCACTACAGACACATACCCACACACCACACACACACACACCCCACTCATCAGACACACCACACACCCCACACATCACACATCACACACACACCCCACACATACCTCAAACACACCACACACCCCACTACACACACACACCACCACTCCACACACCACACATATCCCATACTATACACACACCCCAACACACCTCAAACATACCACATGCCCCACATCCCACACTACACACACACCCACACATCTCATACACACCCCACATACCACACACCACACACCTTATACTGTACACACCACCCTCACACACACCTCAAACACACCACACACTGCACCTCCCACACTACACACACATACCCACACACCACACATCCCCCACACATCACACACCACACACACCCTGTACTATACACACCACACACACACACCACAAACACACCACACTCCCCACACCCCACACTATGCATACACCACACACACCCCACACATCACACACCATACACACAACCCATACTATACACATGCCCCACAC